>NC_000015.10:100704335-101342762 GCF_000001405.40 Homo sapiens | reverse complement strand
ACCCAGCTAATTTGTGTACTTTTAGCAGAGACAGGGTTTTGCCATGTTGGCCAGGCTGGTCTCCAACTCCCAACCTCAGATGATCCACCCGCCTCAGCCTCCCAAAGTGCTGGGATTACAGGCGTGAGCCACCGTGCCCAGCTGAAGCCAGTGTATTCTTGATACCAAATCCCAAGAGCACATATGAGAATGGAGAATTTTCAGCCAATCTCACTCAAGAACATAAATACAAAAATTCTAAGCCCAATATCAAGAAAACTAAATCCAACAGTATTAAAAAGATGAAATACTCTGTTCCTCTTTTCCTGCCTTGTTTTAGATTAATCAAATATTTGTCAGCATTCCACTTTATCTCCTCTATTGGCTTTTTAGCTGTACTTTGAGTGGTGCTCTAGGGATTACAATATGCATCCTTAATTTATTACACTTTACTTAGAATTAATATTGAACAGCTTTACACTTCTCAGATAAAAGGATCTAATAACAGTGTAATTCCATCCCCCTCCACTTCCTCATTTGTGCTGTAATGGTGTTGTATATTTTACTTCTGTATTTGTTACAAACTCCTTCTTAAAACAGTGATATTACTTTTTGCTTTAAGCAATCTTCTTTTTTTTTTTTTTTTTTTTTTTTGAGACAGGGTCTTACTCTGTTTCCCAGGCTGGAGTACAGTGGCACAATGTCAGCTCACTGCAACCTCCACCTCCCAGGTTCAAGCAATTCTCCTGCTTCAGCCTCCCAAGTAGCTGGGATTACAGGCATGCACCACCGCGCCCGGCTAATTTTTGTATTTTCAGTAGAGACAGGTTTTCGCCATGTTGGCCGGACTGGTCTTGAACTCCTGACCTCAAGTGACCCATACACCTTGGCCTCCCAAAATGCTGGGATTATAAGGGTGTTGTCTTTTAAATAAATTAAGGGAAACAGCTACTCTTCAGTGTGTTTACTGACATGCTTACCATTTCTAGTGCTCTTTATTCTTTCCTGTAGATCTGAATTTTCATCTGCTATCATTTCCCTTAGCCTGAAACACATCCTTTACCATTTCTTATCAAACTGGGCTTCTGGCAAGGACTTTGCTCAGCTTTGTTTTCTTTGAAAATGTCTTTACTTCAACCCATTTTTGAATGGTATTTTCACTGGATATAGAATTCTGGGTTGGGAGTATTTATTCCAGCACTTTAAAAATACCAAATTTTTAGGCCGGGCATGGGGACTCATGCCTGTAATCCCAGCACTTTGGGAGGCCAAGGTGGCCAGATCACCTGAGGTGAGGAGTTCAAGACCAGTGTGGCCAACATGGTAAAACCTCATCTCTACTAAAAATACAAAAATTAGCCAGGCGTGGTGGCAGGCGCCTGTAATCCCAACTACTAATCCTAACTACTTGGGAGGCTGAGGCAGGAGGATCACTTGAATCCAGGAGGCAGAGGTTGCAGTGAGCCGAGATTGCACCACTGCACTCCAGCCTGGATAACAGAGCAAGACTTTGTCAAGAAAAAAAAAAAAAAAAACCCCACACTTTTGGCCAGGCGCGGTGCGGCTCACACCTGTAATCCTAGCACTTTGGGAGGCTGAGACAGGTGGATCACCTGAGGTTCGGAGTTCAAGACCAGCCTGGCCAACATGGTGAAACCCTGTCTCTACTAAAAATACAAAATTTAGCTGGGTGTGGTGGTGGCATCTGTAATCCCAGCTACTCGGGAGGCTGAGGCAGGAGAATCGCTTGATCCTGGGAGGCGGAGGTTGCAGTGAGCTGAGATTGCACCACTACACTCCAGCCTGGGTGACTCTGTCTCAAAAAAAAAAAAAAAAAATTTGGGAGAAGCACATAAATGCCTTAAAATTAAAAATATAAGTCAAAAATTCAAAATTCAATAGATATGTTAGAAGATAAACTTGAGGAAATCTCCCAGAAAATGAAAGGGTGGTGGGGGAAAGACAATAAATATTGGACCCAGTAAGAAATTTTGTTAGAACATTGGGAGGTGGGGGCGGGAGAGGGATCATGTGAGTATGTGGAAGATAGTGTAAGAGAACTGAATTCTCAGCTTCCTAGGTGAGACATCACTGGACAATGTCTAACATCAAGAAACCAGGACATAGCATATGAGTATTTTTGTCTAGCAATGTAAGGGCAAATGCCAGAAAAATAACTCAAAGTGTTAAAAAGAGGTGGGGAGTCAGGGGGACTCCAAGAGGTAGAATGGAGTGAAGGAGGACTGCTTTCTTTGTTATAAACCTTGTAAGAGTTTTTGACTTTCCAGACATTTAATTTATTACTTTGGAAAAGCTGGAGCATCTTAAAAGATAGAATGACCTTATAGATGCCATTAAGAAAAGTGCTGTGTTGTCCATTGTACACACAGGTGATCATTCTTTCCCGAAAGGATATTTGTTTAGGATTCTTCGATCCTTTTCCTGGCATTTAAAATACCATCTTTCAGGGTTTTTGTGGCTATAGGAGCACAGGGAAGCCTTGTATCTCCCCTTTCTTAGCCTGGGTCTGAGAGTTCATGTGTGTATGTGTGTGTGCTCAGGTAAGTACGTGAGTGTGGGTGTGCATGTTATGGGTGCCTTGTGCACACATGTCCATGTGCATCCATGGACGTGTGTGTACATGGGGAGCACACATATATGTACTCTTTTTCTTATCCTCCTTTCCAAGCCATTCCTAAATTCCTTTTTACCTTTCTCTTACTTGCCATAATGTGAACTTAAAGTGTATTTTAATAATGTGTTTATTGAGTAAAGGTTGATATTTCTGTTTGTGTGTGTATACATATACATACAATATACACAAAAAATTACTGTGTGTATGTGTAATTTTATATATATATATATATATATATTGAGAAAGGGTCTTGCTCTGTCACCCAGGCTGGAATGTAGTGTGCAATCACGGCTCACTGCAGCCTCCAACTCTTGGGCTCTAGCAATCCTCCCAACTCAGCCTCCTGAATGGATAGGACTACAAGGACACACCACCACGCCTGGCTAATTTTTCTATTTTATTTTTTGTAGAAACGGAGTCTCACTATGTTGCCAGGCTGGTCTCGAACTCCTGGCCTCAAGAGATCCTCCCACATCAGCCTCCCAAAGCTCTGCGATCACAAGCGTGAGCTACTGTGCCTGGCCCCTACACGGTATTTTTAATAATAGCTTTATTGAGATATAATTCACATACTGTGAAATTCACCCCTTTTAAGGAGTAAATTATAGGAGTATTCAGTATGTGAATTATAGGGGTGTTTTTGTATATTTTTATAAATGGATGGAAGTAAGCTTTTTTATTCCTTCCGCCCAAACCTCTGCATTAACCTTTGTAACTTGAACATAGCCATGGGTGGCTGGTTCACCAAATCTCAGAAGGAAGAAACTTCCACTGGTGTTTTAAACTGAAACATATTTACGTGATTTTTCTAGGGCTCTCTTACTTCACTGTGTTTCAATTAAGGAATTTCTTCCTGCATATTTTAAGTATGGGGACATAGGGGGAGAATTAATTAAACTCTATATTGTTAATAACTTCTCCTATAGCCAGGAAAACCCAGGAATCCAAAAGTATTAGCTCAGAGTCCTTAATCTAATAGAACTTTCCCCCACCCCTACTTGCTTTGTCTCCAATTGTAAATTTCCTTCACAAGGATTTTAATGCTTAACTCAAAATGCCAGGCATAGGAAAGCTTCATTATTGCTGGTACTTTCCTGTTGGCAAATTCAACCATAGTCTCCCCTTAATTCTGGTTCTTTCTTTGCATAATGGGAATAATCCTGTTTGTTCATTATGAATTTAATTCATTGAGGGGAAATACTGCATTGAAGATAGTGAATGATGATAAATCCATTTACTGGCAGCCTCAGTTGGCACTAGCTGTGGATTATCCTCTGCCTCTCACAATGACATTCCCTGGCCTTCATTGTTGACATCTGGAGGCAGCCTGCTGGCAGTGCTGGCCCAAGTGTTTAAACAGGTGGATTTGTGATTCTTCTACAGGCTCAGGAATCTGATGGCAAAAAATTTGATTGGGCATCTTTTAAGACCCCCTCCTTTTAGAAACTAAGGAACTCATGGTGCTAGTTGGGTATGTACAACAGTAAACTTGAACAGGCTTGTAGAGTATCTTGAATAGTAAATAACACATTCTTGCTAAGTGGTTTGCCGAAAGCAGGGTCAACATTCTAAAATCTGACTGCCTCTGGGTGGCAGTTCTGTTGAGTGTAGACCCTGGTCTGGCCTGGGTTGTCCCTGGACACATCTGCCTGTTCTTCCTCCTTGCTTCTCCTGCACCCATGTGGCTTACCTTCCCAAAGAGAATGTGGCCTCTTGGGGGTGACTGAGTGTGGAGGGGCCGGCCTGGGGAGCCTGTCCTGGCACAAGTGCTGCTGCTGTGGGGGGCCGACACTGTGGACGCAATGAGAGGAGGTGGATGCCTCCTGAAAACTAAAGCCTCCAAGAAGCTCATTCCTGTGTGTCTCTGCCTTAGTCTGTTATCCTAAGTCACCCATAAGCATCTGACTCTCCTGCCTCAGTTAAGCTTGGGCTGTGGTTTGGAGAAGGGACTGTGTAGAGGGGGTGATTCTTATCAAGTAACTGATTTGCCCAGGTGGCCTGTGGTCCCTCGCCTGGGTATTTTGCAGTCAAGCCTCATGGGACACCAAACACTGTGGCGGGATCATGTGGCATTGCCGTTCATGATAGACATAAGTTTACAGTTCAAGATAAGACATTAACGTGTTGTATCACCTGACCCAGTGGTTCCACTTTCGGGACTCTATTGGGAAAAAGTAATCCAGACTGCATCAAGTAATATTTCTGTCAGATTTATGTATTTCAAAAAAGGGAACTGGACTAAACGTTCTGTCATAACCTATCATAAGAGGTTGTTAAACAAATGGTCACGTTCACAGGGTGAAGTATTTTGCTGTAAAAAAAAATGTTTTAACAGATTCATTCATTCAGCAAACATTTATTGAGTACCTACTGTGTGCCCAAAAGTTGCTACACACTGAAGCTAATGCACCAAACAAGAGAGACATGTTCCCTGCCCCCGTGATGCCTCTAGGCTGAAGGAAGAGAAAACAGTGAACAAGAAAATAAATAACGTCGAATGCGATTAACATGATATAATGCTAAGTGGAAAAAGAAAGAGAAAACAGGGTGCTGTGTGTTTTCAACTATGCAAGAAATACACATGCATAGGAAAGAGCCCAGGAGGAAATATGCCAAAAGAGTTATAGGTGATTTATTTTTATTTTTCTTTAAATATCTCAACATTTAATAATTTTTATTCTAACTAGGGAAAAAGTAATTTTAAAAAAGAATCACTCTTCAAATTTATGCCATACACTTTATGCCATAGGTATGGAATTCTCATTTTTACGTCTTCCAAAGGCAGGAAAACCAAAGTGACTCCCTTGGTTGAGAAAGTGAAAAAAGCATTTAAGTACTAGAAAGGGGAGATAGGCCAGGTGCAGTGGCTCATGCCTGTAATCCCAGCACTTTGGGAGGCACGCGGATCACAAGGTCAAGAGACCAAGACCATCCTGGCAAACATTCTGAAACCCCATCTCTACTAAAAATACAAAAATTAGCCGGGCATGGTGGCGGGCGCCTGTAGTCCCAGCTACTCAGGAGGCTGAGGCAGGAGAATGGCGTGAACCCAGGAGGCGGAGCTTGCAGTGAGCTGAGATGGTGCCACTGCACTCCAGCCGGGCAACAGAGCGAGACACCATCTAAAAAAAAAAAAAGAGAGAGAGAGATAAATGTCTCCCAGATTACCATTGTCTAAACCTAACCTTAGGTCAAGTGTCACAAATCGCACCTATTAGAAAAGGAAAGGTCTCTTTTGGAGGCACATGCAGGAAGGGGTTGCTTTGGTCCCACTGCTTCTTCCCTGCTGGCGTTTTTGGAGCTCCCAGCTCTCAGCTCCGCAGGTTGTTAGCTCAGTCAGTGCCTGGCCCCTCATAGGCTGTCATGAGTATCTTGCAGATCGAGAGAAAGAACAAAAATACAAACCATGTGTGAGCAAAACACCATTTCATTCCACTGGCCCTTGTTACAAATGCAGCTAAGATCTGCTTCTATGCATCTTAGACGTCTCATCCCTTGTTCCTAGCAAATATCTTTGGTAAATTTACAAGTTTATAAATTGCTTTTAATTTTATCAAATCAGAAATTTGTCTTGCTCTTAATTATATGAAAAGGATGCTCCGTTTCTCATATAATGAGAGAAATGCGACGTTAACCTTTCTGAGTTATCGGATTGGCAATGTAAGCCATAGCTGCAGGCTGCAAGGGAGCCCGTTCCTTTTGACGTGTGACATGTGACGTGTGACGAGTTTTACGTCTAGTAATGTAGCCTACAGGTACACATGCACACAGCTGAAATGACGTGTGCAGTAGGTTTCCCTTAATGGACAGCTCCTGCGTGCCAGTCTCTATTCTAAGTGCTTTACCATCATGAAGTCATTTAATCTCCAAAGCAACCCTGTGAGGTAGACATTCGGAGACGTTATTATTATCCCCACGTTACAAATGAGGAAACTAAGGAACAGAGATGAAGTAATTTGCTAGCAGGGGCAAAGCCAGGTTCCAGACCCTGTTGTTCCAGGGCCCTTGCTCTGCTCACCTCAAGTAGTTGCTCCCTATGTGACCAAGGATAGAGCACTATTTGTGTAGTCGTGTGCTGCAAAATGACATTTCCATCAGTAGCAGACCCCATATTCAATAGTCATTGCATAAGATTCTAATGTCGTATTTTGACTGTACCCTTTTTATGTTTAGGTGTGTTTAGGTACACAAACACTTATCATTGTGTTACAGTTGCCTACAGTATTCCATACAGCACCATCCTGCACAGGTTTGTGGCCTGGGAGCCGCAGGCTGTACCCTATAGCCTAGGTGTGGAGTAGGGGTACCATCTAGGTTTGTGTAAGCACACTCTATGGTATTCACAAAACAACAAAATCACCTGCATTTCTCAGGAGGTATCCCCATAGTTAAGCTACACATGACTATAATTGCCAAAGTTTATAAACAACCTAAACGTCCATGAGTAGGGGATTGTTTAAGTAAACAACACTACATCTCTCCTGTGCAGCCATGGAAGGATCATAAGGATACACTGTTAATGGAAAACTCAAGGTGCAGAAAGTGCTAGCAGGTGTGTTACCAAAAAGGATGGGGAAACATATGTTCATATTTGCTTGAATAAGAATAAAATGCTTCAGAAATGATACACAAGAAACGGGGAACCAACATTGCCCATGGGGAGGGAGACTTCGTCATATGCACTTTTATACTTTTGCATTTCTGAGCCATCCTTGTATATTACTTATTCAGAGACAAAAATCAAAACCCCGAGTACTACTGCTTTTTAATGGGGTTTTTTGACCATACAACCACTTTATTCATAGATTTTAAACATTAAACTTTTAAAAAGTTTTAATGTTTATATATGAACAGGTAACATATGTTGTGGTTTTAACAAAAAGTCAAACAGGCTGGGCGCGTGGCTCACACCAGTAAATCCTACACTTTGGGAGGCCAACGTGGGAGGATCGCTTGAGCTCAGGAGTTTGAGACCAGCCTGAGAAACATAGTGAAACTCTATCTCTACCAAAAATACAAAAAGTAGCCGGGCGTGGTGGTGCACACCTGTAGTCCTAGCCACTTGGGATGCTGAGGTGGGAGGATGGCTTGAGCCTGGGAAGTTGGGGCTGCAGTGAGCCATGATCGTACCACTGTACTCCAGCCTAGGCAACAGAGTGAGACCCTGTCTAAATACACACATACACACATACACACACACACACATAAAGTCAAACAGAGAGTGTAATAATAATGAAGTCTCTCTTCCATTCCAGTCCAGCCTCCTCCCATGAGGCTGCCTGTCTGCTGGGTCCCTGGGAATTCTTCCTGCTCTCTTTTTCCACACAGTGCACACCACTGACCCTGAGTGTGGAGCAGCCCCTCTTGTTTGTCCCACCAAAACTATATCTGAAAATAAAAATCCAGTTTTGGTGACCAGGCCTTTTGTGGGTGTTTTTGGAGACATCCTCTATAATTGAAATAAACTTCAACTCAAATGATAGCCTCTAGAGCCCTTGGTCCCTGTCCTACCATCATCACAACCCCAGCCAATCTCAGTGCACCACTTGGTGGTTAAAGTGCTCGGATTCCTTTGTGGTCGGAATGTGGCTGTAACTGGACCCTAAGGAGCTGAGGAGAGTCAGAGGTTCCTCACCAGGCTTGTTTTCTGCACCTGCAGTGGTGAGAACAACTTCCTGTGTCACTGCTGCAGCGGTGAGAACAACTTCCTGTGTCACTGCTGCAGCGGTGAGAACAACTTCCTGTGTCACTGCTGCAGCGGTGAGAACAACTTCCTGTGTCACTGCTGCAGCGGTGAGAACAACTTCCTGTGTCACTGCTGCAGCGGTGAGAACAACTTCCTGTGTCACTGCTGCAGCGGTGAGAACAACTTCCTGTGTCACTGCTGCAGCGGTGAGAACAACTTCCTGTGTCACTGCTGCAGCGGTGAGAACAACTTCCTGTGTCACTGCTGCAGCGGTGAGAACAACTTCCTGTGTCGCTGTCACCACACACGTAGGCTGGGTTAGGAACTGTGTCAGGGAGGGGGAGCTGCTGTGGGGCTTAATGAACCGAGCCCTGTGGAAGACCGTGTGCTAGAAATGCTATGCTGGGGATGCTGTTTCATGTAGGAGGGCCTTGCTTACCTCTTCCGGCCCTGTCCAGGCTAAGGGAGGCTTGGGCAGTACAGAATCTGACTTGGGACAGTGTGCAGGCTCCAGCCTTTTGCAACCTAGTACTTAGCCAGTTGAGGCTGTGGTTAAAATGAAACAGGGCTGCCACATGCCACATTGTGTAAATGGGTCAGTGTCGAATGCCATTTCGAATCGCACCAGTGGGGCCAGTCCCGCCTGTCTTTCACCTGCCCGCCCACCCACCCAGGATGGTGTGGATTACAGCCTATGGGCTTATGGTATGAGGATGAGCAGGAGCTCCTGTTCTGGAATTTAGAAACGCTAAGAGATTTCCAGAATTGGAACAAAAAGTAAAGTTGTACTGGCAGAGGGGCCTGCATTGCAGAAACAGTGCATAGGCAGGTATGTAAAGACAGACAGGCTGCCATTTAGAGCCAGCGGGTGGAGTAGCGAGCATGGGCAGAGGTAAGTGTTGAGAAAACACAGTCAACAGCAAAGAATCAGAGCAGTATTCTTCCTCCCCGAAACCATTCTGATTGCCAAGAAACCCCATGGCAGGAAAGGAAGAGGAAGCAGGGATTTTTCAGCCAACAGAGACATTGAGCCAGCAATGGCCCTGTCCCCAGCTTGGGTCGCAGGAGACAGTCATGAGGGCCCACTGAGGGGGTTCACAGCTGAACATGTGTGTGCATGTGTTTCCTATTGAGCCAATCCAATTAGAAACAAACATTGAAAGGCTGGGGCGTCCGGGAGCCCCGTCAGCATGAGCAGCTGTCCTTGGGCAGGTCACACTGGCCCCTGGCCCCCTCAACTATGTGGGGTGATGACCTTCTAAACAGTAACCCTGCTCTGAATTCTGGGGATGCCGTGGTTAAAAAAAAGAAGAAGAAGAAGCTTAAACCAGTGGCCAGCAGCAGAGTCGGCCTGCAGATAGGCGTTAATTAATTGCATAGATGCTCTTTGACTTACAAATTGCAAGTTGACTTATTTCGATGATATTTTCAACTTATGGTGGATTCATCCCAACATAGCCCCATCATTAAGTCTAGGAGTGTACTGAATGCATCTGGCTTCCACACCATTGTAAAGTCAAAAAATTGTAAGTCAAACTGTCATAAATTGGGGACTGTTTATAATGTGTTTTATAACATCAGGAATTCACCTGGAAATTGCTACCAGGATTTTCACTTTGCTTGATACCTGAGAACAGACAGCTGCATGGGCCATCGCTCCCTGTGGAGCTGTCGGTGGGGCGGGACCCCAGCTGCCCCCATGTTGGCTGGGAGCTCTCCCATCAGCACTGTCTTTCCTGTGTCTGTCTGTCTCTGATGTCCCCCATGGAGCCTGGTGTCTGTCTACTCATCCCCCTGCTTTCAAAGATGTTCTTCCTCCACCCAGCTTCTGCAGACATTTGGGTTTTTACCAGCACTGCTATCCCCCAGAACATCCCTCACTGTCCTGGGCTAGCTGTGGAGGAGAGAGCCCAAGACTGAGTCTTCCCATGATCTAGGATCAAGGATCCAAACAGCAGGACTCCTCCATGCAACCCAGTTATCACACTTGGATGCTGTAGGGCAAGACTCACAGCCAGGCCTGGCACCAGATTTACCCACCGGATATCCCAAGACGGGAAGGTGGCTGCTGCTAGGCATCGGGGAGGCAGCATCGAGGGAGGCTGCAGTGAGATCAGCAGGGCAGAGGACAGCCTCCAGGACAGTGGAGAGTCCAGCCCGGCTGACCTCCATCCCAGCAGGGACAGGAAGCGGAGGGCAGCTCGATAGAACAGGAATAAAAGGGCACTGGCTTGCAGGAATGAGACACTGGGGGAAAGCAGCATGTGGCCTGGGCAATAGGTGCACAGCTGGCCAGCAGGTAACCAGGAAGTGAAGGTAGCAGGCCAGAGCCCAGCTATCAGGGGAGGAGCCAGGCAGCATCTGGCTTATTTCTGTGAGTGACAGAGGTCTTGGCACAGGCAGGTAACTCTGTGGGTTTGGTGCCTTCCAGGGAAGTTGAAAGAATGGAGCCTCATACTGTATGGCACAGCAGAGCACCCGTACCACACCTTCAGTGCCCATCAGTCCCGCTCGCGGATGCTGGAGCTCTCAGCCCCAGAGCTGGAGCCACCCAAGGCTGCCCTGTCACCCTCCCAGGTGGAAGTTCCTGAAGATGAGGAAGATTACACAGGTAATGAGCCTGAAGTAAGAGGAGACGGCCAGCTTCCACGAGCTTTGATTGTCCAGAGTAGCTCTTAAAATGTAGGGCTGCTCCTGGCAAAGGTGGGGCTGATGGTTGTGTGTCTCTCTTGCCTGGGAGTCATAATAATCATGGCAATTTGCACTCACACAGCTCAATCCACCCCAGGCTCTGCTAATATTTTACAGACCAGTAAGTATGCTTCAAACCAGTAAGTATTTTCCAACCTTCCCAGCTGGGAGAGCAGGGTCTATATGCCCAACCAGAATGGGGTCTTGCCCCCTGGTAAGTTAGCCACTTCTAGGAGCACCCCCTTTCCAAAGGCCCCCATCTCACAGCTCAGCCTCCTGACTCCCTCAAGTACATCCACTTTCAGTCCTTGAGGTCAGGATGTGGGAAGGACACAGTTACTCCCAAGGATCCAGGAAGGTTGGGTTCAAGGAGCACAGCTGGGAAAGGACTTCGTGGCAGAGATCCTGACCAGCCTGGAGGCCTAGGGTTAAAGACCCAGAGAGGATCTCAAGAGATGATGTCAGCAGATACTGATGCTTCACAGATGCCTTGAAAATCTTACAGCATCTAAAAAGGCCCTGCATGAATCGTTTTTCTCCAATCATCCCATTGCCAAGGTGGGCCCTGGTTTGGGGCCGCCAGTTCACTCCACAAGGCGGCCAAAACCACAGCTGCCCAGAGAAGCTCCAGCCACTGAGCTGGACATGGCTTTTATTCGTTTGTTAGACTAGAAGCTGTTCTTCTCCCTCTGAGCCCTCCTGTAGCAATTTGTGTGAGAAGAGGTATTTCTGGTTGGACATATTTTCCTTAGCTAAATACTACGGCTAAATGATAAATGATGGGTGATATCTAAGAACACTGATGCTTTAAGTTATCTAATATCTTCTGTGAAAAACAAATAACAAATGGAAAATTCCACCAACACATATCAAGTATAAATTACGGTCAATTCCATTTTAAATTTCTTCTACTATTCCTTTAAAATAGAGCATTGAATTATGTATGGACTAATCTGCTCTGTTTCCCCCTGTGATTTATAAACTGTGGCAAGATTCAGTAATTATTAATAAGGAACTGATTTTTTTCTTAAAATCTGCTACTGACTTCAGCCTTGCACAATGGAACCTCACTGTGATACCATTCTGCAGTCCAGCAGTCTACTGAGCAGGGATTAGGTGGAGAGAGGGGGTCTCCATGGGAAGGAGATGCATTCCTGGCTCTCAGAGAAGCCCCCTCAAGTCTCAGGGGTGAGTGGGATGGGCAGACCAGAGACAGCAGGAGAGCCTATTCAGAGACCAGGACAGAGTGACAGAGGAGGTGAGAACCAGACGGTGCCAGAGTATGGAAGCCAAAGGAGGAGGACGAGCCACGTTAGAGTCCAATGCAAGGTCAGGTGGATATGAGACGGGGTGTGCGGAGCCGGCCATGGTCATGGTGCATCAGGAGTGACGGGCCCAGGCCAGTGGAGGCTGCACCTGGACTCTTTGGGCAAGAGAGCAGTTGCCAAGAAATAGAGGAAGTGAGCGAGGGGGACGAGGGAAGCCTAGGGAGTACTTGCAAATGGCCAGGGTCCCAGGACAGCAGCAGGCAAGATGGTCCCTGGAGAGGAAGGTTGAGGACCAGAGCATCTGGCTGGGAGAAAGGGCAGCAGCTGCAGTGGGCAGCGTGGGGCACAAGGAAGATGTCAGTGCTGTGGTTCTGAAGGTGGACAACTTTGTGGTGACAGCCAACCTGCTAGGCCAGAGCCGTCTGGTGGCCAAAGTGCAGGTGGAGGCCACCCCAGGGACTCCGCAGGGTGCTGAGTTGAGAGCAGACCCTGGGCTGTCCCCCCGCCCAGAGACTGGGATTCAGCAGGTGTGGGACGCCTGGGGGTCTGCACCTGTAGCAACCACTCTTAGGTGCCTGCAGGCACCGTGGGCTTAGGGAGCTGGCAGATAATGAAACCAGCGAGGATGGGGGCAGGAGGCAGGGAAGAGCTTGGGTTCCTGCAAGAGAGTGGCTGGGAGGCCAGGACATTACTGGCATGGAAACACAGGGAAGCCTGGGCCTCAGGAAAGAAGCCATGGTTGAGCAAAGGAAGCTGAGTGGGCTGAGATCAGCTCAGGACACTGTGGTCATCCACACAGGACTGCAAGGGAAGCCAAGAACCCACGTGGCATCGTCTGGAAGACGGAGTTCCAGGGCAGCTCCACCGGTACAGGAGACAGTTCACAGGATGAGGGTGATGTCTGGAGCAGGACCATGTGTGCTCACAGGCTCAGCACATCCGTGCTTACTCGACAGGCTCAAGCAGAGGCCCAGAAGCCTCAGGTCGCTTGCTCAGGGCACAGCAGTCAGGAAGGAAACCAGACTTGTTCTCAGTGTACTCTTATTCTCGTGGGCACCTCTTGTCTGCAATTAATCGGCCCAAGTCTTGCATGCCTCTCGGGTCCGATACTGCTCCAGTGAGGTTCTGGTGTGCTGTTCTTGGATGGCGTGAACGGTGGAGAAGATGGTGATACCAAACTCTCCTGTCCATCGGCAGTTGGTCTGAGCGCGCAACGGCAAAGCACATGGAGAACTCCCAAGTTGCTTCTAACATTTATTTGTTTGTGTATTTTTTTAAATCCTGGATTTCCTCCACAAAGGATTGAAGGTGGAGTTTTCAAATAAACCCGTGTCAGTTTAAGCCCATCTAGAGAGGCATCAGCCGCTAGCCAGGCTGTTCAGCACGTGAACGGAGCCCCCCTTGTATGAAGAGACCCCTGCTAGGAGTTACGGGAAGTGACACAAGAAGGCAGTGGGGCTTGGAGGAACTGTCACGCTAATTGAGGCAAAGGGAAAAGCAGACCTAAGTACAAATTGCAACACAAACATCATGGTTGCCCAGAGAATGAGCTGCAGCTGGACCAGAACACGCTCAGGCGGTGGAGTGATTGGGACCACGTGGACAGCAAGGTGGATTTAATTTAAGAACGCTTCATGGGCGAGAGGAACCTGGATATTTGGCTTTTAAACACAATTCAAGTGGACAGCCATACTGGGGAGGTTTGTTTACAGATATTCATCTAGGCATCTCCACCCTTGGATGGGCATCGTCTTAACCTGACCGGTGGGTGACCTCAGTGCAGTGTGGGGGCCCTGCAGCTCTGTTGAATAGCCCCCAACCTTGCACTGGGCTCCTTGCAAAATTATGAATAAGCTTTCCACTGCAGAGAGACCCAGGAACAGGGGTGGGGGGTGTGAAGTCCATACACCCGGACCAGCAGCTGGGAGCACTGCTTCAGGACCCTCCCCAAGGCTGTCCTCCTCCGAGGACATCCTAGAACATTCTGTCTGGAGATGGTGAGGACATCTGCACTTTCCCTGTTCCTAGCCACCCTCCTCTCATCCGCTCAGCAAATAGTGATTGAGCACCTGCTCTGTGCCTAATGCCAGGAATCTAGCAGTGAACACACCGAACCAAGCCCTGCCCGCCCGTCTCCCATTCCGTGTCTAGAAAGAGTGAAAAGATTGGTCTGCCGCCTCCCTGTCGCACTCCTGCCCTCATCTTCTTAAGATGAAGGAAATTGTTCACTTTATCAAGCAAGACAGACCTGCTGCCTCCTCAGGGAGAAGACGCTGCAGGAAAAGGCAGGAGAGAAGTCCTCAAGTCACCACGACAGCCCCGCGTTCGCTGGGCCAGCTGCGAGGGTGGGAAGGCGAGAGCCCAGTGGCTGAGCTGGAGTTTTGGGCTCAATGGGTAATTTAAAGCAATGGTGCGAGAAATGAGGATTTTGGAGGCTGTCCTCATAGATGACCCAGGATGAGGTGGGCAAAGAATCCAATCAGATGGGAATTGATCCAAAATATTATAGTAAACCCTCTGGAGCTGGGGGGAGGAGTTTAGTAATGAGTTTTAGAAATGGTGAGTGGCATCTGGAACCCAGGATACCAGCACCGCCCAGGAACAGCATCTAGAGTGTCCTCGTGGATACACACAGCTCTGAAAGGGGTTCACAGTGGGAACCGGGACACGCAAAGCCCCCCCAGTGAAAACTAGGGAAATAACACCAGAGAGCCTTCGGGGAGGGAAGCCAGCCTCACTGGGTCTAACACTGGCAAGGTCTGGAGACTTCAAGACGAGTGAAGAGGGCTTTGCGTGCCCCAGCAAAACCCCACTGTGGGCAGCAGAGAATGAGGACTTTTGTCTTTTCCTCAAGTCCCCACCAAATGAAGGTGGCCAGCAACTCACTAGTCTTTACTCTTGAGCTCACTCCCCATCCCCTCTCATAACTCACACCTCGGAGGAGGAGGTTTTTCTTCCAGTAACTCAAAAGCCTTCACATGCCCCACTTAGTCCCTGTGTGTCAGAGCTGTCGGGGTCCCCTGGGCCGTTTCCCAGCGTAGGAGGGACAGGTGGGCAGTAGGCAGGAGTCCACCCCAGCTGTAGCTTCAGGCGTCACTCCTGCCGACCAGCGTGGGGAGGACCCCTGCAGCGTGCCCCGCCCCCGCCTGACGGGTAGACCTTTAACACTGGCTTCATCTCTGGGATACCTGGGAAGGACCTAGAGGGTGAGGTTTGCTGGCGTCTACTCAGCTCGCCTGCAGTTCTCAGTTGTTTTTCCAACAACACACCAGCCTCCGGAGTGAGAAGCTGGGGACCCCTGGGAACTTGAGGGAAGACACAGCTGCCGTCCCACCAAGGGCTCCAAGGAAAGCCTAAAGGGGATGTTCTGAAAGGGGCTCAGCCCTCAGCACAGAAAACAGCAGCCCCCCAACCCTAGGACAGCACTGTCTAGCTGTGTCCCTGCCCCACCCTAGACCTGGCCAGCAACAGCCCCACCAGGCGGTCCTGAGCATGCGGAGATCCATCCCCATTCCCACCACAGCGAGTTGCGGGGGGGCTACCTAATTCCTCCTGGCTCATCAGCTTGCCAGCAGCTCCCCTGACACTCAGCACCCCCTCTTGTGTTGCTCTGTCCTCCACGTGGAAGTCAAAGGTGCTGGCTGGTCCCAGCATGATGACTGGTGCAAGTGAGTGAATGAAACAGCTGTTCCAGCCTCTCCCTCCCCGCTACCCCTCCAGGCTCTCACAAGTCCCATCTCCTCCCTGCTCCGGGTGGCGTACCCACCCTGGATGTTTCACTCCTTCTCATGCCATCCCTGTCTAGAGTGCTCAGACTGACACTGGAGCCCAGCGAGGCTCAGCTGTGCCTGTTACCCGCAGGGACGGCTGCTCCCGCCTTGTCGTCTGGCCGTCCAGCCCCAGCGGGGCCTGGGAGCGTCTCCCAACCCTGCCAAGCTGCGATATCCTGACACAGGGATCCGCGGGACTGCAGTAGATGGAGAAGGCGTCTCTCTGGATGAAAGGCAATGCTTGTTTCTTTAAGGTGTGTGCCATCCGGAGTGTGGTGACAAAGGCTGTGATGGCCCCAATGCAGACCAGTGCTTGAACTGCGTCCACTTCAGCCTGGGGAGTGTCAAGACCAGCAGGTAATGCATGTCCCGCAGCCCTGTGGCTCACCACTCAGTGACTTTCCAGTTGTATCCTTAGCCCCTCCATGTCCTGATGCCCCAGTTAGGAAGTAACGTAGCACCCCCAAACAATCATCACACTGAAGTTAACTGCTTTGGAGTTTTTAAATTTTTAGTAACTTGGCATTCCTATCATGCAAGTCATACATGTCCATTACGGAGAAATTAGAAGCTGTTGCACGTTGGCGTCCGTGCTTATAAAGCCTTTTCTATCTGTGTTGTTAAAGAGAAGTGGGTCATGTTGGGCGTGCCAAGGCTGCCCCAGAGGGCCTGGAGACGGATGCGATTCAAGGCCCTGGTGCTGTCCTCACAGGCCAGCTCAGGGGACATGGCTCTTGGACAGGCTGAAGCCTGTTGATGGTCTTTCTTTCAGTGTCTCTGGACTCTGGCTGGGTGTGGGGCTTTCACAGAAGCTCTCCTGGCACCTCCCCAGAGAGCCCATGAGGCTGAGTTTACCCCAAGGGAGGATATCAGGAGCTCTGACCTGGGACCCCACGTATATGGCCAGTTGCCCGGTTCAGGCTGACCCTTCTGTGATGAGTGTGCCCTCCTGTGTGGCCTCTGCAGTCAGGCCCTGGGCTCTGTCCACGGAGCTGCTCCAGCTCCTGGCATCACCACTTTCTCAGATTCTCTTCCCTGCCAGTCCTGCAGCTGCCCTGTTGTCCATTCTCATTTCACAAACTTCCCTGAGCACCCATTATGCCCCGCATGTGCCAGGCCTCAGAGGCCACGATGACAGGACACTGCTAGGCTCCCCAAAGGCCTGGGTGACAGATGCACCCACCAACCACTGGTGCACACCCATGAGGGCTCAGGCACGGGTGCGGCCGTGCAAGGTCAAGCCGGGTGCCCATGTGGCTCTCGTGGCGTCCTCGAGCTCCCAGCCACAGCGCACTCACTGGCCAAAGTGCAAAGGCTGTCACCCTGCTGGCCTCACTCACTGCCCACAAGACTCACTCCCTGAGGGCGCCCGAGAGAGGGTTTTGCCAGAGCCGACAGTTCCAAAAGTCAAATACGAACCTCACGATGCCCTTGGGAAACCATGCGCACCCTCAGGACCTTCCAGCAGGGCCAGCTTTGAAAAGAAAGGATTCCCAGGTTCTATGCAAGGCCTCCAGCCTCTCCACCTGTGTACGTAGGAACCTCAGAACTGCACTCACCAAGACAAAGGGCATCATGTTTGACATTCACTCCTGAAGCCTTCGTTTCCTCAGAGGAAACAAAGGGGCAGGCCTGGGGCTGGGGCTGGGTTGGCAAGGCCCTCACCCTCCTGCCTTTGCTCCTACAGGAAGTGCGTGAGTGTGTGCCCCTTGGGCTACTTTGGGGACACAGCAGCAAGACGCTGTCGCCGGTGCCACAAGGGGTGTGAGACCTGCTCCAGCAGAGCTGCGACGCAGTGCCTGTCTTGCCGCCGCGGGTTCTATCACCACCAGGAGATGAACACCTGTGTGACCCTCTGTCCTGCAGGATTTTATGCTGATGAAAGTAAGTGGCTTGTTTGTGGGTACAAGAACTGATGAGCCAGCCCCAACTTTCTGGGCCCGTGTCCTCTCTCCAGGGAGAATTTCCCAGCCTTCTGCTTCCGTGTATTTTGTTGTTCTGAGTAAGGACTTTGAACAGGGAAGGAGGCAGAGATGATGAAATCAAAGCACCCAGACCTGTTAGTTAATAGCACTTCCCCACAGACCTGGCCAGGAGAAGTTCCAAGTGATGCTGAGAGACATCCTGGCTGTCCAGGGAATTTCACCCACCTGCAACAGAGTCAACGTCCACTACTGAGCAAGGGCAGAGAGGTGGCTAGGGCCAGCCACTCTTGAACTCAGTCTGATTTCAGGTATCAGAAGAGGAGGTCCTGCTGTCTGTGCTGTAATTTCTCCTCCAGGAAAGACTATGCCATCGGCTTCTCTGTAACACAGGATGTGTGCGCTGGGCGTGGGTCAGGGTACATGGGATTGGTGGTCAGAGCTGGGGGAGAGCCCTCCTCGGCAGAGCTGCGGAGATGAAATTGGGAGTCAGATGTGGGCGGAAGGTTTGCAGACCTCCAGACATGAAAAGGAGCTGCTGACCAACGTCAGTTGGGCTCGGAAGGGATGGGTTTGTCTTTGCCGGGCATTTCACAGGTGGCAACCGCACCCCTGAACACTAGACAGGCAGTGTTTTCCTCGTCCTACAGATGGGGAATCAAAGCTGAGCAGGGGCAAAGGCCACAACTAGTCATGATGGAGGTGGGACTCGGACTCAGAGCCGCAAGGCCAGGTGTCTTGCTGTCCCAGGAGGGTGGGGGCTGGACAGGAGTTGTAGGCCCAAGACCCCATGCCATGTTTTCGTAATTCGCCTCGCCCTGGGAGACACAAAAGCAGGGCTTGGGTTAAATTGACAGGGGATAGTTCTCAAACACATTAAAGAAGCTACCGTTTGGCACTCGTGGTCTTCCAGGTAGCAGGCCTCCCCACGGCCCTCCTCTCTGGGCCCTTACTGCTCAGGATGGGTCATTGATCCGGCCTGTCATGGCACTGCCGTTACCCCTGTGGACAAGACCCAGCAAATCTTAAAAGACGTATAAAGCCATCAAATAACAAGACACCCCCTTTTTTTTTTTTTTTCGAGATGGAGTCTCACTGTCTCCCAGGCTGGAGTGCAGTGGCATGATCTCAGCTCACTGCACCCTCTGCCCCTTGGGTTCAAGGAATTCTCCTACCACAGCCTCCCGAGTAGCTGGGCTTACAGGCATGCGCCATCACGCCCGGCTAATTTTTTTGTATTTTTAGTAGAGATGGGGTTTCACCATGTTGGTCAGGCTGGTCTGAAACTCCTGACCTCAAATGATCCATCTGCCTTGGCCTCCCAAAGTGCTGGGATTACAGGTGTGAGCCACCTCACCCGTCCCAGACTCCCTTTAGCGGGGAAACAAAAAGTCATGCAAGACACATTTCACAGCCTTTGCAAACGCTTGCCCTGGGCTGCCAGCCAGACCTTTGCAAAGGACGGAGGCGCCTTCATCCCCACCCCCTTCCCAAGGGCACAGTTGGCCGCCCTTCTTCACCCCGACATCCTCACTCAGCACCTGCTTTATGGCGTATGATGCCACCTGTGGGGGCCCTGAGGGGGACACGTGCAGGTGTGGCAAGCAGCTGTTAGCTCCCAGGCCCAGAGCACCCCAGCCACTTAGGAGTGGTGCATGGTGGTGTTTCATGAGGCGCCAACCCAGATAATAAGTTATGACATTGCAGGTGGGAGTTGGGGTGACCCAAAACTTCCCCAAGAGGCACGATGACTCGCCGTAGGTTCCTGTCTCACCATCTAGAGCAGCCAGATCTTCATACATAGGTTTCCCTGAGAAAGCACCGTGGTGGGCAAGCGGCAGCCTCAGGCTCTCCACCCCCCACCTGCCCACACCCGGCCACTTTCATGAAGATTTCCACCTCGTTAAACTCTACTCAGCCCACCAGGAATTGGCCTCCATCCCTGTTGAAATAAGCAGAACCACCTCAGAGGCCTGGTGGTTGTCTGAGGACCGTTTTTACCTCAGAAAGGGGAGGTGAGAATTCTGTGACCCCACACCAGGTACAAGCGGCCTCTGGCTGCTTTATTTCCACCCATTCCGGAGGTGGACTCGGGGAACAGCCCACCCGCACCCCCGCTTTGAAATGCCGGGGGCCTGCTTGCCCAGATTTCATTCCTGTCAGTGTCGTCCCTTCTCTTTTCTTATCTCGCTATTTTTCTCCAGGTCAGAAAAATTGCCTTAAATGCCACCCAAGCTGTAAAAAGTGCGTGGATGAACCTGAGAAATGTACTGTCTGTAAAGAAGGATTCAGGTAAAACCCCCTCGAAACCTGAGGAATGTCAGGGCGGTGGCGCTGCTTGGAGTGTGTTATGGATTTACCACGTTGGTGCATTTCTCCTAAAAGCTGAACTGTCAGAGGCCCAAAGCCATTGAGGGTAAAGATTCCGAGTCCTGGAAATCGTGTGTCCACTTAGGATGGAAAGGGAGAGGATGGGCGGAATCTCTACATTTTACACAACATGGGCGAATTGGGCAAAGCAGCACTTGATCACATCACGTACAGCACAGGGCTGTGCCCAGATCCGCCTCCTTTCGCTCCAGCACCTCCACCTGCTCCAGTTCCCCTCGCTGTCTGGGCCGGGGATGGGCTGTAGCGGCTCACCCACCCTCTCTCCTCTGCATCCCTCGGTCTTCTCTTTTTCTCCCAGCTCCTGACATCTTCACGGCTTCCTGAGGGTGCTCTTTACGTTCCTGGTTCTCCCTGTTCATCAGGCTCAGCCCCATAAAGCTCAGCATGCATTTTCTTTAAAATCATTCTACTGGGTTAATGATTGTTCTTGGAATATTTTGAAATGTTTCTTCAGCCCATTTAATGCAACCAAACTGCATTTAATGCAATCAAATATACATTACCTGTTCCTCCGAATTGCTGTCTAAAATCTTAGAACATTCTGTTCAAAATTTTTTGGGGGACACTCCCATAGTAGGGAGACTAGCACCATGGTCCGCACTGGAAGGATCACCTCATGTCCAGATGCAGGTTCTGATGCAGCAGGTCTGGGCAGAGCCCACGACTCTGCATTTCCGCAGGCTGGCAGTGGTGAGGATGCTGCGGTCCAGGCAGGGAGCTGCTTTTGCAGGGTGAGGCGGTGGAGGGCTGCAACACACCCCCAGCCCCGTCTCCCTTCTCAAATGCTGTGAGGACTGGAATTCTCCATAGAAGAAGTTTCTTTTTTGGAGTAAAGAACAAAGGAAGAAAACTTACTGAGCATATCTTCTCTTATTCCAGGGGCTTGCACCAGTGTTGCCTCATTTAATCTTTGCAGCAACCTGTGAAGTAGACATAATTCTTACTCGCATTTTACAAACAGGGGAGATGAAGTTTCCCCAGGAGGCACTATGCTACTGCCTTCATTTCCTTCAGCCTGCCTCTTTCTTCCAGATCAGAGTACTGGGGAGAAGAGGACCCCAAGCAGCTAGGAGTCCAGGAGAGGGAAGGCAAAGCAAGGCTCCCAAAGTCATGCATCACATCTGCTGTCATTTAAACCTGTTGGCTGGACAAGGCAGGATTAGGAGTGAAAGGATGAACTGGCCCAGGAAAGGGATCCCCCAAAGATAAAAGAGTTGGAAGAGGAAGGAGGCATTCCGCTGGCGGCCTGGGAGAGGCCAGCTTTGATGTCCCAGGCTCTGCAGGTCAGGCAGCCCAGGAGTGGATCCTCAACCCAGGCTGGTAGCTGGGGGCATCAGGAAGAGGAGGCTCTGTGTTCCCAGCTCCCTGGAACCTGCCTGTTTCCCAGCAGAGAAGTGCTGAGGGGTCCCCGGGAATGCATTTATGCATCCCGTCCCATCCTGTAGGAGAGGGAAATCGGATACTCAATGTAGGAATGGTGTGCTAAAGAGAAAACGCCTCCTGTCGGTAGCCCCGCCACATAGAGGCAGTGCTTCCGTCACTGACGAGCTTTCAGAGAGGCGTGCAAACTCCAGACGCATCGCCAGCCGTCAGCCACAGAGAGCTTCCGTTTATTGCCCAATATCCTCTTAAGCTGTGACTTCTAATCACTGCAGTCATGTTAAAGCAGCAAGAGAGCAGCCGAGCCGCCGCCTCTGGCCCTCCATCTCTTCAGGGGGATCAACACAGGAAAGGTTTGCAGGGGAGTGTCAGTTATAAAGACATGATTTAACTGCCATTCGCAGTGGGCATGGCACCATGAAGAGGAAGGGCGCCGGGTGGGTGTCCGCCATCTATGCAGAGGAGCTTGCCAACATACAGACGTCTTCCTGCTAAATGCAGGTGTAAGAGATAGGAAAAACCAGTGTTTTCTCCTACTCTCACACACAAAATACAACACACTTCACCTCTGGTAGCCAAAACGTGTGGGTTTTTCCCCACACACCAAGCAGTTCTCCAGTGAACCGTAAGATATACGTAATAAATATATAGCTCAGGCTGAACGCAGTGGCTCACGCCTGTAATCCCAGCACTTTGGGAGGCCGAGGCAGGCAGATCACTTGAGGCTAGGAGTTCGAAACCAGCCTGGCCAACATGGCGAAACCCTGTCTCTACTAAAAATAAAAAAAATAGCCAGACATGGTGGTGCACGCCTGTAATCTCAGCTACTCGGGAGGCTGAGGCAGGAGAATCGCTTGAACCTGGGAGGCGGAGGTTGCAGTGAGCTGAGATCGTGCCACTGCACTCCCACCTGGGTGACAGAATGAGATCCTGTCTCAAAAATAAATAAATAATAAATAAATAAATAGCTCAATTCTGACGCTACTAGATGTGTCAGATCCTACAAATTGAGGGCTCAGCCCAAGACTGCCCCACTTTGATGTCAATCACGAGTCCCACATGGTAGCCTGTGCTTCTGAGTGACCAGCCATAAATCGGACTTGCCATGACCCCTCCTTGGGTTCGATTAATTGGCTAAAGCAGCTCACAGGGAAAGACTTTACTTACATGTGCCCATTTATTACAAAGGATATGGCACACAGCCAGATGAAGAGATGCGGAGGGTGAGGTTTGGAAGGGTTGAGCGCTGGACCTTCCATCCCTATGGGGCTGGGCTGGGCTACCCTCCCAGGATGTGGTTGTGTTCTTGTTCACCACCCCAGAGCTCTCCAAACCCTGACCTTTTGGGTTTTTATGGAGGTTTTGTTACATAGCCATGATTGATTACATCATTGGCCATTGGTGATCAATTCAGCCTTCAGCCCCTCTCACCTCCCAGGAGGGAAGTCAGAGTAGTAGGGCTAAAAATTCCAAAGCTCTGATCAATGGTTGGTTCCCTGGCAGCCAGCCCCTGTCTAGAGGCTGCCCAGGAACCCCCAGCTATCAGTTATTAAAGACATTTAGCACTTTGATAATTCCAAGGGTTTTAGGAGCTGTGTGCCAGGACAAAGACCGAACATATATTTCCTTTTTTTTTTCTTTTTCTCTTCACATATTTCTTATTATAAATCCCAGTGTCATAGCAGGAGTCTCCGGGTCTGACAGATGCACCCCAGAGCCCTTGCTCAGTATGGCAAACCCATCTAGAACATGTACGTCACAGACTGTACACAGTATAATCTCAGGAACTAAAGAGATAATAGTAGGTGATATTGATTCACACTGCTGTGTGCCAGACACTGAAATGTTTATGGGTATTAGCTCATTGAGTCCTCCAAGCAACTTTATGATGTAGAAACCAATTAACAGGAAGGGAAACAGATGTAGAGGGGCTGGCTGGCTTGCTTGGGGTCGAACACTGGGAAGGTGGCAGAAGCCATCCACGTGGGTGGTCTAGCTCAGCATCTGTGTCTCTGTCCAGCACTCGGCTGGCTGGAGTGAAGTGAGGGCACAAATGGGGCGAAAGAGGAAGGTAGGGGCTGCATCTGACAGGCCTGCTGGGGCTCCAGAGGGCGTCTTATTTCAAGTTCATTGCGAAGCTGCAGAAGGTTCCAAGGTTTCAAGCAAGAGAGGCAAGAGCGGGTTGGGGTTCAGGGCCAGCCTTGTAGCCGACAGCCCCGTCACACGCCATAAATGCCAACACTTCAAGAGGGACTTGACACTGAGACTGAGCTAGCGTGCCACCAGTGATGACCCACACAGCTCCACTTCTCTTCATGGGGTTTGGATTCGAGTTGGAGAAATGACAGTAAGAAAAAGCTATCACTGGGTCAAGGACGGAGCCTGGCGCCTGCTGCCTGGTGATGGGAGCTTTGCTTCCCAGGGCCTTGTACCCCTTCCTGCTGGGCCCCCAGCGGACTGCGGGATGGCTTTCCCGACTTTCCTTAGCTGAGAACTTTCGGTGACACAAAGAACTGTGCCTCAGCCACTTACATCTCCTCTTGGGAAAGGTGCTAGAGGGCAAGTCATAATTAGACTTTTGGAATGGATGTGGAAATCTGCCTCTTTCTTTTCAACAGCCTTGCACGGGGCAGCTGCATTCCTGACTGTGAGCCAGGCACCTACTTTGACTCAGAGCTGATCAGATGTGGGGAATGCCATCACACCTGCGGAACCTGCGTGGGTGAGTTCACCGCCTGCGGAGGCCTCGGGCCAGCGTCACCCAAGCGTAGGCTAGCTGCCTTGAACCCGAGAAAGCCCTAGGACTTCGTGGGCTTCTGCATTTATTGCAGCATTAAAATGCAAGGGCAAAACAAGGTACAAAGGCCCTACCAGGGACTGGGGGCCGGGAGAGTGGGGATTTAATGTTTAATGGTTACAGAGTCTCAACTTGAGAAATGACAATTGTTCTAAGGATAGATGCTGGCAATGGTTACATAACAGTGTGAATGTACTTAATGCTGCTGAACTGTGTACTTAAAAATGGCTGAGATGGTAGATTTTATGTACATTGCAGTGGCTCATGCCTATAACCCCAGCACTTAGAGAGGCAGAGATGGGAGGACAGCTCGAGCCCAGGAACTCAGGACCAGCCTGGGCAGCAAAGCTGTGAGACCCCGTTCTCCACAAAAGGAAAACGTTTTGTTGGAAATTTTTTTTAAAACCATGTTTTTAAATTTGAAACAAAATCCCAAAACAATGCAAAGGCCCACTTTGAACACGCAGCCTGAGGTTCTCATTAGAAACCCAGCCAGGCAGTGGCTTATTTCAGATGGGGAAAGGGATAAGAGATGCTCACCACTCATAAGCCATCTTGTCTCAGAGCTCAGCTCTTGCTGTGGAACGGCGCGGACAGAAACACAACACCATAAACATTGAGAGGGCTTTGGGAGAGGCGGGAATGGATCCAGGTGGGGATGGGGATGTTTTCAAACATAGCCTTAGTTCTTTGTGCCTATCTTCACTTATTTTGAACATTTTTTCAAAGAGGAAAAGAATTCTATAAACAATTTTACATGTATTATAATTGCCCACAAAGATGATGGCACAGATGTCTCCCAGGCACAGTTTTTATGCAGAATAGCAGAGAATTCATTCATTTTATTGGATTTTGTTTTGCAGAGCTATTTGCACAGTAAGTTGAAGTGCACCATCAGTCTGTGGGCTCGGATATGTTTTGGGTTAAGTTTTCTCCTCTCTCCTTCCTGTCCTTGGTACTTTGGTCCTTTCTAAGAAACTCACATCATATGAGCTTTTTCTGCAGTAATACTTTAAGAATTAAGTCTCTACTGGCCGGGCACAGTGGTTCATGCCTGTAATCCCGGCACTTTGGGAGGCCAAGGCGGGTGGATCACCTGAGGTCAGGAGTTCAAGACCAGCCTGGCCAACATGGTGAAACCCCATCTCTACTAAAAATACAAAAATTAGCCAGGTTTGGTGGCAGGCGCCTGTAATCCCAGCTACTGGGGAGGTTGAGACATGAAAATTGCTTGAAACCGGGAGGTGGAGGTTGCAAGGAGCTGAGATCACACCCCTACATACTTCAGCCTGGGCGACAGAGTAAGACTCTGTCAAAAAAAAAAAAAAAAAAACAGAATTAAGTCTCTGCTAAACCAGTTTCCATGATACTACTGTGCCTCAGAAATCCTGCAGAATGGGCACACCCCTCCCCACGTGGCCGGCCATGAGCACCCCATGCAGCTCCCTGCCGTATGTCCTGGAATAGACAGGCCTGATGAACAAGGCTGTGGCCAAGGCCAGTGTCCTCCTATGATTGCCAGGCTGACCTCAGACCACCCAGGGGAGACATGTCCTCCTCAGTTCCCTCCTGGGGCAGCCCTCAAGGCCACAGTGCTCAGCATCTGGATGGGTTCCACCCGCTGGCAGCTCAGCAGATTTCCCCAGCAGTTTGCCTGTCGCCTTTTTGTCTATTATTTTTATTATTTCTTTGACTTATTTAGCCCAGATGGATTAGGCAGCATCACTGATGTTGCTTATTTAAATTTCGTAGTCACTTGAATCCATAACATTCAGGCATACAGTTTTGCAACTCTTTGATTTCAATAATTCACTTTTCTTTCTTTGAGTCCCCAGATTGCCTGATGGCAAAAAGCTTTATAGAGTCCCTTGGAATTCTCATCTCAAACCAGTGACTTCTCCATCACTTCAGCTATTAAATTCATTGGTGAGCAGGTCCACAGCTCTGGGGGTCTCCCCTGCGCCCCATGCCCTCTGGCCTGGGGTTCTTTCTAAGCTCCTGGGAACGTGTACATCTATCCCCTGGCAGCCTCTTGGGAGAGAGACCTCATTTTCCTCCTCTGAGTCACTGGAGGCTTCTTGTTCCATGTCAGGTGTGGACCTCATTGGAGGCAGCTGTTCTCAGCTGCCTACTTCCTGTGCCCTGGAGACCCAGGCCCACCTGGCATTCCCCTCCCTGTTCCCATTCAGTGACCACTGCTGTCCACCACCCACCCAGGGGCCTGGGCACAGTCGTGGGGAGGGTCGGAGTCAGGCATGAGTGCTTGGGGTAGGGCATGGCGGAATCTGTCCCCACCCTTGGCTCACAGTGCCCCAGTGCACTTGGCAGGCAACTCGATCGAGATGAGCCTCTCATCCTCCTGAGTCCAGGTGCCCCGTGTGTCCTGGCATGGAGGTTGTAATCCTTCGGGGCTGCTGGCACAGCTGGGTTAATGCAGTGGCCCCGTGGGACGCGACTTACCCACCTGGGGCATGGCATGTGGATTAGCAGCTGACAGCCTGCAGGGCACACACATACCAAGTTGCGGGGCAGTGCCCCAAGCACCTGTGACGGTCAGCCCTCAAGCATGAGCGTCCTGTGCCTGAGACGGCACTACTTGAAACAGCAAATGAGAAACACCACAACAGACCAAGAGAGATTCAAAAGAAAGGAAAACGCTTTCTGTTTTAGTCCCTGTCGTGGCACATTCTTCCAGCTTTCTGAACAAAGGCTCCATGTTTTCACTTTATACTGGGCCCCGCAAACAACATAGCAGGTCCTGTATAAGCACAGCCCGTTCTGCTCTTATTGCTATGATTGTGGGTGCTTTTAAAGTGTTCAAAGTCTATAGAGACTTGCGACTTAATGGAATCCTTAAAAGACTTTCACTGAGTTATGAAATTCATATTTTTTAGTAGTTGAGAAAATAGGTCGCTTAGAAAATCAACCCACTTTAACAGCTTTTTTATTGCGGTAAAATACACATCACATAAAATGTACCATCTTGACTATTTTTAGGCATACAGTTCGGTGGCATTAAGTGAATTTACATTTGTGTGCCACCATCGCCACCACCTCCAAATAAATGTGTTTTAACAACTTTGAAGCTTAATACATTGAGCATGAAACTTAAGTACAAACAAGAATGAGCTTTCTTTCCCACTTGGGAGGCTCCACAGGTGTTAAGGACCCTGGTGCTGGAGGAAGGATAGTGGGGAAGACGGGTTCAGCAGGTGAGGCGTGAGAGGTACAACGGCAGGCCCTGAACAGCTCCCAAACCCCACTCAGAGTGGCACCCCGCCTGGTGTATGAGACCCACCCACCAGATGCTCCCAGAGACCAGTGATGGGGAGGGGCGGCATTGGCCAAAGCATACGAGCAGCCTCTGCTCCAGAACAACATAAACCAGACAGAGTCCCGCCCCCGGGGCACAGCTCTTCCACCGCACCTCAGGAAGAGAGGGAGACACCTGCCATGAAGACGGTGGTCCTCAAGAGGCCCCTTGAGGTCCCTACATCTGCCTCCTGCTCAAAACCCTGTGGCCTTCTCGGCTTCACTCTTCCTGACTCTCCAAGGAGGAGCTTCTCCTGCAGGAGCTCAGAATTCCCTCCCAGGCTTACGGCTGTGGTTCTGAGGTGTGAAGCCAGCCCCAGAGCCCAGGGCCTTGTGCTTGAGCCCTCCAGGCTCCGGAACCTCTGCAAAGGGATTTTCCCTTGATGCAGCGAGAGGCCCCATCTGAGTCCAGAGCAGACTGCAAGGCCTCGATCTGCGACCACAATCGAACTGAAGCAGCTGTGAGGAGGTTTACCTGGGCATTGTGATTATCATAGAGCCCCTGAGATAATCTCCTCCCTGCCTGTAACCCTCTCCGCTGTCAGTCAGTGACTACTTCACTGCCCCTCTCTGACGTCCCATCAGTTGCTCCCTGGAGACACCTGGCCCAGAGGAGGTGCTATCTAGTCAACTAGTCCAACATCTGACCCAGGTCGACAGGTCCTCCTCGGACCCTGAGCCAACCTGAAGGTTTTCCTCCATGACTCGTGGCCCTTTGCTCAGAACTGTTGTGTCTTCGAGTCTCTCCTCCCTGCCCTATAAACCCTTAGTCTTAGGCATTTGTTTCTCTGTTGTTGAAAACGCCCTGGCTGTACACACCAAACACCTGTCAACACCATTCCCAAAGATCTCTTCTTTCATCTTCCCCCGTCATCTTCTACAGCGTTCTGTGCAATGGAAGGGCCACAAACGCAAGCCACGGGTGCAATTTGAAGTTGCCTAGTAACCATATCTTAAACAGTCAAATGAAACAGGCAAAAATAATTTTAGTAACATATCCTATTCAACCTAATGTGTCTAAAATATTGCCATTTCAACATGTATCCATACAAAAAATAAATGAGCTGTTTTATATTTTTTATATGAAGACTTTGGCACTGGATTTCCAAGTGTTCAGGGAGCAGAGGTGGGCCTAGGCCTGTTGGAAACAGGGCCCATCATCGTGGCACGGCCAGTGGGCAGGTGTGCTCCCTCTGAGATCATCTCATGCCTCGATGTCCCCGTCTGTGAAATGGTGATGGCGATGCCCACCTCCTGGGAGTGGGTGAGGACGGCCCAGCTCACAGAACCTGGGAAATGGCAGCTGTGGTGGTGGCCTGGGGGCTCCTGAATGGTACCCCTGATCTCACAAGGCCCTGAAGCAGGCCTGGGGCATGGTCTTCTGCCAGCCATCCCTGATACCTGCTTCTTTTCCTGTGTCTCTCAGGGCCAGGCAGAGAAGAGTGCATTCACTGTGCGAAAAACTTCCACTTCCACGACTGGAAGTGTGTGCCAGCCTGTGGTGAGGGCTTCTACCCAGAAGAGATGCCGGGCTTGCCCCACAAAGTGTGTCGAAGGTACGGTCCTCCTGGCGGGGAACGGCAGGCAGCTGTGTCCAGCAAAGGAGTGCCTGGAGGGCAGAGTCTGGCAGCATCTTCCCCAGGGGCCGGGGAGGGCATGTTGCATCACCCCACTGTGGACAGGAGCCCATTTACAGAGCTGCTGAGGGGCCTTCGTCCCTTTGTTCACTGGATGCATATTTGTTGGGTCCCTGCTGTGGGCAGACACCGTGCAGCAGCGGGATAAGATGGGAAGCAGAATAGCAAGGTGCTCACACCCCATTGGTGGACTACGCGGGACGTCCCTGCCCATGTCGCGCTCAGCATGCATCCTTTGCACTGTCGATAATCAGAGAAACCATGTTTTGGGTTAAAAAAAAATTTTTTTGGAGACACACTCTCACTCTGTCGCCCAGGCTGGAGTGCACTGGTGTGACCTCAGCTCACTGCAACCTCTGCCTCTGGGATTCAAGCAACTCTCATGCCTCAGCCTCCCGAGTAGCTGGGACTACAGGCGTGCACCACAATGCCCAGCTAATTTTTGTTTTTGTTTTCGTTTTTTTTGAGATGGAGTCTCGCCTGTCGCCCAGGCTGGAGCGCAGTGGGCGATCTCGGCTCATTGCAAGCTCCGCCTCCCAGATTCACACCATTCTCCTGCCTCAACCTGCCGAGTAGCTGGGACTACAGGCACCCGCCACCACTCCCCACTAATTGTTTGTATTTTTAATAGAGACCGGGTTTCACCACGTTGGCCAGGCTGGTCTCGAACTCCTGGCCTCAAGTGATCCACCCACCTCAGCCTCCCAAAGTGCTGGGATTACGGGTGTGAGCCACCACACCTGGCCTAAAATATTTTTTTTAGTTAGATACTTAGAGAAATTAAAAAGATCCTGACAATTTCCTCATTCTAAAGCTGTTCTCTGCACAGTCCACGCACATCTATTTTCACCCTCCATATCCTCCTCTTGTGCTTCCTCCCATGTGTCCCTCCACAGAGTCACCATTCTTATTTGATGGCCCTGGACCCTTCTGTTGTTGGACATGAGCTGTTAAAGGAGGAGCTGTTTGCTCTGGTCTCCTCTTTTCTGGCTGAATATTGCCCTATGTTGGGAGATCATGAACTCAGGACCCAGAACAGGGCAGGGCAACCTGTCTTATTCAGGGTGGGAGCAACATTGAGGAGTTTGAAGGGACCTGTGAGGGTGTGACGATGGGGTGAGCTGTGAGGGGTGACGATGGGGTGGGCTGTGAGGGGTGACGATGGGGTGGGCTGTGAGGGGTGACGATGGGGTGGGCTGTGAGGGTGTGACGATGGGGTGGGCTGTGAGGGGTGACGATGGGGTGGGCTGTGAGGGGTGACGATGGGGTGGGCTGTGAGGGGTGACGATGGGGTGGGCTGTGAGGGGTGACGATGGGGTGGGCTGTGAGGGTGTGACGATGGGGTGGGCTGTGAGGGTGTGACGATGGGGTGGGCTGTGAGGGGTGACGATGGGGTGGGCTGTGAGGGGTGACGATGGGGTGGGCTGTGAGGGGTGACGATGGGGTGGGCTGTGAGGGGTGACCATGGGGTGGGCTGTGAGGGGTGACGATGGGGTGGGCTGTGAGGGGTGACGATGGGGTGGGCTGTGAGGGGTGACGATGGGGTGGGCTGTGAGGGGTGACGATGGGGTGGGCTGTGAGGGGTGACGATGGGGTGGGCTGTGAGGGGTGACGATGGGGTGGGCTGTGAGGGGTGACGATGGGGTGAGCTGTGAGGGAAGTACCAGGCGTTAGCCTGCTTTCACAGTGCTAAAAAGAAATACCTGAGGTTGGGTGATTTATAAAGAAAAGAGGTTGAATTGGCTCACAGTTCTGTAGGCTTCATAGGAAACATGGCGCCAGCATCTGCCCAGCGTCTTCACTCCTGATGGCAGGTGAAGCAAGGGCAGCACATCACATGGCAATAGCAGGAGCAAGAGAGGGAAGGAGGCCGGGCACGGTGGCTCACGCCTGTAATCCCAGCACTTTGGGAGGCCAAGGTGGGCGGATCACCTGAGGCCAGGAGTTCAAGACCAGCCTGGCCAACATGGCAAAACCCCTTCTCTACTAAAAAAAAAAAAAAAAAAAAATGCAAAAATTAGTTGGACGTGGTAGTGTGTGCCTGTAATCCCAGTCTTACAGGAGGCTGAGGCAGGAGAATCGCTTGAACCAAGGAGGCGGAGGTTGCAGTGAGCTATGATCGCACCATGCACTCCAGCATGAGCGACAGAGCAAGACTCCATCTCAAAAGAAAAAAAAAAGTCAGGAGTTGCCACACACCTTTAAACAAGCAGCTCTCACATGAACTCACTCATCACCAAGGGGATGGTGTGAGGCCATTTATGAGGGATCCACCCCATGATCCAAACACCTCCCACCAGGCCCCACCTCCAACACTGGGGATCACATCTCATCATGACACTTGGAGGGGACAAATGTTCAAACCATATCGGGGGGCTTCCGTCTGAAAAAGACTGAAAATGAGGGAGCCCTCAAAGGCTTGTGTCAGAGCAGGGGAGGGGTGCCCATGGCTGGCTGCCAGCTGGGTACCGATTCACCACACAGTGGGGTCTGCCTCCCAGGCTGTGTGTAAGAACCACTGTGGGTTGTAACCTATTCCCCTAGAAACAAAGCCCTACAGTGAGCCCATGAGGGACCACCAAGCCCTTGCACTTGTCTGACCCACAGCAGAGGGACCTGGTGGCGGTTACGTATCTCGGCAAGCATCAGCCCCTTCTACTGCGTTGCTGTAATGGAGGAAACTTGCCACCCGCTTGCAAGGTGCAGCCTTGCTGAGTCCTGCACGGGGCCCTGGGCACAGTTGTCTGAAGTTAAACCCTTCATGGTAACCAGTCAGCTGGTTCTCAGATAATTAAATATAGCAATCCAGGGAGAACTTGGAATTAAACAGTGATAATCACTTTCATTTGTCAAATGCCCTGGATTTCAGGGCATGCTGATCATGCCCACAGCTGTGCAACTGGACCCCTGCAGGCAGCCCCACCGCAAACCTCTCTTTGCCCCTCAGGAGGCAGCAGGCGGGCAGCCCCACCGCAAACCTCTCTTTGGGCAGTGGAGGACAGGAGTTTCCTGGGTACTTGTTCCCAGGTGAGGGGCAGCTTTCGGCCCTGCAGAGGCTGACAGTGCTGGGGCTGACACACCGGGTCTTGGAGAAGCACCCCCCAGGAAGAGCGTCAGTGTGGACGCCTCCCAAAGGAAGCAAGGCCTTGGTCCGATTGGTTCTGCGGGGTCTCTCCCCACTTGGACAGCCTGAGCTGAGAACCACAGGCATCCTCCAGGCCCCAGAATGCTGGTGGACGCCGTGGCCGTCCGCTGCTGCTGTGCCAGGCAGCTCCGAGGGAGCATGTGGCCAGACGGGCTGCGTTGGAACATGCAGGTCAGGACGCAGGCCTGCTGGGTTGGCAACTGCAGGTGGAAGCCGAGGCCCGACGCTGAGAACAATGCCTGATAAGTTCCCTAAGAGAGGGGCCGAGGCCCGACGCTGAGAACAATGCACGATAAGTTCCCTAAGAGAGGGGCCGGACACCCTCAAGACCTAGTGAGAGGACCCAGCAAGAGCCAGCCTGGACAACTTGGAAGAAAAACAGGCCTCTGTGGAGTGCTTGCCAGCGGGGGAGGCAAACTCCTCATGCCCTGGCCCTGCCTCCACTTGCCCCCAGGCTCAGCGGGGGCAGAGACTCCCAGGGGCACAGCTTGAAGGGGCACGCCTTCTGCCAATGCGCATGCTGCGTCCAGGCTGGAGCATGAAAGCGTCAGTCTTCTGCATCCCACTCCTGAACAGGCAGGAGGCTGATGGGAGTGGCCTCTGCAAGGGAGCAGGGACAGAGGGCTGCATCCGGCATCCCTGTCCTTCCAGAATGTGGCAGGGCAAAGCGGCCATGGTGTTTGGGGGAAAAGTAGGTACCATAGATGGTTGCAGAACCAGAAGCATCTTAAAAGCCACCCTGCCCAAAGCTGGTGCTGCCCACGAGGACCCGCTGCTGGGCACGGTAATCCTGACGGAAAGCAGGAGCTACACAGGGTCTCCCAGGGAGAGCCGTCTGCACTGGCCTAACGGGGACGGGAGCATCACCCATCTCCCTGAGCAGCATGGTGATGGATTATTTCCCCAGACCTCCAGAGGAGAGCCCAGCCTGGCCACCACCTTGCCCTGAACCTCGTGAGACCCTAGGTGGAGAGCCCAGCTGCACCTGCCTGGACTTCTGCCTGCATAGCGGGGAGCCGCTGAGTGGGTGTTATTTTCAGCTGCTGAGTGTGTGGCAACCTGGTTAGAGCAATGGAAAACCGAGGCCCCTGCCATCCTGCTGAGCTGGGTGAGGTTGTATTTGAAGAAGCAAGCAAGCCGTAACCTCCTGGCTGTCCACCGCAGCGCGCTCCTCACCACAGTTCTTCACTGATGAAGCAGCCCTCAGCCGTGGCCTGGGGGCACTGGGCCCCTGGGTCCTCCAGACCACTGACATCTCTTTAAATGACTCAGCTCGGCCCTGGTTCTCGTCTCACCAGTGGCATTGTCTGTAAGAGAAACCAGAGGGTCTGTGGGGAAAGTCATAACCTGTACTGGGGCATCAGGGTTTGGTGGCTGGGCCACCAGAATGTGCAAGGGCAGGTGTGGGGAGGGGGCAGCATGATGGGGGCAGACCCATGGGGCTTCCCACAAGTGCACAACCCCCTCTGGCAAGTCCTCTAACCCCATCCTTTCCTCTGGGGCGGCCTGGATGGGAATATTAGAAAGGCTCGTGGGTGTGAGTTTGCCTGTGGGGTTTACACATTTACAATTACAGACCAAGGGCTTGAGCTCTAGGCTCAGCATCCTCAGACACACTAGGAATAAAACCCACCTCCCACCCAGGCTGAAGCGATGCTGCACCTGGGGCTCCAGAGCAGCGGAGTCCGTGGTGAGACCAGACCCCATCAGAGGGCTGCTCTGCAAAGAGCCCCACGAGGAGGCCTGGTGTCTGAGCGTGGGAAGGCTTCACACAGCAGGGAGGGGACATCTGTATAAAGCAAAGAACTGCCCCCCAGGGAGGCCCAGGCATGAGCACAACAAAGCTCCAAGCCCTGCCTATGGGGCCTGTTCCACCCTTAACTGGCAACAATGGGGAGGTGGGCAGCTGATGCAAGCACTGTGGAGACCGAGTCACCGGGCTCTGGACTCAGGACAGGCAGCAGCATAGCCGGGGTGCACTCACGGCCCCAGGATGGGAAACGTGCTCCTTCAAGCACTCGGCCCGCATCGGCAAGTGCTTTCTGTAGAGGGCACAATGGTCAGTCGTTCAGGCTTTTGGGGCCACACTGCCTCTGTCACAGCTACTCAGCTCAGCCACTGCTACACAAAAGATTGTCAATGAATGAGTGTGACTGTGGTCCAGGATAAATGCTGGATGTGGCCCTTGGGCTGTAGTGCACCAACCGTCCCCTGAGGTCACGTTTACCCTGCATTAGAAATAGCCCTGGCTGGTGTCCATCTCTGCGCAGGCTGGGCCAGGACCGTCCGAGAGGGGCAGGAATTGTGGGGCATCTCTCCCACTCCCCGAGGGTAAGCAGGCATGGCCACATATAGGTGACAGCAGCCTTCTGGTCAGCTCGAGTCAGGTGTGTCACATCCCTGGGTGGAGTCTGGCCTGGACCCCAAGCCTACAGCCATCGCAGCCCGGCAGCCGCTGGAGAGAGAAGACTGACACAGCTCTGGGAGCCGTGTGGTGGGGTGGGGGCTGGGTGCCAGGGCCCAGGAGGGTGTCCAGGTGAGCTGCGGGAAGCCTCGGAGGCCTGGCCCCTGATCCTGGGCTTGCTCCTGCCAACTGGCCATGGCTGTCTCTGCCCTCCCAGGGCAATAGTGAGGTCAGACAGGAGAAAAGACATGCAGACACTCAGCCCCTGTGTCAGGGAATGGTGGGCGACACAGCCTCTCCACAGAGGACCGAGGCTGAGGGGGTGGGAAGGAGGTGCAGGGAGGTGAGGGTTCTGGGAAGGGAGCCCGGAGTGGTGGAGCCTCTTCCCCAGACTTCAGCAGGAACGGTATCTTCCCACAGGTGTGACGAGAACTGCTTGAGCTGTGCAGGCTCCAGCAGGAACTGTAGCAGGTGTAAGACGGGCTTCACACAGCTGGGGACCTCCTGCATCACCAACCACACGTGCAGCAACGGTGAGCAGCAGCTGGGTTACCCTGGGGCTGCCTGTGGAGGAGCTCAGCTGGCCAGCTCGTGCTCCAAAGAGAAAAGCAAAGCCACATAGGCATGGCGGCTCCACAGACAGGCGTTCGTGCCCCTGATCCGATTGACTGTCTGGGATTCCTCTAGCTGATATGGAAGACAGCTGCCCTGTCTCCCAGCTTCCCTCTAGGCCTCTCACATCGATCAGAGAGGCATCCCAGCCACTGCTGATCTGTTTATTGAGTGACTCCTAAAAATGATTTTGTCCTTGTACTGGTCCCACTGCCATGCCATAGGCCGCCGGTGGCCCGGATGTGACGACATACCATAAAAGAAGCCTGACCTGGGGGGTCAAAGCCAGGAAGCCTGGAGGGTCTCTGCTCAGGACGAGGGGGACAGAGCCCAGAGTAGAGCACACGCTCAGCAGCAGCAATCCCAGCTCTGCAGGGATCCAGCATGGACCTGCATCTGTGCTGCAGGAGAGCCCTGGCTCTGCCATAGGATGGGGGACAAGGACAAGTTGTAAAAACAGAAACTTAAAAGGGCACCAAAGCTAAGTGCCCAGTTTGGGAATTCCAGGCACCAAGGAGGGTTGGCAGGACTCGGGCCTGGAGGTGCAGTGCAGGAGTCATTGTAGACACACGGGCAGGGAAGGGGGCTCTGGCCCAGCAAGCAGCAGGGTGGAGCCACATTCTGACAGCCAGGAGAGGAAGGCTCTCTGCTCCAGTGTCCAGGGTCAGGGCAGGTGGTCCTTGGGTATGAAGCTGGCACTGGCCCTGTCCAGGCAGAGCATGGAGCTTGTGGAGGGCCCTGGGATGCCTCCTTGCCTTGTTACTGGTTATTATTTTTGGGGGGTGGCGGGAGGGTTGTCTAATTATGTCCCTTCAAAGGCCCAGAAACTACTTCTTTGGGAAGTCACCTGCCCAGGTTATGTATCTAGCCCAAAAAAGTGTGGTTGCCACTGGAGGGCCTCCCAGGTCCACGGATGATGCATCCTCAAAGGCCTCTTCCCCTTGCTGCAGCGGTGTCCTCAGCAAGTCCTGTCCACGGCGGCTCCCTTCCCCCCATCCCCACTCCTCCCTGTCCGCCCCCTCCACCCTGGAAGCAGCTTCCATTCCCTCCTGCCTCCAGGCCCGTCCTCCGGCCTCCCCTACAGTCTTCCTCCTAAGCTCCACTGCCAGCAGTTGTCCAGAAAGACAGGTGCACATGTGCCCCACAGGCCCAGGCTGGGTGTTCTCCTGAGATCCCTCCCACACCACCCCCACATCCTGCTCATGAATCCCCTTGTCACTGAGACTCAGCAAGAGCCCCATATACCAGTGCCCTCCCGCCACACAGGGCTCCCAGAGTCAAGTGCATTGCAGGAGAGGGGCTTCAAGGGCTGCCATCCTGCTGCCCACCTCTGTCTGTGTCCCTCTTGCCCAGGGCACCACTGATGCCCAGCATATGTGGAATGATTGAAACAATATTTATTTATGTATTTATTTATTTATTTTTGAGACGGAGTTTTGTTCTTCTTGCCCAGGCTGGAGTGCAGTGGCATGATCTCAGCTCACTGCAACCTCTGCCTCCTGGGTTCAGGTGGTTCTCCTGCTTTAGCCTCCCGAGTAGCTTGGATTACAGGTGCCCACCACCATGCCCAGCTAATTTTTATATTATTAGTAGAGACGGGGTTTCACCATGTTGGTTAGACTGGTCTCAAGCTCCTGACCTCAGGTGATCCACCCACCTCGGCCTCCCAAAGTGCTGGGATTACAGGCATGAGGCACCGCGCCCGGCCTTGAAACAATCTTCACAGGCACCGAAGACTGACCTTTCCCTCTTTTGCCTTTCCTGATGCGGGGCCCCAGCTGACGAGACATTCTGCGAGATGGTGAAGTCCAACCGGCTGTGCGAACGGAAGCTCTTCATTCAGTTCTGCTGCCGCACGTGCCTCCTGGCCGGGTAAGGGTGCCTAGCTGCCCACAGAGGGCAGGCACTCCCATCCATCCATCCGTCCACCTTCCTCCAGACTGTCGGCCAGAGTCTGTTTCAGGAGCGGCGCCCTGCACCTGACAGCTTTATCTCCCCAGGAGCAGCATCTCTGAGCACCCAAGCCAGGTGGGTGGTGGCTCTTAAGGAGGTGTTCCTAAAATGGTGATATCCTCTCAAATGCTGCTTGTTGGCTCCAGTCTTCCGACAAACTAACAGGAACAAAATGAATTCTGGGAATCCACAGCTCTGGCTTTGGAGCAGCTTCTGGGACCATAAGTTTACTGAATCTTCAAGACCAAAGCAGAAAAGAAAGGCGCTTGGCATCACACATCACTCTTCTCCCCGTGCTTTTCTGCGGCTGTGTAGTAAATCTCCCCGGCCCAGCTGGCGAACCCTGGGCCATCCTCACATGTGACAAAGGGCCAGCAGTCTACCTGCTCGTTGCCTGCCACTGAGCAGTCTGGGGACGGTTTGGTCAGACTATAAATAAGATAGGTTTGAGGGCATAAAATGTATGACCACTGGGGCCGGAGTATCTATTTCTACATAGTCAGCTACTTCTGAAACTGCAGCAGTGGCTTAGAAAGTCCAATTCCAAAGCCAGACCAGAAGATTCTATCCCCCGCAGCGCTCTCCTTTGAGCAAGCCGAGCTCTCCTTGTTACCGTGTTCTGTCTGTGTCTTCAGGAGTCTCATGGCCTGAACGACCACCTCGACCTGATGCAGAGCCTTCTGAGGAGAGGCAACAGGAGGCATTCTGTGGCCAGCCAAAAGGTACCCCGATGGCCAAGCAATTCCTCTGAACAAAATGTAAAGCCAGCCATGCATTGTTAATCATCCATCACTTCCCATTTTATGGAATTGCTTTTAAAATACATTTGGCCTCTGCCCTTCAGAAGACTCGTTTTTAAGGTGGAAACTCCTGTGTCTGTGTATATTACAAGCCTACATGACACAGTTGGATTTATTCTGCCAAACCTGTGTAGGCATTTTATAAGCTACATGTTCTAATTTTTACCGATGTTAATTATTTTGACAAATATTTCATATATTTTCATTGAAATGCACAGATCTGCTTGATCAATTCCCTTGAATAGGGAAGTAACATTTGCCTTAAATTTTTTCGACCTCGTCTTTCTCCATATTGTCCTGCTCCCCTGTTTGACGACAGTGCATTTGCCTTGTCACCTGTGAGCTGGAGAGAACCCAGATGTTGTTTATTGAATCTACAACTCTGAAAGAGAAATCAATGAAGCAAGTACAATGTTAACCCTAAATTAATAAAAGAGTTAACATCCCATGGCACAGGAGCCTGTATTTCTTTCCACGGCACACAAAATGAAACATGAGTGCTGACCAAGTGTTAAGTGGACGTTACTTTAACTGTGGTTTCAGATCTGTTTGATGTCATTACGTGGAAGGTCTTCTTTTGAGCTTTAGCAAATGTTGATGTAAGGAAGCAATGGAGGAAATCCCAGATCCCAACCCCAGAATGTCACTGGGCAAAGAGACCCCTTCAGACCACGTTAGCCTCACTGGGAGGAGGTTCTAGAGCCTCTCCAGATGTAGGGGCCCCTTCCATCTGTCACGGGGGAGCTCCCCAGAGCCCAGACTGCCTCTTCACCGGTTGCTGCCAAGTGTGATTGAATTAGGTTACAGCTTGTCTTCTATGCAGTGGCTGAAATCCCTGAACCCATGGCTGATGCACTCCTTGGGATGTTTACCATGGCCTCTCTGTGAAGTCAGAAGCTTGTACTTGCTAGGAATCCTTTGGCTGCAAGTAAAGGAAACGCACCAACTAGAAATGACTTAGGTGAAAACAAGAGTGGGTGAGGGGCGTTGTTTTGAGAATCCAGAGTGGATTCAGAATTTCAGGGAGGGGTGCAGCAGAGCCTTGGGAAAGCTGGAGCCGGCATTAAATGTCACCTGGACCCTCTCTGTACGGCAGCACTGCCCTTCTCTCCATGGCCGCCTTCTCCAGTTGATGGGACAAATGACAAGACCTCCAGCATCTTCCAGGTAAAACTGGTACAAATCCAACCCCTCAGGCCAACTTTCTGGGTCTGTTTCTTGGCTCTTCTTTTCCCAGGGACAGGACTTGGTCAGCCTGCCTTACATGGGTACTCTCCCTGTGTCATCAGCTGTGGCTACAAGGACAGGCTTGTGCAGCAGAATATGGCTGCAGGGAGCTCTGCAGCAGAGGAGGGGAGCAGTGTGCAGCTCTCAGAAGGCAGGGCAAGTCACACAACCCAACAGCTGGCCACCACAAGCACCAATTGACCAGAGTTGTGCGTGTGAGGCAGTGAAGGAATAAGTGTGTTTGGGATGAACATTCAACCCCTTGCCCCGCCCATGAGACCGACCTTGAATTAAAAGTAACTTGTTAAGTGCTGCTGGTGCCAGGCAGCCTTTTAGACCCTAGAGCCCAGATACCAGCAAATCCGAGCTGCCCACTGAGAGCTTACAGTCTACCATGTTTGCAGCTGAATCAGAAATAAACTCCTGGCCGGGCATGGTGGCTCACACCTGTAATCCCAGCATTTTGGGAGGCCGAGGCAGGCGGATCACCTGAGGTCAGGAGTTCGAGACCAGCCTGGCCAACACAGTGAAACCCCATCTCTACTAAAAATACAAAAATTAGCCATGCGTGGTGGTGACACCTGTAATCCCAGCTACTCGGGAGGCTGAGGCAGGAGAATCGCTTGAACCCAGGAGGTGAAGCTGCAGTGAGCCAAGATTGCACCACTGTACTCCAGCCTGGGCAACAAGAACGAAGCTGCGTCTCAAAAAAAAAAAAAAAAAAAAAAGGGAAGAAACTCCCTTTATCTCCCAAAGGGAGATACAACTACAGGAAAGCCAACCAGGCAGCCTCGTCGAGTGGCTAAGCCAGGCAAGCCCAGCTTGGGGCTGACAAGTCGGGTGGGGAGTTGAGAAGTTGTTCACAAAGTCCTAATGACTAAACTCCACCTTGTTGAAAGAGACCAACTACATATAATGTCTGCTCACAAGTGGTCCGACCTTGAGGTTAAAATTGTCTGGACTCTGGCAGGATATGTGTATGGATTTTAAGTGACAGGATCATGGATCACCTCCTCTAAACCTGTCATTTCCCAGACAAGGACACTGAGACCCACAGAAGTGAATGCCTTGCCTGGGGCTGCACATTGGCAAAGTTGCTCCCCACCGGGCCCAGGGAAGGAAGCTGGCTGGCTGCAGGAGGGGCGTCGTTCTGCAGCTGCCCAAATGCAGCCATGATGCATTTGTTTTAAACTAGCTTTATTTTCAGGGGGTGATGTTTACCTGACCTTATCCCCAAATTCTTTGGCACCTCACAGTGGACCCCATGTGTACATCCCCATCCCTCCCAGGCCACTACTGACTTTGTATCTTGCGACTCTTCAAAGGACTGGTGAGAATGGCACTTTGTACAGAAGACACACCTGAAATGGGAGGGGGGGTGGACAGAACTTAAAAAAATAAAAGGGCCAGCCACAGTGGCTCACACCTGTAATCCTAACATTCTGAGAGGTTAGAAGCAAGAGGATGGCTTGAGCCCAGGCATTTGCAGCCAGCCTGAGAAATAGAGCGAGACCCTGTCTCAATCAATCAATCAAAAACGACAGAGATAGATAGATAGATGATAGATTGATAGATGATAGATAGATAGATAGATAGATAGATAGATAGATAGATAGCAACATGGTCTAAATGAGTCTAGGAGTGGAGTGTCCTTGAACTTGGGGAGACCACCCTCCACTGCATTTGCATTATTGATACTATGGCTGGAGAGGGCCTTTTGCCTAAAAGCTTGGAGTATGTTGGGGCCCCCGAGAGCAGGTGAGGGCCAGAGGTTCAGATCAGAGGATGGAAAAAGGAGGTGGAGAACAGGAAAGAAAAACATTTTAATAAGAACAAGCAGGGGTGATGGAAAGTATACACCAAGGCCATTCTCTAGCATCTTAAGGTTCTGCCCAGCCAGCTGGGAGGCCACTGGGCACTGGCTGCTGGGGGGAAAGGAAGAATCTGCTCCCCTACCCCAGCCTTCACTGTTGCTTTCCTCGCACGAACCCCAGACTCTATCCTTCCTGGTTGGCTGTTTAAGTCCTTTCCTGACACCCCAGGCTTTGTGGCTTATCTGAGCACAGAACAGCATCCTTAGATGGTACAGCACTGAGCACCCACCTTAGATCCTAGGATTCAGTCCCACCATCCAAAGCCCCTCACCACTACAGACCAGCCACACTAAGGGTGACCAGATATCTTAGACTCCCTTTTGAAACAACAGGAACCAAAGTGCCCAGGGCAGAGAACATCCTGTTGCCAAAATAGTGGTTCTCAACCAGGGATGACTTTTGTCTTCCAGGGGACATTTGGCAACGTCTGGAGACATTTTGGGTTGTCACAACTGGAAGGATGTACTCACATCCAGTGGGTGGAGGCCAGGAATGCTGCTAAGCACCCTGCAATGCACAGCAGCCCCCATGACAAAGAACTGTCCAGACCAAAATGTCAATAGTGCCGAGGTTGAGAAATTCCGGCCAAAAGAAATGGAATCAAAAAAGAAAATTGTTTGCAACTTCATAGAGATACCCTCAATGAATAAAACCACATATGGTTTGACTTCTGTCCCTGTTCCTATGCTGAAGGGAAACTTGTACAACTTTCCCTTTTTAAAGTAAAGAGATACCACCCCACTCTTTTTTTTTTTTAAACACAGCAACAGAAGGGCCCCAAGTTAAAACCAGCTCTCCAGCCTAAGGACTCCACCTGGTGGTCCTCTCTGGAATTAAATGAAGTTGAGGTTTTATTTTGTTTAATTTTTTCATTATTCAGTTATTTTGTTTAACATTTTTAGTTATTTTGTTTAAATTTTTAGTTATTTTAACTTTTAAGTTATTTTATTTCTTAGTTATTTTAACTTGTTATTTTAATTTTTTTAGTTATTTTAACTTTTTAAAGTTATTTTAATTCTTTAGTTATTTTGTTTAACTTTTTTAGTTTTTTTAGTTAAACAAAAGTTGCAGTGACCGGGGCAGGTGTGATGGCTCAGGCCTGTAATCCCAGCACTTTGGGAGGCCGAGGCAGGGACAGGGGGCAGGGGAAATCACTTCTTAGGTCAGGAGCTCAAGACCAGCCTGGCAAACATGACAAAACCCCGTCTCTACTAAAAATATAAAAATCAGCCAGGCATGGTGGCGAGCGCCTGTAATCCCAGCTACTTGAGAGGCTGAGGCACGAGAATCACTTGAACCTCATGTTATTCCTCATGAGGCGGAGGTTGCAGTGAGCCGAGATTCCGCCACTGTACTCCAGCCTGGGCAACAGAGCGAGACTCCATCTCAGAAAACAAAGAAGTTCCAAGTACAATACAAAGAAATTCCCTCCCAATTTGAGAGTAAGTTGCCGATATACCCTATGACCGCCCCCCCCCCGCCAATACTTCAGTGGGTATTTCCTATGAACAACGACATTCTCCGGCACAGCCATCAGACTCAGGAAATTAACATCGGTATGTTATTACCATCAACCCTCTGACTGAATTCTAGTTCTGCCAGTTGTCCCAATAAAGTTCTTAGCAAAATGGTCTGGTTTAGAAACACACTTTTCACTTAGTCATCATGTCTCTTTAATGTTCTTCCATCTGGAACAGTTCCTCAGTCTCCTTGCCTCATGATGTGGAAGCTTTTAAAGACTATAGGCCAGTTATTTGTAGGCTGCCCTTCGCTGTGCACTTGTCTGAGGGTTCCTCACGTTTTGAGTCAAGTCATGCATCTTTGACACGAATCTCACAGGCTGATTCTGTGTTCTGTCTGCATTCTAGCAGGGAGTACACGATCTGTTCCATTATTGGTGATGTTAACGATCATTGGTTAGAGTTTTCTTCCGGGCTATGAAGTGATGCCTGCCAAAGCATATCCACTACCACCGCTGTTCAACATTGTGCTAAAGATCCCAGCCAGTGTAACAGGGCAAAAAATACAGAACCAGTATAATAATTGGAAAGGAGGAAATAAAACTATCTTTTTTTTTTTTTTTTTTTTTTTTTTTTGAGACCGAGTCTCACTCTGTTGCCCAGGCTGGAGTGCAATGGCATGATCTTCACTCACTGCAACCTCCGCCTCCCTGATTCAAGTGATTCTCGTGCCTCAGCCTCCCAAGTAGCTGGGATTACAGGTACGTGCCACCACACCCGGCTAATTTTTGTATTTTTAGTAGAGGCGGGGTTTCACCATGTTGGCCAGGCTGGTCTCAAACTCCTGACCTCAGGTGACCCACCCACCTCAGCCTCCCATAGTGCTGGGATTACAGGCGTGAGCCACCACGCCCAGCCAACTATCATTATTCTCAAATAGCATGGTTATGTATGTAGAAAATCCACAAGAATGGTTACAGATAAACTTAAGTAAATTTCACAAGATCGCTGGATGTAACGCCAATATACAAAAATCTGCTGTATTTAAATATATCAAACTAATGATTAGAAAATGGAGTTTTTAAACAAAAGGTACTATTTACAGTAGCATCAAAATCTATCAAATATCTAGACAATCTAGTAAAGGATATACAAGGCCTTGACACAAAATCTGCAGGATGCTGCTGAAATTAAAGAGTGCCTCAATAAATGTAGGGCTATAATATGCCCATTGATTGGAATACTTCATATTGTAAAGATATTAATTCTCTCCAAATTCTTCTACAGATCCAACACACTACAAATCAAATCATGGGTGCTTTTTCACATATATCTATAATTTATGTTCACATGCAAAGGATTAGAATAATCAGATAACTACTAGATAATCTGAGAAAAAAATGGGAGCTTTTTTTGAGGGACAAATACCAAGTCTTTTTCTAAAGCTTGTATTCTGCAAGGATAGCTGACTAAACCCATGGAAAAGAACAGCTAGTTCAGAAGCAGAGGCCCTCACATATTTGGACACTTGATTTTTGAAAAGAGCTGCTCTGCAGAGCAGTGGGGGAGAAGATGGTCTTTTCAATAAATGGTGCTGGGTCCACCAAATATCCATATGGGGAAAAATATATCTTCTTCCCTACCTTAGACTATGCACAAAAATCTAGGCCAGAGAGACTGCAGATCTAAATGGACAAGGTGGAAGAAGAAAGCTTTTAGAAGAAAATATAATTTTGGAGTAGGCAAAAGTTTCTCACAGCGTACTCGAAAACTATTAGCTGTATAGGGAACGGTTCATAAATCAGACTGTATTAAAATGAAGAACCTCTATTCATCAAAAGATACCATTAAGAGAGTGAAAACCCAAGCCACAGGGGGAAGATACTCACTACAGACATAGCTCACAAGGTTCCTATTGAAAAAATATAAAGAGCTCCTACAAATCAGTTTAAAAATAAAGCCCAATAGAAAAATGGGCAAAACACCTAAGCAGACACTTCATTAAAGAGGTTATCCAAACAAACATAAATATATTTTTTAAAGTTCTCAATTGTGTTAGTAATTAGGGAAATACAGTTAAAACCACAATTTCATACCATTACCTATCTACCAGAATGGCTAAGATTAAAAAGACAATACTAAACGTTAGCAAGGAGTTTAAGTTGGCAACCACTTTGGAAAACTATGTCCTACTTAAGCTGAACATAAGTAAGCCCTATGACCCAGTAATTCCATCCCTGGGAGTATATCAGTATATGTGTTCACATAAAGATATATATTATTGAGTTTGTAGGTACACTATTTATAATATAAAAGAGTGAAAATTACCCAAATGTTCATCAACAGCAGAATGGATAAGTAAATTGTAAAACATCCACAATGAAATACCATATTACAGTGAGAATAGATTAACTACATCTACACACAAACATAATGTTTAGCAAAAAATATGCAAGGTACTTCATTTGCATAAATACAAAACTAGATAAAGCAAATCTATACAAGATGGCAGGATAATGGTTACCCTTGGGGCAAGGGTGGTGACTAGATGAAGACAGGAGGAGGGCTTCTGGAATGTGGCAATGTCCTGTTCTTACGAGGATGCTAGTTGGTTGGGTGTGTTCAGTTTGCATTCTTCTATATGTATATCATACTTCAATAAAAGTTCAAGGAGAATCATCTCCGGGTGGATTGCAGAACTAAATGTGAAAAGCAAAACAATCGTCTAGTAGACCACATAGGAAAATATGATGGGGGTAAGGGAAGATTTCCTAAGGCACATGCACATGCACACACACCCAATCCACTAACCTAAAGAAAATAATTGAACTACATAAAACTTGGAAACTTCTCAGCCAGGCGAGGCGGCTCACGCCTGTAATCCCAGCACTGTGGGAGTCTGAGGCAGGTGGATCACTTGAGCTCAGGAGTTGGAGACCAGCCTGGGCCACATATCAAAACCTTGTCTCTACAAAAAATACAAAAGTTAGCCAGGCCTGTTGACCTGTGCCTATAGTCCCGGCTATTTGGGAGGCTGAGGTGGGAGGATCTCTTGAGCCTGAGAGGTCAAGGCTGCAGTGAGTCCTGATGGCACCACTGCACTCCGGCCTAGGTGACAGAGTGAGACCCTGTCTAAAAAAAAAAAAAAAAAAAAAAAAAAAAAATCTAATCATCAACACCATTAAGAGTGAAAAGGCAAGCCACAGAGTGTGTTCATATCCCTAATATATAAAGAAATTCCACAAATCAATAAGAAAAAAGGCAGACAACTCCATAAGGAAAAAAAAAAAATGAGCCAGGGACTCGAAAGAACACTTAACCAAGGAAGCTATCAGAATGGGCACCATACACATGAGAAGGTTCTCAGCTTCATTAGTTATTAGAGAAAAGCAAAGCAAAGCAGTAGTGCAATACCACCACACACCCATCAGAATAGCTGAAGTTATAGAGTTAAAATGCCAAGAAGGCTGAAGCTGGAAGCCATGAAAACCCTTACACACCGCTGGAGTGTGTATATTATTTCAGCCTCTTAGCATAACTGTTGGGCATTACTTATTGATGATAGATATACCCTATGTCCCAGCAGTCCCACTCCAGGACAAACTCATGCAAACGTGCATCAGAACCACGTACCAGAAAATTCATAGTAGCATTACTCAGAATAGCCCTAACTGAAAACAACTTTGATGTCTATCAACAGCAGAATAAGTAATTTATGGTATAATATATACAATGGAATTCTCTTCAGCAGCAAAAGCAAACAAACCATCTCTGTATGCAACCTGGATGGACTCCAGACATAATATAGACTCCATGAAACTAGGCCAAAAAAAAAAGCATACTGCATGATTCTATTTATAGCAAAAGCAAGCAAACCGAATTTGTAGTGTTGAGTTCGCGGTTGCCTTTTGGGAAAGAGGGAGGCTTTCAGAATAGCGGTGTTTTGGATCCCGGTGTCGGCTACGCAGCTGTGTTCACTCTGGTCATTAATCACTGTAAATTCCTGATATGCACACTTTTATGTATATCACATTTCATACATATGAATATTCAGAAGTCTAAAGGTCACAAGCTTAACCGCAAACCCTACCGTGCCCGAGGCCGGGCTGGACTTGCGGGGCGGTGGGGTTGTCCCGGCGACCTGCCCCAGGCGGGCCACCTAGCCCGGGATCTCACACTGTAGCCCGGAGCCAAGGCCCAGGCCCGGGGCGGGCACCTGAACTGCTGGACCCTTCACTGAACCCCACGGGTTCCCGCGACGGCTGGTGGAGGGAGGACAGTCACCGCTTCCCCTCCCACCTCGAGGTGCGCTAATGCATGAGAAAGTTCCCCTCGGGTGTTTCCACATTCGCCTTAACTTTTAAACACCAACGTCTGGAATCAGGGGTCCTCCAGACTCCGAAACACACCCTAGGAAACAACCCAGAACGAGACACATCCCCTGTGCGCGCGCCACGACTTCCGGCAAGAACGCCCCCGGAGGCGTGGCTCTTCGATTGCTTCGGCCTGGCGGTCGAGCTGCGCGCGCACTCGGCGGCTGCGATTGGTGCTGCCTGGCGGCGGGGCGCGGGGCACGCTGGGACGTCTCGCTGGCGGGAGGCCACGGGCTTTCCACAGCGCGGGGGAACGGGAGGCTGCAGGATGGTCAAGCTGACGGCGGAGCTGATCGAGCAGGCGGCGCAGTACACCAACGCGGTGCGCGACCGGGAGCTGGACCTCCGGGGTGAGTCCGGGGGCGTGGGCGGCCAGTCCCCAGGCGGCACCGAGCCGCCTTATTTTCCGCGCTTTGCCGCGTGCACCGAAGGCCGGAGCTTGGCCCGCGGGCCGGTTGTCTGGGCTCCGACCGGGCTGCGCAGGGAACGCCGGGCCTGATTCTTGCCGTTGTTGCCAGATGAGCATCCGGTTAAGCTCCTGGGAGCCTTCTGTTAGCGCCGTGCCTCTTGACAGGCACGGGTGACTTCATTACTTCCTGGTGCGTCCTCGTGGGGCCCTGTTAGGCCTTGCTTGGCTGTTTCGCCGCTGGCTGTTTGAGGGCCCGGAAGAGCGGCTCATTAATGGTTGTAACGCAAGTGCAGGGCGCGGGATTGGTTCTTAATACTTGCCGCCAGATGATATTTTGAGCGTAGATAGGATATGTGTTCATTATTCCTAATGTGAGGGAGGAAACTAAGTCCCCGAACAACCGCGATTGTTTCCTCCAGTATTTTCTACTTAGTAGCTTTAATTGTCTGGCGTTTCCCCTATATGAAGACGTTTTAAAAATTGAACTGTGTCACCCAGGCTTGCACCGCCGGGTGCTGTGTGTAAGTTGTGGAAGCGCTCGCAATTATTCAGATTCCTGTACTATTTCAACCTTAGCAAGACTTGGTAAGATACTGGGAGGGCAGCTAGCTAGTTGGCATTTCAGGAGACGGCTTTAAAAGGGACGTGATAGAGCAACTTCTCTGAGGATAAGACCATGCTGTCGTAGCCTGAGATTTGTTCCCATGGGGACCTATGGCCTCGGAGCAGCATCGCTGCGGGATCTGCTTAGATTTCTTGCCGACCTTTGGGAAATCCCACTGTTTTGTGTTGTGTTGTGTTGAGATGGAGTCTCGCTCTTTCCGCCCCAGCTGGAGCGCAGTGGCGTGATCTCGGCTCACTGCAACCGCCGCCTCCCCGGTTCAGGTGATTCCTGTGTCTCAAGCCTCCCGAGTAGCTGGGAATACAGGCATGCGCCACCACGCCCGGCTAATTTTTTGTATTTTTAGTAAAGACATGGTTTCTCCATGTTGGTCAGGCTGGTCTCGAACTCCCGACCTCAGGTGATCCGCCCGCCTTGGTCTCCCGAAGTGCTGGGATTACAGGCTTGAGCCACTGCGCCCGGCCCAACTCACCACTTTTGATGATCTCTGCCATTTCTCTTTATGGAGCATGTGCAGTGTTGAGAATACGTATTTTGATGCAGTACGTGTAGTACAGCTCTGAATTGTGTCCTTTAACTTTGGGTAAGTTCTTTTTTTAGTAGACCTTGCTTCTTCGGAATATTTCTTTTCTTATAGTGCCTAACACAATAATTATGCCCAAATTAGACAAATTAACATTTGAGTGTTCACAGATTTATTACTGTATTTAAACCATTGATCTTCAATTCTGAATTGGAGCTGGGGGAGGGGAGGGAGAACTGTCGTGATATGTTGAGGCTGTTCTGATGGGTTCTAAGAATCTGGCCTGTGGAGATGCAAGAGTGGAGAACTGTCGTCCACAATGTTTGAACGCCGTTTGGGCACTGAGACTAAGCAGCTCCAAGTGTAAACTCCTGTTGTGCCGATTCCGCTTAACTAGCCCAAACGACTTAGGACAGTGTGAGGCACCTTGTAAATGTTCTTATAAATGTTAGCTGCCTATATCAGCCATTGTTATTGTCCTTGTCCTTGTTGTCATCAGATTCTAAGCTTCATGGCACTGGGGACTTGAGACTCGTTCAGCGTTTTCTCTCTAGTATCTTAAACAGCGGCAAGTCATGCGTGACCCGACATAGGTGCTAGGTAATACTTCCTGAATAAATCAAAGCCTGGAGTCAGATACTATGAAATACAGCTAATGCTTTAAGGGGCAACTGTTTAGTTATATTAATACCTCTTGTGTTTTTTTCCTCCATTTTATAGGGTATAAAATTCCCGTCATTGAAAATCTAGGTGCTACGTTAGACCAGTTTGATGCTATTGATTTTTCTGACAATGAGATCAGGAAACTGGATGGTTTTCCTTTGTTGAGAAGACTGAAAACATTGTTAGTGAACAACAACAGAATATGGTACGTGTCTGTAGGGGAAAGTAATTTTTTCCCCTAGAGTAAATGTTGCAGTGTTTCCTGAAGAAGTTGTAGCACGTGCTACTGGTTAAACCTACATGTTTCTTTTTCTTTTTCTTTTTCTTTTTTATTTATATTTTGAAAAAATATTTTTTCCATAATGGAAGCCACATTCAATACATGTTTTTTCTTAAAATGAGAAATGAACTTCACTTTTCCTATAGAGATCCAGAGATTAACCTGGCATTAGTCTAGTCTTACTTGTATCTGTTCAGAAATCATGTATTTTTATTTTCATGGTTAAGTTTCTAAATAAAAACATGTTGCTTTGTATACATTTTGGCTTCTAAAACAATTATCAAAGGGGTCATAGTAAAAGGATATATAAAGGTAACAATTATACTTTTGACTGAGCGTCTCTGCTTTTTTTTTTTTTTAACTGCAACTAATTTCTAGACTGTTACTTATTGAAATTGAGATCTTTTTTGACCCTGCCTTCATCAGCTCTGTGTAAACTTTATTGGAAAAAAAGCACTTGGTGTATAGATAATGTCTTTAAAGGTACTGGGTGGTGAGTGGGATTTCCTTCAGATAGAAATATTTCTCATAGGTTAACCATTCCCCTATAGTATAGTTGTTGTGTCTTGTACCTGAGCTGGGAATCCAGAATTATTTGTATTTCTGTGCTGCCTGCACAAAAAATCATGAAGTGAGTTAAGTAGTTTGTGCCACCCAGGAGTTGCACCTTTTCTCAGGTTCCACTAGATGGTATGACAGTGGAATTAGCCCCAGGCAGTGTCTAAAATCCCACTTCTGTTGCTGACCCTGTGGCCTCAGAAAAGGGTTCTTTTTGCTTTGTTTCCTCTTTATCAGGGTGTTGGAAGAAGGATCTCTAAGTGTCTCTCTGTGATCCTCTGAGCAAGGAGGTAGATAAAATTGTTAGCTTATTTAATTTTCACTTTTACTAAGACTCTATTTTTATTTTAGCCGTATAGGTGAGGGACTTGATCAGGCTCTGCCCTGTCTGACAGAACTCATTCTCACCAATAATAGTCTCGTGGAACTGGTAAGTTGCACAGAAGGAAAATGTATTTGGTGGGTGGGGTTAAAGGTACTATGTGCTTCCTACAGAAAATTTACAAAATCTAGAAAATGATCTCAGTATCCTCTTTCTTGTCTTTTTCTTAATTCAGGATCTGGGCCTTTTGGGTTCTGCAGCCGTATGTTGCAAATATTTTCCTACTTTTACTTGACTTTTGACTTAGGATGTCTTGTTAGAGAAGTTCCTAATTTAGGTGCAGTCCAATGAATCAATCTTCTTCTTTATTGTAGCCCTTTTGATGTTTAAATTTCCCCTATTCCAGGGTTATAAACTCCTATGTTGTTTTCTACAATTGCAGTGTTCAATATAGTACCAGTAACTACAGGTGGCTACTTATAATTGAGATGTGCTAGAACTATAAAATACACACTGGATTTCAAAGACTTAAGTGCAAAAAAAAAAAAAAGTAAACTATCTCAGTAATTTTTTTATATCGATGTTGAAATGATAACGTTTTGGATAATAAGTTAAATGGCATATTATTAAAATTAGTTTCACCTATTTTAACATGGCTACTAGAAAATTTTAGATTACATATCTGATATGCATTAAATCTTGCTGAACAGTTCCAGTCTAGAAACCTTGTTTTACTCTTCACGTTAGATGAACAATCCACTTGGAACTGTTTTCATGCTTTTTAAATTTCTGTTCTGTGTATCCAATTTTTAACATAATTGAGATACTGTGTATTGTTTTGTAACCTAAATTCTTCACTTAAACACTGGATGCTTAAATTTATATTGTAGGCCAGGTGCCATAGCTCATGCCTGTAATCCAAGCACTTTGGGAAGCCAAGGTGGGAGGATCACTTGAGCCCAGGAGTTCTAGACCAGCCTGGGCAACATAGTGAGACCTTGTCTCTCTCTATAAGTAATTTTTTTAGAAAAGCCGGGTGCAGTGGCTCATGCCTGTAATCCCAGCACTTTGGGAGGCCGAGGCGGGTGGATCACGAGGTCAGGAGTTCAAGACCAGCCTGGGCAATATGGTGAAACCCCGTCTCTACTAAAAATACAAAAATTAGCCGGGCGTGGTGGTGGGTTCCTGTAATCCCAGCTTCTTGGGAGGCTGAGACAGGAGGATTGCTTGAACCCAGGAGGCAGAGGTTGCAATGAGCTGAGATCATGCCACTGCACTCCAGCCTGGGCAAAGAAAGAGACTCCGTCTCAAAAAAAAAAAAAAAAAAAATGCCAAAAGTGGTAGCGTGCATCTGTGGTCCCAGGTATTCCAGTGGCTAAAGTGGGAGGATCACTTGAGCCCTAGCCATCAGTCGAGGCTGCAGTGAGACATGATCATGTCTCTGTACTCCAGTCTGGGCAATAGTGCAAGACCTCATCTCAAAAAAAAAAAAAAATCGTATAACTTAATTTTGTGACTTAACCTTCCTCCCGTATTTTCCTGATTGTTGAGAATGAACTGTGTTCCTTTCCTTGTGGACAAGGTCCATAGCATCCTTCAGATTCTCAAGGAGATGCTTGACTACAAACATAAGACAGCACTGGTCCATGGCCATGTCCTTTCTGAAGTGTGTGAAGTATTCAACCCGAAATACATATTTATAGGCAATGTGTCTCATGATAGGTGCTGTTAGAGAAATTAGAGTTGTATTTAAAGCTCTTTGCAAAGATGAAGACTACTGGGCTTATCAGTTATTGAGAGAGGTATGTTAGAATCTCACAGCATGGTAGTGGATTTGACTATCCCTGAAGTTCTGTCGATTTTAGTTTTGTATATTTTGAAGTTGCCTTATTTGATACATACAAATTTTAAATTATTCATATCTTTCTGGTGAACGGAAACTTTTTATTATGTTGTGACCCTCGATCTCTATTAATGCTGTTTACCTTGAGGTTTCTTTTACCTCGAAACAATCTTTGTTTTGGTTAGTTATATGCATGATAAATCGTTTTCCATCCAAAATTTACTTTCAGCTTGTCTGTACCTCTTGTAGTTTAGATTTCTCTCTTAAAAACTGTATGGTTGAATTTTTTTTTTTTTTTTTTGAGATGGAGTGGCTGGAGTGCAGTGGCGAGATCTCGGCTCACTGCAACCTCTGCCTCCTGGGTTCAAGTGATTCTCCTGCTGCCTCAGCCTCCCGAGTAGCTGGGATTACAGGTGGGCGCCATCACATCTGGCTAATTTTTGTATTTTTTTTTTTTTTAGTAGAGACGAAGTTTCACCATGTTGGTCAGGCTGGTCTCGAACTCCTGACCTTGTGATCCACCCGCCTTGGCCTCCCAAAGTGCTGGGATTATAGGCGTGAGTCACCGCGCCCAGCTCTGGTTGGAATTTTTTACAATCCAGTCTGAAAGCTCTTTTAAGTGAATTATTTATATTTAGTCTGTTTACATTTAATGTAATTACTGGTGTGTTCCAGTTTGTCTTCTCTCTGTTCTGGGGCTTCCTGTCTGTCCCACCCGTTCTTCAATCCGTTTTCTCTCCTTTATTGTAGATGCTCTCCTTCTGTCATTCCATTTTTTCTTCTGATGGTTTAGAAATTACTCTCTTTCAATCTTGAGTTAGCATCGTAGGAATTAAAACACACATATTTATAAAAGTTTAAAATTAAATGTTAAGATCACTGTACCATGACCTTCAACATTTAATTTTAAACTTTGACACCTTTACCCTGCTAAACAATACAGTACAGTGACCTTCAACATTTCAGCAGCCTTCGGGTTGTTACATATTTATTCTTTTTTGAAGCCCATCACTACATCGCCATTACGTTTTACACTGTGTATGTAACAAATGTTACCACTTTGTTCTTTATTCCTTTTTGGATCATCTTCAGTGGGGGTAAAACAGTATCAAGCTCTAGAGCTCCCTCTGGTGGTTTTTGTGACATATTTGAAGATGGCAGCTTGCTTTTTGAGAATTTCTGGCTCTGCTCTCCCTGTTTTTATCTGTACTTTTTTTTCTCATTGTGCCTCTTGCACACACACACCCCTTCCCCACCATCTACCCAATTTGCGCCTGTTCCAGCAGTTTCTCTTCAGGGCAGGGCCGTGTTGGGACATGATTTCTATTAAGAGTGAGGGCCCAAATTGCTCTTGCCCCTGCAGCCCTTATCACAGACCCCTGTAGTCATTATTGGAACATGCTGGTCTTGGGCCTGCTTTTCTCAGTCACTGGAGTTCTCCAGTTTGTAAGACGGCTCCTCGCCTCCCCTCTGCTTCTTCCTGTACAAAGGCCGTCACCCTGCAAGCCTTGTTGCTCTCAACATGGGTTGTCTCTACTTGTTCCTATTTTAGAGTTACTGCAGAATGCCTTGCCATCTAGCTTGGTTGTAGCTGGTAACCATAGGTTTTTGTTTTTTTGCTATCCTTATTGCACTATGTTTTATGGAACAATTGGAGAAGATTAAAAATTCACCCTGCCCACTGGGCGTGGTGGCTCACGCCTGTAATCCCAGCTCTTTGGGAGGCCGAGGCAGGCAGATCACGAGGTCAGGAGATCGAGACCATCGTGGCTAATACAGTGAAACCCCGTCTCTACTAAAAATGCAAAAAAAATTAGCCGGGCATGGTGGTGGGCGCCTGTAGTCCCAGCTACTTGGGAGGCTGAGGCAGGAGAATGGCATGAATTCGGGAGGCGGAGCTTGCAGTGAGCCAAGATCACGCCACTGTACTCCAGCCTGGGCAACAGAGCGAGACTCCGTCTCAAAAAAAAAAAAAAAAAAAATCACCCTGCCTTCTTTCCATTAATTCGATCATTTTTAAGCTATACTATTCCTTGTCCCTGCAAATTTTATTTAAAGAGATTTTCAGGGGCAGCTAGGATAAATGTACCTTCTTTCAAAAGACAGTATACCTTTGTTGTTCTTAGACGCTGAAGCTGGCGCTAGCAGGAAAGCCCACTTACACCAAGATTCTGGCTTGCAGTTCCCAGTGTGAATAGGTTGCTCCAGAGTCCCATCAGCTTTGCCATTGTTTTCTTTTCCAAATCATGGCTCAGCAGCCACTTTGAGATTCCTGTAGGAAAGCAATTTCTTATCTCCTGCTATTGAGACAGAAGCTGTTAATGCCAAGATTTTAAGAAGCTCCCATGTATTCATCGGTAGAAATTATTTAAACATTTGTGATGTGCTAGTATTGGGCTTGTTGCTAGAGAGTAAAAATTCAGTAAATAATGAAAAGACAACTTGCTTCAAAAGCACTCTCCATTTCAGAATCTCAAAATAGCGTGTGGTATTCGCGTTCTTACCTGTGGCTATTGCTTGACAGGGTGATCTGGACCCTCTGGCATCTCTCAAATCGCTGACTTACCTAAGGTATGGGAATTACATATTGTGACAAAATGAAGCCCTTTAAAATAACATTACTTTTACCAGCCTTGACCTTAATGTAATCAGATAATTAAAAAATGTGGCACATATGCACCATGGAATACTATGCAGCCATAAAAAAGGATGAGTTCATGTCCTCTGTAGGGACATGGATGAAGCTGGAAACCATCATTCTCAGCAAACTATCGCAAGGACAAAAAACCAAACACCCCATGTTCTCACTCGTAGGTGAGAATTGAACAATGAGAACACTTGGACACAGGAAGGGGAACATCACACACCGGGGCCTGTTGTGGGGTGGGGAAAGGGGGGAGGGAAAGCATTAGGAGATATACCTAATGTAAATGACAAGTTAATGGGTGCAGCCCACCAACATGGCACATGTATACATATGTAACAAACCTGCAAGTTGTGCACATGTACCCTAGAACTTAAAAGTATAATTTAAAAAAAAAGTGCCTTTTACAAAGAAAGATTGAATATATTTCCTTAATGTTAAATTGTTACAATGTTGCAATGTGAAGAATGTGAATGTTCCCTTGATTTATAGGTTCCTTAGACTATTCAAACAGACCTCTTGAGTGCTGTGCCATGAACAAGTTTGCCATTGTGTCATTCCTTTTCTTGTAGTATCCTAAGAAATCCGGTAACCAATAAGAAGCATTACAGATTGTATGTGATTTATAAAGTTCCGCAAGTCAGAGTACTGGATTTCCAGAAAGTGAAACTAAAAGTAAGTAGTAATCTGTTGCTTGTGAGCCATTATAGAGTTGTGTGTTTTTCTTTATATTTTTGTTACTGATTATTAAAATTGTCTAAATGAGTAAATTTTACCATTAGTTTGTAATAAAAGTGGGAGGGAAAATGTTACATCACATTTTTTTCTAATAGCAGAGTTTATGATAGAACTTTTAAGTTGGAGCTCTCTTATGTAATGCTGGCTATTCCGAAGTTCGCAAAGTGCTGAGGCCACGGTGAGCAGTCTTAACAGTGGATTGTCTGCCTAGATACGTTCCCAGCGGAGAACTTAATGTAACCTACTTTCGTGCAGCTCCGTGTGTTAGGATGATTTTTCCCTTTATTAGGAATTCATTATTTTATTATTCATTTAATTGCCTTCTTAGTTCCCTGGGATCCCCTCCTTGGAGCTAGGAGAATGAACTTTCTTCAGGGAGCTCTACCAAAGAAAGAAGACCACTGTGTCTTCTCTTAATTTGAAATTGCTTTTTGGTATTTTCACCAGCCCGGAGTACTGTAGGAGAGTTCGCTTCCATGTCTTCTGAGGAATGCATCTAAATGCATGTGGTATTCCTATTTCCATTAACTCTGTGTGTGGTGTCGCTGTAGGAGCGTCAGGAAGCAGAGAAAATGTTCAAGGGCAAACGGGGTGCACAGCTTGCAAAGGATATTGCCAGGAGAAGCAAAACGTAAGACACGGATATCCAACTTAACTCTACTTCACCTTCAGAAACATGATCTGATCTGTCTGGCAGTTCGTCTCCTACAAAATTAACCAAAAACTCTGACATATTAATGTGGTATTAAATTTGAGTGCTTATAGTCCATGTACATCAATGGTCCACACATCACAAGAAATTTCTACCAGCTTAGCAGAGCAAATATTTCAGTAGTCAGTCTTCATGTGATACCATGTACATCCTATTTTCTATATAGGAAGATGAACTGGATGGTGTTTCTGAAGGAGAGAGTTCTTGTATCAGTTTGTTAACAAAGATAAGATACTACACTGGTTGAATTACTTTCAAAAGCTTTTGAAAGTAAAAGAGAAGCAACTTCTGTTGGTCTAGGTCTAACAGTTATGTTCTTCCCCCTCTTAAGTTTTAATCCAGGTGCTGGTTTGCCAACTGACAAAAAGAAAGGTGGGCCATCTCCAGGGGATGTAGAAGCAATCAAGGTAATCATGTGTTAGGATTCTTGGACTGGAATGAGCTAAGATGGGTTCAGAACACAAAGCTGGATAATAAACATGTTCCGAACATTGCAGATTTCATTTTCCCACAGTTATTAGCATACAGCAATATTTCTGTTTAAGGAAAAACTAGCATAAAGTTATTATTTGATCAGACTTGAAATTACACAAGCTAATTAATGTGGAGGCAGCTTTGTCTTTCTCATTTTCCAAGGTGCATTTATCACTTCGAACAGTTACTTACCTTGGTATGCTGTCTCAGTGTTTGCCTTAATTTTTACTTTCGAAGATTTGCTGTCTGGCAAATCCTTTTGACTGATCAGTAGGGACCCTCGTTTTATAATATTGCCTCCTTAAATTATTCAGTAACATAATTGCAAATAGTTACTTCACTTAGCTACGATTTTAGAACATGTGGAGTGATTATTTATAAGAAGGCCTGCATCTCTTCACCAATTTTAGAAATTTGTGGTTTGGCTTCTAGTTTTATTTTTGTGGGCCAATAACATTCTTCCCCCTACACCAAAGTATTTAATGTTCCTGATGGAGAAGTTGCTGTGAATTTCTGTAGGTGATTGACACTTAGTTTTCTGGGTAGCTGATACTTGGTTGAAGTTAATCATCCATCTCCATTGCCCTCTGTCCTCCAGAATGCCATAGCAAATGCTTCAACTCTGGCTGAAGTGGAGAGGCTGAAGGGGTTGCTGCAGTCTGGTCAGATCCCTGGCAGAGAACGCAGATCAGGTGAACAAATGGTGTTCTTTGTATGTTCAAATTAATGTTACACTCAGAGTGTAACTCACAACCATTTAGATGCCATGACTCTGGAATGCCAGAGTAGTGCCTCCTTACATCAAATCTAATATATGAAATCTCTTTAAATGCTCTTTGAAGATAAAGTATTTGATGGGTTGGGTGCAGTGGCTCACGCCTGTAATCCCAGCACTTTGGGAGCCTGAGGCGGGCGGATCACCTGAGGTCAGGAGTTCGAGACCAGCCTGACCAACATGGAGAAACCCCATCTCTACTAAAAATACAAAATTAGCCGGGGGTGGTGGTGCGCGCCTGTAATCCCAGCTACTCGGGAGGCTGAGGCAGGAGAATCGCTTGAACCCGGGAGGTGGAGGTTGTGGTGAGCCGAGATCGCACTTTTGTACTCCAGCCTGGGCAACGAGCAAAACTGCAGCTCAAAAAAAAAAAAAAGGTATTTCATGAAGAAAGTTAAGTTACAGCACTGTGGGGGGTTTTATGTAAAAGTTGAAGCTAGAATTACTTCAGCCATGGAGTGCACCGAACACTAGCGATAGCCATGTGGACTTTTACCTATATATATTTGCGTGTGTGCATGATACCTCAGTAGTTAGGAACACAGGCTCTAGAGCCAAGCAGTCCGAGGCCCAAATCTCAGCTTCACCAGCTCTGCCTTTGGACAAGTTTCTTCAAGTCTTTCCTCATCTTTAAATCTGAGATAACAATAGTAGCAAACCTCAAAAGGTTGCCGAGAGGCTGAGAGACTGAACACAGCACAAGGCTCAACATTAGCGAGTTTTTGATAAGTGGTAACTGTTCTGACATCTGAATGCCTGCTTTATGCTAGGCTGCATGTGGGGCACTAGGGATATAAGATAAAAAGTACTGAAATACGTCTTACAAGTTTTGATATGAATGTAACTGGGGACAGCCACTCAGACTGCCGTCTTGGGGAAGTTTCCTAGGGAAATAATGTTTGAGCTGGGAGCTAAAAATTAAAAAGACATTTTTTTCCTTTTTGAGTCGGAGTTTTGCTCTTTTTGCCCAGGCTGGAGTGCAGTGGCGCGATCTCGGCTCACGCCAACCTCCGCCTCCCGGGTTCAAGCGATTCTCCTGCCTCAGCCTCCCAAGTAGCTGGGATTACAGGCACCTGCTACCGTGCCCGGCTAATTAATTTTTAGTAGAGACAGCGTTTCACCATGTTGGCCAGGATGGTCTCAATCTCTTGACCCCGTGATCCACCTGCCTCGTCTTCCCAAAGTGCTGGGATTACAGGCGTGAGCCCCGTGCCCAGCCAAAAAGAAATTTTTTAAGACCAGTAATTCTCTACTGTATGGTTTGTGGGCCTCTGGGAGTCTGTAAGGTGAAGACTGATTTTGTTGTTGTTGTTGTTTTGAGACGGAGTCTCGCTCTGTCGCCCAGGCTATAGGGCAGTGGTGCAATCTCACCTCACTGCAAGCTCCGCCTCCTGGGTTCATGCCATTCTTCTGCCCCAGCCTCCCGAGTAGCTGGGACTACAGGCGCCCGCCACCAAGCATGGCTAACTTTTTGTATTTTTTTTTTTTTTAGTAGAGACAGGGTTTCTACTAAAAACACATGTTAGCCAGGATGGTCTCGATCTCCTGACCTCATGATCCACCCGCCTTGGCCTCCCAAAGTGCTGGGATTACAGGCGTGAGCCACCGCGCCTGGCCGAAGACTGTTTTCATCTAATAACACCAAGGTGTTACTTGCTTTAGTATGAACATTTGCACTGATGGAGCAATAGTGGGTAGAACTGCGGGCACCTCAGTAGGAGTCAAGGCAGCAGCCTAAATAATAGCTGTTACATTCTTCCCTGCTCTGCACTCCCAGTAGCGTGCATACCAGTTTCACTTAAGAGTGTCCTGGATGCAGCAGTAAAGATAATTAAATATCACTCCTCGGGCACACGTCTCTTTGATATTCTGGGTGACAGAAAGGGGGTGCACATGTCTGCATTCTTGAGTTAGGTGGTTATCTCCATGCACTGGTGCAGTTGTTTCAGTTGAGAGGCAGCTACCTGTCTTCTCAAACATGATGAAGTGAGCCTGTCACTTCAGGGAAAACAATTGAAAATTCAAGGTTTAAAGCAAAAATTAAAATTTAGAAAACTTGTATCCACTGCCGTAACCTGCCAGCTTCCCAGTACTTTAAGACTTTTCTGGGGAACTCAATAGTAATGTTATGTGCATGTGAATTAATGGGTGTGACATTTTTGATGTGTAATTACATGGCTCAACGTTTGGAAGATCTGCAAAAGTCGGTGAACCACAGTTTTCCAAATGATACGAAATCATGTACGGGTAAAAGATTTGTTCAAAGTACAAGATAAACCAAGTAAGAGTATGAAAAGTTCATTGATAAGGTTTCAGACTTTTACACTGCCATCTAACCTTGAGGAAGCTACCATTTGTCAAGTTTTAGCATAGTATCTAAAAAGAGCATCCACCATTATCTGCACAGGCTGTTAAAATCTTCCTCCCTTTTCTAACTGTGTGCCTGTGTGGCCAGATTTTCTTCATGCCCGTCAATCAAAATGCCGTATTGCACAGGATGGAATGATGAAACCAATACAATAATTCAGCTGACTGATGTTAAGTCAGACATTAAGTCAACAATAACAATTGTTTCCCAAACAATTGAAGGAGTTACAACTTTTTTTTCCCCCTGGAATACATTGAGCAAAATACCTGCCATAAATTGTTGAACAAATGTAACATTTTTTGGTAGTTGTTGGCATATTTCCCTAATTTAGAGACAATAAAGTCATTGAACTGTTGCCAGTATATGGCATGTAGTAGGTGCCCAGATGTTTTTGAGTATTTCCGGTTTCTTTGCCTACGGTAGTGCCATGAAAAGCACATGAGTATAGGCTTTACCTTCACCAAAAATGAATTATTATCAACTACAATGGGAGGCAACAATTTTGAAATCTTTGTGACCCTTTTCCTTTGAAATTGAGCATCCCTTCCAGTACCTGCCAAAGACAGACTAGACCGTCCCTGGACGATAAGCTCCTCAAAGGCAGGTGCTGCTTTTGATCTTTTTGTACCTACTTCAGTGTGTAACAAACAGTGGCCACAGAACAAACACTTGCATGCTAAGGGAATGGATTCTCTAAAATTGATACTACTTTTGCTTTGGTGGTTTTCTTTAGGGCCCACTGATGATGGTGAAGAAGAGATGGAAGAAGACACAGTCACAAACGGGTCCTGAGCAGTGAGGCAGATGTATAATAATAGGCCCTCTTGGAACAAGTCTTGCTTTTCGAACATGGTATAATAGCCTTGTTTGTGTTAGCAAAGTGGAATCTATCAGCATTGTTGAAATGCTTAAGACTGCTGCTGATAATTTTGTAATATAAGTTTTGAAATCTAAATGTCAATTTTCTACAAATTATAAAAATAAACTCCACTCACTATGCTACCAAGTTGTGTGTCATCATGGTGCATTTGCAGTGAGGTCTAAGGACACGTTGAAATTGGAAATGCAGGAGGGCAGCGTTTTCTCGGTAGGCTTCCTGGGCTGGATTAGCGTCTGGCTCCTGCAGTGTCATGACACATGCCAGGAAGGCCGCCTTTTCCACTCCCACATAGCCCTTCTGTTAGTGCAGACTTACCTGTCGCTCCGGCTTCTGATAGGACAACTGAAATGATTCCATTTTTGAAATTGATTGGTGTGTCCCACCAAACCTGGCTATGTTTTTTGTTTTTTTCTCCCCCGCCCCCAGGCTGGTCTCCAACTCTGGCTTCAAGTGATCCTCCCGCCTTGGCCTCCCAAGGGAGTACAGGCCTGAGCCACCATACCCAGCCTTTAGTTTTATATATGTACATAGTTAACATAAAGGTCATATGGAGAGTCTACAAGAACATTTGTTGAAAGGGGCGTAAGTTACTCATATTTGAAGAACACTACTGTTTCATTGCCATCTCTCTGATCCCCCTTAGCCACGACAGTCTTAATCCCATCTTGTTGCATATACTTTTGTGAAAAGCTTGGCACTTTATCAGTTAGCTCTTGCTGCAATAATGCTGTATAACAATCCACCCGAAAACTCAGGGTTTTGTTTGTTGTTTTTTTTTTGAGACGGAGTCTTGCTCTGTCCCCCAGGCTGGAGTGCAGTGGCGCGATCTCGGCTCACTGCAAGCTCCGCCTCCTGGGTTCACAGCATTCTCCTGCCTCAGCCTCCCAAGTAGCTGGGACTACAGGCGTCCGCCATCACGCCCGGCTAATTTTTTGTATTTTTAGTAGAGATGGGGTTTCACTGTGTTAGCCAGGATGGTGTCAATCTCCTGACCTCATGATCCTCCCGCCTCGGCCGCCCAAAGTGCTGGGATTACAGGCGTGAGCCACCACGCCTGGCCAAACTCAGGGGTTTTAATCAACAACACTATTATGTAGTTGGCTCTGCTTATCACTGTAGGTCTGGATTAACTGGGGTGGCTTGGTTTCTTTACAGGTCTCAGATAAGCCAGCTCACCCGGCAAAGGCACAAGAAATAAACACTAGGAGCTTCTTAAGGCCTACCTACACTCAAAACTGACACACTTATTTCTGCCCACTTGATATTAACCAAAGCAAGCCACCTCGCCAAGTACAAAGTCAAAGGATGATGGGGAAATATACTCCTTTGACCTTGCCATAGCAAGGATATGGCTGTGAGAAGGAGTGACAAATTAGGGCCACTCTTTCAGCCTCGGCCAATCATTTAGCCTACAACAGTCAGTGATAGGTGGCAGCCCTGGTTACTGTCCACCTTTGTCCTCTTTTTGCAAATAATACCTGAGCAATTACATTGAGCAAAGTGTTTGTTGAAATACCTTTCCAGTTCTAGACAAGCCAAGCCAGGTGAGGTTATAACACCTGATTAAAGGGACAAAGGTAACAAATTCCTGGCTAGGATGAGTAACTTCTATCAATAGGACCATAAGATCAATGTGCTAGGAACTGAAAAGCCATCATCCATGCATTCAAATAATATCTATTAGATTTTAGTGGAATATATGCATTATATGTATATATGTATACAATAGTTCACAATAGTTTACAAGGATACTTTGGTTTTCTATATGCTTAGAATGTGCATTATTTTCATGAGTTAATACTGGTTTCCATTTTATATCGCAAAGTCCTGAGTGAAAAGGATTGTTGCCTTTTTTTAATGATAGAACCTAAAATGTTACAATTTATTCCATCTTTGTGATTACAGACATTACAGGATAAGGTAGCTAAACAAGGCAAATAAAGCAAACGTTCCCTTCATTTAATCAGATGCAACATTTTGGCATTTTTATACTGTGCACGTTGACTTTAATTCATTGACATGGATTGAAAGCCGGCAACAACAAATCTTTGCAATTTAGGATCTTCTTCCATAACTAAGTTTTGTGGGTTTTTTTTCTTTTCTTTTCTTTCTTTTTTAGACAGTCTTGCTCTGTCATCCAGGCTGTGGAGTGCAGTGGTACAATCTTAGCTCACTGCAACCTCTGCCTCCCAGGTTCAAGCGATTCTCCTGCCTCAGCCTCCCTAGTAGCTGGGATTACAGGCGCCCGCCATCACACCTGGCTAATTTTTGTATTTTTAGTAGAGACAGGGTTTCACCATGTTAGCCAGGCTGGTCTTGAACTCCTGACCTCAGGTGATCCATGCACCTCGGCCTCCCAAAGTGCTGGGATTACAGGCGTGAGCCACCGTGCCTGGCCAAATTTTTTTGTAGAGATGGGATCTTGCTGTGTTGCCCAGGCTGGTCTTGAACTCCTGGCCTCAAGTGATCCTCCTGCCTCAGCCTCCTAAAGTGCAATAGGATTACAGGCAAGAGCCACCACTCCTGGCCCACTGCAACATTCTTGAAGCTCTCAAGTCTTCATCTGACACCTTGTCAAGATGGGGAACTCTTGTGTTAAACCATCCTGTTAAGTTACTGTATAAAAATAAAACTGCTCCCAAGCATTGATTGAAACTGTTTTGGTATGAGTTTCCTGAGAGAAAAGTGAGGCCCTAACCATTTTTTTCCATGAACTATGACCCCAGTACGGTATACCTAATGTCCTTCACAGCCTAACAAAATAGTTGAGGCAACCCTGCTCATCCTGTCTAGTTTATCAGTATTTAGATGTAAGGCGGATTTAAAGCTAATCTGGGACTGAGAATTGCAACTAATTCCATAGAAGTCATTCAATTTAGCACATAAATGTTCCTGCAAGATGCCAGAGCAAGTGAGAAATCATCTGTAGCAAAGCAAAGAGTGGTGATGGTTCATCACCTTTTACAACGGAAAGGCAAACATGAAGAAGGAAATTCTCCCTCCTAAAATTCCTCATTAAATCGATAAGCTATCTTCACAGCCTTTATGGATAACATCCAGAGTCCTCGGTTCATCTGAGGAGTCCATTTTCAAGGTGGCCAACAGGGAAGAAGAGCTTTCAGGCTTCTCTTTGCTATGGCTCATGAATGCCAGGTCCCCTTTATTGCTTTCTGAACACACTGCTGGGAAAGCTTGATGAGGTCAGTGCTCAAATCCCTGCAGCTGTCCCCCTTGAGGAACTTCTTGGCAAACCTGCATTGAAGAAACACTGATTGCGTTCACGCTTCATGTCATGGTTTGCCTTCCCCACACTGCTCCTGGCGACAGTGGTGACGCAGCACTCGGATGTTGTCACCTATTCATTATTTTTTCAGTTCTATTCCCAATTCCCAACCCTTCTTTTGAAACACAGCTAGGTATGTGCACTTCAAATGCTCCAGAAAAACCCAAGGTCACATTTCAAATAGGATGGTTATGGTCACCATAAAGGTGGTGACGTTTGAGTGGTGGAAGAGGGTGCGGGACGGCGTTGCAGGCAGAGGAACACAGCCAGGACACTATTATAAGTAACTCTGTGATCGTGTCTTGTGGTGATACAGTATAATTCAACACAGGTTAGAGCAGTTACTATGATCGTTCTTTCCTAAAAGGCTTTGATTTTGGAGAAAGAACCTTGAGGATCGGTGGGGACTTTCTTGGCCTGAAAGGTATCACCAGCAGCAGGAGCAGGAGGCTGCTCACATTTCGTGTCTTCACTTGGGGTGGACGTTGGCTGCAACCCTCAAATGCTGGGAGTCGTCAACCAACTGAGCCCTGTTGTCCAATGTGCCCCGGGCAAGGATGTGGGTGCAAATCCTGCTTCCGGGCGACCACTGACTTCCTTGGCTTCAGTGTCCAATTAGAAAAAAAAAAGAAAGTAGAAATTCGGTAAGAAATCCGTGAACGAGGTCCGTCCTCCACCCCCGACTCAAGCCAAGAGATAGCACAGAACGTTCCCACACGCGCTGTCCCGGCCCCGGCGAGCGTAGCCGGGATTTCTCCCCCGCCACGCCCCTCGGCCACGCCCCCCTGCGTTTGGCCCAGCGACGGGGCGGGGTCGGCCTGCGATTGGCCGGGACCACGACCGCGTCCGGGCGCGCCACGTGTGCGTAGGAGCGCACCGGAAGCGCCCGGCTGGAGGCGCGGCGGCAGGGCTGGGCGGCGGCGGCGGCGGCGGTCATGGAACGCCAAGAGGAGTCTCTGTCCGCGCGGCCGGCCCTGGAGACCGAGGGGCTGCGCTTCCTGCACACCACGGGTGAGTCGTTGCGGGGCAGCCGGGCGCGCGCCGCCACTTTTGCGACGCGCAGCCATGATGGGTGGGTCGTCCGCCGCTGCACCGGGCGCCGGAGCCTGGGAGGCCTGGGAACGGTCGGGCGTTGGCGCTTACGCGGACCTTGGGCAGCAGGCCCGGACCTTGCGCGGAGGCTTCTCGGGAGCCGCACTTCCCTGGGCGGCTCGGCTGTCCCTTGTTTGCGCAAGTCTTTTTTGCGAACCAAGCCCTTCCTGTGGTAGTTACTGGGGTCACTCGGCCGTTGGCGTTTGCCTCTGGGACCCGTCCCACACAGCCCCATACACACTCCTGACTCCCCGCGCTGTCACCCCTTTCTATGTGGCTCTGAAAGGCCTTTGCCTTCCTGATTCAGATTAGTTGCTCTTCATTCTTCAAAACCCAGTTGCTGTGCCCTCCACACTCTAACTGCCCCCGACTCCCCAGATGGTTGGGAAGTCTCACTTCTCAGTGATCCCTGAATTGTCGCACTTCTTGAGTTCGTGTTTTAACGATCTACTTAGGAGGCTTTTTCCTCAGCCTAGACCATGAAGGCTTTGAGGGCAGGAGTTACACTTTGTGTTTGTTGAGTCTTATGGAAAGGTCAACTAGTAGTGTCATTTTTAGTTTTTTGAAAACTGTTTTTCTTTTCAGTGGGCTCCCTGCTGGCCACCTATGGCTGGTACATCGTCTTCAGCTGCATCCTTCTCTACGTGGTCTTTCAGAAGCTTTCCGCCCGGCTAAGAGCCTTGAGGCAGAGGCAGCTGGACCGAGCTGCGGCTGCTGTGGGTTAGTGCCTGATAACCGAAATGAAAGCGGTGGTTTTGCACCTCCTTTATATTAAGAGTTAGTCTCTTAGTAAAAGTAAGAGGGGCCACACAGGAAGACCCTGTCTCTATTTAAAAAAAAAAAAAATAGCCGGGAGTGGCGGCACGCACCTGTAGTCCCAGCTGCTCAGGAGGCTGAGGCGGGATAATCACTTGAGTCCAGGGAGTCAAAGCTGCAGTGGGCTATGCTCGGGCCACACTACACTCCAGCCTGGGCAATTGATTGAGACCTTGTCTTTAAAAAAAAAAAAAAAAAAAAAGTAGGAAGTATATGGTTCTCGGTGGGGCGCGGTGGCTCACACCTGTAATCCCAGCACTTTGGGAAGCCGAGGCAGGAGGATGACTTGAGGTCAGGGGTTCGAGAACAGCCTGGCCAACATGGTGAAACCCTGTCTCTACTAAAAATACAAATATTAGTGGGGCGTGGTGACGGGCACCTGTAATCCCAGCTATTAGGGTGGCTGAGGCAGGAGAAATCGCTTGAACCTGGGAGCTGGAGATTGCAGTGAGCTGAGATTGTGCCACTGCACTCCAGCCTGGGCAACAGAGTGAGACTGTCTTTTCTTTCTTTTTTTTTTTTTTTTCTATGAGATGGAGTCTAGCCTTGTTGCAAAGAGCGAGACTCTATGAGTAGACGTTATGAATAGAAATGAGTTCATTTCTATTCATAATGCTATTTGGAAGGATTTTTCTTTTCTGTAGAAACAAATACTTAAGAATCTTCTGCGCTAATTAAGGGATGGATAATGATTTAGAAAACTTTATATTTCCTTGGTAGTCTTCCAGGATTCTAGTCAGCCTAGAGACTGTGGGTGTCACTGAGGTATCCAAGATGTGCTCTGTGTGGCCACTATCCCAGGCTTTATGAATCGGAATTGCTCAGGGGAACTCAGAAATTGGCATTTCTAACAGATTTCTGGTGATGTAGATATTTCGGGCTAAAATCCGTGGCTCAGCAACAGACCCCTGCCCCCTGAAGCAGTAAAATGTATGCAGAGGGGTTAGGAGTACTTATGTAAAAATATGTTGTTTCATTGTCTGATATCCATACCTCTTTATACTTTTAATAATATGGACACTCAAAAGTTTCTATTTTATATTGTACACAGTGCTTTATCTCCATTTTTTTCTGACATTTTAGAACCTGATGTTGTTGTTAAACGACAAGAAGCTTTAGCAGCTGCTCGACTGAAAATGCAAGAAGAACTAAATGCGCAAGTTGAAAAGCATAAGGAAAAACTGAAACAAGTATGAACTGGTTTCAGTTTGAATGTGTGCATAGAAATTGTCTGAGGTTTAGTGGCTAACGATGCCTGTGTCTGTGTTGTCTATAAGCTTCTAGGACCAGGTCCTATCCCATTAGATTCAATAAGCATTTCAGTTCCTACCATGTAAGTATTGGTGATATCAAGAAGAATACACGATTGTTAGGGAACACTAGATGTGTGAATATATTACCATGAAAGGTCCAGAGCACAAAAGGAGGGACAGGCTGGAGCAGGGAGCATGTGAGTGTGTGTGTGCATGTGCCTGTGTCTTCCCCATTACCAAAAATGTCCTGACAGGAGTGAGTTTCAGAAGAATGGAGTCAGTAATCTTTTTCATGAAACATTTTGCTTTCTTTAATAGTGTACAAAAACCAAAGCTGCTCTATGTGAGTTAAACTCACACTACCAGATCACAACAGTTTTATTAACTAAAGAAAACGAGGGTGAAGTTTGTTCTGAAAGACATTTAAATTAAGAATTATCAGAGTTAGCTTTGTCTTTGAGAGAAATGGCAGCTTCTGAATTCTTTCTGTAAAATGTGATTGTTTCTCAGCTTGAAGAAGAAAAAAGGAGACAGAAGATTGAAATGTGGGACAGCATGCAAGAAGGAAAAAGTTACAAAGGAAATGCAAAGAAGCCCCAGGTGACTGGAGACCTCGGCCGGCTGGCATGCGGTAGATGAAGATTGCCAAGTAGAATGTTTTAATTGCTTCTTACACTACTGTGTGTGTTCAAACAGGAGGAAGACAGTCCTGGGCCTTCCACTTCATCTGTCCTGAAACGGAAATCGGACAGAAAGCCTTTGCGGGGAGGAGGTAAGCACCACTGATGTCAAATGTTAACAGATTTTCAACACTTACAGGATATAGTTACCTTTTAGGAACAAGATTGTTTGTTTCTTTGTCCATAAATTAAGACTAATTCCTTAGGATTGTGAAGATTCAATAAAGGAAACAGATGCAAATCACCTCCTAGGTCCTCACTAAGTACTTAGAAGGATTGTACTTATAGTATTCTAACTTGATCCTTCTGCAGCCCCGTAGAGGGAGAGCTAAGTAGGGTGAGGAATTGTCTGCCAATCTTCAGATGAGTGTCAAGGAGCTGGAACACAGTGGTTTTGGTCTTTCTGGCTGGGACCACCTTGTTTCTTGCAAATAACAAGGAGTAGCAGACAGATGCTCATCCAAAGCTGCTTCCTGTGTGCAGCACTGCCCCGGGGACTCTGGATGATGCCACAGCAGTCTGTCTTCATCCCATCCCTGAGAATTTCAAATCTGGGAAGATGGGACTCACAAACGAAAATAAGCAATCCTTGGTGATTCTGGCTAAGAGTTGCAAGTTACTGCTGAGGAAGGAAAGAACAAACACACTAGAACACTGTAGGAACCAAGGCGGAAGATTTTGTATCCTCCATAGGAGGAGAGGGGCACCGCAGAGGCCCTGATGGTGTCTTTGAGGACTGAGGAAAGACTGGGGCATGGGCTCCAAGGCAGCAGGGCCACAGACTTGGCTGACCTTAAACGCTGAGCTGTAATCCCCTTTGTGTCAGAAGACTAAACCTGGCTTGCTGTAGAGAAGGTGATGCATCTGGAAAGAAAATGCTATTTTTAAATGGTCCTGCCGGAAGCTTATTTTTAGACACATAGAGGTGATATTTAGGAGAGGAATGGAAATCGTAGAAGATGGAATGCAGGGTGTGCTTGCCTGCACGGCCTCTTTCAGCATCCCCAGCATTTCTGAGCTGGGACTTTTGACTAGCCTGGCTTTACAAATAAGGAAACTGAGGCACAGTGTTTAATTGCCCAAAGATTCCACTATAAGTAAGGAGTAAAAGTAACATTTAAGTTCTGGGTGGCCCTAGAACCTTAGCACTCAACCAGGTTACCAGTTGTGCACTGACTTTGGGAAGCTCATGAGGGAGTGGGGTGGTTGGGGGTAGGGAAGGATACAGAAGACCCCGTTCTGACTGGTAGAAGTGACAAGTTTGACTCTTGATTTTTTTTAATCTGTTTTCTGTAGCGTGAACAGCCCTTATTTGAATGTATGAGTTTTAGTAAGCACTGTGATAGGAGGATTCATATACTTAAATCAGGCCCTCTTGAGAGAGTTTTTTGGTGACCCTTTTGCATGTGTTTCGGAGGTTGGGACAAAGAAGCTGAATGACTTTTTTCCCCACCAGACAATCAGTTCAAATGGCAATCACAATATAAAGGTTTTTTTTTTTTTCACATAGCTAAAAGGTTTTTTTAAATGTCCCTTAGGATCTGTATCTTTGCAGTGCTTTGCGTGTCACTCTCATAATTTTATTGTGGATATACAATGTTCCCAGATTTTCAGATTTTTATCAATACTGTTGTGCTGCTTTTCTGTCCTCCCAGGTTATAACCCGTTGTCTGGTGAAGGAGGCGGAGCTTGCTCCTGGAGACCTGGACGCAGAGGCCCGTCATCTGGCGGATGAGGCTAAGAATCTTGTTAGTGTCACTTTTGACATTAGCAAGATGAACCCTTAACCCTCGATTCAATTGCCTTACGCACGCTTTTCACAGTGACTAGCCAAGGGGAGGTGGGGTTGATTTCTGTTCCTAACTACACCTGCATATGTCAGGGCTCCAGTCAGCAAAAGGTATAGATGTTGCCTCTAGGCATGAGGTCATTGGTCACATTCTACTTGGAGACAGTGATTGCATTCATTGATTTCATGGTTAATTGCTAGTTGGTAGGTAAAGGCCTCTAGATGATTAGCAATCTTGATAAAAGAGGCCTAGTAATGTTCTTTTGAGGTTAGAAATCCTTGCTGCTAGGACAGTCTCTGTGACAGGTTGCGTTGAATGATGTCTTCCTTATCAATGGTGAGCCCACCAGTGAGGATTACTGATGTGGACAGTTGATGGGGTTTGTTTCTGTATATTTATTTTTATGTACAGAACTTTGTAAAAACGAAACTATTTAAAAAACAAGAATAACATTTTTAGCATCTTTATTCAAGGAGATTTATGGACTTCAATTTGTCTATCAAACATTAAATAGCTTTTTATTACAACCTCTAACTATTACTTATTTCTCTATTTATTATTACTCACCCAAAATAAGTCTGGCAAGTGGCAGACAGCTGCCGTGATTTTGAAAGTTGACAGACTCCTTGGGGTTCATCCACAAAATTGGGTGCTTGGAGTCGAGTTGCCGAATTACTGGGATAAAGAAACATCGTGCCTCAAGGTTCCTCATAGGCTGACCAGGTTTCTACGTGACCTCTCAGTTATTCCCTTACGCCATGACTCATCTTTTACGCTCTTGTCCAGAGGCACTATCAGCAGTTTTGGATAAAGAGCCAAACAGTAAATATTTTAGACTTTACAGGCCACATATGATCTCTGTCACATAGTCTTAGGTTTTTATATTTTTAAAGGATTGTTTTTAAAAAAGATTCTCTGCTCATGGGCTGGATTTGGGCTGAATGCTGTAGTGTGTGGACCCCGTCTAGATCATCAGAAGGAAAAACATTAACCTTCAGAATAGGGGGTAATTCGCTGCAAAAGTACTATAGAATGGTCTCATACATAAATTAGTCAACATTTGTTATCTCCTGCAGGTAGAATATTCCGTGGTTGCTTCTTGACCAAGGGAAATACAGTCTGGCTGTGAGAGACTTAAAATCTCTTGAGGAGCGCTCTGGAGAATGGCTGAAGGAGAGGAAACAGGAGCCTTGAGCAGTGTAATTACAAACAAATAGGTTGGCATAGTCTTAAGTCTTTGAGTCTAGAGAGATTTGAGTTTTGTTTTGCCTGTGGAGGCAATTGGGGGTTTCAGGTCAAAGAGAGGGTCAGTGGAAACAAGGGTGGGCCTTGTGAGGTGTGGGGAAGCCCTGGGACCCTCACTCCCCTTCCAGTGTGTAACTGGATTGGCTCCCACCAGCCCAGAAGATTTACGACGTGGGAAATGGTATACTTGGATTAAAATATTTCATCCAGATTTGTTTACATCTAGAGAGAACCCCTTGTAGGTTATAAGGAAACTTTTTAACATTCTTCCTTGAATATATTTTCTGTAGCTGAAAATGTTTGTGAAGTGGCTGTCAACTACACATCGCATGAGTAGAGGGGCTCTGGGTCGGGGTTTCATATGCAGCAGAGCAGCTCCCTTGCTGCCGTCCATCAAGAGCCCTCAACACAAGAGTTTGTTATAAATAGAAATAAACGACAAAAAGTAGAGGGGTATGTTTAAGTACACTATTAGATGTGACTGACTACCTTGAAACCTGATTTTTTTCCATGGGGAGAAACAGTGCTTGAATTCTGCATGCCCCCCTTGCATCTAGCACCTTTTGGTAGGGGTGGAAGGAGGGTGTCAGGGAGAATGATTAGGAGATAATGGAGGGGAGGGGAAACTTGCGTTGTGTAATAGCATTTGAAGAGCACTTACCACGTGGCAGGAGTGTCCATTTCTGTTTGATCCCCCTAGAATCCTATGAAACGGGTATGTTACTAACCTTGGTTTTCAGAAACTGAAGCTTAGATGGGCTTAGTAACTGGTCCACAACGCTACTCGCTGTAGTCTACTTCATCCTTGTGTTCATATTAGCCAAAGGCCTTAAGTCATCAAGGTGTGGGAAGCTTCTTGCAGCTAATGAAACAGTTATGTGGCCAGGCACAGTGGCTCACGCCTGTAATCCCACCAGCCAAGATGGGTGGATCACCTGAGGTCAGGAGTTCGAGACCAGCCTGACTAATATGGTAAAACCCTGTCTCTACTAAAAATACAAAAAATTAGCTGGGCATGATGGCATATGCCTGTAATCCCAGCTCCTTGGGAGGCTGAGGCAGGAGAATTGCTTGAACGTGGGAGGTGGAGGTGGAGGTTGTGATGAGCCAAGATCGTGCCATTGCACTCCACCCTGGGCAACAAGAGCAAAACTCCATCTCCAAAAAAAAAAAAAAAAAAAAAGTTATGTGAAGTAATAATACAGTGAAAATCACATTACAGATCTAGGGCATTAAGCATTTCAGAAAGGTGGACTGAGCTTGCCAGGGAAAGCAGGTCTTGGACCTTTCTTGAAAAAATGAGAAATTGGGGGCAGAGGTGCAAATGCCAAAAGCTGAGGCCCCTGGGGAAGAAGGGACGGCCAGAGCCATAAAAACCATGCTTCAAACCTAGGCCATGTGCTCACCTTGTCCACCAGCAGAGGCTGCTGTGGGGCTCGCGGTGTGTCCTGGCAGTTGGCAGGAGTTTGGGACAGACACTGGGAGCTGTGAAGTTTTAGATAATGTGTGACGCACCCTATCCCAATCATGGAGCAACATGAGTAAATTGTGGGGCAGAACACACAAGAGTCTTCAATTGGAATGCTTAGGAGATAGAGTTGTGCCCTTGGCTAAATGTTTGAGGAGAAAAGACTTGAACGACCACGTTTGGATCCCATCACCGCCTGGATCCCATCCTCTCCTCAGGGACTCCACTCTGCGCCCCCTTCAGATAGGTAACATGCCAAGTCTGTCTCTTCTTGGAAAGAGCAAGGCCCCGTCAAATGCGCAGCCCTGGGTGCCTCTGGGTGGGCGTTTCTCACCCTACTCCTTAGCGATGTGGAAGGTGCCCTTACTGAGTTCATCCCATTTCTCGTGCCAGTGGAATTTTGGTCTCGCTGTATTTGACTTGACAGCACATTTCCTACATGCCCCTCCTCGCAGCCCTCCCTTCTGGAACACTCTACACACTGGATCTTAGCCCCCGTGACAGTCCACACCTCTCTCCTTTGCCAGTTGTGCCATGGTCTCTAGTCTTGAAAAAGTGTTCTGTGTTCCCTAATTTCTCTTCCTGCATTTGCTGTTAAATCCATTCTGCTGAAGCTGCTCTTCAGGTCACGTGTGGCAGGGGGTGATGGGTCGCCTCGGTCCTCGCCTGAAGTTAGCATCCTTTGCGGTCCTTGAGCACTCCTGAAGAAACACCTCCCTTGGCTTCCAAAACACCGAGTTTGCCTGGCTTTCTCCTACGTTTCTGGCCACTCCTTGTTCTCTTTTGCTGCTTTTTCTCACCTTCCTGAAACCCCTGGGGTGCCCAGAGCTGTCTTTAGACCTGTTCTCTTGGCCACATTTGACACAGTGTGTCTCCCCCTTTCTCCCCTGACTAAGGGGAAGAAGTCAGGTTGCAGTGAATGCTGTGTGTGCTCGGAGCATCCAGTCTTCCTCTGGCACAACTGTCACATTTCGTTGTAATTGTGTCTTTTCTTCACTCCAAGACAAAAGGAGTGGTCTCTTTGGTGTGTGGGTGCATCCCCGGCAACTAGAACAAGCCCTGACATAAGCGCCCACCTCATGGAGTTAGAAAAGGCAAGAAGGAAACCATCACTAATGTCACGTGGCGAAAGTGGCATTGTGGATACCACATATGTGCAAACGCATCTTCTAGTGATTCTGTAGACGGGTAATCGTGGCTTATGATAAAATATCAGTGTCTCATACCCCAATTCAAATGCTCTGTTTCGAAGAACTCACAGAAAATTATGGGCTCTGGGGAACTAAAGGCTCAGAATGGGCCTGGGGGTGCCGAGGATGCTGTGGACAGTGTAAACACAGGCCCCGCCCTGAGGGCCTTGACATCTGTGGGGGAAGACGAGCACTGCATGGCCACAGAAGTAGATGACGATAGCTGATGAAGGCCCATAGATGGGAAATACACATTCCAGTAAGAAATGATGTGACTTACGAAGACCTAACTTAGGTTTATTCTGTAGCTACAGATTCCACTTCTGTGGAAGTAGGGGTTGGAAGTTGTAGGAAATAATTTAGAGATGAAACAACCTTTTCCTCTGTCTTAGCTGCCGTAATAGTACCACAGATTGGGTGGTTTATAAACACCAGGCATTTGTTTCTGGAGGCTGGAAGTCCAGGATCAGGGTGCAGGCATGGCCGGGTTCTGGTGAGGCCTTCTTCCAGGCTGCAGATGGCCAACTTTTCGTTGTGTCTTCACGTGGTGGAGAGAGCTCTGGGGCCCCCATTATAGGTGTACTAATTCCATCATGACCTAGTTAACCTCCGAAGGCACCCCCCCAATACCATCACCTTGGGGGTGAGGATTTCAAATGCTAATTTGTGGGGGGACACATACATTCAATCCATAACAACCACAAACCAGGAGACTCTAGTGTTCAGTATTAGTACAGCTCCTAACACTCCTGAGTAGCTATGTCCGTCTTGGGGTCTACGTGGTCCTTTGCAGGTTCTGAGGGACCTTCACTGGCCCCTTGCTGCCTTCAGCATCCTGAGAGGGGGTCATACAGTGCCACCAGACCAGCTTCAGGAGAGCACGTCTGCAGATGTTGATACAGGTTAAGCCCGCTTCTCTTTGAAGTAGCTATTCCAAGCCTCCACTCAGCTCACTTCAGGCTTCTCTTCATCATCACCCAAACAATGGCAAACGCTGTAATAAAAAGGGCTCATCATGAAAAAATGCAAGAGAAGTGAGCTTGCCAGGGTGACCTCTGATTTGGAAGATGGTCAGCTCAGTGTTTCCAGCATCTGGACTGCCCTGAACATAATGACTTCAAACAACCATTTATCCCGAAGATTCTGCTGGGCTGGCTCTGCACTCATGCTTGTGGTCAGCTGGCGGCTGGCAGGGCCCAGTGGCCTCCCCCACATCTGCCCGCTGGCTGGCGCTAAGCTGGGCGACAGGCGACTGGCCCATGTGTTTCTGCATCTGCGGCTAACCCGGATTTGTTCATTTCCAAGGACTGTGTGCCCAAGTTTTTCAAGCTGCTGCTTGCTCCACACTGCTACCTTCCCACGGGTCAAAGCAATTCATAAGGCCAGTCCCAACGCAAAGGCTGGAGGAAGGCACAGCCTCTCGGTGGGAGGAGCTGTCGAGTCACATTGCAAAGGCGTAGATGCAGGGAGGGGAAGAAACTGGCCATTTGCAGTAGAAGGGAGTCTTCCGGGTCACACAGCCTTAGTATACATCTTTGCGTCTGTGAAACTTCTCCCCATCTGGATCAAAACTGCCCCAACTTGATCTTTGAGGATCATCCCCAAAATTTATAAGCAAGAGAGTTACCCGGCAAATGTGAAGACTCCTGTTCTGACCAATACACTCCACCTGAATCCCAAAAGAGCCTAGGACATGGCCTGTATCAGCCGGAAATGGCATCTCAAATTGGCTGGCTGAGGAGCGTTCAGTAAACGAGCTGTTTGCCAGGGTGCAGACAGGGTTAGGCATGATACAATCCGGGTGGCTAGCAACATCGGGGAACCTTTAATGCCCCCAAACCTGAGAGCAGTTACCAGGACCTGGGGGGAGGGCCGCCCGACAGAGACCAGCCTTCAATAGAGACGCCAGCTCTCAGTGACCCAGTGAGAAGGACCACGATAAATGACCTTAGTCTCCTCCCACCCACCAGTCTTTCTGCCTGTGCCTCCCATTGGCTGAGCCCAGCTGAAGGCATGAGCCTCTGGGGATGGCATTAATATCTCTTTTTGTTGCTTTTTTTGGTTTTTTTTTTTTTGAGATGGAGTCTCACTCTGTGACCCAAGCTGAGTGCAGTGGCGCGGTCTCGGCTCACTGCAACCTCCGCCTCCTGGGTTCAAGCCACTCTCCTGCCTCAGCCTCTTGAGTACCTGGGATTACAGGCACACACCACCACGCCCGGCTAATTTTTGTATTTTTAGTAGAGACAGGGTTTCACCTTCTTGGCCAGGGCGGTCTCAAACTTCTGACCTCAGTGATCCTCCCGCCTCGGCCTCCCAAAGTGCTGGGATTACAGGCATGAGCCACTGCGCCCGGCTTTAATATCTGCTAAGCTCATTAACCGATGCCTGCACTCAAGGTGACTGTTAGGGGTTGAGTTGTGTCCCCCAAAATGTGCTGAGGTCCTGCCCCCAGTATCTGTGAATATGCCCTTATTTGGAAATAGAATCTCAGCAGATGTAACCCAGTTAAGATGAGATCTGCGCAGAGGGTGGGCCCTGAGCCAATGTGATTACTGTATCATTGGCTAGGGCTGCCGTAACAAAATGCCACAGACTGGGTGGCTTCAACCACAGACGTTTATTCCCTCACAGTTCTGGAGGCTGGAAGTTGGAGGAGGTGCTGCAGGACTCTCCTCCAAGGCCTCAATTCTTGGCTTGCAGATGGCCACCCTCCTGCTGCCTGGTCACAGGCTCTTTTCTTTGTCACAGTTACCCCTCCTGCCTCTCTGTGTCCTAATCTCTTCTTACAAGTACATCGGTCATACCAGACTAGGGCCCACTCTGATGGCCTCTTCTTAATTACTTCTTTAAAGACTGTCACCAAATATAGTCACATTCTGGAGTACTGAGGGTTAAGGCTCCAACATATAAATTTTAGGGGGGACAATTCAGCTCGTAACAATTGGTGTCCTTAGAAGAGAAGAGGCCGGGCGTGGTGGCTCAAGCCTGTCATCCCAGCACTTTGGGAGGCCGACGTGGGCAGATCACTTGAAGTCAGGAGTTCAAGACCAGCCTGGCCAACATGGCGAGACCCCATCTCTACTAAAAATACAAAAATTAGTCGGACATGGTGGCGTGCACCTGTAATCCCAGCCTCCCCACTGGGAAGCTGAGGCAGGAGAATCGCTTGAACCCAGGAGGCAGAGGTTGCAGTGAGCCGAGATCCCACCACTGCACTCTGTTCAGCCTGGGTGACAAAACGAGACTCTAAATAAATAAATCAAAGAGACACAGACACTGAAAGAAGGTGACCACGTGAAGCCCACGGCAGAGACTGGAGTGACGCAGCCACAGCCGCAAGCCAAGGAAAGCCTGGGGCCCCCAGAAGCTGAAAGAAGCAAGGAAGGATTCTCCCGTCAAGGCCAGGAGGGAGCATGGCCCTGCTGACACCTTAAGTTTGGCCTCAGAAACTGTGAGAGAAGCAATGCCTGTAATTATAAGCCACCCAGTTTGTGGTCATTTGTTCTAACAGCCACAGGAAATGAAAACAGTGGCCTTTGGCAAGCACAGTTCAACTCTCGGAATTTCCCTCGCATGTGACGAGATATGGTCCCAAGGCTCAGGGCACACGCAAGTTGCATGGATGTACCACGTGTAGCTTGCTCAGCACCCCTCCCCAACAATGCTCCCCAGAGATGGTCCAGAGGACATTCCTTCATCAGAGCATAAAGCAAGTGCTGGTGGGAGAACCAGGACTCCTGAGCAGCATGAGAGGAAGGCCGGCTGGAGGGCAGTGGGATTGCGCCGTGCTGGATGAGGTCTGTTTGCCCCTCCACATCTACTCTCCACCCGGTTCCTGCCCCAGGAGGCTGACCTGTATGCATGCAGGGAGCCCTTCTATGCAGTCCGTTCAGGCCCTCTCCTGGGGTGCTGTCCCTAGGCCACCTTGACTGCAGGCACAGGTAACTTTCTCAATGGATACGAACACCACCCCAAGTGCTCCGGCCAGCACAGTAAACCCTGAATTCCTTTTCCTGAAGTTGGACTCCAGCAAGCCTTAGGATCCATTCTCCTCCTCCTGACACCCTTAGGATCCATTCTCCTCCTCCTGACACCCTTGGAGTCCGTGGCCATGATTCTTCCCAGACTCCTGCCACAGGGATGGATGAAGTCATACTACATTTTCAGTGATGGCTGTGTACAGTGAGCCTTGTACTTTTCGATCTGGGATTTTCTGGAATCAGACTCTCCATTGCCTGGAGGTTGTGAGGGGTGATGAGAGTGAAGCCTGCAGGATCAGCAGCAGCTGGAGAGACAACTGTCCCAGTACCTTAAGTGAAAGCTGTTTCTGCAGGAGGAAGCAGGCAGGGGGCTGAGATGAAGGGATTGGGAGGCTCAGCATTCTCAATTCTCAGCCTCCTCTGTGTCGACCCATATTTCAGGGTCCCGCTTCTTTCCCATCAGTGCCCTTAGCATTAGGGACCTGACAGGGGTCAGCATTTCATTGGCAATGCTGCTCTGCAGACCTTAAAGCCAGGCCTGGGCTGGGCTTCAGCCATTTCTCTCCTACAACTACAGGGGATGGGGGAATTCCAGCAGGGCTAGAACTCACTGCATTCACTTCCTGTGGCTGCTGGAACAAATGACCACAGACTGGGCAGCTTCTAACTACAGGCATTGCTTCTCCCAGTTTCTGAGGCCAAACTTAAGGTGTCGGCAGGGCCATGCTCCCTCCTGGCCTCGACGGGAGGATCCTTCCTTGCCTCTTTCAGCTTCTGGTGGCCCCAGGCTTTCCTTGGCTTATGGCTGCATCACTCATCTCTGCCATGGGCTTCACGTGATCACCTTTCAGTGTCTGTGTCTCTTCTCTTATTTTCTATTTATTTATTTACTTATTTGAGACAGAGTTTCGCTCTGTCACCCAGGCCAGAGTGCAATGGTGGGTTCTCAGCTCACTACAACCTCTGTCTCCTGGGTACAAGCGATTCTCCTGCCTCAGCCTCCCAGTTGGGAGGCTGGGACTATAGGCACATGCCACCACGTCCAGCTGATTTTTGTATTTTTAGTAGAGACAGGGTCTCACCATGTTGGCTCGGCTGGTCTTGAACTCGCGACCTCAATTTTCATCTGTGTTCTGCATTGGATCCTAAGTAACTTTAACTTGTCCTTTTCCCTGTACACACTCAAGGCCCATCCAAAGCAGCCAGGTGACCCCACCTTCTTCATAGTCATCCTCGTTGCCATTGTGCCTGCTTCACAGCCATTTGGCCTCCACTGCCTCGCTCTGCTCTCGTCCACTTTCCTCGGCCATGGCCATGGGTACTTTGAATGCCCATGATGCCCCTGCCTGCCATTGAGTAAGTACCAGAGTGCTGTTGCTCATTCCTTAAATAGCTGAGCGATCCTCTCCTCAGTCCCATTTTGAGAGTATGTCTCCCAAGACCACATTGTTAGTCATTAGGAAAATGCAAATTAAAAACCACAATGAGATACCACTACACACTTATTGGAAAGGCTAGGCTGGGCGCAGTGGTGGCTCACGCCTGTAATCCCAGCACTTTGGGATGCTGAGGTTGGCGGATCACTTGAGGTCAGGAGTTTGAGACCAGCCTGTCCAACATGGCAAAACCCCATCTCTACTAAAAAGAAAAAAAAAATTAGCTGGGTGTGGTGGTGCCCACCTGTAATCCACTTTGGAGGCTGAGGCATGAGAATTGCTTGAACCGGAGAGGTGGAGGTTGCAGTGAGCTGAGATCATGCCACTGACTCCAGCCTGAATGACAGAGTGACACTCTGCCAAAAAAAAAAGAGCTAAAATTAGAAAGACTATTCCAAATGTTAATGAGGATGTGGATGAACTGGAACACACACACTCCTGGTAGCAACAGAAAATGGAAAACAGTTTGGCAGTACCATAAAAAGTGACATTACACCTACCATATGATCCAGCCATTCCATCCATAAATACCTAAGGGAAATAAAAGCATCTGTCCATACCAAGACTTGCACAGGAATGTTCCCAGCTACTTTACATGTAGTAGCCCAATGAATGGATGGCTAAATCGTGGTATGTTCATAGAAAGGAACGCTATTCAGCAACCAAATGGAATGAACTATTGATGCATGCCACGTGGATGGATTTCAAAATAGTTACACCATGTGAAAGAAGCCAGGCCAAAACAACAACAAAAAACCACTACATACCATATGATTCCATTTCTACAAAAATCTAGAAAACGCTCATTAATCTATAGTGATGGAGCAGATCAGTGGTTGCCTGAGCTGGAGGTGGAGGTGGGGAACAGGGAGGGAAGGAGGAAAAGGTGGTTCAAGAAAACTTTTCAGGGTAATAGACAAGTCTGCTGTCTTGGTGGTGATGGTGTCTGTGATACTGTGAAACATATATTTGGTTTTCAACTCTGTTTGCTGGGATACAACTCCTAAAATCCTCAGACTCTTCAAGTGATGTCCTCTCCTACACTAATGAGTTGACTGGTGGCTGGTAGCTCCCTAGGAGCTTCGGGATGGGGCTGGTACCGGAAAGACCAAGGCAGGATTAGAGGGTTGGGACTTTCAGCCCCATTCCCCAACCTCAGGGAGGGGAGAGGGGCTGAAGGTTGAGTTGATCACCAATGGCCAGTGATGTAGTCAATCATACCTATGTAATGAAGCTCCCATAAAAACCCAAGAGGACTGGATGTGGGGAGATTTCAGACAGCTGAACATTTGGAGGCTTACAAGGAACTGAACAACACCTCATCCATGTGCCAGGAGGGTAGTGCATCCCAACTCCACCAGGACAGAGGCTCCTGTCCTCAGGACCCTTCCAGACCTCTCCCTGTGTCTCTCTTTATCTGGCTGTTTATCTGTGTCCTTCAAAATATCCTTTGTAATGAACTGGTAAACATAAACGTTTCCCTGAGTACTGTGAGCCCCTCTAGCAAATTCACTGAACCAAAGAGGGGTTGTGGGAACCCCAGTTCATAGTCACCAGGTCCAAAGGCCCAGACTTATACGTGCCTGAGTGTGGACAGGAGCCATCTTGGGCACTGAGCCCTCAACCTGTATCCGACGCTATCTCCAGGTAGATAGTGTCAGAATTGAATTGGAGGACACCTAGCTGATGTTGGCTGCAGAATTGATTGGTTGCTTCCTGGTGGGGAAAACACAACCCCCAACACGTTTGATCACAGAAGCCTTCTGTGTTGATTGTTATGGTGTGAAAGCAGAGGAAAAACACAGATGAGTTGGTTTTTTCACACATGGTGTCACAGGTGTATATGTCAACACTTAAATTGTACATTTTACACATGTGCAGTTTATCGTATATCAATTATACGTCAATAAAACTGTTTTTTAAAAATCCTTGGCCAGGCACAGTGGCTCACGCCTGTAATCCCAAAACTTTGGGAGGCCGAGGTGGGTGGATCACCTGAGGTCAGGAGTTCGAGACCAGCCTGGCCAACATGGCGAAACCCCATTTCTACTAAAGGTACAAAAATTAGCTGGGCATGGTGGCGGGCGCCTGTAGTCCCAGCTACTCAGGAGGCTGAAACAGGAGAATCCCTTGAACCCTGGAGGAGGAGGTTGCAGTGAGCCAAGATCGCGCCACTGCACTCCAGCCTGGGTGACAGAGGGAGACTCCGTCTCAAAAAAAAAAAAAACAAAAAAAAAATCCTCTCTGTTCAAATAAGTGGCAAAGTTTCTGTACCCTCGTGACACAGGTAGTTCTGGTTCAGGGTCAGAGCTCCCTGTGGGATCTTGGAGTCTCTGTGAGCTTTGCTTCTTTGACATCATAAAAGTTGACCAAAAGTGAAGCAGAGGTGGTTTGGCCTGGCATATGTTTCAGGCAAGCATCATGGGCAGTTCCAGTGCCCTAGCTGAAGTGACACAGCTTCTCACCCTTGTTTCTGATGTTTGCTGTCTCATAGGTGAAGCAGTTGGCCTCACTACTACTAAATACTTTAAAATTACGTATACTTTTCAGTGGCATAAATGTTCATTTCTGAGTTAACAAATGCTAAGTGGCATACACGTTTTTTTTAACCAAGTAAAACATTGACTCAAAAATTTCCCATCTCTACAAAACATTTTGCCGGGTGTGGTGGCTTACGCCTGTAATCTCAGCACTTTGGAAGGCTGAGGCGGGTCGATCACGAGGTCAGGAGTTCGAGACCAGCCTGGCCAATATGGTGAAACCCCATCTCTACTAAAAATACAAAACTTAGCTAGGCGTGGTGGCGTGTGCCCGTAGTCCCAGCTGCTCGGGCGGCTGAGGCAGAAGAATCGCTTGAACCCAGAAGGCAGAGGTTGCAGTGAGCTGAGATGGCGTCACTGCACTCAGGCCTGGGTGACAGAGCGAGACTCCATCTCAAAACAAAAACAAAACCCCAAGTAATCCAATTAAAAAATGGACAAAAGATCTGAATAGACACTTCTCAAAAGAGGACATACAAATGGCCAACAGGTATTTGAAAAAATACTCAGCATCACTCATCATCAGAGAATTGCAAAGCAAAAGCACAACGAGATATCACTTCAACTTCACCCCAGTTAACATGGCTTTTATCAAAAAGACAAAAAATAACAGATGCTGGCAAGGAGGCAGAGAAAAGAGAACTCGTACGCTGTTGTATAAATTAGTACAGCTATTATGGAGAACAGTATGGTGGTTCCTTTAAAAACTACAAGTAGAACTACCCTACGATCCAGCAGTCCCACTGCTGGGTATATACCCAAAAGAAAGGAAATCAATATATCAAAGATATGTCTTCAATATCCCACACTTATTGAAGCACTATTTACAACAGCTAAGATATGGAATCAAAAGTGTCCATCTATGAAGCTGGGAGCAGTGGCTCACGCCTGTAATCCCAGCAGTTTGGGAGGCCAAGGTGGGCGGATCACTTGAGGTCAGGAGTTTCAAACCAGCCTGGCCAACATGGTGAAATCCAGTCTCTACTAAAAACACAAAAATTAGCCAGGTGTAGTGGTGGGTGCCTGTAATCCCAGCTACTCAGGAGGCTGAGGCACGAGAATCACTTGAACCTGGGAGGCAGAGGTTGCAGTGAGCCGAAATTGTGCCACTGCACTCCAGCCTGGGTGACAGAGTGAGACTCTGTCTCCCCCCCAAAAAAAAAGAAAAAGAAAAAGAAAAAGTGCCCATCAATGGATGAATGGATTTTAAAATGTGGTACATATTCACAATGGAATATTACACAGCCATAAAAAGAATAAAATCTTGTCATTTGCAATAACATAAATGGAACTACTAAGGACATGTTAAGTGAAATAAGCCAGGCACAGAAAGACAAATATTGCACTCATATGTGAGACCATTTTTCTCATGGAGATAGAGAATAGAACGGTGATTACCAGGGATTATAAAGAGGGAATGATTAATGGGTACAAAAGTAGAGATAGATTAGAAGGAATATGATCTAGTGTTCAGTAGCACAATAGGGTGATTTAGTTAATAATTTATTGTGTATTTCAAAGTAACTAGAAGAGTAGAATTGGAATGTTCCTAACACAAAGAAATGATACATGTTTGAAGTGACCAGTTACCCTGATTTGATCATTACACATTGTAGGTTTGTATCAAATTATCACATGTACCCATAAATATATATGACTATTACATATCCACAAAAATTTTCAAAATACAGAAAAAAAAGTTTGCAGTTTTAGGAGAATTGCAAAGAAAACAGAAGTCTCAAAGAGGTCAGCAGCCCCTCATGGGGAGGAAGAGGGGCTCATTCCCTTTGCATTGGTGTTGGGGGGCTAATGAAAGCCCAGTGATGTAAACAACCTCTCTGACCTTTAACCCTGGCCCCTCCTCCCACTGCCCCAGATTCTATGCCCACCAGCCCCCATGGGACAAGATTTGCCGGGCTGAGGGAAGGCACTCTGATGACCTTTTGCATTGTGAGCATGTTTGATGCTGTGGGAGGCAGTGTGCCCAAGAGCACCCCAGACAACTCCGGATTTTGTACAGCCACATAGTGCTTATTTGGCTCAGACTTCGGCAGCAAGGACCTGCGGACAAGCTGTCCTGGGTGAGCTCCTCTGCAGCTTGAGATACCCATGCAGATGCAGGAAGACAAAAGCTTCTCAGCTAGCATCTACAGCCATGCGCAGTAACTTACGCTGGCTGACAGTTTGCATCTGTTGGGAGATAACTGACCCATTTCTCACATGAAAGCAGAGACTGTGGCTCTCAAACCACTCTGGGTATCAGAATCATCTTGGGTGCTTGCTAAACCTACCTACTTCCCTCAGAGTTTAGGGGGAGTTTCCAGCCGACAGCTTTTAATTCAACTTCTCTCATGTTACAGTGTCACCAGCTGGAGAACCACAAATCCAGAACCAGGGTATCACCTTGGAAAATGCTGGAATAGGCGATAATTAGAAGTAGGTTATTATTAACCATAAAGTAAAATGTCTGACCATTGTTCTTTAAGTCCAAGGTTAAACAGAAATCCTCACTTCGCAGGAATTAGCTGTGTACCACAAGAGGGTGCCATTGTCGCAAAGTTGTGGCACTGCCCTTCCAGCCCTTTGTTATATTCAATACGCTATCCAAGGAAATTTTGAAAATTATTTTTCTATGTTAAAAGGCTAAAAAAAGACATGACACAAGGCTCTAATATTATGGAAGGTCCGAGAATAAAGTACAAGGAGGAACACATATAAAACAAGGGAAATAAGGCTGGGTGCCGTGGCTCACGAACCTGTAATCCCAACACTCCAGGAGGCCAAGGCAGGAAGATCACTTGACCAGCCTGGGAAACAGAGCGAGACCCCATCTCAAAAAAAAAAAAAAAAAAAAGTTAGGCCTGTAGTCCTAGCTACTTGGGAGGCTGAGGTGAGAGGTTGGCTTGAGCCTGGGAGGTCAAGGTTGCCCTGAGCCAGGATGACTCCATTGCACTCCAGCCTGGGTGACAGAGACCCTGTCTTTAAAAAAAAATCATGGCCGGGCGCAGTGGCTCACACCTGTAATCCCAGCACTTTGGGAGGCCAAGGCAGGTGGATCACCTCAGGTCAGGAGTTCAAGACCAGCCTGGCCAACATGATGAAAACCCGTCTCTACTAAAAATACAAAATTAGGCGGGCATGGTGGCAGGCACCTATAATCCCAGCTACTTGGGAGGCTGAAGCAGGAGAATCACTTGAACCCAAGAGGCGGAGGTTACAGTGAGCCAAGATCACGCCTTTGCACTCCAGCCTGGGCAACAAGAACAAAACTTAGTCTAAAAACCACAAAAAGGGCCAGGCACGGTGGCTCCCGCCTGTGATCCCAGCACTTTGGGAGGCAAACATGGGCAGATCATGAGGTCAAGAGATTGAGGCCATTCTGGCCAATATGGTGAAACCCTGTCTCTACTAAAAATACAAAAATTAGCTGGGCGTGGTGGTGCACATCTGTGGTCCCAGCTACTGGGGAGGCTGAGGCAGGAGACTCGCTTGAACTGGGAAGCGGAGGTTGCAGTAAACTGAGATCGCGCCACTGCACTCCAGTCTGGAGACAGAGCGAGACTCTGTCTCAAAGAAAAAAGAATATGTGATATATACATAAATATATATATATATATCACATATACTATATATATATATAAATTATATATATATATACACATCAGTGATATCAATGATATTTATCAGTGCCCAATTGGGAAATCTTGCCCACACACTTCAACTGCCCTCATTTTCTCCACCCCCCATTAGGCCATCACTTTTATTTCTTGTGCATCCCTCTAGTGTTTTGTTATAAAAACACTAGCAAACTTCTTATTCTTTCTGCTTTCTGTTTTGTGCCATTTCAGTAGAGAGAGCGCCTCCTTGCTGTGGTTTACAGCTGCACAATAGTTCATTCTCTGATGGGTGCGCCTTTGTGTATTTATCCATTCCCCTATACATGAACACTGGGGTCTGATCTTTTACTATCACAAACAGTGTCGCAGAGAATAACCTCGTTCAAGTGTCATTTTGTACTGGTATGGCTGGAGGACAAATCTCAGAAGCAGGACTGTGGGGTCGAAAGCAAATGCACTTGTAATGTGTAATGTTGACAGTGAGCCACGATCACTCCACCGCACTCCAGCCTGGGTGACAAAGTGAGACCCTGTCTTTAAAAAAATGGAAATAAAAATTCACACTTATATTCAAACAAAACCGCCCTCCCAGTGGGTTTGTATGACTTTGCTCTCCCGCAAGCATGTTGGGAAAGCCTCTATTTCCACAGACTCCTCCGAGTGAATATACATACGGTGATTATTTTGAGTTCCTAGAGAGGCCTTAATTGCCAACTTTGGATAACAACATTTATCACCCATGAGGTGTGCATTAAGAGTGTTTATGACCCTAGCATGGGCTTGATAGCATAACTGGGTGTGAGAAGGATCAATGACCTGGGGCCATTTAGCCATGAGTATTATGGTGACAGTGTTTTCTCTTGCATTGTACTTTCAGGTGTTTGTAGATCCCTATTTCTGCTGCCTCAATTTGTAGCTTAAACCGTCTTCTGCAGCGTGAATGTTTTTCCCAGTTTTACGTTTCATTAGGCCTCCAGTGGGAATCGAATCTGAGCTGCACATCTGGCCCCAGCTGCACTGAGCCCTCAGGTGGCCATGCTGCTGCCCAGCTGTCCAGTGCCTGGGTTCCTACAGGGAGTTCCCTCCTGTGGATAGGAGCTTTGTCTTTGTGCAAACTTCCCAGCTGTGGAAACTCTGGCACCGCTTTAAAGATCAATGCATTTCTTGGCAAGGGATGGGAAAGGCAAACTCCTCTCCACAAGGATTAAGTCTTAACACCAGAAGCCAACTGTCCTCAGCCTCTGCAGTGAGGTTGTCTCCTAAAGAACATTCAGGCTGGTTCCCAGTAGTGCCTGTGCTGGCGGCACCCAGCGTTTTCTAGTTAGGAAGATCACATCCCATCTGGCTGGTCCACATGGTTATACTGAACTTAAATCTCTTTTGTGTCTCTATCGTACACATGAAAGCTCACACACACACACACACACACACACACACACACAGTGTGAGAAGCACTCACACTGACTCAGCGTCTGATGGAAACGGTGTACACAGCTGATAAGCACTGAAGGACTTTGCAGAACACCCAGGGCTGGAATAGGCCAGTGTGTGAAACCAGAACGTGAGCCCTGCTCACTTGCCCTTTCCTGCATCTGACTGGAAATGCTACAAACAGAAGGAAATAGTGAGCGAAATTAACAACCTCATGAGGATCTTGCTTGTAAGTTTAATAGCAGCATTCATAATGAAGCAGTGTTTTATTGGGTTAACAGAGGTTAAGTGGCAATATTAGTAAAGTGGTCATTATAGATTTTCTTCTTTGCAGGCAGTGAACAGAACCTTCTGAAAGGATGGATGATTATAACTCCTCAGCATTCACTGTTTCTTAAAACAGGCCTTTCTGAAAGTTTTTTTTCTTTAATAAAAATTACCACTTTTTCCAAGGACCCCTGTTTGAGGCGTGAGTGGAGAGGCTTCATCTTTAAAGAAGCTCTAACAGGGAACTCTGTCGGTCGTTTGAGGCTTGCTGCCAACAAACAATTGAGGTATTTACCAAGGGTTTCCAAGAAATTGCTGCAAATTATATGAAATGTTATACTGGTAACAGACGTTCAATGTATTAGCAACAGAAAAGAAATGTGAAGTGTGTGGGAACAAAGTTGCCATCTGTGAGAAAATGCTCAGTAAGGTAGGTGGCGATGAACTTTAATAATGTGTCATAAAGAGTCACACTCATGAACACAGAAGGGAAGTTAAGTGATCTGGGATTTTTGAACACATTTCTGAATACTGGTCTGGAATCACTATGGAGGACCGTTTAACGTGATCCAGCAGAAAGACTCATTTGGAGACAGAGCCGGACTCCCGGAGCCCCTCCAGGTGGAACTCACTCCACGCAGAGCTCAGACTCGGTCCCACACTCCTGATCCCTGATCCATCACAGCCCACCTCTTGGGCCACTCCTGTGCCATTGGGACTTTCATGGAATAACTACAGTTAAGGGCTTCCTTACAAGTGTTCCTGGTAACAGTTAATACCTCCCCTTCTTTTATGATGAGAAAAATGGTCAATGATTCCCTCAACAGAGAAGGCCAGTAGCACAGTGAAATCAAGAAGCCCGGAACATGAAAAGTCTTTCCTCAGCTCCCTGCAGTGAAATCCCTATAAATGCGAATCACCCTGCCTACTCCTTACCTTTAAAAATTACTTAGGGTGAGGGGGCTTTAGGATGAGGACAGCCTTGGCCTCCAGGGGGCTGTGGGGAAGGACGCATGTGTGTGCATTGGGGGCAGATGTTCCAGACCCTCGTTGTCCTCCCTGGCTCCTTGCTGGTATTGACTAGTGGGGCTGGGCATGGGACAGGCCTTCATACTGGGGGTACCAGTCCTGTCCAGCTGTTTGGGTCTCTGGCTGTCACTGAAGTTCTTGATTCCAGGTATTTGCTACTGGCTGTGAAATCCCCACTTAGGATAGCCTTGTCTCCTGAGCCAGGCCCCTTACTGGGACACTTTTGGATTCTTCCCCAGGAGAACTGCCTCAGCTCAACAATCCAGCTGCTCCTTCCAGATGTGCTAGAGCTTGCCCTCCTGCTCCTAGGCTGCATGCCGGAATTGGTCCCTGCCCCTGGCAGACTTCTACAGGACCTCAGTTTCTCTCTTCTCCTTCCAACCCTCTCTTGGCCTGGCATATCCCTCTTCTCCCAGAGGGAGTTCCCGTATGTCTTACTCTCCTTCTCCAGGGAATTGTAAGCCCTCAGGCTCAGCCTTTACAAAGAAAAGGGTATCCTTTCTACATTACGAAAGACCCCCATTAAGCCTGCAGGTGAGACAGGTGAGACTGTTAACCTAGGAACTGAGGGACAACTAGGAACCAGGATATTGAGGAGGACAAAATATTTGGCATCCTCAGAATATTATTCCCATCAGATATTTATATACTTTTTTTTTTTTTTTCCTTGAGACGGAGTTTCGCTGTTGTCGCCCAGGCTGCAGTGCAATGCAATGGCACGATCTCGGCTCACAGCAACCTCCACCTCCCGGGTTCAAGCGATTCTCCTGCCTCAGCCTCCCGAGTAGCTGGGATTACAGGCATGCACCACCACCCCCGGCTAATTTTGTATTTTTAGTAGAGTCGGGGTTTCTCCATGTTGGTCAGGTTGGTCTCGAACTCCTGACCTCAGGCGATCCGCCCGCCTCAGCCTCCCAGAGTGCTGGGTTTACAGGCGTGAGCCACCGCGCCCGGCCAGCTTTTCACTGGACACTAGTTTCGAAGAAAACTAGGTAAGTCTAAAGCAGGTTAGAAAATACTGAAATCGTTGAATATGCTACAAAATTGAACATCTGAATCTGGCCAGATTCGTACTTCATGTAAATCACTGTGAATGATGGGGCTGCTGAATTTGGGGGATCTGGTGACTCCTCGGCATTTGTGGTTTATGGTCTTAGTGGAAACCTTTTTCGATGGTTTTCGAGCCTGTAATTCATGGTTGTATGTTCTGTATTTTTCCCAAGACCACTGCTGGAATCCTGTATTCACTGCATAATGAGTATTTTATTTTTAGATGTGGATCACCCCTTAGGGAGGGGCTCTGTGGGAAGGTAGGTAATGAACTATTTTTAATATAAATCACAAGTGTCAAAGAAAGTGGTAATATCCAAAGAATAAACAAGAGTGACCACCATTCAGGTGCCGAGAAGGTATCTGAAGCTCCCACAGGCATTTTAAACTGTGTGATAGTATTTCAACCATTTGGTCAACAATGAAGAAAGATCCAAGGATTGCCCCAGGCATGTGTTTATTTGATTCAATGCAGGTAACTTCTCAGGCCCAGGGAAACACTTTGCCCTTCAAAAGTTTCATTAGAAAACCCCAATATACTGGTGACTAAGTAACAAGACTGAAACTCTACACAAACTTTCGTTGTATGGAGACCTCCGCTTTTGCTGCCTTAGCTGAAGTATTGCAGAGGAAATGTATAAAACTTAAAATCCAGAGTAGAGGATCTGGGACCCAAAATCCGTCTTTAGAAATCCACGGCACTTTTACAGACGGACTATATTAAAGTAGGGACAAAGTCCCAGGCTGGGGGTACTAGCCGGCTATCTGCCCACACAGTATGTAAATGAAAGTAGGGTTTACCATCCAGGGCATTAACTTCATTTTCCTTGTCTTCGAGATCCATTAAATGCTAGTACTGTATGAGAAGCGTGGACCTTAAGTATTAAAGATGGCTTTTTCTTCTTCTTCTTCTTATTTAGCGTAGAAACTAGCAACAGGGAACAAGGTAACTGAATTCACGGTCCACTCGCAGGCGCGCACGTCCCCAGGGCTCCGGGACGGCTGTTCCCTGCGTGCGGCCGCGGGACTGCGGACAAAGCTGCAGTGTGGTCGGGAGCGCGGGGCCGGGAGCGCGGGGCCGGCCCGGCGGCAGGAAGGGCGTGGCCGTGGGGTGCAGCGAGGACGGCCCGTGCGGGAGGAACGTGCGCAGCGTGGAGTCTGGGGGCCGAGAAGCCCCCACTGCAAGGCTGGCTCCCGAGATTCGCGCCCGGGCGCCGCGGTGCGGGAAGCGGCCGTCCTCGCGGGGACGCCCTTGCGCCGGGTGCTAGGTGCGGATCACGGGCAGCTCCGGCCCCGCGGGCGCCGGGCGGGGGCCCACGCCCCCTCCGCCCGCCAGCTCCAGTCGCAGACCGCGCGGGCGGGGCGCCCGAGAGGGCTTTTTTTTTTTTTGGTCAAACTTCGGCCACGTGAACCGCCCCTCATTCACTTTTGCGCCAATCGCGCGGCGCGGACGGATCCCGAGAGGGGCCACGGCTCGCCGCCGGCGGGGCCACTTCATAACGCGCCGTGCGTGACGTGAGGGGCTCCTGTTGCAATGGCGAGCTAAGCCGGAGGATGTGCAGCTGCGGCGGCGGCGCCGGCTACGAAGAGGACGGGGACAGGCGCCGTGCGAACCGAGCCCAGCCAGCCGGAGGACGCGGGCAGGGCGGGACGGGAGCCCGGACTCGTCTGCCGCCGCCGTCGTCGCCGTCGTGCCGGCCCCGCGTCCCCGCGCGCGAGCGGGAGGAGCCGCCGCCACCTCGCGCCCGAGCCGCCGCTAGCGCGCGCCGGGCATGGTCCCCTCTTAAAGGCGCAGGCCGCGGCGGCGGGGGCGGGCGTGCGGAACAAAGCGCCGGCGCGGGGCCTGCGGGCGGCTCGGGGGCCGCGATGGGCGCGGCGGGCCCGCGGCGGCGGCGGCGCTGCCCGGGCCGGGCCTCGCGGCGCTAGGGCGGGCTGGCCTCCGCGGGCGGGGGCAGCGGGCTGAGGGCGCGCGGAGCCTGCGGCGGCGGCCCGGCGGGCGGAGCGGCGCGGGCATGGCCGCGCGCGGCCGGCGCGCCTGGCTCAGCGTGCTGCTCGGGCTCGTCCTGGGCTTCGTGCTGGCCTCGCGGCTCGTCCTGCCCCGGGCTTCCGAGCTGAAGCGAGCGGGCCCACGGCGCCGCGCCAGCCCCGAGGGCTGCCGGTCCGGGCAGGCGGCGGCTTCCCAGGCCGGCGGGGCGCGCGGCGATGCGCGCGGGGCGCAGCTCTGGCCGCCCGGCTCGGACCCAGATGGCGGCCCGCGCGACAGGAACTTTCTCTTCGTGGGAGTCATGACCGCCCAGAAATACCTGCAGACTCGGGCCGTGGCCGCCTACAGGTGAGCCCCTGCTCCCCGGGCACCGCCTCCTGCGTCCGGCATCCCGGCGGCCGGCATCCCGGGTGCTCTCCTGGCTCTCGCCTCCGCCCGCTTCCTAGGCCCTTCTTGGGCTTCCGGCGGGATCGGGTTGCCTCTCGGGAGACGCCGGGCCGAGGGAGAAAAGATCAGAGGCGGGATGGTGAGCGCGGCGCTCAGGAACATGGCCTTTGGGGTCAGATGGACTAGTGTGGCCTCGCTGGGTGTACCTCTCACCCTGATGAAGGCACTTTAGCCTTTGCAAATCGAAGCTTCTCGTTAGAAGGGCCCGACAGATCGGGTCTCCCTCATAATGTTGGAAAACTCATAGCACAGTACCTGATAGTGGAGGCAGTTGGGGCTGATACTGGATTCCCTAAAATGTGCACCTTTGTCCTTGCAAAGCTGGAGCCCGTGTACGTTAATCTAGTTCTAGAACCTTTCCACATCATACTCTCACATTTCGCAGTTGGAGGCACTCCTATAAATGAAAGAGAATGCCCGCAGCATATTGGACCACACCAGTCTGTTGAGTACAGAGAGAGAGAACCTTGGGGAAAAGCAGTTCTTGGCCCTTGGTAGATTCAGTGGAAAACTGCATTCTGGTGTTAATTAGTTCAGCTTGGTGGTGTATGCATGTTATCCAGTAACTGGGCTCTAGTTGGCCAAATGAGTCATAAAAGCAGCTGGAATTGTGTTCAGGTTTAACAAAGGGATTAGCCAATGTAGTCTCTAGAAGGGAGATGATTTTGGAATGGCTGGCATGGTTAGAATCAGATTTGTATTGGAGTGAATTTGAAGTTGGAGAGGGTTGTAGACTCGATAAAGGGATTTGATGGAAACCCTATATGTGTGAAGTATAGAGACACTTACTGTATGGATAAAGTTTGGGTCTTATCCAGCCACAGAGCAAACCAATGTGGGGAATGGTTTTAGAGCATCAGTTGTCTGGTAATGAAATTTCAGAGCAGCCAGTGCTGAGCCAGGCTAAGCTGGTTGCTGTTTGTTCTTATAACCAATACCTTTACACTTCAGTTTTTAAATGCAGTCTTGGTCAGATTTTTCAGGCACTAGATGTTGTGAGGGGAAAAGCATATATGGTCTCCCTTGCCTTTAAGGGAGAAAGTAAAGGACTGAGAAAGAAGGTGAAAGTGGTCTTCAGTGACTGCCCCTTGAATGGCTTGATCCCCATTCCTGCACATTTCCATTAGGGTCCTGCTTAAGTCCAGAACCCACATTCCGCCAGGAAGGGTCCTGAGTGGCTTGAAAAGCTTAGAATGCAGGTATTGTAAATACAGACTAATGCAGGCGGGGCGCCGTGGCTCACGCCTGTAATTCTAGCACTTTGGGAGGCCGAGGCGGGCGGATCGCCTGAGGTCAGGAGTTCGACACCAGCCTGACCAATATGGTGAAACCCCGTCTCTACTCAAGAGTACAAAAATTAGCCGGGTGTGGTGGCGTGCACCTGTAGTCCCAGCCACTCAGGAGGCTGAGGCAGGAGAATCGCTTGAACCCAGGAGGCGGAGGTTGCAATGAGCCAAGATCATGCCACTGCACTCCAGCCTGGGCTACAGAGTGAGACTCCATCTCAAAAAAAAAAAAAAAAAAAAATTCTATCTATCGATCGATAGATAGAGATACATAGACTAGTGCAGTGATTTGGGAACCAGCCTATCAGGATCTCTCCCAGATCTACCTTGCATTACCTGAGGTTTTATGGGATTTTTTTTTTTTTTTTGACCAGAGAAACAGCCGTATCGGAAATCGAGGATGAGCCATATAGATTATTTACAGCATGGTTTTGAAAGTAAATCCGCATGACTCTAGTGTGGTGATAGACCATGTGAAATCACAGTTTTGGGGACAGTTAACAAACCAGTTAGTACAAACAGTAAATTAGGTAACTCCCTTATCTCCCCCATGCCCCCTGAACCAAATACATTTTCATGGTTACGGTATCAATATATTCAAATCAGTGGGGGGCCTAATGCACCAGCAATACTCAGAAAATGTAATGCAGGCCGGGCGCGGTGGCTCACGCCTGTCATCCCAGCACTTTGGGAGGCCGAGGCGGGCGGATCATGAGGTCAGGAGATCAAGACCATCCTGGCTAACACGGTGAAACCCCATCTCTACTGAAAATGCAAAAAAAAAAAAAAAAAAAAAAATTAGCCAGGCTTGGTGGCAGGTGCCTGTAGTCCCAGCTACTCGGGAGGCTGAGGCAGGAGAATGGCGTAAACCCAGGAGGCAGAGGTTGCTGTGACCCGAGATTGCGTCACTGCGCTCCATCCTGGGGGGCAGAGCAAGACTCCGTCTCAAAAAAAAGAAAATAAGTAAAAGAAAATGTAATGCAAACTAGAACTACTGTTTCACACTTGGAGATGGTTTTCCAAACTCGAGCTTAACGCTCTTACTTTTGGCCTCCTTTCCACATCTCTTCCCTCATCTTTTTCTGGATGTAAGACTTAATCTCATTGTTTATTTATTATTTTTTTTTCAGGTGGTTAGGGGAAAGCAGAAACACAGTTTGCCCCCAGGCGGGGTTCTCCCTTTCTTTTGACACCTCTGCCTTTCTGAGAAAGGAAAACGCCTACCAGGAGATAGTGTCCAGCTAATGTCACTCCAGCTCTCTCACAGAAGTTTCCTTTTATCTCTCAGATCTTAAGAAGTCAGAGTGCATGGAGCCTGGAGGTGGACCTGCCCTGCCAGTTAGGGTCCTTTGCCTCTTGCCTGCCAACCCTGTGTTTAGACTGACTGCAGGAGTTGGCACAAGACGATTTTAGCCTTAAGGCTAAAAGTTAAGGAACTTTTGGGGAGGGCCTCAATTGGGATGGAGGTTATAGGGTATAACATATGATTCCAGTTTTACTGTGCTTTGCAGCCCAGACCAAAAGTCCACACTGAGCTCTTAAATTGGAAATTCCATGCACAGTTCAGTATAAAAGTAAGCTTGACTCTTCTAGCACAAGGTAGAACTCTAGTTTGGAAATCGATGTGCTGAGCTTTACATTTCTCCTGAAAGGTAAATTCATTCTTCATCTTATCGAAAACTGTAGTTTTGTTTTTTAAAAAAAACAAAAAAACAACTGTTGTTTGGCTTATAGATGAAGGAGATGCCAGCACTTTCAGTAAGATGATACTTTGGTGTAGAATACTGAAAATGTCAGAATTTAGGTGAAGGGACTAGTAGCTAGCAACCTCTTCATTCCAACAACTCTGAGATCCAGAAAGGGGCTAAAAAAGCTTTTGAAAATCCAAGGAGATATGCCCGTCCACACTAAAGGCACAGCACTTTGATGATAGAACATCTCCATCATTACACATTTTTACTTTCTAGACCTGCCATCTGCTTGAGGGATGGATGGGGGCCACCAAGATATAGCAGGGCAGTGACAGCTGATAGCAGACAAGAAACAGATTTTTCAAAGCAGGCGAGACAAAACTCAAAATGTAGCAGGTGAGAGACCAGCCAGGGCTGAGCTTTGGAGGCCCTGAGTGACACAGTAGCTGTGGAGTTAATAGGAGTGATCCTGATTCGTTACTTAGGATCCATTTCTTTGTAAAGCACATGCATGCATGGCCCCTCTGGCCCCCGACCCTGAGTCCTGGGGGACACTGCAGTACACGGCTTGCTGTCATGTTCTTTAGTCAGAGGGACGACACTAAAAAGAGGGTTTCTGCTAGTGATGGATGCTGTAGAGAAAATAGAACAGGGTTGGGGCAGGGCAAGTGTGTCCTCTCTGTGTTAGGTGATTAGGGAAGAGTTTGGAGAGAGTGCCATTTGGGCTGAGATTTGATCATGAAGAGCCAGTTGTGTGAATATCATTGATGAGCATGAGGGCCAAGGAAGCACCGGGAAGTCCCAAGGCAGGGACCGGCTTGGAAAGGAACACCAAGAAGGCCAGTAAAAGAAAGAAAGCCAAGAAGGCCAGTAAAAGAAGAGCCCCAAGAAGGGGCTCGCTAGTGTCCAGTCTTGTAAAGTTTCATTCTGAGTGAATTAGAAAGCCACTGGAGGGTTTATGCAGGAAAAGGAGGTGGGTAGCTGGGGTTCTGTAAGTTAACACATAAAATAATTTATTTTGACTCATCTGCAAGTGTGTGTTCTAGGTAATTTCGCTTTAAAATGGTACTGTGATTCCTCTGAAGTCATTTATTATGCAAATTAAGGACAGCTTGTCAGAACCTCTGGGTTTCTTGTGTCTTGCATTACTAGCTGCAATTCGTATTTTTCCCATATTTAAACATTTTCTTTTTAGTTATGTTCTGTGATATATGGAAGGGAAATGTTCATGTAGTTCAGTCTATGTCTTTCCCTTTCTGATTTTAGTTTTCTCTACCCCAGGTTCACAGTTACTGCCCTGGAGAGATTTTTAAAGGTAACGTTTCCTTCCTAATTCTAGAAAGGGTAGAAATCATCTCAACTTTATTTTTTCCCCAAATAGTATGTGGTCGCAGCACCATGTACCGTTGACTAAGTTCTCATTTCCCTACCAGTTTGAAATGCCATCTTCGTCATGCTCAGAATTCTTGGGTATGTTTCTGGACTTCATGTTTTGTTCCGTTGAACTTTCTGTCTGTTCTTGTGCCAGTACCACCCATTGAAATTATTGGAGGTTGAATAATATTTTAATATCCGGTGGACAAGTTCCCCTTTGTTATTCATCTGCTTCAAACATTTCTTGGCTACACTTACCTTTTCTTGCTGAGAGAGTTTCTGTGCTATTTAGATTTTTTTAATCAACGTTTTGATTAAAAAAAAAAAAAAGCCACACGTATTTTGCTTATTCGTCCATTTTTATGCCCAGAACCTTGAGCTAATCCAACACCTTTTGTTTGTTTTGGTTCTTACCCTCTCTGGGCTGAAGATGGGGAATAGTTTTGTTCTTTTTTTATGTTGTCAGAAGAAAGAGGTGGATGGTTTCCCTTCTTTGCGCCAAGATTGAACAAGGGCACCATTACAGATTAGCATCAGTCTGTAGGGGACTGTGGGAAGAAAGTTTGAGAAGCATTACCTAGAGATATAGGAATCTGATTTCAGGATACTATTATCAGTGAATGATCTCTTCCTAATGCCTTAAATGAAGACGGACTGTTCCTCTACCAACCTTAATGAGATCCTCCTATCTTATAAATCTGAATTCATTTCCTTATTTCTTGAGCTAAGTAAACCATGTTTATCTTGAAACAGTTCAGAGCAGTCCTCACTTTCTTAGATAGAATTCAACTTGGCAAACATTTATACAGAAGGCTTTTCCATGTAAAATCCAAATAATCAACCTGTAAGTGAACTTTTGGAGCACCAAGTCATTTCAGATCGTGAATTTCCTGTAGGAGACTAGGGAACCATGTGGCTCTGAAAATGAGTGTAGTTTTTTATGTCAGGTTCAAGATCTTGAAGCGCTCAAACAATATTCCAGGGATTTCCAGGGATGGCTGTGGCTGTCAATAGCGGATTGATTCCAGGGATAGATGTGGCTGTCAATAGCGGATTGTGCGTGACTGTTTCCATTGCACCGGCAGCTTCACGTTCCCCTGTCTGTTAACTAAGCTGCTCTTTATTAACAGTAGATTCCAAATACAGGGCCCTAGTCTCTGCAGAGTTCATTGTCTCAGAAGGAAACGAGCGATGGTATTGGTTGATGAGGGCTGTCAGGGTGCGTGAACTAATCACTGTGGGGGAGCAGAAGAAAGAGGCTTACACCCAGTGGGTGATGGATCAAGAAATGTCTCACCCACACTCCCACCCTTTTTTTACCCACTAGCTGAGTCTTGGAAGATGAAGAGGTGTTTTTGAGGCAGAGACAACTACAGGTTTCCTACAACATGAAATGGCAGGAGTTAGTGAAGGAGCGATGGGAAAGGCCAGCTCTTTGGGGCTAGGTGTAGGCTGTGGGTGGTAGAGTGGTGGGCAGGGACATGGAGGGAAGGTCTGCGTGCCAGGCTTTGTGTGGTTGCTGTCCAGAGCTATTGGTGACATTTCGGCAGGACAGTAGCCTGATGGGATGTGTGTTTTGGAAGATCAGCCCAGCGGTGTTGCTGCTGCAGAGGGTGGCTAGAGTTGGTCAAGTACCGGTACCTAGCTAGAGCTGGACAGGACCGGTACCTGTTGAGGGACGCTTGGGTAGCATTTATCAAGAAGTCTAAAATGCAGCTCTCTTGAGGTCTGGCAATTGCTCTAGAATTTTTTCCAAAGGAATTTTAAAGGTGTGCTTAAATGTGTACATATGAAGTGGAAATTTCAGGTATTTTAGGTGTCCTGCTTTAGGAGATAAGGACCAAAATTGACTTAACTGATTCATCCATACTGTGGTCTGCATCTCTAACAAGTAAAAATGGTGTGGCTGAAATACTTTTATTGACATGAGGAGAGGTTCAGAATATACTTAAGTGAAAGTAAACTGTAAAACAGTATGGCCAGTACAAAGCCCTTCTGTGTTTAAAGTAAAACAAAAGTGTATGTTTGTGTAGCATAGAAAAGGAAACATCAAAGGATGTACTCACTGTGATGCCAAGTGATCTTTTATATTCTTCTTAGCTCTTTTCTATATATTCTGGTTTTTCTACAGTAAGCAGTTATTTTGTAATAAAGCTACAGTAAAACCACAAAAAGATGTCAGCTCTAAGAGAAACTGCATTCCATTTTGAGCACGTTAGGCTGCTGGTGTGGAGGTCCGCTAGGCACAGAGCTGCAGCCCGTTCTCGTTTCAGTCAGTTACCATTAATTCTGTCCTGAAGTGACAGAATTAGCTTAGCACACATTTACTTGGTTAGTGTCACAACCGTTTTCCTCAGTTACTGTAACTTCACGCTTCCAGGTGACATTGGGGAGGATCTGGTGGCAGCATTTTCAGTGCAGGGGCCTCAGCTTTTGTATCTTAATGTAAATACTCAGTGCTTCCACCTGTTGTTGAGGCCTTTTTGGCTTCTGGTTCCGGATGGCATTGGGTGAACAAGAAAACCTAGCTACAGTTTACAAGCATAAAAGCTGTCCATCTTCTCACCTGAATTCAGTGTCATCTCTGAAGCATTTATAGCTGCAGCATTTTTTCTGTAGACAAATACATTTTCTGGATGATTACAAATAAGGTCCAGTCTGCTCTGATGTGGTGTCAAGTTGATGCCTGTAAACCAAAAGCCTGAGGATTATTGACTGTAGGTGTTGAGGCCATTGAAATTGTGGTTTTCTAGGTGGACCATAGGCGCAAAGACTGTTACACTTTGCTCGGCGTGTTTGGTAACTGATGGCAGTGTCTGCAGGTAATTGGGCACAATTTAGAGGCGCACACGGATCCAGACACAGAATGTGGCCTCAGAAGCTAACACTGGAATCAAGTTGTCTGGCCTTCAGTTAAATCCAGCCCAAGCACTGCAAAGTTGTCCTTGACCGGCAGGTTTTGTCCAGGTTTTCAAGTCGCCAAGCCATGCATGCTGGGAGTGGGTCTGAAAGTGGTTGAAGTGTGTGTAAGGCTGGTCTCCTTATCCACGATGACTGTTTGTTCAGCCTTAGCAGTGTCCGTGAGCCTGGAAAAGTGATGTGGGTGACCACCTGGGAGGCGCGTGTGTGGGATGGAAAGCCAGTGTGGAGGCTGTGGGGCCAGGGTGGCTGGTGACTGTGTTTAGGTGGGCTTTATAGAGGACGGTGCCTCAGTTCAGGGAGACGGTGATTTGCAAAGTGGTCGGCCAGAACAAGTTCAGGGTGGTTTAATTGTTTGCATTAAACGATACTGATTTTTGGTTCATGTGGATCATTAAGTATTAGTCGCATATTTATACTTTTAAGGATACAGCAGCGATATGCAAATTATGAAAGGAGCTCTCCAACACTTTCAAGCTTTGGAAATGTCTCATGAGATCAGAATTCGTCTTCTGTCATTTACACTCCAAATTTTAATTGTGATGTTTCAAAAGTGGCCTATTTGTGGTCTCTGTTCCCATTGTTTGCCGTGAACCTGGGCTCAAAGGGCGGGCTCCTCGTAGCTCTTAATACCTTGGAATGCCGTCTGGGCTTGTGCCCAGGCCATTGTTGAAGTGGGAGGCTGTAATCCCCCCTGCCAACAGCTTAATTAAGAAAAAAAAGGGCTCTTTACTGCTTGCTTTCCCCTCAAGTCTATTTTTTAGGATGGACAGTAAGGAGTATAATTTGGTTTTTCTTTTAAAATAATTTTCCCACCATTCACAGCCTCTGTTACATTTTCCCACCTCCTTTCAAAAAGGGTTTGAGATTGGACAGGTCATAAGGACGTGCACGATGAGACAGTTAAAGGTTTTGAAAGAGGAAACCACATACCCGGAAACCACATGCACAGAAGTGGGAAACTGCAGCTGAATGCATTTGCTGCAGAGCTTTTGGGACCAAGGCAGAAGATGGAGATGAGGGATTGAACAGTGTTTGCAACATCCTGCCAGAGGGGATTCCTTCCGGCCGAGGAGAGGCCCGTGGCATCACTTGGTGGCCTTGAAAGACCCCTCCCTTTTCTGAAGGCTGTGGCTCTGGCTGGCAGCATAGAGTGGTGCCCTCCGTGTACTCTCTTGGAGGATGAACTTGGACTGCTGCTCCATCACACTGTACTTCCTGTAAGGATACCTCCATCATTGACCTTGGGAGAAGTTTCCCTCAGGCCTTAGTATGTTTTTACACTTAACCCTGAACAGTAGGACACAGTCTCGTGACTTCTCATGGCTGCCTGCTGAAAAGTTTGTAGCTGAATTTGGGCCCACCACTAGCACATCCGTAGGTCACGTGATGGCAGGTAGGTCTCAGCACAAGAGCACTTTGCAGTTGAAGTGGTGGCTCCTGAGAGTGCTCTCACTGAGTCAGGGTTTGCCCTGGGCAGGGCAGCCTCCACCAGGATTTGCCTTTCGTTCCTTGCGTAAGGGTTTCCTACTCTTACTTTTCTTTGGTCTCATTTTCTTGCTGATTTTTCTCATCCTGTATGATTTTGGTTAAGTTGTCTTAAATCCCTTCTGTAACAGGGGAGAATGTAAATACAGCTGGCCCTGCTATCTGCTACATCTGTGGATTCCACCATCCATGGATTGAAAATATTTGGGGGGAAAAACAATAGAAAATAACAATAATAAAAACAATACAAGTAAATACAATATAGTATAACGACTATTTACATAGCATTTACATTGTATTAGGTATTATGAGTAATCTAGAGACTATTTAAAGTATACAGGAGGGTATGTGAAGGTTTAAGCAAATACTGCACCATTTTATATCAGGGACTAAAGCGTCTGTGGATTTTGGGGTCCTGGGATCATTCCCTCTTGGATGATAAGGAACAGCTGTATATACCCTTAATTCCTATTATCCATCAGTTCTACAGAGAGAAAAACCCATATCCTCCCTTCTTTAACTTCCAAGATGATTTTATCATGAGTCCTTTTAAACTGACTGCCGTGTAGCCATCAGACAGCACATGTAATAGTGATTTTGGGGAACTCACAGAAAATCTCCCCACCTTTTTAATGGTAACTAGTAGAATAACTATTAAAGCTTAAAAATCACAATTGAAACGACTCAATCTTACTCCATTTTTCTTTCAGTTTTTCTTGTTGGATAAAAAAATTTTATTACAAAAGTAAAAATTCTCTGTTGTTACATGTTTTGATTTCTTTGGTTGCTTGTTAGCCTCAAAGCTTTTGCCCAGTTAAAACTTTTTTTCCAGCTCTAAATATACCTGTTGCAGAAAACTTAGAAAATTTAGAAAACACAAGGAAGACTATTGGCCGGGCGCAATGGCTTCCGCCGGTAATCCCAGCCCTTTGGGAGGCCGAGGTGGGCGGATCACAAGGTCAGGAGTTCGAGACCAGCCTGACCAACATGGTGAAACCCTGTCTCAACTATAAGTACAAAAATTAGCTGGGCGTGGTGGCAGGTGCCTGTAATCCCAGCTACTCGGGAGGCTGAGGCAGGAGAATCGTTTGAACCTGGGAGACGGAGGTTGCAGTGAAATCACGCTGTTGCACTCCAGCCTGGGCGACAGGGCCAGACTCCGTCTCAGAAAACAAAAAAAAAGACTATTAAATCCTTTCTGGTTTTCCCATCCAAAAATAACCACGGTGAATACTTTGGGGGTGGAGTTGTACGTTATTTTATTTTTGTATATGTACTTTTGTTCCCTTGGTAAGCCACATCACAAGTATATACTGTTGCCTGCTTTTTAAGCTTACCCGTATATTATGAATATTTACCTAGGACAAGAGTCATGCTATAGATGCAGTTTTGTACAGAAGTGTATTTTATGTAGTTTTTCTTAAAACAACACTGAATGGAAATGGAGACTATGATATTAACCCATTTATGCCTAGAGTTCCATTATTGGAACGCTAAGCTTGTGGGAGTTATTTATATCCCGCTCAAGGTTATCACCAAAGTCTGATTTTTTTTCCACACAAAAAAATCGCAACCTCTGACATAAATGGGTTAAGTCCTAACCAGCAAAGGCATTCCTTAGCTAAGCTAATACTGGTCCAGCTGAATTACTTAACTGTGATTTGACTCAGTGTAGGAATAGCGTTTAGAAACCTAGAGTGATGGAGGATTCACTTGGCACTCTCAAGTTTCAGCTGTCTTATCTGGGCTTGAGCAAGGGTTGGACATCAGTTCATTGAAAATGAGCTTTTTCTGGCAAGGCCTCTGCAAACGTTTTGTCATTTCAATTAAGTGAGAGTTCTTTGCTCCCGGTAACAAATGTGTTGATGGCAAAGCTGACGTTTGCTTATGAAAATGAAGGAACTGGACTTGTTGATATTGCAGAAGAGGGGACAGCTTGCTTCTTTGGGAGCATTCCCTTCAATTATTTGAAATTATTAATGCATCCCCTCCTCCTCCTCAGGATGGTGGTGAATCACGATTTATGTTCCTGAACTCGTTCACTTTGTGGAGCTCTTCAAGTTAAAGGACCCTAATTGAAAAGATTATAATTTCTTAAGATTGGAGGGTTTACAAAGACTTGACATTGAGAGATTTCCCTCAAACCAACCACCAGTCATTTAGAACAGAAAAGGACAACATGAGGTTTTTCCCTGAGTTACCTAAAAAGGAACAGATAATAATTGGGTGGAGTTACCATAAAACTGTAGGGTTGAGGTTAGACTGTTTTTAAAATTAATTGGTTTCTCTTCTTGGGCAAATTACACCATTTCAGTCATAGTTGAGACATTAATTGCGTCTGTGCTGGTTGTACTGCTGGGGCCTCTTTCACTGTGTTCTTCCTGGTGGGGTACACGGGAAGCAGGGCCAAACTATAATGAAGCTTCATCCTCAGTCTAGTAGGGAAGTTTCTCGTGCTCTACCGCGAAATGCTCGTGAAATTTGCAGTTAGGCCTCTTTCCTGTAACATTGTCTGAAGTTGATAGTAAAAGAGGATTTCAGTACATAGCTTGAGGCTCAGGTTTTAAGAAGCATTTTCCACATTACCTTTGCTCCGTGTGCTCCTGAGACTGACTAGTCCACGTGGAGCCCACACTTTCCTGTTCTTTCACTACCTTATTTGATTTGCAAACTCTTGTCTTCCTTAATAATAAGTCATACTTACATAGTGCCAGGCAGGCTTCTAAGCTGTTTACAGAGAGCTCATTTAACCCTCACAACAACCCCCGTTTACAGATAAGGAAACTGAGGCACAGAGTAACTTGTCCCAAGTGGAGCTGGAGTTCTCGCCCCCATGGCCTGATTCCAGAGCCAGCTCTTGCGGTGATGCTGTAGATTCGCCTCCTTAGTTGGTTGTTCTTTGAAGGCAGGAATTGTCTCGCCCACCCCATCTCCCAAATAACATTACAGTGTTTTAGTATTTTCATGGCTTCCTAGGTTGAAAATTTCTCAAAGTACAAGATAGAAATGATTTCTGACCTTTTGCAAACACGTGTGGCACCATTAAGTTACTTATTGTACATGAGTGGGCAGTATTCAGTGCACACATTTAGTGACCTCTATTATGTGCCAAGCACTGAAATTATTTACATTTTCAAAGAATTGTTGCGACTGCCAAATGAAAAACATTTCTCTATAAAGAGAGCATTATCAGGGGCTCCTCGACTTGAATGGGGGGTCATTGCACTATAATTTTGTCCTTACTAACTTCCCAAGGCTGGAGGAGTTCTGAGAAGTTATCTCCCCTCCATATGTCACCGCATCAGAAGACTCTGTATAGCTTGTCACACATTCACACATTGTCGCATTTGCAAAAGGACTTGTCCCTTTGTAGGTGGGATTGGTTTTTCTTTAAATTAATTTCCACATCTCTACGTTTATTCTACATCCTTTTTCTTCAGGAGCATATCCTTTGTGAAAATGAAGTGCAGTACCTAGAACAGTATCTGTTAATAACCGTGGAATGAATGTCTGGGCTGAATTTGTTTTTTGTTGTTATTCTTGTTCTTTGTTAATGAGTTATTTAAGTGGCGTAAGAATACAGGTCCATTTTAAATCCATAGGCACTAAGGGAAAACATTAACAACACCATCTTATATCCATTCTGTGATTTTGACATCTCAGAAATTAGGATGCATTTTATAGTTACCGGCGTCATGGGATTATGATTGGCAGTATTTTTTAAATTTGTTGATAGATAAAACAATGGTGCATCTTCCAGTTAACATCCTAAATGTGATGAAAAAATGTATATATTTAATCCTTGCACTTTTTGAGAGGCGTGTTGGCAGAAAGTCGAATTCCATTGAATTTTGCCTCTACTTGAAAGAGATACATTCGAAGTTGTTTTGTATTCCTCATATTTGGGTTTGGAAGAGAAATAAAAGCCAGTCATTTGTTTTCCAAGTGCTTCATTGTAAGTTCTTTTTAAAATTACAAAAGTAAATATTTAGAATCTCAGTTTTGCAAGATGAAAAAAGTTCTGGAAATGGATGGTGCCGATGGTTTCACAACACTGAATGCTGCTGAACTTTACATTTAGAAATGGTTAAGATGGTAAGTTTTATGTTATGTATATTTTATCACAATTTTTTTTAAAAAAAACAATATGATACTTATGCAGTTGTCCTTCAATATAGAGATGCATAGAATAAAAAGTGAAAGTCACCTTTGTCCACACACATTCCAGCTCCTCCCAATTTTCCTCCTTGTGTACCTCTTCCGCAGAGATTTGGTGTGTATCTTTTCAGATATTTCTCTCCTAAGACTTTCCCTTAAAGATGTGTGGGGGTTTCATTGATCCTTCAAGTAATTTTTCACTATAATAAATACACTTGTAACAGGTAAAATAAAAAATATTTGAAAGAACATCATTTGATAACTGCTTTTTTTATTTTAAGATTAAATTTACTATTTTATTTATTCTCCACGATACATTTTTCTTGGAAGTAGTCTGTATGAATGAATTATTATAGCCAAACAACTTTAGATCTGAATACAGAACGTGAAGAAAGTAGGAGGGAAAGTGCGATATGATAGCCTTCAATTAGCTGCTCAGCAGAAGCAGCCTTTACGTGGTTTCCTCGCAGTTGACCACTCATCTTCCCTCTGTCGATGGGCAACCGTTGTCTCTTACACCCTTTACGTGGTTTCCTCGCAGTTGACCACTCATCTTCCCTCTGTCGACGGGCAACCGTTGTCTCTTAAACCCTTTATGTGGTTTCCTCGCAATTGACCACTCATCTTCCCTCTGTTGATGGGCAACCGTTGTCTCTTAAACCCGGGTCTGGGCTGCTGCAGTAGTTTACTCAGTGGTCTTCCTGTGTCCACTCTGGCTTCCTTCGGCCTTCTTCTCCATTCCTAGGGAGTTCAAAATGTGTGGGCCTTAATCTTGTCTTCTGCCGCATTCCCTCTAGAGGCTTCCTGTGGCTCTTGCAACATAGAGGCCTGCATCTCTAGTGTACTCTGCCAGGCCTTGCACATTTGCCTCTGTTTTTTTTTTTTTTTTTTTTTTTTTTAGATGGAGTCTTGCTCTTTTGTCCAGGCTGGAGTGCAGTGGTGCGATCTCGGCTCATTGCAACCTCTGCCTCCCGGGTTCAAGCAATTCTTCTGCCTCAGCCTCCTGAGTAGCTGGGATTACAGGCACACGCCACCATGCCTGGCTAAATTTTGTATTTTTTTTTTTAGTAGAGATGGGGTTTCACCATGTTGGCCAGGCTGGTCTTGAACTCCTGACCTTGTGATCTGCCTGCCTCGGCCTCCTAAAGTGCTGGGATTACAGGCATGAGCCACTGCCCCCGGCCACATTTGCCTCTATATTAGTCTGTTCTCACACTGCTGATAAAGACATACCAAAATAGGTAATTTATAAAGAAACAGAGGGGTTTTTAAAATTATTTTATTTATTTATTTTTTTGAGACAGAGTCTTGCTCTGTCTCCCAGGCTGGAGTGCAGTGGCACGATCTCGGCTCGCTGCAAGCTTCGCCTTCCGGGTTCATGCCATTCTCCCGCCTTAGCCTCGCTAGTAGCTGGGACTACAGGCGCCCGCCAGCACGCACGGCTAATTTTGTTTTTGTATTTTTAGTAGAGACGGGGTTTCACCGTGTTAGACAGGATGGTCTCAATCTCCTGACCTCATGATCCGCCCGCCTCGGCCTCCCAAAGTACAGGGATTACAGGCTTGAGCCACCATGCCCGGCCCAGAAACAGAGGTTTAATGGACTCACAGTTCCACATAGCTGGGGAGGCCTCACAATCATGGTGGAAAGTGAAAGGCACGTCTTACTTGGTGGCAGACAAGAGAGAATGAGAGCCAAGCAAAAAGGGAAACCCCTTGTAAAACTATGAGATCTCATGAGACTCACTCCTGACCATGAGAACAGTGTGGGGGAAGCTGCCCCCGTGATCCACTTACCTTCCCCTGGGTCCCTCCCGCAACATGTGGGAACTGTGGGAGCTATCATTCAAGATGAGATTTGGGTGGGGACACAGCCAAACCGTATCAGCCTTCTTCCTCGCCTCATGACAGCGCTCTCGTGCCCTGCATTCCTTGATGTTTACCCTGTTTCAGGGGAAGGCTCCCTGTTCTGTTGGTTCAGCTCATGTCCTGTGCTCTGCCCTTTGGGAGTACTTCTCTTAGTTCATAATAATATATACATTAGTCTCATTATTCTGGTAAGTGTCTGTCTCTCCTGATGTCCTCTCTGTGAGTTGGGGATCACGTTTTTGTTCACCACCACATCCCTTTAGCTTAGCACATACTTGGCACTTGGTTCAAAGAAAATTTTTTGAGTGAACCATTTGATTTTGTTTTTTGTTTTATAGAGTTGAGAAGTTCTTAGGTAGGGAGTTGATAGTATCACAAAATTAATCTGTATACCCAGACCTTGGTCCCCTGGCAGTTTGGTTTTCAGCCATAACTAAAACTTAGTTATCCCAGAACAGTTTTAACACTTCTTCATTTTTTGTTGGGGTTCTTTTGAAAGTTAATTTAGACTTTGCAATACGCGGTAACCTGGGCTTTCGTTAAGAGGAACCAAGCAGGCCAAGTAGCTTTTTATCATTCCATTGAACACGGCGATACAAGATGAGCAGATAACGTGAATTCCTGAAAATCAGCTTGGAATAAACTGTTCTCTAACTGATATTTATTTTAATTCCAGAACATGGTCCAAGACAATTCCTGGGAAAGTTCAGTTCTTCTCAAGTGAGGGTTCTGACACATCTGTACCAATTCCAGTAGTGCCACTACGGGGTGTGGACGACTCCTACCCGCCCCAGAAGAAGTCCTTCATGATGCTCAAGTACATGCACGACCACTACTTGGACAAGTATGAATGGTTTATGAGAGCAGATGATGACGTGTACATCAAAGGAGACCGTCTGGAGAACTTCCTGAGGAGTTTGAACAGCAGCGAGCCCCTCTTTCTTGGGCAGACAGGCCTGGGCACCACGGAAGAAATGGGAAAACTGGCCCTGGAGCCTGGTGAGAACTTCTGCATGGGGGGGCCTGGCGTGATCATGAGCCGGGAGGTGCTTCGGAGAATGGTGCCGCACATTGGCAAGTGTCTCCGGGAGATGTACACCACCCATGAGGACGTGGAGGTGGGAAGGTGTGTCCGGAGGTTTGCAGGGGTGCAGTGTGTCTGGTCTTATGAGGTAAGAACAGAATTCTTTACCATGGGAAAAACTTAATTTTGTCAATTTTGTCATTAGTTCTGAGCGTATCATAGGAAACTAGAGATGATATCCTCTTTGAGGGTTGAAGTTGGTATTATTCTACATTTTTAGCCTTAGATTAAAAAAAAAATTCAGTTCCCCTTTATTACCTTTTCTTGGCTTTGAGCGCATATCTTCTGTACTTTTTCTCCCCCCAGAGAGAGTCTTGCTCTGTCTCCCAGGCTGGAGTGCAGTGGCGCCATCTCGGCTCACTTTAACCTCCGCCTCCTGGGTTCAAGCAATTCTCCTGCCTCAGCCTCCCGAGTAGCTAGGATTATAGGCAGGCGCCACCACGCTAGGCTAATTTCTGTATTCTTAGTAGAGACGAGGTTTCACCATGCTGGCCAGGCTGGTCTCGAACTCTTGACCTTGTGATCTGCCTGCCTCAGCCTCCCAAAATGCTGGGATTACAGGCGTGAGCCACGGCGCCCGGCTCTTCCATACTTTTGTCCTAATACTTAGTTAATAAATAATGGCATTTGGGGCCTAAAGAAAAGATAATGGGTTGCTGATGGTCATGGTGATATTTTCTTGATTATCCAGAAAATCATCTTGTCTGACTTCTGCTGATTCCACAGATGTAATTGCAAGAATGTAGGATATCTCCCTATTTGTTTTTGCAAAGGCCTGGCTCTTCTCTTCTGGTCATAATGACCTACACAGATTAGAAACTTAACGTGTTTTGAATTTATAAAAGGAATCATGGTATAAAAAAGCCAATAGCATTTGACTTCGCATTTGTTGTGTACCTTGACTGTTCAGATAGTTACTTTAATCTGTGAGTTTATAATATAGTTGTTGCTTTCAGAATAGTTGTCGTGCAACTTCTGAGTTACCGTGACACATAAATGAAATTTGCCGAAGGAAGTCCGCTTGTAGATGTTTTCTCTGTAGCAGTTGTAGAGAAGATGGACTGGCTTTGGACTTTCCTGTGTTGTTGCTGCACCCTTTGCCTGCAGATTGCACAATCTGATACCAGTTAATGGTGAAAAAAATTATTGAGGTTGTATTGTCTTTAGGTTGATAAACTCCTGGCAGTTGTGAGGAGCAGAGGTAATTGCTAGATCTTTTGCCCAAGAAAAAGAATACACTTTCTAATATGAACTGTTAGCTTTTTTCTGAACTAATGTTCTAAAGCACGTACTTGAGTGAAAGAGCAGTATTCTTGCCTGTACTTGTCCACCCCTAGACTTGCTTTTAAATGTCTGCTAATCACTCTTACTTTTTTTGTTGTTTGAACTTTAGGGAAGTGGACATTTTCAAGCATACAGGGAGTGGCCATGTAATTTTTAATTACAAAGTCACAAAGATACATTTTAAATCCTAAATGTGATCTTGAGTGAACTCTTCAATCCCTGTGTGCCTTATACTATCCCCCCAACCCCAGCACATAGGGGACAGCTCACTGGGCCTACGGGATCTCTCTGTCGTCACGGATTTTTGCAGCGAGGAAAGCTGTTTGAGGGTTTCACGCTGTTTTAAGCAGAATACAGCTGGCAATATTTCTGCATTTTTCCCCATCCTAAGAAAGTAGTTATAACCTTGACACATTTCATTATGGTTAAAATAGGTAACACATTGTATATTTTGGAACACTTTCCCCTGACCATCATCTCCGAGAAGCCAACCTTCTTGCCGGAATCATAGAGGACAGACCTTCTTTCGGGAGAGAATTTTTAAAAGTATGTCTTAGTTAGGTCGTGCTGTTATATACTGCTGGACAGACACCAACAGAGCCAGTCTCTTGAGTTTGATCAAGAACTTGGGTTTAGCGTTAGTGCCAAGAGGTAGTTAGAAAGTGTCATCCTGGGGCTGCAGGGTGGGAGGCCATTTTGGAGATGATTTTCCTCTGACGGGAGGTAATCACAAAAGGTTTCTGATGGCCTGCGAAGGGGTGCATGGAATGATCCTGTCTGGACACTTGGAGCCCCCTCTGAGGCTTGGTGCATCCTGTCAGTGGCCTCATCAGCTGAAGGGACCTGGTTGGTGAGGAGGCCTCCTCCCCGTGTGGTCCCGTCTCCCTGCCTTGGGAGGTGGGTCAGGGACAGCAGCAGCAAGGCTCTCCTTGGGAGTGTGGTTATTGGGCCTGCTGCTGCTCTGCGTTTCTTTAAATGCCCTGTGGTGTCAGAGCTTTGACTGACTGCTGCAGGCTTCTCCTGGGCTTGTGCCACAGGGCCCTCCCACCTGCAGTGCCCAGAGCTCTCTTTTTCTCTTCTGTGAGCTGCCTTGCCTGTTCGTAGTCTTGGCCCGTATTTCTGCTGAAATGTTGTCTTACAGTTTTGTTGAAGTGCTTTATTCTGGATAGAGTATCTTTTCTCAGACTGTGACTTAACTTTTCACCTTAATTGTGGGATTTTTATTGTACGCAAATTGTGAATCTAAGTGCAATCTAATGCATCATTCTTTTCCATTACGGTTTGTGCTTTTGTGTTTAAGAAATTCTTCCCTTCCTTAGGTCACGAATATGTTTTCTCCTGTATGTTTTCTTACATGTTTGAAGTGTTCCCTTTCACGTGTAGTTCTTCATTATAATGTTAAGAATTCATCTATTGGAACACTTGCCATCTTATTAGACCTTTGATTTCTATTTTTTTATTTTTCTTTTTATAAAGCTTTAAGTGCTTCTAACCTAAGTTGTTATTAGGTTTATCATTGTGTTCACCACTCAGGTAAGATTAATCCTTCGTGTGGATGAGGAACTTTTATTAAACTTCCTGTAAATCTAGTTTCCCCATTAAGGTTCACATTATGGGAAATTATTGAGGTGGAGTCTTATGTTAAAGACAATTACGTTAAGCTTTGGGACTTGGAAGGTACTTATTTTGCCCTATTATAAGCCTAGCCAGAAGGTATAGTGTTTTTTTTGGCGAGTAGAAATAGTACCTTGGGATGACACTTAGGTAATTAAAATGACTTGTGAGGAACAACTGTCAAAATCAAAGTCTAGATTCATTTCTAAACTTGTTTTGATAATTATTGGTGGTTATTAAAAAATAGCCTTGAGAACTTTGTTTGGAAATAATGTTAAACTCACAGAGAAGTCAGAGGATAGTGAGAGTGTAGGCCTGGAGGCTGGGGAAGAGCTGGGAGGAGCTCAGCTCCTGGCTCCCCTTGCCACATGGTGTCAGCAATATTGACTCAACTCAGGTGAGGTGTTTTTGAGAATTATTATTGAAAATTTTGAAATAGGAATTCATTTTATCAAGGCAAATACATGAAAAGCTATACTACTCTTAAGAGGGAACAAAAAGAAAATTGACTTAAGTAACCTATTCATTTTGTCTTTGACTTTTGCTTCGACGTGTACTGTACGTATGGAAAAGTGCATAGGTCGCAAGGGTCAAGCCCAGTGGATTTTCACAGACTGCACGCAGGCAACCAGTAGATCTTTCTTCTATTATTTTCTCATATTTGACTAGGGGTGAAGCTGTAGACAGTAATGATTATTGATGAAATTTGGAGATAGGCAAAGGTGGATTTGACAGCTTTAAAATATTAATTGTTTTTAATAGCCAATACTGTCACGTGGCTCAAAATTCAGAAGTGCAAAGGGCTTATAGGAATACGTCTTCCTTCCTCTGCCTCCGGCCCCTGGGCTTCCGCTGTGAATTAGCCATCATGGTGCCTCAGGTTTCCTGCGTATCATATCATATACAAACAATTAAGTTTCTACTTCTCTCCCCGTTTACATGAATGGTAGCGTAATACCTACCATCTATGTCTTGGAAGATTTCCCATTTGGTAAATAAAAGAACTTCGTCTTTTTGATGGACGTTCGGGCTATTTCCAGTTCTTTCGGCAGTGTTTCTAGGCGGTCATTTAGCCCAAGGCTCCCCAATCTTTTTCACATCTTGACATTGACTCAATTCACTCACGCTGAGGAGCCTGCCTCCAAGGGCTGCTGTTACCCCAATCCCTAGCTCCTGTCCCCTCCACCACCCCTACAGCCCCATACCACTCTAGGCCTGGAAGGATTGTTATCTGGGCACACATGGAACTTGTTCATGTTACACCCGCACACCAAAATACACCAGTTATGAAGCTCTGAGTTAGCCAGTAAGTACTTGTTAAGGGTTCATTAATGAGCCCAGAACTGCCCTCTGAATTGGTAGGGAAATTGCAAAAGATTGAAACATGAATGGCCACCTTTTTCTCCCTCAAGGACTTCAGAGTAGTTGAGGAGACAAAGACCATATGTTCATGAACCAGTTGAAAAGAAATTAAAAATATGAAACCTGTGATACTGATTTTAAATATAAAACAGTACAGGGAAGGCTGAAATGGATAATGTTCTTTTTATGAGGAGGCATATATCATCAAGGGAAATTGGAGTTTGCAGCAAAATGTGTAAAAAGATAAAATCTTCCTTGTTAGTCTGTCTCATAAAGGAATGTTGAACATCCATATACCAGAAGCCTGGGGTATTTTTCACTTTAATAATAGAAGAAATAATGTTTCTTTTTTTAAAAAAAATTCACACATTATAATTGTACATATTTATGGAGTATGGTTTAATGTATTCATGTATATGTTGTATAAGGATCAAATCAGGAAGGTTGACATGTCCATCACCTCATGAGAGGTTTTTGAATGTTCTCTCCACAAAGAAATAATTTTTCTTGACTTTGGGTTGTCACAGAGATGATTTGTGTTCCAGTAGTTCCTTCCTCACTCATTTAGGCTGCCCGTTAAACTCGCAGGCCTGAGAACCAGGCAGACCCTCAGTGGCTAGATGTCCCAAAGAGTGAGCACTAATGCTGCATGTTCTATCCATTATCAAAAGTAGGGTATTAGGGCCGGGCGTGGCGGCTCAGCACTTTGGGAGGCCAGGGTGGGTGGATCACCTGAGGTCAGGAGTTCAAGACCAGCCTGGCCAACATGGTGAAACCTCGTCTCTACTAAAAATACAAAAATTAGCCGGGCATGGTGGCGGGCGCCTGTAGTCCTAGTTACTCTGGAGGCTGAGGCAGGAGAATCACTTGAACCTGGGGAGCAGAGGTTGAAGTGAGCCGAGATCACGCCACTTCACTCCAGCCTGGGCAAAGAGCAAAACTCCGTCTCAAAAAAAAAAAAAAGTGGGATATTGAAGTCTCTAATATCATCATTATTATTTTTGAGGCAGAGTCTCGCTCTGTCACCCAGGCTGGAGTGCAGTGGCATGACCTCAGCTCACTGCAACCTCTGCCTCCTCGGTTCAAGCGATTCTCAGGCCTCAGTCTCCTGAGTACCTGGGATTACAGGAGTATGCCACCATGCCCAGCTAAATTTTGTATTTTTATTAGGGATGGGGTTTCACCATGTTAACCAGGCTGGTCTTGAACTCCTGGCCTCAAGTGATCTGCCTGCTTCAGCCTCCCAAAATGCTGGGATCACAAGTGTGAGCCACTGTACCTAGTCAGAAGTCTCTAATGTTATTGTTGAATTCTCTATTTCTTCCTTCAGTTCTGTCAGGTTTTTCTCCTTTTATTTCAGGGCTGTGTTTTGGGATGTATATATGTTTATATTTGTTATACCTGTTTGATGGATAGACACTTTTATCATTATAAAATTCCTTCTTTGTTTCTAGTAACAATTTTTGTCTGAAGTCTGTTTTGTCTGATATTAGTATGATGACTCCAGCTCTCTTGGTTACCATTTGCATGGTATATCTTTTTTCATCCTTTTACTTTCAACTTGTTTGTGTCTTTGAATGTAAAGTGTGTCTCTCATGAAGACAGCATATAGTTGGATCATTTAAAAAATGCATTCTGCCAATATTGCCTCATAATTGGAGTATTTAATTAATTTGCATTTAATATAATTACTGATAGAGGAGGACTTATCTCTGCCATTTTGCTGTTTTCTGTATGTCATATCTTTGTTTTTCTGTTACTCCAGTACTACCTTTTTTATTACCTAGTGTACCATTGTAATTCCCTTGTCATTTCTTTTACTGTATTTTTTAGTAGTCGCCTTGGGGATGAACATCTTACCTGATAATTTAGTTCTGATGAATACCAACTTAATAACAGTAGTAAACACAAGATTTGCTCATGTGTAGCTGTGTTGTCTCCTCCCTTTGTGCTGTTGTTGTCAAATAAATTATATCTTTATACGTTGTATGCCAGTCAACAGAGATTTATAATAATTGCTTTATGTACTTATCTTTTAAATCAGATCAGAGAAAAAAGGAATTACAAATAAAAAATACATTTATACCCTTTTTTACCTATGTAGTTACCCTTATGGGGCTTCTTATTCATGCCTATTTGAGTTACTGTATAATGTTCTTTCATTTCAGCTTGAAAGACTTCCTTTAATATTTTTCATAGAGCAAGTTTGCTAGAGATGAATTCCTTTTGTTTCTCTTGGAATGTCCTAATTTCTCCTTCACTTTTTTCCTAATTTCTCCTCCACTTTTAAAGGACATCTTTCTTGGATATAGAATTCTTAGTTGCCAATCTTTTTTTCTTTTATCACTTTGAATGGATGCTTTCTGGCCTTCATGGTTTCTGATAAGAAATCAGTTGTTAATCTTATTGAGGATCCTTTGTATGTCATGAGTTGCTTTTCTTGCTACTCTTAAGATTCTCTTTGGCTTTTAACAGTTTGATTAGGATGTGTCTAGGTGATCCCTTTGAGTTTATCATACTTGGAGTTTGTTGTGTCTCTTGGTTATGTGGCTTGTTTTTCATCAAATTTGGAGATTTTTCACTTATTATTTCTTGAGTATTTCTGCCCCTTTCTCTCTGTTTCTGTTTTCCTTTGGAATGCCCGTCATGCTGTGTTCTACTCATTTTTACTCCTGTTTTCTTTCTCTTTCTCACACTAGATAATTGCAATGGCCTACTTTCAGTTTCATGGATTCTTTCCTCTGCCTGTTCAACTCTGTTGTGATATTTTCATTTCAGATATTGTACTTTTCAACTCCATAATTTCTGTTTGGCTCATTAAAAATACAAATAATTTCTGTCGCCGTATTGGCTGCTTTTTCCGCCTTTGTATGGGCCATACTTTCTTGTTTCTTTGATACCTCATAATTTTTTTTTTTTGGAAACTAGACATTTACTTACTATTATTTAAATGTGACAACTCTTGAAATCTACCCCTTCAGGGATGTTATTGCTGGGTTTTGTTGTTTGTTTAGTGTCTTTTCAGAACCAGTTCCGTACAGTGTATTTTTTTTGTATGTGGCCACGGAAGTCTCTACATGATTTGCTTAGTGCTTAGCTAATGACTGGACAGAGATTTCCTTAGATGCCTGGAACTAAAAAGTTATTGGCTCTTTGCTGAGGGTCTCTTGTATACCTGTTGGTGCTTGCCCTGAACACTCAGCAGGCATTTGACAACCCTGCCTTAAACTTCACTTAACTACTTAACTTGCTTGTACAGAGAGCTTAGGGCCTTCTTGGGTCTTTGCTGAACATGCACACACTCCCACACATGCGTGTGGCCTTGTAGATTCCCAGGAGTAATATATTGAAGCTTTTTCAAAACCCCATATTGCATCTTATTCCCTGCTTTTCTTTTTAAGCTTTTTATTTAGCCTGTTTTTTTGTTTGTTTGTTCCCCCCACACACTGCGTGTATGGTTAGCCATCCCCTTGGGCAGTGCTGCATTCAACAATTGCCTGTGATTGTTTTTGACCAGCCCCCTATCCCCTTCCAAGAAGGTGTTTGCAATAGGAAAATTCTGAGTCAGGTCAAATAAAGACAACATTGCAAGGTCTTCCAGGGAACCACCAGATAGGTCAGATAATGACAGTTCTTTGGGAATGGGGCTTTGAAGGAGCTCCAGCCCCTCTTTGACCCCTCTAATGGCTTCCAAGCTGCTGGTTTTTGCTGTGATTGTAGACTGTTGTTTTTCAAGGCTAGGGTAGAAAACAGACTGGAAATAGGGCAAATTAAAATGCCACCAAGCTTACTGTTACCAAAATTTTTGTCTTTTTCTTGCATAAATACTGTCTGGATTACTGCAAATCTTTAATATCCAGAGTCCTGGAAAGGCTGCCTCTGCCCATTTTTGTCAGTGTTCGCTTTACTTTCAGGGCAGACAGGATTTTTGGAGGTCTTCACTCTGCCATTTTCACTGATGTCACCTAAAAGCATCTGTTATGGGGACTTAGCTCCACAGCTTAAATTTTGCTTTTTATAATTAGATGAATTACGCTGAGTGTCGCCTTATACTCTGTTTAAGAAGTCAGGGTATTGTGCTCTAAAAATTAGAAAGACTTCCAACCAATTAGTTACAATATTCACATACATTCATTTCAAAAATAAATTTTGGACATCTGTAGCAAGACACTGTGCTAGCTGGGGACACAACAGTGCAGAAAGCCAAGACCATGGTCTCATATGCTGGTGGAGCGAGGTGGGGTGCAGTGAGAGACAGTGCAGAGGAGTATGTGTGGTAAGTTTAGGACATAGCACAGTGGCCAGCATGAGTGGAGTGACGAGGCAGAGTGGGGCGAAGGGTAAGGCCAGATGGCATCAGAGTTGAGGGGAGGCAGGGAATGCTGAGGACATTGGTTTGGGCACAAATAGGCCTGACTTGAATCATGGTGCTTCATTCAGCTTTGTTCTTCACTAGCTGTGTGGTCTTGGGCAGCGAGTTACCTGACTCCCCTGAACCTTAATTTCCTTAAAGATGGGGTGAGGGTAAAAATTGTCTACGTTATAGGGTGGTTCCAAGGATAAATTGAGTTGATGCATGTTACCTATTACCATAGCTCATGTTTGGGACAGGTGAGTGCTTGCTTGTGAAATGTGAGGGCTACCGGAAACTATCCTCAAGTATCTGAAAAGCAAAGCCCTTCAGAACTCATTCCCTGAGACCACCACATAGATTTTGATCTATGTAAACAAATACTTGAATATGCTTTGTAGTAACATTGTAGTCTTGGAATCTCATGTTTTTGTTTTTACAATTTAGGGAAGACTATTTTGACAGAACCAATCATAGTTTACCTAAAATGGATGTGTTAGTTGCTTTGGATCTGTGATTATTTTGTTGGCAAAACAAACCTTCTCCAGGTACATGAACATCTCTGAAATGGTTCCACCATTGGGTATATCAGAGTCCTGTGATTGTGAGAGCCTGTTAGCACACTCTCAGGAGGTGGGATCGACATATCGTTTTCTTTATCTTAAGACATAGCACAGTGGCATTTCCTGTATACATTTGAAGAGATTGAGATCACAGCTGTTATCACCTCAATTCCCATAATAGAACTGGCGTGTTAGTCCGTTCTCACACGGCTATAAGGAAATACCTGAGACTGGGTAATTTATAAAGAAAAGAGGTTTAATTGGCTGGTGGTTCAGTAAGCACAGGCATGTGCTTGGCTTCTGGGAGGCTTCAGGGAGCTTTTACTCATGGTGGAAGGCAAAGCGGGAGTCGACATCTCACATGGCACAAGTGGGAGCAAGGGGAGGGGGGTGGTACACATGTTTAAACAACCAGATCTTGAACTAACTCACTGTTAGGAGGACAGCACCACAGATAAACCATTCATGAGGGATCCACCCCCATGATCCAGTTCCTCCCACCAGGACCCACCTCCAACACTGGAGATTACATTTCAACATGAGATATGGGTGGGGACAAGTATCCAAACTATATCAACGGTAATCTGCCTTTTAAAACGTATATCAATATTCAAAGCATTTTGAAATAAGAATAAAACAAGGCTCAGCAGTGGCTCACGCCTGTAATCGCAGCACCAAGGTGGGAGAATCACTTGAGCCCAGGAGTTCAAGACCAGCCTGGGCAACATAGTAAGACCCTGTATCTGCCAAAAAAAAAAAAATCAGCTGGGTATTTTGTTGCACGCCTGTGGTCCTAGCTACTTTGGAGGTGAGGTGGGAAGATGGCTTGAGCCTGGAAGGTTGAGGCTGCAGGGAGCTGTGACTGTGCCACTGCACACCAAGGCAGAATACTGTAAGCTGTATGGGAAAGCACAGGGTGGGTGCCTGGATCAATTAGAGCAGGCAGGATGAGTTGGGGAGCGGTGGGAGGCACTCTCGTTGCCTGGGCCACGCCCTTCTGTAAAGGTGACTGGGTTTCTGGACTGTTCCAACCAATCACGAAGGCATCCTTTCACATTTTTAAGAGGTCTTAAGATGGCATCATCGAAGCTTTTGAGTCTTTAGTTCTAACATTTAATCATCTTTATTGAACTAATAAGAGTCTGGTGTTTGAAAAGGAACAGGTGAGGGAACAGAGGTGCAGCTGCATCTGGTGGTGGCAGTGTTGTTCACCTCAGGCGGTGTTGTCTGGGATAGGAAAGTCGGAGGTGAAGTGTAAGGTTTAGAAGTGTAAGCGTGTGTGTGGACGTGAAGTATTAGCATTGCCTGTGGGTCTTAGACCAGGTGGGAGTTTCTCAGAGGCAGACCGTCTGCAAGAGAATCCCTTGAGGTGCTTGCTGATGGGCACATTTCTAGGCCCCAGACTTGGCAGGTGGAGTCCAGTGATCTGCGCTGTTGACAGGCTTCTCTGGTGAATCTTACACTTGCTAGTGTTTAAGAACCGTCATTGCCATTTATACTCTTAAAACATTTCTTATGATTTAGTGATGTTATGGATGTGTGGGAACTGAAGTTATGTTTTTGTTAATTGACATCATCCCATTTAGCCCTGGGTCTTTCTAGTAAGTAACTTTTATAAAGTCAGGTTAGTGGGAGGCCAGACTTGGCACACAAATGCCCCCAGTCATATGTTTGATAGGTTAATGTTTTATATATATGTATTCTTTTCCTTTCTTCTCTCCTCTGAGCCATGTTACTGGCAATGAGTTGTATAACCAGATGCAGTAATGTGTTACTTAATGACAGGGATGCATTCTGAAAAGTATATCCTCAGGTGATTTTGTTGTATAAACATCATAGAGAGCACTTACACAAGCCTAGATGGTACAGCCTCCAACACACCTAGGCTGTATGGTGTAGCCTGCGGCTCCTAGGCTACAAACCTGTACAGCATGTTACTGTGCTGAATACTGTAGGCAACTGTAAGACAATGGTAAGTGTTTGTATTTCTAAACATATCACAACATATGAAAGGTACAGTGAAAATAAGGTATTACAATCTTACGGGACCACAGTCTAAGGGGTCAGTTGTTGACTGAGACATCGTTACAGGGGCCAGGACTGTAAAAGTGGGCAGATGATCAGCACTAAATCCTGAGTCCCAGTGTGGAAGTCCTCTGTAGTAGACGAGGCCTGAGTCCCAGTGTGGAAGTCCTCTGTAGTAGACGAGGCCTGAGTCCCAGTGTGGAAGTCCTTTGTAGTAGACGAGGCCTGAGTCCCAGTGTGGAAGTCCTCTGTAGTAGACGAGGCCTGAGTCCCAGTGTGGAAGTCCTCTGTAGTAGACGAGGCCTGAGTCCCAGTGTGGAAGTCCTCTGTAGTAGACGAGGCCTGAGTCCCAGTGTGGAAGTCCTCTGTAGTAGACGAGGCCTGAGTCCCAGTGTGGAAGTCCTCTGTAGTAGACGAGGCCTGAGTCCCAGTGTGGAAGTACTCTGTAGTAGATGAGATGATGAAAACAAAGGACTTTTGGCAGGGGGTTAAACTGACAAACATCTTAAAGCTAAAACTATAAGATATTTTAAAGCATCTTTTGTTTCTGTAATTGATGATTTCACACATGTTCATGTGGTCTGGTTATAAGCCTTCTTAAGCCTCAGCTTTTGTTAGTTGCCATGAACTGTAACTCCGGATTTATTTATCAAACAAATTATAGTTTAAACAAAGTAGTTGGCCGGGCATGGTGGCTCATGTCATCCTAGCACTTTGGGAGGCCAAGGTGGGTGGATCACCTGAGATCAGGAGTTCGGGACCAGCCTGGCCAACATGGCAAAACCCTGTCTCTACTAAAAATACAAAAAATTAGCCGGGCGTGGTGGTGGGTGCCTGTAATCCCAGCTGCTCGGGAGGCTGAGGCAGGAAAATCACTTGAACCTGGGGGGCAGAGGTTGAAGTGAGCCCAGACAGCGCCACTGCACTACAGCCTGGGCAAAGAGCAAAACTCTGTCTCAAATAAAGTAGTTAACAAAGTATTTGTTAGTCACTGTGGTGGTTTTTATGCTCATTTTAAAGTCTTTGATAATCTTCCTCCTGGAAGTGGAGCTTAATTTCCCTCCTCTTGACTGTGGAGGGACAGGGTGACTCGAGGCTCCTGAATGGAGTGGAGAATAGGAATCTGGTGGACACCACCTTGACATCACAGGAGTGGGTCACATTTGTGTCAGGTACCCCCCCCACCATGATGGCATGAGAAAGACACATCAGCTCTGCATAGTCTTCCCCAAATCCACAACCCCAGTTTAATCGGAGAAAACTTCAGACAAAACCAAGGGGTGGGATTTTCCGCAAGATACTTGACCCGTGTTCTTCAAAAGTGTCAGGTCAGGAAAAGCAAGGAAAGACCGGGAAACTGTCAGGCTAGAGGTGACCAAGGAGGTGGGATTACTAAATGTACTGTGGGGCCCTAGATTGGAAGAGAAAAAGGACATTAGTGGGAAAACTGGTGAAATCTGAATAAAGTCTGCACTCTAGGTAATAGTGTATACATGTATCAGTTTCTTAGTTTTGCTCTGTGTAGCATAGTCAAGTGGGATGTTAACATCAGAAGAAGCGGGGTGAAGCTGTGGGAACTGTCTCTGCCATCTTTACAATTCTTCTTTAAATCCAAAATTGTCTTGAAGTACAAAGTGGCTAGAACCAAGAGATAATTGGACACAAAAATGATGTCGCTGTCTCTGCCTCTGTATCCTGATGGCTTCTCCATGCCAAGGGGAAACTAGGCAAAGCAATAGAAGACTAGATCCTCTGTGACTCTAAGTGGATATTGTGCAGGATGTGATTTTTAGCTTATTGACTTCTAAGAACTCTGAGACAGAAAGGTCTTTGTGTGTGAGGGCTGTAGACTTCTAACCCTTACAAAGAGCTTATCAGTTGAGCAAGCTTATAATGTGCTGTGTTATTACTGTAAAAAATTTGTAATGGTACCATTACAGCAAAATGTTTCCCTGGCTAAAAAGATCTTTCAGCGTTCACTCAGCAATTTAACGCTCGGGCTTGCTGACATCATCTTGGTTAACCCTGTAGTGCTTGGCTTCTGTGTTTTCTCTCATTGAACTCTGGCAGGGATTTTAAAAAAAAAAAGTACAAAGCTATTTTCTTGGATGTCTAGCAATTACTTCCACAGCCTTTTCTTAAGAAACAAACAAAAAAACTCCCTGTGACAGAAAAATACTATAGGTGCTAGTTTTTCTTTCACATAGTTAACATGTCTGTGCCGTCTCCTGGAACAGGTACACTGGTTTTAAAGACACAACTTTTATTTAAAATGATGTGGTTTATTTAAGGCAGAAAGTTGAGTACGGTTTCATTTATTTTTACCACCTGAGGAATGCTTGTTTACTTTTTAGGTGCTTATATATTGATTCTGTAATAATTTAGAATTCTGGTTACTTTATTAGGGTAAAGTGAGCATGGATATTGAATATCCCAGATAATACAAACTTAATTTTTAAAACTTTGTTTATATATATAGAGAGAGGGAGAGAGAGAGACACTCTCAACCTGTCACCCAAACTAGTGTGCAGTGGGGCAAGCTTGGCTCCTCCCGGGTTCAAGAGATTCTTGTGCCCCAGCGTCCTGAGTAGCTGGAATTACAGGTACACCCCAGCACACCTGGCTAATTGTTGTTGTTGTTAGTAGAGAGGATTTTGCCACGTTGGCCAGGCTGTTCTTGAACTTCTGATCTCAAGTGATCCGCCCACCTCGGCCTTCCAGAGTGCTGGGATTACAGGCGTGAGCCACCGCACCCGGCCTGTTAATATATATTTTTAAAAATTTGTCTGCGTACCTGCGTGTGACAGGCCCTGCTATAGGCATAGGGGCTGCCACAGTGAACACAGCAAAGCTCCTATTCTCTCAATGCATTTGTTTCTCTATGGGGATGTCCGAAAATAAGGAGACAAATAAATAAATAATGGCAGGTGGCACTGAGTCTGAAGCAATACAGGCATGATAAGGCGGCCGACTGATGGAGGGACAGGGCTGCTCGCAGGTGGCACTGAGTCTGAAGCAATACAAGCATGATAAGGCGGTCGACTGATGGAGGGACGGGGCTGCTCGTCCAGCTGAGAGAGTGAGAGGCAAACCATGGTCATATCTGGGAAAGGACGTTTTGAGCAGTTCAAACAGAGGGAATGGGCATGCGGAGGCCCTGAGGCAGTGATTACGTCCATGACTGAGAAAACACGGAAGCTGAGTTAGAGCACGTGAGTGAGAGGGGCAGCGTCCTGTGAGGCCTGTCCCCTTCTGTGATAAGAACATTGAGGGTTACAGTCAGTGAGCTGAGAGGGCCCTGAGAGTTGGGGCAGACGAGCCTCCATTTCCAGAGGGTCCCTCTGCTCTGCTCATGGAGAGGCAGCTGCAGAGTTGCAGCAGGGAGGTTGGTTGGCAGGCATGCTGATACATCTGCGAAGAGGTGAGGGGAAGTGACTGGGACCAGGTGACTGGTGAGAAGTGGTGGATAAATGGATAAATTTTGCAGGTAGAGTTGATAGGATGTGGGGAGAGAGACAGGTTGCCTGAGCAGTTGAATTCCCAGGGAACTCACAGGGATAGGGTTCCTGGTAAAGGGGAAGACTGGGGAAGTTCAGGCTTGATATACAAATACCATCTGCAGCATATTGATGGTATTTAAGTACACGGGCAGTTAGGGAGATAGAGGCAGGGTCTGAGGGCTGAGCCTTGAGGCTCCAGTGGGTTAGAGGTCAGAGGTGAGGGGGCACCAGCTGAGGAGACTGAGCAGGGAGGCCAATGAAATAGGAGGAAACTTTGATTTACGTTTGCTTAGTTTGCACTTGGAATGCTTGAACACTCACTGTTTGGGTACTTATTACATTAATAGTTGACTTGGATGGCAGGTATTTGGGAGATTCTTATCAAAAGTGAATATTATGTTTAAAAAGAGAATCCTAGGCTGGGCACAGTGGCTCATGCTTATAATCCCAGCACTTTGGGAGGCCGAGGCAGGCGGATCCCCTGAGGTCAGGAGTTGAAGACCAGCCTGGCCAACATGGAGAAACCCCCTCACAAAATTAGCCGGGCGTGGTGGCACATGCCTGTAATCCCAGCTACTTGGGAGGCTGAGGCAGGATAATTGCTTGAACTTGGGAGGTGGAGGTTGCTGTGAGCCAAGATCACGCCATTGCACTCCAGCCTGGGCAAAACGAGCGAAACTCCATCTCAAGAAAAACAAGAATCCTCTGGTATGGGTGGACAAGGATGGGGTATGTGCTGGTATAACAATGGGAAACTTTTTTCTCTGCTGATGACTGGTGTACGAGACAGTACTTGAAAAAAATCAACCTCAGTGGCAGCCTGAGAACCAGTGGACCACAGATGGTTGGTGGTCAGCACCTGGGCAGAGCTGAGTGGTGTTTGTTTGGAGAAGTAAGCTGTGGAGTGTGGGCCCTGTGTTACAGAGGTTTTATTTACCATGAAATTTGACGTTTGCTTGTGTTGATTTAAAAATGTATGATTTGTTTATTTTTAAAAAGATAATCCACCCCTCCCTACGTGGAACTGGATGCATCCTCGTGAAGCTGCTTTATACCTTTACCAACTGCATAGAAATCTACCAGGGCCTCAGCCTTTGTTTTGTCGTCTGCAGTCCATCAACTTTTAGAGACTGAATGCTGTTGATCACTTGGTGATCTAAGCCTTTCATAATACTTAAGATTTCTAACTGACACTTAACTTGGCAGAAATCACTATTAATTTCAGGAGGCAGTTATAATTGAACATTGATTCAGTTAAGCCTTTGTAATAAATAGATTTTTTTGGGGGTGGATGAGGTTTAAAGTTATCTTATTCTTTTGGTATAGAGAGAAACCCCATTTAAACTGCATTCTTCTAAGCCTCTGCTTCCGTTCTTCCCTAAAACAGGATTATTTAACCTTGTTCGAGGTTGTACTGCTTGTAGAGAGATAGATTCAGAGTTTTAATCCAGGCAGGCCGACTGGAGCCTGCAGTTTGAACTCTAATGATCACATTTTCTTTTTCTGTATGATACTGCACTATACCTTTTTATTGTAAATACCGCCAGTATTTGTTTGAAAAGAACCAATAAAGTTGAAATGTTGAGAATTTTTGACAAAGGGGAAATTTTCCTGGTTCTTACATTTCTTCATTTGGTGGGATACTTTTCGTATACTCATGTGTTTAACAGTCTATTCAAGTGACAGCTGTTGGGCCTCATAGAGGGGTTTGTTTTTGAGGCAGGGTCTTGCTCTGTCACCCTGGCTGGCATGGCTGTAGCTCAGTGCAGCCTCAAACTCTTGGGCTCAAACAATCTCCCACCTCAGCCTTCTGTTGGCATGAGCCACCACGCCCAGCCTGTTTTAACGTAAGTTTAACTTTAGGAGAGTTTTATTTATGCACTGCTGGAGTGCAGTGGCGCGATCTCAGCTCACTGCAACCTCCGCCTCCCAGGTTCAAGCGATTCTCCTGCATTCAAGTGATTCCCCACCTCAGCCTCCCTAGTAGCTGGGATACAGGCACACACCACCACAGCAGGCTAATTTTTTGTATTTTTAGTAGAGACGGGGTTTCACCATGTTGACCAGGCTGTTCTCAAACTCCTGACCTCAGGAGATCCACCTGCCTCAGCCTCCCAAAGGGCTGGGATTAACAGGCATGAGCCACTGTGCCCAGCTGGAGAGTTTTAGATTTACAGAAAAATTATAAAGATAAAAATCTATACTTTATTTAAATGTCCTTAGCTTTGACCTGCTGTCTTTTTTCTATTGTCATATCTCCAGGCTTCTCCTGTCGCCTGTCTGTGCCAGTGTCTTAGGCATTCCTTGTTTTTGATGATCTTGACGGTTTTGAGGAGTGCTAGTCAGGTATTTTGTAAAATTTTCCTCTATTCGGATTTGTCTGATGTTTTTCTCACAATTAGATTGGCGTTATGGATTTCTGAGGGGAAGACTGTAGAGATAAAATGCCATTTCCATCACATCATATCAAGGGTACGTACCGTCAGCATGGTTTATCGTTGTTGATGTTGACCTTGATCACTTGACTGAAGGGAGTGTCTGTCAGGTTTCTTCACTGCAGAGTTACCCTTTCCCCTCCTTTACATACTGTGCTCTTCAGGAGAAGGTCACTAATATGCAGCTCACACTTACGGGTGGGGAGTTACACTCTCCTTCCTTGAGGTTGGAATATCTATGTGATTTCTTCTGTTCAGGAGGGAAATTTGTCTGTTCTTCCTCATTTATTTGTTCAGTTATGTCAATATGGCCCCATGCGTATTTATATTTTGGATTATATACGCTTTTATTTTGTTGCTAAACTTGTTCCACCTTTGTCCACTGGGTGCTCTTTCAGTTGCTCGGTCCTCCCTCCCTCCATCCCTTCCTTCTGCACTCCTGCACCTCTTTGCTTTCTGGCACTAGAAGTTGCTCCAGGCTCATCTCGTGTATTTCCTGCCCAAGGCCTAGAATCAGCCATTTCTTCAAGGAATCGAGGCTCTTCTCTTGGAGAATGGTATTAGAAAGCAAGACTTGGGTGCTAGGTATGCTTGTTGCTATTGGGGTGTCACTTGCTTGGCCCCCTCAGATGACAGAACATGGAAATACCTATGTGTATACTAACCCATGTGTATACACATAATTATAAATATTTCTGTATGTGACGATCTGTATGTATATTAAGCTAAGCATGAATTGATAGCATGAATTGATAGTGATGTCTCCAGCTCTGATTATTACCATGTGGATCGTTCTAGCCTCCTTCTTTGCTAAACTGTAACCTCCCAAACAGTGAGAAACCTGGCTTTTACCACCCGCCATCCATTTACTTAATTCTGTAATTTCAGTGTACAAGCATAATGGTTTCAGAATTAACATATATCTCTTTGGGAAACAACTTCAGCAAATAGAGTACAGTGCTTATGTACATTTTCTTTTGCCTTTAGTCTTACAGTCTTCACTCATTCTCACAGTTACTTAGGTCAGCACCTTCTGCTCTGCCCACTTCAGTGAGATTGTCTCATACATTTGTAATGCAGTTAGATTGTTTTGTCACACTCTGCATTCCATCCTGGGACCCCCGCTCCTGACCTCCTAAATGATTTCGTAAAAATTTATATACATCCAGGTTAGCTCTTTGTGCTTTGTAAAGTTCATGGGTTTTGACAAATGCAGTGTTATGTGTCCACCATTACAGTATCATGCAGAATGGTTTCACTACCCTACAAATCCTTGTGTTTCACCTATTCAGTGCTTCTCCCTCCTTCCCAACTGCTAGGTCCTTGGCACCACTGATCTTTTTACTGTCTCCGTAGTTTTGCTTTTTCCAGGATGTCATATAATTGGAATCATACCATACATAGCTCTTTCATACTGGATTCTTTCACCTAGGAGTCTGCATCTAGGATTCATCCATGCCTCTGTGTGGCTTGATGGCTCACTTCTCTTTTAATCACTGAATATTATTCCATCGTACGGATGTACCATATCTGTTCACCCACTGAAAGACATTTGGTTTTCGGCGATTAGGAATAAAGCTGCTATAAACATTTGTGTGCATGTTTTTGTGGGGACATACATTTTTAAATCAGTTGGGTAAATATCTAGGAGTATGACTGCTGGATTGTATATAAGACTATGTTTAGCTTTGTAAGAAACTGCCAAACTTTCTTCCAGAGTGTCTGTAGCATTTTGCATTCCCAGCTGCAATGAACAAGAGCTCCTTCTGCTTTGCATCCTTTCCAGGACTGGGTGTTATCAGTGTTTTGGATTTTAACCATTCTAATAGTTATATAGCGGTGTCTCATTTTTGTTTTAGGAAGAGGTTTTTAATGCCTTCTTGATGGCTTAGTCCAGGCTGAGGTGCTTTTATTTGGTACTGTGTTTCTAGCTGTTTATAATTTGGGCAAGTTGCTCTTTCCATTTTTGTATTTTAATAATATTAAAGTTAGGCATGTTTACGCCTGACTAATGAGCATATGGAAAATTGTTGAAGTGATCTTCTCTGAGGTTGGGTTTGATTTTTTTAATGTTCTTTTTATGATTGTTCATGTGCCTCAGGCATCTAGAATATTAATAATATGGATTACTTAACCTTAATGGTAATGGCACAAGTTTTTAAGACAAGTCTGAACAACTTACAGAAGATTATCACATTCCATGTTTCCTACCTAGATGAATATTAACAAGCTGAAAAAGATCTTGAAGAGATGTACATGAATTGTTCATTCATTTGTTGATGAATTCGTATCTGATGATTTGAGACAGAGTCTCGATTTGTTGCCCAGGCTGGAGTGCAGCGGTGCAGTCTCAGCTCACTGCAGCCTCCACCTCCCAGGTTCAAGCGATTCTCCTGCCTCGGCCTCCTGGGTAGCCGGGACTACAGGCATGCACTACCACGCCTGGCTAATTTTTGTATTTTCAGTAGAGACGGGGTTTTGCCATGTTGGCCAGGCTGGTCTTGAACTGCTGACCTCAGGTGATCCACCCACATTGGCCTCCTCAGATGCTGGGATTACAGGCGTGAGCCACCACGCGTGGCCTATATTTAAAAATTATAGAAGATTCTATACCATAGCAACTCTGTGAAGGTCTTACTCAGTAGCTGTTAAACTTTGTATCCTACCCCTTCATCTTTTTATGGCCTTGAAAACTTAAGTTTGCTGTATCTGATGATGTAGGCTCATACTGATAGTATACCCTGGAAAACCTTTTAAGATTTTAAGCTCTGTAACTTACAGTCTTTATCTACTATTCTCAGATCTTTACACATTGTGTTGGTTCTCACATTGCTATAAAGAAATGCCCGAGACAGGGCAGTTTATAAAGAAAAGGTTTAATTGGCTCATGGTTCTGCAGGCAGTACAGGAAGTGTGATCCTGGCATCTGCTTGGCTTCTGGTGAAGACTCAGGAAACTTACAATCATGGTGGAAGGCAAAGTGGGGGCGAGGTGTCTCACATAGTGGGAGCAGAAGCAAGAGAAAGCGAAGGGAGGAGGTGCCGCACACTTTTAAAAAACGAGATCTTGCGAGAACTCACTGTCAAGAGAACAGCACCAAGGGGAGGTGCTAAACCTTATGCATGAGAAATCCACCTCCATGATCCAGCCACCTCCCACCTATGCATGAGAAATCCACCTCCATGATCCAGCCACCTCCCACCTATGCATGAGAAATCCACCTCCATGATCCAGCCACCTCCCACCTATGCATGAGAAATCCACCTCCATGATCCAGCCACCTCCCACCTATGCATGAGAAATCCACCTCCATGATCCAGCCACCTCCCACCTATGCATGAGAAATCCACCTCCATGATCCAGCCACCTCCCACCTATGCATGAGAAATCCACCTCCATGATCCAGCCACCTCCCACCAGGTCCCCCTCCAACATAGGGACTGCAATCCGACATGAGATTTTATGGAAACACAGATCCAAGCTGTATCACTCAGCATTCATATACCAAAGTATGTAAGCATCTGTTGCAGTTATTGAGGATATACACAAGTGAAAATTCAGTTATTATTTTAAGATGGCAGATGCAGACACAACTTGTGCAGTGACGTTGATGCAGATCTTACTTTAGTCCATGTCTTCCTAAAAAAAGGACGTAAGGTGCTTTTATGATATAAACTGTAGTGAAATGGGTATCCTTGCATCTTACACAGGCCCTGGTAAGTAGGTGTTCAGGGTATGTGAGGGACAGGGTCAGTGGGTGGCGAGATGTGCTGCACCCAGTAATGTGAAGCTGCTGTGTCTACCAAATGCAAGATGCGGCTGGGTTTGTCAAATAGGGGCCGTAAGTTCTGCACACACAGACAGCAGACACACATACACACCCTGATGTCTGTACACAGCACAGAAACAGTTTGTGCAATGGGGACTCTGCACAAGGCCAGATGCCATTTCACAGGCTTTTGCCCCACCAGCCCCACAGGTGATGGATCCAGGTCACTTGGGACTGGCCCACGTTTAACCAATTTTCCATGCCTGGGCTATCTGTTTAAGGTTGAAGGAGCCAGTTTTCATTGGAGGGAAAATGAGACAGTGGCTAGTTTGCCACATTCTTGTATTTTTGTTTTAACCGCATTAGGAAAAGTAAAAGCCTCGTGATTTTTCAGGTATGATTGAGTAAGACTTAAACACCGAGTCTAGGAAATTACACACAGTAGGAACTATGTAAATATGTAATGTGGGAGTTTGCTTTTCTTCGTACCTGTATCTTCTGTTTCATCTTGCTTCAAGGTGTGATTAATCACAAAGACATATTTTGTGCTGCTGTGCTGCTGTAGTGTTTTGGAATAGTTTGAGTGACTTCAGCGTAATTTATGCCATCCTACTTGCTTGTTCATTTGGGTCTCTATGTCAGCTATTGTGTGGAATACATTTGATAAACAGGATTTATCTGATTTCAGCAGTATTTTGTCAGGTAGCACATTTCCTTATTTTAAATTTGAGAATAATCTTAGAATATTCAGTCTGTTTACTTTTAGTATAATAACTGGCACTTGGGTTTAATTGTACCGTACTTATTATTTGTTTTCCATTGGTCAGCCTCTTCTAATTTTTTTTTCCAGTTTCGATGCTTTTTGTTTTTTTCCTTCCTCTACCATTTGTCTAATGGTAAGCTCTAGAGATTACCTCACGCAGTTTTGACTTTTTAAAGACTATAAACTAGTATCACTTCCCAGAAAAAATGCAAGGATTTTACAACACTGTAGCACAATGAAGTCCTCCCTCCTTTTAGGATATAGTTGTCAAGTGTGTGTGTTTCCTACAAGACATCATTGTCACTGTTCCATACAGTTGATTTTTATTTAGATTTATATTCATGGTTGCCCTTCCTCTTACTCTGTTTTCCTTACTACACCTCCGTTCTTCCATCTGGATTTCTTCCTCTTTTCGGAAGAATTAACTCTTTCAGATTTCCTTTAATATAGATTTTCTATTGATAATTTCTTCATTTTTGTCAAGTATTAATTTCACCTTCCTATTTTTTATTCAATATTTATGAAAAAATTTTAAATTGAAAGTGTTTTCAGTCAGTATTTATATACTTACCACCTGGATTCTACCAGTAATACTTTATTATACTTGCTTTATTACATATCTGTCCAACCATCTTATATTTTGATGCATTTCAGAGTTAATTGGTACACTTTCCTTCAAGTGTTTTCTACATGTTTATTATTACCTAGAGTTGCATATTGACTTACAGTTTGCTATTCTTTTAGATCATGTTTATATTCAACAAAATGCACAAATCTTAAGCTTGCATTCACCTAGTTTTGATAAGTGCATACACATGTAGTAACCCAGACTCCTTGTAAGATGTATATTACATTTACCTCAGAAAGTTCCTCCTGTCCTTCCCAATGAATCTCCCAGCTCAAGGCAACCACTGTTGTGATTTTCTTCTGCCAAAGATTGATTCTGTCCTCTAACTTAATATAAATGGAATCATACGTGTGGACTCTTGTATAAGGCTTCTCTCACTTGAGCATGTTTCTGAGGCTCATCCATACAGTCGTGTGTATCAGTTGCTCATTCCTTTTTATTGCTTAGTAAACTTCACCTGGAGTATTTCTAGTTTTTTTACTATTATGAACAAAGTTGCTTTGACTACTCTTGAACAAGATTTTGTTTGTGGACATTTTTTAATATTTTTTTGAATAAATACCTAGAAGTGGAATTGCTCGGTCAGAGGATAGGTATATACTTAATTTCATAAGAAACTGCCATGTGTTTTTTCCCCAAAGTAGCCGTATCTTATTAACTCCCAACAGCACCGTATGAGAGTTCTGGTTATTTCATGTCCTCATCATTGTTTGGCATTCTCAGTCTTTTATGGTTTTAGACATTCTGATGGGTGTGTAGTGCATTTACTTCATTGTGATTTCAGTTTGCGTTTTCCCTATGACTAGTGATACTGAGTGCCTTTCCATGTGCTTATTGATCATGTGCCTGTCTTTTGTGCAGTGTCTGTTCACACCTTTTGTCCATGACTTTTGCCTACCCCAAGTCTTGAAGTTGTTCTCCTGTCTTTAAGCCACCTACTTTTTTTTTTTTTTTGGATGATATATTTTCTAGGTATAGAATTCCAGATTGGCAGGGGTTTTTTGTTTGTTTGTTCGTCTTACTATTCTTGAGCGCTTGGAAGATATCATTCCATTGCCTTCTGATTTCAGTTATTTTCTGATGAAATCACCTCTCAAGTCGTATTGTTTTTTCTTTGAAGGTATTTTATCTTTTCTCTGTATTTAGGATTATTTCTCCCTTGATAGTCAAATAATAGAAATTTTTTTTCTCTTTGATTTTGAGTAGTCCTATTATGATGTGCCCAGTTATACTGTCTTTGTATTTATTCAGCTGTGATTCACTGAACTTCTTAAATCTGTGGGTTTACATCTTTCGTCAGTATTAGAAATTTCTCAGCCATTATTTTTATAAATATTGCTTCTGTCCCATTTTTGCATCTGTTTCTGGGTCTCTAGTTACATATATATTACACATTTTCACTGAGTCCTATACGTGTTTTATGTTATTTTCAGTATTCTTTTTCACTCTAAGATCTCTGGATTTTTTCCGTCTGACACACCTTTCATTATACTAATATCTCTTCAGTTGTATCTAATCTGCCATCACACCTATTGTGCTTTGTTTGTTTTTTGAGACTAAGTCTCGCTCTTTCGCACAGGCTGGAGTGCAGTGGTGCAATCTCAGCTCACTGCAACCTCCATCTCCCAGGTTCAAGTGATTTTTCTGCCTCAGCCTCCCAGGTAGCTGGGATTAGAGGTGCCTGCCACCACGCCCGGCTAATTTTTGTATTTTTAGTAGAGACAGGGCTTTATCATGTTGGCCAGGCTGGTCATGAACTCCTGACCTCAGGTGATCCACCCTCCTCAGCCTCCCCAAGTGCTGGGATTACAGGCCTGAGCCACTGTGCCCAGCCTAAACCTATTGCATTTTAACTTTTAGCTGTGTATTTTAATTTTAGTTATTTCATTTGATATTTTTAATAGTTTAATATTGTCTGCTAAACTTCTACATCTTATCATCTGTTTCCTGGACATATTAATCACATTATTTCAAAGCCCATATCTGACAAGTATAGGTTTCTCTTGTCTGTTTTTCTTGGTTTTCAGTCACTTGGTCTTAAACAGCTGGCATGTTTAGTAGCTTTTGACTGAATCACAAACATTGTATTTAAAAAAAACTGGAATGTCTTTGGATATGATTACTGTCCTCCAGTGAGGATATAATTTTGCTTCTGGCAGACAGTTAAGGTTGGACCACGTAACCTTAATCCAATCAGATATTGAGCTGAGTTTTGAATCAGCTGCTTCATTTTTCTAAGACTTGGTCTATTTCTGGCCCACCCCTGCTCTTAAGATGCAGTTCTCCTTTTCTCCCTCCACTTTCCTCCATTTCGCAGTCTTCTTGATTATGATTTCTTTAAAATCACAACTTAGATTCTAGTTTTCTTTGACTAAAAAAAACTATTTGTAATTTTAAAACTCAAGAAAATAGGATTTGAGATTCAAAGCATTACTTTTCCAGTATCCATCTAGTGTCTCTGTATCTCTTCTAGACGTTGTTTAAATGGGGATTAGTTTTTCTATTAAATGTAGGGTTTTTGCAATGACAGGAAGATAAAGTCTTAAGAGGTTTATGTTTAAGGTGTGATGGTGCCTTCAGCCTCTTTTTCTGCTAAGCACTTTTGCTTTGCACATTATGCAGAATTGTGGCTATAATAGGCCTTACTAACTCCCTGTGGCCAAGTATTTTTAAAATCTGACAATAAAAGGTACTGGCTAATCTGTTTAGTGAGTGATTATAATCAAATCATATTCCAAGGTTACAGATCTTGTTTTTGAACTTTGTTTTTTTCTTTTCCATGCTTTTTCCTAGAAACATTCAGAAAGTTTTACCAAGGTTAATCAGTAGGCAGGAAGAGAAATAACGGACTAAGAGTTGAAGACAAGTGCTTTAAGAAACTTACTCAGTATTTTAACGACACTAACTTGTAGTAACCTCAAAGAGTCTTCATTACAAAATTTAAGGCACTTGTATACTTTTTGTATACTTTCTGTGTTGAACTTGCCATTTCAGTTGTCATTCAGTACAGATCAGTCACATGCCAGTAGATTTCTTTTTAGCTTATAGTGTTGTCCTCACATCTTCCACACTAAGAAACTGAAGAATGCCACTATGTATCTTCTAAGAAAATACCTGTCTGTTGGAACAGTTTCTGATTCACTATTTATAACCTGCCCTGAGAATTAAACATAGAAAATATAGAAAGATTCATTTTTACTGCCCTTTCTCCTCCTCTGCTGACTTCATGCAAACATTTCTTATTGTTGCATAGCAACTGATCCTGCTATTTGTTATTTTTGTTTAGCAGGTTTTTTTTTCCCATGGAATATTGAATTCATATCACAATTTCCAGTCTCTGAAGCTCAGTGATAAAGGTTTTTACTTAACCCTTTTTCCTTAAAACAAAAAGCTTCACGGCATACAGGTATATATCGCTTTATTCTTCTTACGTAAGTCTATGTATAAGTTGAAGTTTTATTAAAACGGATGGCATTTTACGAACACTGGCATTATGTCCTTAGTCACTTTCAGTCTGAAACAGGTCTCCATCCTTTTCTTGATTTTTATGACCTTGACACTTCTGGAGCTTACAGACCAGTGGAATGTTTATCAGTTTGCATTTATTTTCTCATGATTAGGTTCAAGTGTGCAGATACTACAGAAGCGTTGCTGTGTTCTCTTTGTATCCTAACAGTTTGTGATTTTGGTTTGCTCTGTTATTGGTAGTATTAACTTTGGTCATTTAACTAAGGTAGAGTGATTAGGAAAACCTGGCCAGGTTTCTCCACTGTAAAGTTACTCTCTGTCTTTTTATATTTAGTGAGTGTCATTGTGGAGAGACTGTAAATATCCTGTTCCTCATCAAACTCCCACCCCCAATAGTTTTAGCATTAATTGATGTTTCTTGGCAGAATAAATGAATAGTGTGATGGTTGCTAAATGGTGATTTTCTAATCCAGTTATTCTTTCTACTTTTATTAGTTGAAAGTAAGGAAAAGCTTGTTCCTTTTCCCATTTACTTATGTGTGTGCTTGTATGAGTATACACTCTTGTATTCCTATTTTATTTAATGAGTTATAATCTCTTACCATTATTATACATTTCCATGTTTACATCACCTTAGACGTGTCCAGTGGCTGCTGTTTGTTGCAGGCTTCTGTATCTCTTTTTTTTTTTTTTTTGAGATGGAGCCTTGCTCTGTCACCCAGGCTGGAGTGCAGTGGCACGATCTCGGTTCACTGCAACCTCCGCCTCCTGGGTTCAAGCAATTCTCATGCCTCTACCTCCCGAGTAGTTGGTATTACAGGCGTCCGCCACCATACCTGGCTAATTTTTGTATTTTTAGTAGAGACGGGGTTTCACCATGTTGGTCAGGCTGGTCTCGAACTCCTGACCTCAAATGATCCACCCGCCTTGGGTTCCCAAAGTGCTGGGATTCCAGGCATGAGGCACCATGACTGGCCTTCTGTATCTTTTTGATATGCCCCTATAACTGTTTGAGCAATTTCTTTCTGGCATACTAAGATGTTTCAGGCTGTTATTTTTTCCCTGCCCTAGCCTTGCAGTCTGCCATCTCTCGAAGAGTCTCTGGTTCTTTTTAGTGGAAAACATTTAGAAGCCAAGATCTAGACTGTGGGTGTGCTCGTTGCTGTGGGTGTTGGCTGGCCCACTCCTGAGCAGTGGGCTGACCAGGGGAAAATGTGCATGTGTGTGTGTGTCCTTGGGTTCCCCCTGATACTCCAAATCCCATTTCAACCCCAAAGGGTTCTTCCTCTTCTCTCCCTTTCTGTATTTGTAATTGCTTTATTTGACAGTTGAGAAATCTAGCTGCTCATTGGCCTCAGCCACATTTACTTACTGCATCAGTTTCCGCTGTAAGTGAGCAATCCTCTGTTGCAATGCCTCCTTCCCGGTGCCTTCCCTATGTGACTCAACTCAAGGGTTGGCGGCCTACCTGACGCCCCAAGGCTGGGCCACTGCACCAGCCCACCCTCACCCCATCTGGGGACCCTATCTTGCTTGACCCCACTAGTGGCTTTTTACTTCAGGACAACGGGTGGGGCAGGGGCAAGAAGCCTAACTCCATCTTGAAATAAGCTTTTCAATTTTAGTTACTAGATTCCAGGTACTACCTGTGTCACATGGCAACGCAGCCCTCATTCTCAGAGGATTTTAAAAACCTGTTGGTAAATTTAGCAAGACTGAATATTTGCTTGGATAGTATATTCTGGAAGATCTATTTTCTTTGAGTGTTTATTTGTGCCAAATATTCAACTTTTTTTTTCTAGTAGATTGGGTCTTGTCTTAATTATTTCTGTATTCCATTTAGAGGTTAACATATGAGGCACTTGAGTGTTTGATGAATTAACAGATACAGAGCATATGAGAGAGGCACCTGGAAATTTAAGAAAAATATCCTGTTAACATTGAAATGAAATATTATATAACATACTAGAAGGTATTGTTGTTCACAGATAGCCAGCATCATGAGTTGGTTCTAAAAATCAGAATGAACAATTTTTAAAATACTGTTGTTAGTTGGCGAAGTGAAGACTTGGTGACGCTGATTCTTCCCATTCTGAAGGGTTATGTGGACGTAACTCTTTCCTTTGCTTTCAGCCAAAGACTTTTTATTTCCAAAAATGAGGTATAGAAGAAAAGACTTTTATTCCCATTTTGGATAGTGAGTGGCTTATTTTTCTTTTGACTGCAAATGCTGTGTTAATATAAAAAACATTTGTCAAGAGTAGACCCTTTCTGAGAAATATATTAGACAATATTTGTTTCAGTTATCTTAGTAGGATTTTTCCCCTTTTAGGTTTTGTTTGTTTCCTTTTGGCTTTGTTTTGTTTGGTCTTGTTTCTTTTAAATTAAACTAATTTTGGAATGTGCTGACACGCGAGAGTGGTACTGGATAGCCAGTGGAAATGCGTGGCATACGTTCCTAGAACATTAATTTTACCTGAGGTCTGGGAGAGAGACTTTTTTTATGAGATAAACATGGGTGTCCTAGAGTATCATTGCAAATTAGTGTGAATTTTTATGATTAAAAATGAGAAAAGAAATTTGGTATTTTTTGGAGGACTATTTTAGGCTGTGCCCCAAAACCCTGGGAATATTTGTTCACTCTCTCTGCCATTATGGCTGCTTCTGTGTAGGGAAAATAAAATGACAAACCTACATGTTTTCTCACAGATGATAAATGTATTTCTTCTTCTCTGTAGCCTATTAATTAATATCTAACACTGCTGTCTCTTCTAGCTTCCACAGTTTACTTTCTTTTGGTGCATAATTTAATGAGTGTTCGTTTATTTTCTGAAGTGTTATTTGTATAAAGTGAGCCCACATAAAAGCTTCTTTCCAAAGTGTTTTCATGGGAAACGGATCTTGGTGGTGATCTGTCACTTAGCACGTCACCGCCTTCAGAGCCCCAGCTGATGACTAACCCCACAGTGGGAGCTGCTACCCCTGCCTGTGGGTAGTGTGCCATGTCCTCCCTCACTGCGACCTCCACCCCTGCCTCTGACTCAGTGGTTCTCTTCAGTGGATCATATGAGTCTTTAGAAACAAATACCTGGTCGTTGGTTCTCCTGCCGACTCGAGACCTGGTGGGTTTTCCCTTGTCTGTCTAGTTTCACTCCGTGGCGCACGAGGCACACCATGCCTGTGCAGCCCTAGTCTTATCTCCTGAATCAAACCTCTCGCCTCAGAGGCTCACCCGGGGAGAGAAAGGAGAGCAGACAGAGATTGGAGTTTGAAATTAAACTTCTCATTTAGTATTGCAAACGTTATGAAGCATATATCAAAAATCAAATGTCCTGGAATCCTGCTGCCTTAGTGATGGAGCGTATTACTGTCTATAGGAACTTGAAATAGAAAACACTACCATACCAGGATCATGGGGTAGAGCAAATTAATAAACAATCTTCTTTTTTTTTTTTTGAGACGGAGTCTCTCTCTTTCGCCCAGGCTGGAGTGTAGTGGCGCTATCTCGGCTCACTGCAAGCTCCGCCTCCTGGGTTCACGCCATTCTCCTGCCTCAGCCCCCCTGAGTAGCTGGGACTACGGGCGCCCACCACCACGCCCAGCTAATTTTTTGTATTTTTAGTAGAGACGGGGTTTCACCGTTTTATCCAGGATGGTCTCGATCTCCTGATCTCGTGATCCACCCACCTCAGCCTCCCAAAGTACTGGGATTACAGGTGTGAGCCACCACGCCCGGCCAACAATCTTCAAAATTAAAATTCTTCACTTAGAGCAGAATAAGCATGTATGGGTTTGTGTGTTTAAATGTCAGGCTGCTAATACTAATAGTCGTTAGTAGAAAAATCAAGCTCAGTTTTGTGATCACAGTACTCTTCAGGTTTGGGTATGTGTCTTTTCACAAGTAGCTATAAACATCTGGTAGACCTGTGTGTTTTCTCTAGTTATCAGGAAACATTGTGGAGTCTATGTCAATTGATTACTAGCTTGTTTATATAAATGGGGAAATATAAAGACCAGGCTTTTTCTTAAACAACTGAAGAGTATGCTGGTTCTAGTTTCTTTCCTCTGAATCATGTGTGTGTGGTGGCAATTTAGTGACTGGGAGGCACTGGAAATTATTGGTTATAATAAATTGATGTCATGCCCACAGCACAGCAGGCAAAAAGGATGAATTAGAGACAGAAATAGTAATAGGGTTTTGTCCAGGAAACCTCAAGCATATGAGGTATTGCCATGTTGATTACTTTAAAAAAAGAAAAAAAAAGATAAAATATTAGAACTTTAAGCTTAATAAAAATAGATTACAGAGGAAAAACTTCTTGCTTTATGCTTCTGAAAATCTCTCTGAGTAGTTAAAGAGCTGTTTAGAAATCTGTTAGCCATACTTTCATGATTTGCTGGTGGATAGAGTATGTAGTATTGCGAAAAATTAGTTACTATGATCTTCGCCAAGTGACAGTATTCTTAACTCTGCCAGATGGTCTTTTTTGTGTGTGTGGCGGGGGGATGGAGTCTCGTTCTAGTGCCCAGGCTGGAATGCTGTGGTGTGACCTTGGCTCACTGCAACTTTCGGCTCCTGGGTTCAAGCAATTCTTGTGCCTCAGCCTCCTGAACAGCTGGGATTATAGGTGTGTGCCACCATCCCCAGCTAATTTTTTGTAGTTTTAGTAGAAATGGGGTTTCATTATGTCAGTCAGGCTGGTCTTGAACCCCTGTCCTCAAGTGATCTGCCTACCTTGGCCTCCCAAAGTGCTGGGATTACAGGTGTGAGCCACCATGCCCAGCTGGATGGTCATTTTTAACCACTGTTTTTTGGGGGGCAATTTTTATTTTGAAAAAATTTAACTTAATAGAAAACTCCTATAAGTCTTTCACCCAAATTCCCTGATTATTAATATTTACCACATCAGCTTTATCATTTTCTCTATAAGTGTACATTATTATTATTATTATTATTATTATTATTATTATTTGAGATGGAGTTTCGCTCTTACTGCCCAGTCTAGAGTGCAATGGCACGATCTCGACTCACTGCACCCTCCATCTCCCGGGTTCAAGTGATTCTCCTGCCTCACCCTCCCGAGTAGCTGGGATTACAGGTGCACGCCACCACGCCCAGCTAATTTTTGTATTTTTAGTAGAGATGGGGTTTCGCCATATTGGCCAGGCTAGTCTCGAACTCCTGACCTCAGCTGATCCACCCACCTCGGCCTCCTAAAATGCTGGGATTTACAGGTGTGAGCCACTGTGCCCGGCCTACATTAGTTTTTTCTGAACCATTTGGAAGTTGCAGATATAATGCTCTTTTTGCCCTTAAATCAGTATGTATTTCCTAAGAACAAGGTCATTCATTGACATAAACACAACGCAGTAATCAAAATCAGGGAAATTAACGTTGATACAGCACAGTTATGTAATCTACAGAGTTTAGTCATATTCTGTCAGTTGTCCCAGTAATGTCCTTCATAGCAAAATAAAGAACTTGAGGTGTTCCAGAGTGTAGTCTAGGGTCACATGCAGCATTTATATGGTATGTCTCTTTAAGTGCCCTTTAACCTTGACCTTGTCTTTGCTGTTCATGACCTTGACGTTGTTGAAAAGTACAGATGAGTTATTTTGTAGTTATTTGTCCTTCAGTCTGGGTTTATCTGATGTTTCCCCAGGCTACGTGATGTGTCCTCAGTGCCTCACATCAGGAGCACATGATTTCGGTGTATGATCCATACAGGCAGTGTTAACTTTGATCTCTTGCCACGATTCTCCTCTGTAAAAATCACTACTTTTGCCTTTGTTATTTAATAAATACCTTATAGGGAAATATTTTGAGGCCATGAGATATCCTATTCCTCCTGTAAGCATCATCCACTAATTTTTACTTGAGTTAATGATGAGTTAATCATCCACATGATTTTTACTTGAATTAATGATGTTTGTCAAATGATGATATTGTTGAGCAGCCGTATATGGGGGCTTTTGGTAATTCTTAGAAGAATTCTGTTTCTCCATTCTTAGAAGTAGTTTGAATGACTGTAGTTGTGGGAAGCCTTTGTATTGAAATTAGTGTGTCTCTTTTCCTCTATCCTCCTGCACACTTGGATGTGTGGCCTTGACCTGTGGAGTGGGCTGCCTAAAGGGAGAAGGTCCATGCCTGTCAGGACTGTGGACAGGGTCTACTGGCTGTGCTGTGGGCGCCCACGCTGCCTTTATACTCCCTCACCCCCCCTATTTCAGGGGTTTGTGGTTTCTGCAACCCAGTGCATTTCTACTTTAAAGCTTGGCTTTAGGTGCAATCAGTTGTTAATAAAATTGATTTGTGGTTGTTTTCTTGTTTGTTTACTTGAAAATAGCCGTTACTGAATCCCATTGTCACATTTTTATTTTTATATGCTAACCAGCACTAGTAATGTTTTTCTCTGGAAACAAGTAACCTCTCTATAGCAGTGCAGATTGGATTTTAAGAAATGTGGAATTTAGGTCTACATCCAGCATAAAACCCAAAGACCATGTTATACTCCCCAAATTATAGCTGGTTCATGATGGTAAAATATTTTTTTTCTTGTTTGATTACCATTACATAATGGCTTTTAAGTTATTAGTCCTCATTTTATAATCTTTTAGTCTTAACCACCTCTCCCAAAATCCCTAAATTTGCAAACTACTATTTATATGTTAGCCTTTTAAAGTTAAAAAAAATCCTAAATGAGAGTCACCTTATTCCATGTTTACCAGTGAGTGCTGCAAGGGGTCAGAAATGCCCTCCATCCTCCCCTGCAGCCTCTGCTGTGTCTGAGATCCCACTGCCCCTCCTGCAGAAATGCCCTCCATCCTCCCCTGCAGCCTCTGCTGTGTCTGAGATCCCACTGCCCCCCCTGCAGAAATGCCCTCCATCCTTCCCTGCAGCCTCTGCTGTGTCTGAGATCCCACTGCCCCTCCTGCAGAAATGCGCTCCATCCTTCCCTGCAGCCTCTGCTGTGTCTGAGATCCCACTGCCCCTCCTGCAGAAATGCCCTCCATCCTCCCCTGCAGCCTCTGCTGTGTCTGAGATCCCACTGCCCCTCCTGCAGAAATGCCCTCCATCCTCCCCTGCAGCCTCTGCTGTGTCTGAGATCCCACTGCCCCCCCTGCAGAAATGCCCTCCATCCTCCCCTGCAGCCTCTGCTGTGTCTGAGATCCCACTGCCCCTCCTGCAGAAATGCCCTCCATCCTCCCCTGCAGCCTCTGCTGTGTCTGAGATCCCACTGCCCCCCCTGCAGAAATGCCCTCCATCCTTCCCTGCAGCCTCTGCTGTGTCTGACATCCCACTGCCCCTCCTGCTGCTTCCACCCTGGCAAGCTTGATAGGACCAGAGCTTGTCATCAGCAGCTTCTGAAATTGCTAAAGCTCATGGAATGCAGTCTGTCCCATAATTTAGCCCCGATTGAAAGCTGAAGTGTGTTGAGGGCTGAGGGTTGTCCTCCTTAGCTGCTGTAGTGGGCCCTTCCCTGGCTGGCTTGCTGCTGGCCTGAGATTCCTTCTAACCCCCTCCTGGACACCTACTGGGAGAACATGAAGGCAGCCTCCAGTTCTCTTTGAACACAGTTCAGGAAAGGTGGAAGGTAACAGCCTTCCTTTCCATCTGGTTAGGCTGATCTCTCTAAGAAACACTGGCTGGAATGAAAGAAGGGCAGCCCCTACCAGCCCAGGGCCACCAGAGCTGCCAGGGAACGCCTGTCTGTGTTTCTTCCCTGCTGCTGGTACTTGCAACCTCTGTCATCCTGCCATCCAGTGACTCACAGCTGCAGCCCTAGCTAAGATTTAACTCCTCTTGGAGTCTTCCTGCCTCCTCTCCTCCCACCCCACTGCCCAACCGCCTGCTGGAAAGGCAGCCCTGCCGCTCCACCAATCAGATGGGTCAGACCAGCCCCAGAAGGATGGGAAGGAGTTAGGCTGGGCGGGCTCATTGGCTTCCTCCTTGTTCTTAGGCATCTTTCTCATGTGAGCCTTTCTCTTCTGCTCACTCGTCCCCACCTTGTTCTATAGGACGTTTGGTGGTTCCTCCTGCCAGGATGCCTTAACGTTGATATTCACGGAAGGCTGAGGGTCGGGGGAGTAATAGGCAACTCCTTCTTTAACCACCAGCCTCATTATTCATTATTTTCTTTATGTAGTGGATTTTTGCCAGACATGCATTACAATCTCAGATGATTCTACTCTATACCCATTTGTGGGGAATCACTGTTCTCTAAGAGGAATTAAAGGAGATTTCACATTCTCTCTCTGGCTTGCCCCGCCACCCCCGACCACCTCCCCCCGCACCGCCCCCACCTATAGACACACTCTGGGTTGCCCTGGGAGGGCAGTGGGCAGTGGGATATTGGATATTGTGTTTCAGAAGGTGTACAGGCTCCCACAGACCCTGGCTCAGGCAGGGAAGGGGGACAGGATTTACCCAGGGTGGCTGACTTCGCACACATGGCGAGGGAGAACCTCCTGCCTCATCCACAGAACTGTGGCCTGGCAACATGAGACCTGGCAGAGGGAGGAGGGGTGGCTGGAATGTGAGGAGACCTAAGGGGTATGCAGAGCAGTTGGGGTGGGTCGAATTATTCCCAGCAAGCAACATGACCAGGGTTCCATATTGAAAGACCACCCCGACAGGTTCAGAGCAAGGTGAGGCTGGGGCAGAGGAGACCTAAGAGATTTCTGCAACAGCCAGGTAAGAAATGAAGAGAATCATAGCTGAGAGGCTTGCTTGCGGGCTGCAGAAGAGTGGGTACATCGGAGAGACTCGGGAGCTGCATCTGGAAGAGTCTGGTCCCTGACCCATCTGGGGGTGCAGGGGCTGGCAGGTGTTCTTAGTCAGTGCATCTTTCATGGTACTTAAGAACAGTTCTTGAACAATTCTCCTAACCTTGTTTGTACTGTTAGTTTGCCCTGAATTGTAACCCCAGAAAAGACTTTTGTGACTTTTCTGGTCCAAACCAGGCAGGAGACAAACTGGGACCAAATTAGTCAGGAGACTTGCTCGAGGACACAGCCTGTGAGAAGCAGGCCAGGCTCCAGCCCGTGTCTTCTTCGCGTTGTGTTTACCCGTCATGTGAAATGCAGTAGGACTGCAAACCTGAATAATTTTGTCGATAGATGGCATTTTTGCGTAAAGGCGTCTCTTATTTTTTACGTGGATACTCTTTAAAATGAAAATCAAAAAAGTTATTCTGGAAGTAAACTGGCTCATGAAATGACAACATATGGTGACAGCATTTCGTCTTATTCAACCTAGAATGTCATCTTAGTTCCCGGATGATAAGGGATATTTGGAATGAGGTATTTATTTTATGTTGTAGAATATTGGATAACTGCCACAGTACCGGGCATATAGTGAGTATTCACAAAACATTGGTTGCGTGAAACGAATTGTGTGAGTCACTTTTTCTTGTATCTTATTCAGAACGATGCTTCAGAGGGCTTTTGTGACTCACTTGTCTCCAGTTGCTGATGCAGCTGTAATGCTGTTAGACACAGGGATCAAATGAACATACGCTGCTGTTCGTGGTTTTGGGGGTTCTATTTTGGGGAGTGCTATGTCTGTTTTTAGTTTCTTGAAACTGCCTTTTATGCACAAAACCGAAGTAGACTGAATCTATAACTGCAGAGCCACACAGAATCTGGTGCGTCGTGTTTCCTGTCCAGCATTGCCACTTCCAGGTTTTTCATCTAACTTGAATAAAACATGTTTATTTTTTACAGAATTTCCACAAAATTTTATTTTTGAAGTTGCTTTTCAGAAAATCTGTTTTTAACTGGTAAAATACATGTCACATCTAAATACACAGTTCAGTCATTTAAGTATGTAAGTTGCGCAACCAGTCTCCAGAACTGTTTCATCTGAAATGATGTGTTTTTTGTTTGTTCGTTTGTTTGTTTTTGAGACGGAGTCTCACCCTGCCGCCCAGGCTGGAGTGCAGTAGCACAATCTCGGCTCACTGCAACTTCCGCCTCCTGGGTTCAAGCGATTCTCCTGCCTCAGTCTCCTGAGTAGCTGGAACTACAGGCGCGTGCTACCACGCCCGGCTAATTTTTTGTATTTTTAGTAGAGACGGAGTTTCACCATGTTAGCCAGGATGGTCTCCATCTCCTGACCTCATGATCCACCCACCTCGGCCTCCCAAAGTGCAGGGATTACAGGCATGAGCCACTGCGCCCGGCCGCAGTGATGTTTTTTGAAGGAGTTCTGTTAGAATTGAAAAGGTAGGAAGCTGGAGGCGCAGTGTCCACAAATGTAACAGAGTGTCTTGGTGTCAGGAAAACACAGCAGGGCACAGGTCAGGCATGTGGTTTGGGCAGCAGCAGTGGGAGCAGGGAGCAGCTCAGTGGTAGATGGGAAGGCAAACTGCTTAGGAGGATGCCACACTTAGGAATGAGTTTCTTTAGGCGAAGTCTGCACGTGCCTGGTTTACCTCCAGTAAGTGGGGCTCCAGCATAAAGGTGAAGGCTCTGGATCACAGCCAGCAGACTCTTTGTGCTGTGTAAAGGGTTGGCGGGTAAATGTTTTAGGGTTTTTGCAGGCCGTGGGATCTCGCTCCCAGCTGCTCAGCTTAGCCACTGTAATGCAAAAACAGCTGTAGACAGTAACAAAAGTGAGTGTAACTGTGTCCCAGTAGAAGTTTTAATGGGGGATTTTGGCCAGTGGGCCGTAGTGTGCCGACCCCTGCCCTGAGTTACAGATGTAAGTGTTTCTGTTTTGGGCCTGGTACTACGACTGCTGTTTCCTCTCAAGTTATCCAGTTTTTGAAAGTACGCTTTCTCCGCAGTGAGATGGGAGCAGTACCTGTAAAACCTGTGCCTGGCATGCGATGACATGAGATAATCTGTAAAATGCCACTCGGAAAGTAGAAGTTACTGATGTGTTTTTTGTGAGCGGTGACTCTGAAAACTGGCTTTTAAATCATAGTTCGTTCATGGGTTCCCGTGTTTAATGTAGTAGCCAACTTAAGACTTACGAGAGGGCCAAACCACCGTCACAGACACCCGAGAGGACGCAGCAGAGACAGATGTTAATTTCTCTGTCCAGTAACGGGATGGCTTTTCCAGGATTTCGGGGGACTGTGTTCCTTGTCATTGAGGGGTCCAGGGTCTTCCATTTTGCTTTACTGCCGTCTCCTGTGGCATTGTCCTTCACCGGTCAGTAGCGTGGCTGCTGTGCTTAGGTGACAGACAGCTGCAGGAGAGGAAAGAGCCTGGAGACACAGAGCTCAGAGCCAGGTCTTAAGCACAAGCCAAAAGGGGAGCGGGTCTCTCACTCACACTCTGCTTGGGGGGGTCTTGGTTCACACCTAACTGGACAGAAGGCCCGATAGCCGGAGTCAGACCACAGTCTGTCACCACAGGGGAAGGGGGACAGATACATTGGCGATGAGGTCGCAGTCTGTGCGACGTGACGGAAACAAATCCTTACATCCCAAAGTGAGTCCCCAGCAGGCTTTCCTCTCTTTGGTGGACTGGGTTTTTGTTTCTCAGGTTTCAGATATAAGGCGTCCAAATACCACTCGCGGAATTCTTAGCGTATACCAAGGTCAGATGTTTAAGAAATGCTATTGCACAATGTAGTTTAATTGACTTTTAGGTTTAAAAGCTCCTAATTTGAGATTCAAATAGGCTTCTAACAAGTATTTCCATTCGTAAGAATCCTGGCTTCTTAGGAATCGGTCACCTGTATTTGTAGTTTTGGTTTTGCTGTATAGTAATTTAACATTATATACATTTATAGCTTTACATTATATAAGGAATTTATCATTTAACATTATAAATTGTTTATAATTTAACATTATATAAATGCCGTAATTTGGGGTGTCCTTAGATATTTGCCCTGAATTTGTCTCTCCTAGAAAATCATTCTGGCTGTAATCGTAGATACAAGGACTTGGGAATCTTCTCAGAGTATAAACCAGCAGATCAGTCCAGATGGAAACGTTTCCCTTAGGGTTCCTTCCTTTAAATTTGTGTTATATGGCTTTTAGTTCTTCCTCTGCCATAACAGGTGAGCTTGGGAATACATTTGTGATTAAACTTACATTTGGGCAGGTATGGAAGTGTCTTGTGATTAGTTACCAAAGCTTAACGTGACCTTTAAATAAGGAACATAATTAATGGGCTTCCAGTCAAATATATCAATAATTTGAGGGAAGAATCTTAAATTGCCAGGCATTGCCTCTCCCCACTCCTTCCACCCGTTGGGGCTGGCCTTGAACTCCTGGGCTCAAGTGATCCTCCTGCCTCAGCCTCCTGAGTAGCTTGGACTACAGGCATGTACCACCGCACCTGGCCGGAAAATCTCAAATTGCATAATGCCACTTTCTTTGGGAAGAAATCAAGCAAAATTTGTGATTCTTGAGTATCTGTATAGATGTATACTTGTGAAGTAGGTAAACAAAGAATAAAAGAATTAAGACTAAACATGCTTTGCCCCTTTTTGTTCTAGGAATGTACCAGTAGTTCACTGAATTGCTGGGGTCACATACAGCCAATGTGGTATATTGAAGGGTTTTTTTAAAATTATTTTTTCTTTCAAATACAAATGAGGTCTTGCTATATTTCTTAGGCTGTCCTCGAGCTCCTGAGCTCTAGCGGTTCCCTTGCCTTGACCTCCCAAAGTGCTGGGATTATAGGCATGAGCCACCATGCCCAGCCTATATCGAATGTTTGACAAATACATTTGAAGCCAGGGCATTTACATTTAAATTGTGGCTTTATTGCTGGTGTTGGCTAATCGTCCTATAGTTCGCATAGTGTATATGGTTCCTAGTGTATATAGTTTATAGTCTAGTCATGGATCTCGGGGTGTAATCCCGCTTGGTGGCATTACAGTGCTGTGGCTTCTCTCAAGTTAGTTTGACATGAGTTATACCCTAAGATAATAACAGTGGTTATCACTAGGTAGACAGAATAGGTTTAATGTTTCTTTTTACCTCTCTGAGTTTTCCTGGTTTCTGCCAGTAAACATGGGTTATGCCGTAAACCTTCCCACTTCTGACACCTGGCCTTCACATCAGCATGGGACACCAGAAAGTGCCTGAATAAGAGCCAGCAAAGAAAAATGTTTTCATTTCTTCTAGTGTAATTTATACTTATGGATCTCATGAGAATTACATTGTTTAGTTAGGGTATGCTTATTTTACATATATGTTTTTTTTTTTTTTTTTGAGACTGCTTCTCGCTCTGTCACCCACGCTGGAGTACAGTGCTGTGATCTTGGCTCACTCTGTCTCCCAGGTTCAAGTCATTCTTCCGCCTCAGCTGGAATTACAGGCGCCCTCCACTACACCTGGCTAATTTTTGTATTTTTAGTAGAGACAGGGTTTCACCACGTTAGCCAAGCTGATCTCGAACTCCTGACCTCAAGTGATTCACCTGCCTCAGCCTCCCAAAGTGTTGGGATTACAGGCATGAGCCACTGCTCCTGGTCTTGTATGTCCATTTTTAATATTTATATATAATTTATATTAACTAACTGGGGTGTCGACACTATGTATCTGGAATTTGAATCTATTTGATAGTCTCTCCTGCAATTACCTCCTCCCTGGAGACAGGGTTTTTTTTTTTTTTTTTTGAGACGGAGTCTTGCTGTCACCCAAGCTGGAGTGCAGTGGCACTATCTCGGCTCACTGCAAGCTCCGCCTCCCAGGTTCACACCATTCTCTCGCCTCAGCCTCCTGAGTAGCTAGGACTACAGGCACCCGCCACCACGCCCGGTTAATTTTGTTTTTGTATTTTTAGTAGAAACAGGGTTTCACCGTGTTAGCTAGTATGGTTTCGATCTCCTGACCTCATGATCTGCCCGTCTCAGCCTCCCAAGGTGCTGGGATTAGAGGCATGGGCCACCACACCCGGCCAGCTTTTAAATAAAAAATGTAATAAAAAGTTTGTAGCTTTCGGTTGACACATGACTTATACCTTTACCATTAGCCTTTAAACTTTCTCACATCTGTGAAATTTTTGTTGTTCTTATAGCTTATAATTTTCATGTCTCTTTTTCTTTGGTTGAAATCCTGACACAAATAGTAGGATAGCTTGGTTTTATTTAGCAGTTAATGTTGTTAACTATTTCAGGAAAATAAGATGATCCAAAATATGATTATTGCTCAGGTGTGATATATGAGTATGTAAGTACTGTATAGTTTGCAAAGTATAATTAGTTTTGTAATCTTATATGTGAATATGTTGCATTAGAAGGAATATTTTTCAAATGTCAGAGTAGGATTATGAGTGATTCCTCCCGTTTCCAGAATTTTATAATAAGTATATATTGTTTTATAATAATAAAGAAGGTTTAAAAATAGTTCATCGTAAGTGATGTAAATGTTTCTACTTGACGGCATTTTAAGAGTCGCGTGGGTTATGGGCGAGCTTATGAAATGCGGTTTGTAAGACTACTTTTCATTCATGAATCCCTCTATTTCATTGTAGTCAGTCTGTTATAAGACATATGTTGTGGAATCTGTTCAAAACCTGGGGAGGAAGTGCATGAGATCTTATCTTCTTGGCATCAGAAGTGTACTCTTGAAAGTAGAATTTTGACTTTTTGAGATGCCACTGTTTATCCTCCCACCCTTCACAGCTCTCCCTGTCTCCCTTCTCCCAACCCAACCCATGCATACAAAAAGTCAGGGTTTGTGATTTAATTTAGAAATAGAGGCAAGATTAGAAAATGGAATTGTGTGGAGACTTGGAGATCATGTAGCATGCAGCAGATCTGTTCTAGGAGGAGTAGGAAGCTCTGGTTGTGAGTGATTGAAGACCACTGCACTGTTCAGAAGCAGCTGTCGCATCCTCTTCCGTTCAGCACCTGATTATTATGTAGCTTTATTTAATGGTGCAAAATACCAAGTAGAGAACAAGGAACATAAGGGCAAAATTAATGGCTGGATAGCTGTTGTGGCTACGTAATTCTGATCTAAAATTAGTTTAGAAATTACAATTGAAAATGCAATTGTGAAATATCATTTTGAAATACTTTAAAATGCTGCCTAGCCTACTGAAATGTTTCTCAGTTGAGGTACCCATGTAAAATGTGTGCGTACACATGGACACACAAACAGGCTAAGAAAGAAGCAGAGGAGTAGAGACATTTAATTAGTTGAGACAGGTTTACCTCCAATGAAATTTTTCTTTTCTTTCAGTTTGTAGCACGTGGGTGGTCTATGTGTTAATGTTAATAATAAAACAGAAGTTACCCATTCTTAGATTACTTAACTCTACTGTCACTAGTGATGGCTTTCCTGCCGAAGGCGCTCCGTAGCTACATGAAGAGGGCACAGAGAAAATTACTTGAAGCTTTCGAGTCACTTTCACTTTTAAAAGATGCTGGTGGCCTTTGGATCCCACTTTGCCCTGGTGCTTGGCCAAGGCCAGGGCATCTGACCGCCCCTGAGCACATGGAGGAAGAAGGTGGTAGAGGGAGGTGTGGAAATCCACGCTGATGGCCCTACCCTTGCTGGTGCCCTCTGTTGCTGGGACTCAGTGCCCCACCTGCTCACCAAGCAGAAGTGATGTCAGAGTGGTCTCCATGGCCAAGAGAGCAGGTTTTGTCAGGCAAGGAAGGAGCGTGAAGATGCACACTCTCCTGGTGTGGAGCATGGTGCTATCCCCAGCGTGTCTTCCTCGGTGCCAGGAGTGTTGGTATTGTGTGCACATTAAATAGAGGACTTTCCCACTCTTCTCTTTACTCTTATGCATTATCTGACCCAAATTTGGGTCCATGGAGTAAACATACTTGGTCAGAAACTGTGAATAGTCATTTCCAGCATTTAAACCTTTCTTGCTGATGACGCCATTAAAATACGCACATGTGCATGCACACAGCGTGACTGCGGCTGGAGAGGAAGGAGCGTTCGCCTGCTCCCGGGCAGCTGGTCAGGCTGGTGGCCCAGCCGTTTATGCTTGCTCCGTGCTCCAGGGTGTGGCCCCTTGCCCAGGGGAAGAAATGAATGTTCTGAAAGAGCACAGCGTATTCTTCAGTCTGCTCCAAGGTTGATTCCCTCTGGAAAGCTTCCCTGGCCCCCTCACTGCTGTCTGGTCTCCCTCAGGTTTTCCCTGCTGGAGAGGCCTTCCCTGACCCAAGGATATGATGCTGCAGCCCTGCCCTCGCTGCTGTCTCCCCAGCTTCGTGGTTCTCCAAAGCTCTCATCCCCGTCTGACACACTCCTTGTTTGTTGCCTGCTTGCCGGACAGGCATTTCTAGTTGTCTTGTCAAGAACCAGCCCGAGAGAGAGCTGAGAGCCAACCTCGGCTTTGCTGTGTGCAGTGGCTGCGGGGTGTGAGCAAGTTGCTGAACGCACAAACTAGAGTATCCCTGAAAGTAAAACGTGCACAGTAACAGAGCTACCTCGTCGGATTACACCAGTGCATACAGGGTAGGTCCTTGGTATAGCTTCCGAGAGATGTTAGTTGTTAATGTTATTATATAAAATCACATAAATTATTTCACTTCAATGGGAGAGGAGTGGTAATAAGCATTTTTTAAAATTGGGTGCCTCTGAAGGGTGAAAGGGCTGGCTGACAGTTTAAACATGTTGCCTAGAGTTTAGCTAAAAGGATAGTTGAATGATTGTGCAGGGAGGTAGGTTATTTTGGAAATACATGTAGGATGATTACTTTCAGCTATGACATCTTAACCTTTGGATAAATGTTTATTAAGGGAATACATCAATGCCAGGCTCTGCTGTGTGCTGTGAGACCTGCCTTCAAGGCACCTCTGTGGAGCCACGAGGGAGGCGTTTAGAACTCTGAATTCTGAGAATTCTAGTTGATCCTCTTTGAAGGATGCTTTTCCTCTCGTATTTCTGAAGATATTGATCTTCTGTATTTGAAAGTCCCCTTGTCTTAGCTCTTGTTGCCATATTGTTTGGGAGTGGGGGGAGTTGGGGTTAAGGTTGGCTGTCTTGCCTTGGCTGGTCTGCCCCAGACCCCTGCCTGGCTGTCTGGGAATCTGAGGGGTAGGAGGTGGGGGTAGGGATGGGGATGTCTTTTCTGAGCAGGCAAAGGCCCTGTGCAGAGTGTGTGTTCTCTTAGCTCTTGTTTATTGGGCATGACACGTCTCTTCTGTTGTAATGTTTACGTATTGACAGGAGCCACTTACATTGTTGTCTGTGATTAATCTTTTTGTCCTTACCTGTAAACGAGATACAGTATCTACTCATTCATTTATTCAGCAAGTACTTAGAGGGCAATTACTCAGTGCTTGGCACCTAGAACAAAATGAGTTTTGCTCTCAAGGAGTTTAAAATTGTGAGGATTAAATGAGTGTGTTGAGAGAGAGAGAAGTATGGTATCTCATAGCAGATGCTTAAAAATATTTCTCTCTTCTTTTTGTATAGGGCTTTTTAGTTTAGAATACTGTGTTAAAGAACAAACAATCCTACTCATTGTTAATTATTAATTACTTGCATTTTATTTCCACCTACCTCTTTCCACAAAGGATCTGAAGTTTAGTGTATTTTATATATTTCTGTAAATTTTTTTTTTTTGCTTAGAGCAGTGAGTAGATAGATGGATGAAGGAAGGAAAATGAATGAATTTATTATAAATGAGAAGCCAGAGAAAAAGTACTACCAGTTTCCCCTACAATCTACTTAACATAGATAATTTGAGGATGTTTTTTCCCTAATAGGTTGCTTTAAAAAAAAATTAAGTTTTTTGGAGGAGCTTTAGGTTCACAGCGAAATTGAGTGGAATGTGCAGAGATTTCCCAAGTGGCGCCTGCCCCTACACGTGCACAGTCTCCCCCAATATGGACACCTTGTACCAGAGTGGTGGTACCTTTGTTACAATTGGTGAACCTACAGTGACATATCATTATCACCCGAAGTCCACAGTTTACAATAGGAGTCACTCTTGGTGTTGAACATTCTGTGGGTTTAAACAAGTTTATGACAGATACCCTCATATATGTATCATACAGAACAGTTCACTGTCCTAAAAATCCTCTGTGATCTGCCTGGTCATCCTTCCTTCCCCTGTAACCCCTGGCAACCACTCATCTTTTTACTGTCTTCATAGTTTTGCCTTGTTTTGTTTTACAGTGTTATATAGTTGGAATCGTACAGTATGTAGCCTTTTCAGTTTGGCTTCTTTTACTTAGTAACATGCATTTAACTTTCTTCCGTGTCTTTTCATGATTTGATAGTTCATTTTTTAAAAATGCTGAATAGTATTCCATTATCTGAATGTGCCACAGTTTATTCATTCACCAACTGAAGGATATCTTGGTTGCTTCTGAGTTTTGGCAATTATGAACAAAAGTGCTGGAAACGCCCATATGCAGATTTTTGTGTGGACACTAACTTTTCAGCTCTTTTGGGTAAATACCAAGGAGCTCACTTGTTGGATCCTATAAGAGTATGTTTAGTTTTGTAGGAAACTGCCAAACTGTCTTCCTAAGTGCCTGTAGCATTTTGCATTCTCCCCGGCAGTGAGCGAGAGTCCCTCTTGTTCCATGTCCTCACCAGCATTTCGCGTCGCTCCTCTCGGCCCTTCTACTAGGTGTGTCGTGGCATCTCGTTGTTTGAATTTGCATCTCCCTGATGACATATGATGACTTTCACATGCTTTTTTCTACCATCTGTGTAACTTCGGCAAGGTGCTTGTTAAAGCCTTTGGCTACTTTTTAATTGGGTTGTTTTCCTATTTTTGAGTTTAGAAATTCTTTGTATATTTTAGATAAGTCTTATAAGTCTGTGAATATTTTCTTTCAGTCTGTGACTTGTCTTATTCTCTTGGCAGTGTCTTTTGCAGAGCAGAAGTTTTTAACTTTAATTAAGTCCAGTTTATCAATTCTTACATGGAGTGTGTCTTTGGTGTTGTGTCTAGAAAGTCATCACCAAACCCAAGGTTGTCTAGATTTTCTCCTCTGTTTTCTTTAGGAGTTTTGCAGTTTTGCCTTTTGCATTTAGGCCTGTGATCCTGTGAAGGGTAAGGTCTGTGTCTCGTTTCATCTTCCTGCATTTGGATGTCCAGTTGTTCCAGCCCCAAGGGTTGAAAAGCCTGTCACTTCTCCGTGGGATTGCTTTTGTTGGTTGCCTATGCTCTGAAAACTGTTCATATTGCTTCCCTGGGAATTTGACACTATGGAATTTAAAGCTTTACTAGCTTCCCTTCCCCACCCACCCTTCCCCAGAAAAACAAACCCACTCCCTCTTCTTCCCTCAGTCCCCTCTCCAGTGTTTTTCTTACCCTCTTTTTTGAAAGAAAACTTTCAGAATGGTGCCTTTGTGAGGTAGCTGTGAAGTGAGAGTCCCCCCTCAGACTTCATATGAACTGGAGATGGCAGACGTGGAGTCTTCAGCCTCACAGGGGTCGTGCTCAAAACCTAGGGTCCAAACCTGTGGCATTTAACCCCACCGCACTCAACACTGTGTAATGACAGAAACACTGACAGTTCTGAGTGTAACGCATGACCCAAAGCTGGGTTGGGACCCCAGGGCTTCTAGAGCAGTTGCTCTTCCTCCGAGGACTCAAGTGGTGGAGCTGGGCTGCGGGAACCCTTGCTCCCCGCCCACAGCGCCACTGTGCTGTCCCCACTCACCAGGCCTCCACTGTCCCAGCGCCGCTGGAGTCTTTAGGCGGTGGTGGGGGTGGTTGGGTTTTTTAAGTAAGACATTTCTTCATTAAATGCTATACGTTAACACGGCGTTGAATGTCTTTATGTCGAATAAGATTCTACAAAAAGTCAGGTGTAGATGAAAAATATCCTAGAAGGAGGTGAATCTGTAGGTCATATTTGACCCACAGATATACTTTGGCTTGTATTTCTTTTTTCTCTCTTTTCCTTTTCTCTGTCCCTTTCCCTTTCTCTCTCACTTGAACTGGTTGCCAGCACTTCAGTTAGACTTGACACAGAACAGCTGGATTTCTAGCTTCCCTTTAAACCCGGCTGCACTGGGCCTGTGTGGCACGTCCTGGTCCCCCCGAGCTCCATCCCTTCTGGCTTACATCCACCTTGTCCCTGTAAGTTTGTTTTTAATTTTATTTTTGATTTAGTTTGTGCTTTGGCAGTCCCCTAGACTAGAGCTTATATCACGTTCTCGTAGAGACATGTTGGGTCACGTGTGACGCTGGTGTGTGGTCCGTGTTGACTGGAGTGGAGAGGGTGCTGAGAGAGCACGGGCGTGGAGGCCAGAGGGCCATACCTGGTGCTGGGTGGGCCGGGTTTAGAAACACCTTGGGAGAGAAGCCTGGTGGCCGCTTCGTGGCAGGCCCGGGCTGGGACTCTTTCGCCCGCCACGCTCGCCGGCTCGATCTTGTGTTCGCGCTTGTTTCTTCTCTGTACGTGACATTTGGGCTTTCACTGCCTGGTACGGCGCCTTTCACGGGAGCGTTCAGTAAATATTGAGTGCCGTGTGTGCACAGGACCTCATCTGTTTAAAGATGGTTCTGCATGTATTCATCCTGCATCATGCTGCCACGTCTGCCACTTCATTTTTTTTTTGTTAAGGCGATGCCTGGTGCATTCAACTGATTGCCCCAGATCAGATGTTTGTGAAGGGAAGACATGGGAGTTTAGATAGTTTTCGGACTGCAGATAAGGGTCTCCTACCACAGTCTCTGCTGATGATGTAGACATGGAATGTTCAGTTGCAAAATATATTGTTTCAGTTTTATCGCTTTACTTATAGTCTTATGCAGAAGCCTTGAATTACTAGCAACAGCTTTTGTTTTACTTTGCTAAGCTTAATTCTCAAAATTATTTTGAAATGAGTCAGGCTTCTCTAAAAGGTGTTTAGGTTTCAGAATTAGTAACCATTCAGGACTCATTCATAATAATTCTCTTTTTTTTTTTAACCACTAAAGTCCCAGCTTAATTTCCATGACAATTTCAGTTTTTAAAACACAAAACGTAATCCTTGAACTTAATTAGATGAAAATTGGCAAAGCCTACACAAAACTAATTAGGAAAGACCTAGCAGGGACAGTGGGATAACCATGCGTCCTGAGAGTCTGGACCGCCACCGTTTATGCTGGTGGTCTCGGCCTGATTATTAACAGACCCACTCTTTCATCTCACAAGGTCCTGCTTGGGACAGTAAGTTACCCGTGGAGCCTACCTGGAAGCATATGAGAATGTAATTTAAATGTTTAAAACTCGTGACTGGCTACCAGCAGTTACGGTCTCTTGACATTTAGACAACGCTTACTTTCTTTGAACCACTTTTCAGGACAAAAGGGTGAGAAAACCACTTCTCTGTAATGAACTGAAACGCTGCCTAAGTCCGAATGGGAAGTTGTCGCTCTGTAGCAGTGATGGTCTGTAGCTGAGGCTGAACCGTGTACGTGCTGAAGGACAGTCATGTAAACAGTTAACAGGAAGAACGAGGACTTAATGAGAATGTTGGCTCTCCTTGCAGCGGACAAGAAGGACATTTGCTAATGAAGACTGTGGAAGGTATTTGTTAACCAAAGATTAGATATGGGTAGTTGATGGTTATTCCCAGCTGGGCTAGAAGTTCCTGGGAATAGCGTGACCTTGGTATTAGCCCCTCTCAGATTCACTGGAGAATGACGCAGAGCCCTGAAACATCTCACAGGAAGGGAGATGGCTTTGCTGGAGTTGAAGGATATGGAGGCACTTTTTATAACAAAGATTAAGGGTTGTTTCATGGACAGTGGAAATTAAATGAAGTCATCAGTGCCACTATAAGCATCTTAAGAAGGTTTCTTTGCTGAGTTTTTTTTAAGCAAGGAATACTCTTGTGAGTATTAAGTTAACCTGTCTAGATTGAGTTGTGTTTTCTTCTGCAGTACTTCTAACTTTCTGTTTTATAATATTCTTCTAGGTGATGTGCCAAATTATAGATTATTGAAATACCTTATAATAAAATCCTCTTAAACTTTGAATTTGGTACTATCAAAATATTCTGGAGTTTTGTTTGTTTGTTTGTTTGTTTGTTTTCTTTTTTGAGATGGAGTCCTGCTCTGTTGCCCAGGCTGGAGTGCAGTAGTGCCATCTGGGCTCACTGCACCCTCCGCTTCCCAGGTTCAAGCGATTCTCCCACCTCACCCTCCCGAGTAGCTGGGACTACAGGCACACGCCACCATGCCTGGCTAATTTTTGTAATTTTAATAGAAACAGTGTTTCACCACATTGGCCAGGCTTGTCTCGAACTCCTGACCTCAAGTGATCTGCCTGCCTCGGCCTCCCAAAGTGCTGGGATTACAGGCGTGAGCCACTGGCCCGGCCCAAAATATTCTTTATAACAAAAATGTCATTACTTTATTCCTGGAGTTACTAAAATGAACTGTTAAGAATCTCGTATTTATAACTAATTTTATAGAGGAGTTGGAGATTAAGTTTCACAGGATAGAAACAGTTAATAGGGACGTGTTATTGCCCTTTAATGCTTCAAATATAGTTTCAGTCAATGAAGATATTGCTGCAGCTTCAGCCATAGCAGGAGTAGGTGGGCAGAAGAATGTCAGAGCTGGGCTTCAGAGGATTTGTGACTCGTTCTGACATGGTCACATAAGATCTTTGAATTCTTTACCTTGACGGATCCTCTGTCTAGTACAATGCAGTCACTTTTTTGTGTTTTTTGTCTGTTTTTGTTTTTGTTTTTGTTTTTGTTTTTGTTTTTGTTTGACAGGGTCTTGCACTGTCACCTAGGCTGGAGTGCAGTAGTGCGATCATGGCTCACTGCAGCCTCGACCTCCCAGGCTCGTGATCCTCCCCCCTCAGCCTCCTGAGTAACTGGGACCACAGGCATGTGCCACCACCTCTGGCTAATTTTTTAATTATTTGTAGAGATAGGATTTCACCATGTTGCCCAAGCTCATCTTGAATCCCTGGGCTCAAGCAGTCCTCCCGCCTCAGCCCCACAAAGTGCTGAGGTTACAGGTGTGAGCCACCTTGCCCAGCCCAGTCATTTTATAAATGAGAAAACTTGAGACTTGATCAATTCAAGTAGCTTGTCCAAGGTCTTACAGCTTTATTCTTGAAATTGTTATATTCTAAACTTTCTTCCAGAGAAATAGTAGCCTTATTTCTGTTACAAGAAAATTGCAATTTAGTCATGTGACTATACGTTTTATTTATTTATTTATTTATTTATTTATTTATTTGAGACAGGGTCTCACTTTGTCACCCAGGCTGGAGTGCAGTGGCACGATCTCGGCTCACTGCAACCTCCGCCTCCCAGACTCAATTGATTCTCCCACCTCAGCCTCTGAAGTAGCTGGGACCTCAGGCATGTGCCACCACCCCTGGCTATTTTTTTTTTTTTTTTTTTTTTTTGGTAGAGACAAGGTTTCACCATGTTGCCCAGACTGGTCTGGAACTCCTGGGGTTGCAGGCATGAGCCACCATGCCTGGCCTGACTATACTACTTAAGGGTCAGGGACTTCAACAATTTCCTGTTGAATGCAGGAAATTGCCTGGAGCTCAGTAATTAAATGCTACCTGCGTGTTTCCTACTTAATGGCATTCTGGTGGTGAGCAGTGACGTAGCCCATAATATGAGGGAAAGCAGGGAGATGGTTGGAGATGTAGGCGTTAAACGCTTAATGACCAGCATTTCTCCTTGATGTGCCTAGAGCAAAATGATTCAGTTTCATCTCACCCACAGCATGCCTCTTAAATACGCATCCTCAAAGAAAAATGAAAGGTAGGAAGTAGGGAAAACCCAAATCACAGCAGAGAAACTGGAAACTTGGTGAGGTTAAAAAAAAAAAAAAAAAAAAAAGATATTTCGAGGAGAACATTGCAGGGGATTCAAAAGTTCAGTACAAATGGCCGCCTTGCCACAGAGGCAAAGATTCCATCCAGAAGCACTGAGATCTCTTGATGTGGTCACATGGGAGGGCTACCTGGGAAGGCGGGGAAGGGGGATGGAGGGTGCTCCATGGAGGGCGTTCACAGGGAAGGGGGATGGAGGGTGCTCCATGGAGGGCGTTCACAGGGAAGGAGGATGGAGGGTGCTCCATGGAGAGTGTTCACAGGGAAGGAGGATGGAGGGTGCTCCATGGAGGTTGTTCACACTCAGAGCAAGGGCTGGCCTGGAGGTCCCATGGCCCTGGAGCCTGGTGGGGCCCGTCAGGGCTTCCCTAGGTTTTCCTTCCTGCTCCATTCAGAAATCACAGATGATGTATGAATTTCTTTCCTAACCTGGCTTTAATATCTCATTGACATTTTTGCTTTGCATTATATTTCACATTTCCTGTTCTTAAAGAGCTCTAAAGACAGCATATTTGATTTCTGCCTCTCCATCTCCCATTCCACACGCTGAGGGTAACAAGAAAATGTTTCCCTACCTCTACACCAAAGCCATTTATGACAAGGCTTTGTACAGAAATTGGCTGAAGGGCACCACCCGAAGCCCATTTGGGCAGGTCTTGGTTAAGGTGGAGGTACTCGTCCTTACCTGCGACAGAGTGTCTGCTCACCTGTTGCTTAAACCCGCATCACCCTCTTTTAGAAAGGGAGAGCTATTTCCTTGACGTGAGTTTAGATTTTTTTAAAGATCATTACAGGTATGTGTTCCACCCAGTCTGTCAGGTAGGAACTTCTCTGTCTGAATTGTTTATATACCGTAGCAACATTAATAAATAATAAATTAATAAAAGTAACTCCTCTGGGACAGAGCAGGGGCCACCAGCCAGTCTGGGCGTAGACTTGGCTTTATTTTAAGTTCACTTTCTCTCAGGTGCTCCCTCCCCCAAGCATGTGCATGTGCACCACTCACACACACCTTTTTATCTTACAACAGATTTCTTTTTCATTAAAAAAAGAAAATGGCCGGGCTGGGTGGCTCACGTCTGTAATCCCAGGGCTTTGGGAGGCCGAGGCAAGCAGATTGCTTGATCCCAGGAGTTCAAGACCAGCCTGGGCAACCTGGTGAAACCCCATCTCTACAAAAAAATACAAAAATTAGCTGTATGTGGTGGTGTATGCTTATAGTTCCAGCTCCCTGGGAGGTGGAGGTTGCAGTGAGCTGAGATCACACCACTGCACTCCAGCCTGGATGACAGAAGGAGACCCTGTCTCAAAAAAAAAAAAAAATTATATATATATGTAACACATTTATTTCAAACTTGTAGAGTTTAGCCGGAAGGTACTTACAGCAACTTTCACTGTAGTTTAAAACCCTCAGTCTGTTTTACAGCTTCTACCAGCCTGTTTAGTCAATACTTTTCTCCATGTTCACCCCCTTAGCACACACACTCTGTGAAAGTAACAACCGTAGGCAGCTTCTAAAACACTTTGTGAAATGGATTCCTGAAAATGTGTGGGGATGTGTTGTCCTAGTGGGTGTGTGAGAAGTAGTCAGTCATGTAGAGGCCTCCCGTGGGGGCCCGCCCTCCCTGTGTGGGGTATGGACGGCCAGGAATAAAGTGTGCAGTCACATTTGGTCTAGGGAGTAAAAAAAAGGTGACCACTATATCATCTCTCCAGAGTAGTATATATTTTCTCTTTAAATATGCTGCTGATTTTTGCGTTTTAAAACACATCCTGGCCAGAGGAGCCCAGCCTTATCCTTGTATGCCGTTTACCATGTGTAACATATCGTGTCTGTCATCATCAGCTGTTTCCTTCTGTATGGATGTCATTCAACAATTTCTCCATACTTGCTCTGTTTAAAGACCTCACTTGTTATGAACTCGATGTGTCAAGCACTGAGCTGGACTCTGGAGATGGAGGCAGTGGGCACCCACACCCTCCCCCGTTTGCACGTGTTCCCGCAGCTGCTGCAGGGCTGTCCGTGTGGTGCCTCCTTGCATGGTCATTCTGGCCCATGCGTCTTGTTTCCTGGATCCTGTCATCTTCTTTACAGCTTTCTTTCCTTGCTTTAGAGGAACATATCCTTCAGTAGCTTCCTGGGAAGGAATGAGTGCAAGGTAAAATTGAGTCCTGAGTATCTGACATCTTTTGCTGTTCTCACTGGATGGATAGTTTGGGAAGAGAATTCTACACTGAGAATAATTTTCCACTCCTCCCACTTCTGAAGGCATTGTTCTTCAGCTCCCAGTGGTGTTATCTGTGTCCGGTGCCATTTCCATTTCTGATTATTTGTATATGCCCTTTTTCCTCCTCTGTGGAAATTTTTAGATTGCTTTTTCCTGTAGTTTTTATACTGGATACTTTTATACTGTACTTTTTATACTGGATACTTAGAGTTTAACCCAGGCACCTGACTCCCTTAATTCTGGATCCATTTTTTTATATTGTTGTTTTCCCTCCTGTGTGCTTTTTGTTCCTAGAATGAATACTTTTCTCTCCTGTTGTCTGGTTTTTTTTTATCGTTATGATCTTCTAGGGATTTCTTCAGTTTTATCTTCAAACTCTACTCCTTTGTTTTGCTGTCTTGTGTTTGGTTTCAAGGGTTTTTTCCTCTGATTTTCGTGTTTATCACATTCTGTTTTGGTTGCACTGTCTTCCCTTTGACTATATTGTAGATTTTTGTTTTTGTTGTTGTGTTTTTCTTCTGTTCACTGCGTTGTTTCTGTTCCACCAAGGGTTTTGCTTTTGTTTTGTTTTATTTTCATCATTCCCATTCAGAACCCTTTTTCAGCTGCCCTGATGATCCTTGACTGTTGATTCTCATTAAGAGTGAAGCATTGAGAAGCTGACCAGGAGCTGTGTAGCAGAGGCTTTTAAAACTAGTGTCTTTGCTGTAATGATCCAGCTTTTTGGGTGATGTTTTTGTTGGCAGACTCTAGGTATCTATGGTACTGTTCAATTGATCCAAAAGACTCTTCCGGTTTCCTGCTTGGGGTGGGGAGTGGAATAAGTTTTCTGGGACACAAGTGGGATATGAGGGCAGGGTCCTGCTCAAGTCCCCCAATTTCCATTTCCCCATTATCAGACTTGCACCTCACCACCTTGTGCTTGGGTGTAATTTCTGGAAAAACTAAACTTCAGAGTTATGTATTTATCAAGGAAGTAAACCCAGAGGACTAAGATGCAGCATTCATTCATAACTGTATAAAACAACTGTGATACATACTCTACTCCTGTAGTGACTTCATAGCTGCCTCCTGTTGCCACTGTGGTGAGCTCAGCTGGTGCAAATGTAGGCTTGAAATGCTGGGTGACACTAATCATCCCCACCTGAACAGTTCATCACTCCAGAAAATTGCATATTGCAGTCAAAAGCGATCTCTTGCAGTTCTTATATTTTTCGTCAGATTTAGTGCAATACTGTGAACCTCGAATAACACCGTGGGACCCATATGAAGTACCACTAACCATGCTGAATGGTTCCCAAGAAACAGAAAAGTCATAATATTACAAGAAAAAGATGAATTGCTTGCTAGGTACTGTAGATTGAGGTCTGCAGCTGCAATGGCCCATCCATTTCAGATACAGACGGTTGATTTTGTAAACAGACAATGTAAACTCACAGTATTAATACATACAGTGCTGTAAGTGTATTTACTCTTCCTTCCATGCCATTTTCTTAATAACATTTTCTTTTCTCTAGCTTCCTTTATTGTAAGAATGCAGTATATAATTCACACAACATGCAAAAGATGTGTTATTGATTGTTATTGATAAGACTTCCAGTCAACAGTAGGCTATTAGTAGTTAAGTTTTTTAGGAGTCAAAACTCATACATGGGTTTTTGACTGCATGAGGAGTCGGCACTCCTAACCCCCACGTCGTTCAAGGATCCACTGTATTTGGGAAGAGAGGAGAAAATCATGTCAGTTCCACCACTCCTGTTCAGCCATAAGTCTCCAATGTGTGTTCTAAGAATACCTCTGTGCTACTGTCTTGAAGCACTGTTGAGGGAGGAACAGAATTCTGCAAGCAGACCCATGGGGAACCTGTGGCATGACCCAGTGGGGCTGGAGAGAGAAGGGTCGGAGATACATGGGGAGATGGAATTGGCAGCACGAGCTTCCTGCAGGGCAAAGAAGGAACAGCACATGCTTCAGACTGTTCTCACCTCACTGTAGAAGACAGCTTGTAAGGCCAAATTAATGTGTGTTTACACTCTTGGAAATGGAGAGACCTTCCACAAACGATATTATGGTTCTTCGTGTTCATTGTTAAGAATTTGGAAATTATGAGCAGATGAAATGGAAACAATTTATACTTGAAACAAATACATGTAGAATCTCTGCCGGAATTGTCATCTAGCTTTTTATCTCACAGCAGACAGTCATGACTCTGCTAGCTCTCAGTTAGGCACATTGTGGGCTTGTGGGTCTCTGCCGTGGAAGAGCCTTCCTTACCATGAGATCCTCAGGTGCAGTCAGCGGTGGGGTCTGGTGGCCTGCGCAGTTACTTAAGTCACGTTACAAAGGCTGGCCTTGGTGGAACAGGAAGCATGGCTTCCCAGACCCTGGGAGCGTCTTCTGAGGCACCGTAGCAGGTCCTTGTAACTGCTGTGCCTCCGAGTGCCCCAACAGGATTGTAAAATGACTATATTTGCTTCAAGGTTTTATGGCCTGCAAATAACCTTTCTCAACCTTTCTTCTCTTTGAGTCCCCACATGACATTTGCCACCTTGTAGCCCTGCCGTTTGTACCCAAGAATCAGCCCAGCTAGAAAGTGAACAGTAAGGATGCTTTGGGCAGGAAGTGCATCAGGCTTCTTTTGTTGCGACCCACAGAAGGAGCAAAGTAAAAAGAGAGATAAGTTAACGTGGTTCATCCAAGCCTTGTGGCAGGGCCTTTATCTTCATGTTGTTTGTATCTGGCCCGCCCATCAGGGCTTGAAGGAGTCCCGGTGCCAGTCGCCTACTGCCTTCTCTCAGCAAGCCCCAGGTTACTTCTTTGCTTCAGTTTATTTAAAACAAGAATTTGAGATTTGCTTTCCTGTAGTTGATAGTAAAGTTGATAGTAGGTAGCAGAAGGGGCATGTAAAATTCCATATAAAGTGTGCCCTGTGTGCTGCATGGGGGTCAGAGTCGGAGTTTCTCCTCCTAGCCTAGGGAGGCCCTGCTTCCTACCCCCACAGAAAACCTCACCACCTTTTCTAATTAATTAGAAAAGTGTGCCACAGTGTGGGAGTGATTTCAGTGGTAAGTCCATGCGTGCACCTGCCATGTGGGGAGCATAAGCGGTGTGGGAAGGAAAGTTGGAAACAGCGGCGGCACTTTGGAGGACCTGTAATTCTGCTCTAATTCTTGCTCTAAGACCGGACTCACGGGTGCCCAGGAGGTAGAGGTTAGCCCTCATCAGACCCCAGCTCTGTGCGGGGCCTGGCAGGCATGCCAGCTCCCTGTTTACTTTTTACCTTATGAGAAAAAGAAGTAAGGTATAAAAGTGCCCATTTATATTTCTCTACTATTAAACGGTAGTTGCAGTGGCTCAGGAAAGAGTCAGCATATGATTGTCCAGAGGCAAATAAACCAGTCAGCCAGAATGCGTGTCATCCCTTACCAAGAGTTAGTCTTTAACAATATGAACAAAAAACAACCATGAACTTGAAAGAAACAGGACTAATTTACCAGATACCAACCTCAAATGCTTTCACTGAACATTTTTTGCAAACTATTACTCTGCATTCCAACATGCTTTGTAAAAACGTTCATCTCCTTGCCCAGATGTACTGAGGCATTAGGCACATTCCCTTCCTAACTTGAGGGAACCCATTTTGGCTGATGGCCCGTAAGCTTATGCTGTCCCAAAACCTGCGCCACGGGGCGGAGGCAGGGTTGGTGGAATGGTGAGCCCTGTGCGTCCTGCATGTTTCCCATCTGCCAGCATTTTCTGATCCCCCAGGCACCAAGCTCCGTGCTGGTGCCGGAGACCCCGTGCTGAGCAAGCAGGCCCGCTCCTGCCTCCACAGAAGACCTGGGAGAGGGGTACCTTCCTCGTACGCAGGAGGCCAGCAGCGTGAAGAGGGTTTTCAGCGTGTGCTTTTGCTTCCAGAGACCTCAGCAGAGCCTTGATTCATCCCTGCAGCATCCTCGCAGGGCCAGGCCGCCTCCTGCCTCTGATAGGCTTTCCCTTCCCTTAGCTCCCTGGAAGCAGGGTACTCCTTCGCTCAGGTTGTTTGCCTGGAGTTCTTCTGGCTCTCAGGAGGAAGTTTATTCCCACAGATAGAAGCCGCAGGATCTGCTATTCAGGTCTTCAGCCAGGGACGCATGACTCTGTGGGTCCCTTTCACAGGCGTAGTGGGACGGGGGTGGCTTTATCTTTCAGGCATGCTCCTGTGGTGCACTGTGATCTCAATTTTATATGTTTTCATTATGGGACAACTTTTTCATAATTCTGTTTGCCTGTGAAAGTATATTGGCCAACTTTGGTTATTAACCCTTACTTCCTTAAGCAGTTTCTATCTGTGAATTCTTCTAACCACATTGGACTGCTGTTGATCGGGCCTTATCTAGGGCCTTTTGTGTGCTGTGGTCCATTCAGAAACATTTCTAATATTTGCATTTTCTTTAGCATGTGCTGGCACTCAATCATACAATACTAAATTTGTGATCTCTTTTTTTTCCTGTAACAGATGCAGCAGCTTTTTTATGAGAATTACGAGCAGAACAAAAAGGGGTACATTAGAGATCTCCATAACAGTAAAATTCACCAAGCTATCACATTACACCCCAACAAAAACCCACCCTACCAGTACAGGCTCCACAGCTACATGCTGAGCCGCAAGATATCCGAGCTCCGCCATCGCACAATACAGCTGCACCGCGAAATTGTCCTGATGAGCAAATACAGCAACACAGAAATTCATAAAGAGGACCTCCAGCTGGGAATCCCTCCCTCCTTCATGAGGTTTCAGCCCCGCCAGCGAGAGGAGATTCTGGAATGGGAGTTTCTGACTGGAAAATACTTGTATTCGGCAGTTGACGGCCAGCCCCCTCGAAGAGGAATGGACTCCGCCCAGAGGGAAGCCTTGGACGACATTGTCATGCAGGTCATGGAGATGATCAATGCCAACGCCAAGACCAGAGGGCGCATCATTGACTTCAAAGAGATCCAGTACGGCTACCGCCGGGTGAACCCCATGTATGGGGCTGAGTACATCCTGGACCTGCTGCTTCTGTACAAAAAGCACAAAGGGAAGAAAATGACGGTCCCTGTGAGGAGGCACGCGTATTTACAGCAGACTTTCAGCAAAATCCAGTTTGTGGAGCATGAGGAGCTGGATGCACAAGAGTTGGCCAAGAGAATCAATCAGGAATCTGGATCCTTGTCCTTTCTCTCAAACTCCCTGAAGAAGCTCGTCCCCTTTCAGCTCCCTGGGTCGAAGAGTGAGCACAAAGAACCCAAAGATAAAAAGATAAACATACTGATTCCTTTGTCTGGGCGTTTCGACATGTTTGTGAGATTTATGGGAAACTTTGAGAAGACGTGTCTTATCCCCAATCAGAACGTCAAGCTCGTGGTTCTGCTTTTCAATTCTGACTCCAACCCTGACAAGGCCAAACAAGTTGAACTGATGAGAGATTACCGCATTAAGTACCCTAAAGCCGACATGCAGATTTTGCCTGTGTCTGGAGAGTTTTCAAGAGCCCTGGCCCTGGAAGTAGGATCCTCCCAGTTTAACAATGAATCTTTGCTCTTCTTCTGCGACGTCGACCTCGTGTTTACTACAGAATTCCTTCAGCGATGTCGAGCAAATACAGTTCTGGGCCAACAAATATATTTTCCAATCATCTTCAGCCAGTATGACCCAAAGATTGTTTATAGTGGGAAAGTTCCCAGTGACAACCATTTTGCCTTTACTCAGAAAACTGGCTTCTGGAGAAACTATGGGTTTGGCATCACGTGTATTTATAAGGGAGATCTTGTCCGAGTGGGTGGCTTTGATGTTTCCATCCAAGGCTGGGGGCTGGAGGATGTGGACCTTTTCAACAAGGTTGTCCAGGCAGGTTTGAAGACGTTTAGGAGCCAGGAAGTAGGAGTAGTCCACGTCCACCATCCTGTCTTTTGTGATCCCAATCTTGACCCCAAACAGTACAAAATGTGCTTGGGGTCCAAAGCATCGACCTATGGGTCCACCCAGCAGCTGGCTGAGATGTGGCTGGAAAAAAATGATCCAAGTTACAGTAAAAGCAGCAATAATAATGGCTCAGTGAGGACAGCCTAATGTCCAGCTTTGCTGGAAAAGACGTTTTTAATTATCTAATTTATTTTTCAAAAATTTTTTGTATGATCAGTTTTTGAAGTCCGTATACAAGGATATATTTTACAAGTGGTTTTCTTACATAGGACTCCTTTAAGATTGAGCTTTCTGAACAAGAAGGTGATCAGTGTTTGCCTTTGAACACATCTTCTTGCTGAACATTATGTAGCAGACCTGCTTAACTTTGACTTGAAATGTACCTGATGAACAAAACTTTTTTAAAAAAATGTTTTCTTTTGAGACCCTTTGCTCCAGTCCTATGGCAGAAAACGTGAACATTCCTGCAAAGTATTATTGTAACAAAACACTGTAACTCTGGTAAATGTTCTGTTGTGATTGTTAACATTCCACAGATTCTACCTTTTGTGTTTTGTTTTTTTTTTTTACAATTGTTTTAAAGCCATTTCATGTTCCAGTTGTAAGATAAGGAAATGTGATAATAGCTGTTTCATCATTGTCTTCAGGAGAGCTTTCCAGAGTTGATCATTTCCTCTCATGGTACTCTGCTCAGCATGGCCACGTAGGTTTTTTGTTTGTTTTGTTTTGTTCTTTTTTTGAGACGGAGTCTCACTCTGTTACCCAGGCTGGAATGCAGTGGCGCAATCTTGGCTCACTTTAACCTCCACTTCCCTGGTTCAAGCAATTCCCCTGCCTTTGCCTCCCGAGTAGCTGGGATTACAGGCACACACCACCACGCCCAGCTAGTTTTTTTGTATTTTTAGTAGAGACGGGGTTTCACCATGCAAGCCCAGCTGGCCACGTAGGTTTTAAAGCAAGGGGCGTGAAGAAGGCACAGTGAGGTATGTGGCTGTTCTCGTGGTAGTTCATTCGGCCTAAATAGACCTGGCATTAAATTTCAAGAAGGATTTGGCATTTTCTCTTCTTGACCCTTCTCTTTAAAGGGTAAAATATTAATGTTTAGAATGACAAAGATGAATTATTACAATAAATCTGATGTACACAGACTGAAACATACACACATACACCCTAATCAAAACGTTGGGGAAAAATGTATTTGGTTTTGTTCCTTTCATCCTGTCTGTGTTATGTGGGTGGAGATGGTTTTCATTCTTTCATTACTGTTTTGTTTTATCCTTTGTATCTGAAATACCTTTAATTTATTTAATATCTGTTGTTCAGAGCTCTGCCATTTCTTGAGTACCTGTTAGTTAGTATTATTTATGTGTATCGGGAGTGTGTTTAGTCTGTTTTATTTGCAGTAAACCGATCTCCAAAGATTTCCTTTTGGAAACGCTTTTTCCCCTCCTTAATTTTTATATTCCTTACTGTTTTACTAAATATTAAGTGTTCTTTGACAATTTTGGTGCTCATGTGTTTTGGGGACAAAAGTGAAATGAATCTGTCATTATACCAGAAAGTTAAATTCTCAGATCAAATGTGCCTTAATAAATTTGTTTTCATTTAGATTTCAAACAGTGATAGACTTGCCATTTTAATACACGTCATTGGAGGGCTGCGTATTTGTAAATAGCCTGATGCTCATTTGGAAAAATAAACCAGTGAACAATATTTTTCTATTGTACTTTTCGAACCATTTTGTCTCATTATTCCTGTTTTAGCTGAAGAATTGTATTACATTTGGAGAGTAAAAAACTTAAACACGATTCATAAAGTTTTTCAAGTTATTTGAGGGAAATGCTTCTGTGGACCGCAGCTTGGGAGTGAAACGAAACCCGGTTTCAAGTGCTTCCTTCCGTTTTTTCCTCAGATGAGCTCGTCCTTGTTCCTCATCAACTCGCTGACCCCACGTTCTTCAAAACAAAGGTCTTCAAACCGGGCCTGGGCCGCGTCTGGCTCCTGGATAGAAATGTCCCCTCCCAGGCCCCATAGAACCTGCATTTTAACAACTGCCTGGCGTGGGGCTGTGGCACAACTTGGGGTTCCAGGATCAATCTAGTTAGAGGATAAATCAGCACAGTTGCAATATAACCCAAGAGTCAAAAGAAGTGAGATCTTTGATGCCAAGGTAGCAAGCTCGTGTGGGCAAGCATTGCCCCCGGGATAGGTATATTTACAGTGTAATGACAGTTAAGTCCCAGCATAATGACATTGCGCTCACAGCAAGAATTGCCGTAATTCAGCCTAATTGCCATTTACTCTGTGGGAGTGTTTAGTTTTTTCTTGGAGAAAAAGCAGAGACATTTTTATTCTTCGATAAGGAAGAGCATAATATGCATCTTCATGACAAAGTATTATAAACGCTTTCCTATTTACCATAGTGACAAACTGGGGGGATTTGGGACGTGGTGTGAGTGACACGTTTGAGTGTGCGTCCAGAATTTCAATGACCCTTGGTGAAACCTGCCATTTCCTTCCCTGCTCCCACTCCTGATCAGGTCTGTCCCTCTTCCTGATAGCAGTGTTGGTGTTCATGGAAGTACTGCCTCCCTTCCAGGCTCCGTTTCCAGAAACGCGGCCGGACCCCTCTAGCTCCCCGCCCTGGCAGTGGCGTGTCTGCACTCCGCGTGCTGGCCTCCAGGTTCCACTCTCCTCCGTCACCTGGTGCTGTTCTTTTGCCCAGAGGGTGGACTCGGCAGTTCCACAGGCACCCGGGCCCTCCTCAGCCTGGCTGCTGTCCCTGCGTCTATCATCCCCCGTTCCACAGGGCACCTCCTCCAGCCGCTGCGCCCCAAGTCGTGGGGGCATCCGTGTCTGCGGCCCTGCCACACACTTTCCCTCCCTCTGGACAACCTGACTGTTTCCCAGGACGCAGCTAAAACACCCCACTGTCCGCTCCGCTGCCACCCTGGACCCTTCTGTGGGATGTGACACAGCTGGGCCTCCTTCTGTGACCATGTGGCAGTATCTGTCTCACTAGAGCCCCTCAAGGAGGCCTGGGGCTCTTGTTCCCGCCCGTCCCCTGGCGTGTTGGGAACCACACTGCCCTACTCCCTCGAGCGCCCTCTCCACATGTGCCTCCTGCCAAAGGCGTGCCCTCCCATCCTCCGCACTGAGTACTCCTGCCAGTGCACAGGCTGAGACCTGCAGCCCCTGCTGGGCCTGGAACTGATCCCTTCCCCCTGAATCTCTGGAGGCTTCCTGCTTAACCCTTCCACTGTGGCTTCCTGCTTTGTGACTCCTGTGGACAGTATGTTAAAATCGTGCCGTGTAATATGGCTGAAGAAGAGGAGAAGGGTACAATCACAAAAGCATGAAGGGGAACCTCCCTCCTTCCTCCCAGCACCAGCTCAGGACTTCCCACAAACGGCCACCAAGTTTGTCCTGGCCAGGAAGGCAGAGCTGTAGGCATAGATGCATAGACAACATTTTTGAACTTTGCACACAAATGAGGGAATTCCTTCTCTCTTGGGCATGAGGACCCTGGCGGGGAGCCTCAGGGCAGAAGATGGATGTGGCTTCATGACCCAGTGAAGTGTGTGGGGAGAGGTTGCCAGTGGGATCCCGGCTTTGTGGTTGGATGCCAGGGACCCTGCATGGAATGGAACCAGGAGAGCCTTATGGGGCAGACAGCACTGGCAGACTAGGGGAACCTGCAGCTTGCTTCCAGAAGGTGGGTCAACTTCCCTGCACTGCTGTTCTGGGCTGGGATGAGACCGGAGCGTGGATGTGGACCTAGCATCCCAAGGCCTTCTGTGGAGACGCCACGTGTCACAAGGTCATGAGACGGTCCCTCTTTGCTGCAAAAGCAGGCAGGCCTCAGGAGCCAAGGTGGAACATTCCCTCCACTCCGGGATGTGAGGGCCAGGGAGGAGGGCGCTTGTAAACTCACAGCTTGGGCCCTTTGACAGTTCAGATAATGGAAGGAACTCTGACCCTCGGATGTCTCATCTTATTCCCGCCCCAGCCCCAACACGCCTTCATGGCCCTGCTGATGAGTTATTGATTCCTATAGGCAAAGTGTCTGAGCCCCTCCCTGCTATTTCACAAAGGCATCAAAGCCTAGGCCCTGACTGAGCCCAGAAGTGGACACGGGTTTCTTTCCCCCCAGCCCAGCAGGCTCAGAGCGCTCACTGGCCATCTACATAGCAGTTGACCTGAGCAAAATGATTGTCATATTTGCCTCCTTGCCATGCACTTGAAGGATCACCTAGAGGTCTGGGTGTTCCTGCAGCCACCTCCATTCACTACTCAGTGTGTTCACCGAGTCAAATGTACACACTAGTGAGTTGCCAGCACCACACTCCATCTCGTAAGGACAACACTTAGGTTATGGGAACCAGCGGCTTTCAGAGGCATTCTCCCTGCTGTTAGGGTCTCGTTTCTCAAGACCCATCCTCCAGGAAGGTGACACACCTGCCTACTGCACTGAGGGGCGCCTGCTCTGCCAGGCCCCAGGTGGCAAGGTTTCCTCTTGTGCCCTCATCACGGAGGAAGCCAAGGGCCAGCCCTCCCTGTGCCTGCACAGACGCCCGCCCTGGGGAATTAGGCTGCATTACTGCCGTATAACTTGCTGTAATCTCTGCTGCAAAGGAGCTTATGTGCTTCAGCTGGAGGCGGGGTGGTCTGTCAGCTCAAGCGGCTGCACAGGGCTGCTACCTGCCGCGGTGGGCCCCGCTGTGCTTGCTAAACCCTTGAAAGATGGCCCCTTCTGTCCTGCTTGAAATGAAAATGCTTGCACCAAATCTTCTTAGTCTAACTTGTTATAAATGCAACGATAATGTAAAGGTTACAATGCAATGGATCAAATTACAGTAACTCATTTCGAATGGCTTCCAGTAGAAAGCAGATGCTTCAGAGTTCGGTTTGGTTTTCTGCAGGGGTGTAGGGGTGAGGGAGGGGGTGTAGATTTTCACCGGAAACGATCGCGTCAAACAGATTAGGGGCTGGCTTGTCATCAGTGCAGTTAAACCACTTAATGTCTTTTGTCAGATATTTCTTCATATGTTTAATTTACCATTCATGATGTTTCAGTGATGAGGGTCTTCATTTCTTACTAATACAGGCAAAAATGAAATGTCCTTTAAAGAACATTCTAGCTACATTTCCTTTAAAACTGTAAGAGTAGTCGGTTATGCCTGACCGCTTTTTAATGAGAAAATATAATAAGAAATTGATCAAATCACTTAATAGCAAAGTGGTTGGGCAAGCTCTGGAAAATGCTTAAATGAAGCTGGCTTATCTGTAATGAATTTCTCTCCATCACAATTAAGTCGGCGATGCTCCCAGGCTGCCGCTGCCCCCTTCCCCTCGCCAGCTTGCCACGACTCATCCCCTTGGTTCACGCCACAGCCCTCCGCATGCCTCGCTCGCTGCTCCACGTGTGACCCTACTGGAGAAAAGAAATGCTTCTAGCCAAGCCTTAGGGCTACCTTCAGATTCATTCATTCTGAATTAAGTTTGGGTTGAGTTTTAGGCAAAAGCTCAGAAAGGGGAATCTCATTTATAGCCTCAGAAGCCCTGGGCACACCCCGAGGTCTGAAGCTAGAAACGAATCATTTCTAAAAGTGCACTTTCAAATGATCCCATTAGTGTTGTGAAGGAAGCATTTTGGATATTGTTGGGGGTTTTTTGTTTTGTTTTTGTTTTTGTTTTTTTCTAGAGAGAGTCTCCCTCTGTTGCCCAGGCTGGAGTGCAGTGGTGCAATCTCGGCTCACTGCAACCTCCACCTCCCAGGATCAGGCGATTCTCGTGCCTCAGCCTCCCAAGTAGCTGGGACCACAGGCATGTGCCACCACTCCAGGTTAATTTTTCATATTTTTATGAAAATGAGATGAGGTTTCACTATGTTGAAACCCTCTACGGGATAGAGATGGGGTTTCACTATGTTGGCCGGGCTGGTCTTGAACTCCTGGCCTCAAGTGATGGATCTGCCTCAACCTCCGAAAGTGCTGGGATTACAGGCATGAGCCACTGCACCCGGCCTGCAGTTTGGATTTTTGAACGGATTCTATTTCTTCCGTGGTAAATAACAATGTAACTGCAGCAGAGGATACCCATACAGGGAAGCAGAGAAGGGAAAGGAAAGACCAGGCCCTTCCTCTGTACCACCCTGTTCCCACTCTGCCGAGTTCCCGTCAGGGGCTGTGGTAGGTACCGTTTGATGTAGGGTGCACGTACCATACAATTTGACATCTTGCTTTTTTTCCATCCATTTAAAACACATTGGTCCTGTGAGACTGCCCGGGAAGGCTGCCTTCTCTCCTACAATTGGGCGTCTCCCTCCTGCTGGCCATCTCCAGCGTCCCGTGGTTCCATCCTGAGTCACAGGATGCAGGGAGCATCTTTCCACTTCACCCTTTTCGTACTTTGGATCATCCTCTTCCAGGGCTGAGGGACTTTGGGACTTGGCCATTTCTGACATAACACTAAGTCGTCTGGCATTTTGTTTTATTTGGTCAACGTTGACATTTTGAACCTACTAGCTAGTTCCAATAAAACCTTTTTAAAAATAAGCCCGAAAAGTGAAATGACCTTTAAGAAATACTGTGAGAATATTGCACAGTGTCTTGGATCCCTCATCCTGTGAGAATATTGCACAGTGTCTTGGATCCCTCATCCTGTGAAAATGGCAACTCCGCAGACCCAACTCTATGACTGCAAAGCTTGAGTCAGGACAAAGTGAGACAGATTTATTGATGACTCAGGGAGTGAGAAGAGGCGCGTTCCAGACAGAGGGCCTGTTTGGGAAAGAGGTACACTCCACTCCCAGGAAGCTGGCGCTCATTCCAAGAGATGGGACAGGCAGGGGCGCGGAGTGGAAGTGGGTAGCCTGAGATAAGAGCAGCTCTTTCCAGACTTGGTGAGGCAGCAGAAGCGCTGGACGAGATGTGGACATGACCAGAGGCACCGGGCCTCCGTTTGGGCAGCCAGGAGTGATTTCCTAGTGGGAAAAGTATACATTTGCAAACAGATGGGAATACATTTGGATATGCATAGATGGAATTACTAACCACCTTTACCTATGTTCTAGGCAAGTTTTGAAGATTGATATTATATTTTATATAATGTCATATAGAAAATATATATTGGTTATGATTTATCATTATATGGTTTCTGTGCTACTTGGAAGGCACGGCATGTTATTAGATCTGAAGATAATGTTTGGCTGTGGGGTGGCCTGGAGTCCAGGGGCCTGGGGACGCTGTGAATGAGCACTTTTGTAGGAGCATCAGGTGATGAAGGGAAGACGCGGCACATCTCGTGGCAGAAAGGGCAGCAGCAGTGAGCTGGGGGTTTCTGAGAGAGGGTCGTGGGCTGGAGGAGAGCAGTTGTTAACAATACATGCCTTCCTGGCTTCCCCAGGGCTAGAGCAGCCCAAAGGTCTGAGGCAGCTCCCCACACAGCCCCTGGGTAATGAGCAGTTAGGATAATGATTCATGGGCCTTCTTTAAAATTAGATTTGGGGATGGGCCTTTCTACCAAGAGGATGTGCCTTCCAGCAGGAACTCAGCAGCCCGGCTTCTCGAAGGCGGGTGTCAGCGCACTCACCATCTGGGCCGCATCCTCAGGAGGAGGTGACATACGTGTTCCATCAGCTCAGCGGGAGAGGATGGCCCTGTGCAGCCCCAGCTGGTTTCCCAGGGTCCACCAGCAGCTGCTGGGCAGCCTTGACTGCTCTGCCTGCCCAGAAGTCGGGTCTCTGCTGCCAGGCCTTCCCTGAAGCATGCTTGGTTTCCACGTCACACCTGATCTGGGGCCCTGGCTTAATGCCCTGTGGTGTCATCTCACCGCCTTCCCCCTGAGCTGAGGGCTGGTGCAGTGGCCTTTCCCTCTGAGTCGCTGCTGTTGCAGCCAACCACCCTGAGTGGCTTTGGGAGGTGAGTTTGTCACAGAATGGCTCCGTTTTGCCCCGGTGCCCTGTCCCTTTTCACCCACACAAGGGCCCTGTCCGCACGCGGCTCCGCTCGCCCGCCTTTCCTGGCCTCATGGATCTGCCTTTCTTCTGCCTCCACAGCAGTCAGTTTCAAGTTAGAAGGAAAATATCCACAGGCCACAGGATTTGGGAGAAAATGGGATGCATATGGACTTTTGTAGGTTTGGGACTAAAACACTGCACATTGTCTTAAAATGAATTGTCTGAGAGGACGTCGAATTGCCAACTTTGAGGACAGCTGCTGTGCAAATTGAATCCATTTGCAGATTTTGACATCAGAAACACAATTCCTATTTGGGACAAGACCTCACTGTGTTTGGCTTCTGAATGGTGAGCAGGTAGCTGCTATGGCTAATGTCAGGGTTTCGCCAAGCTGCAGCCACCTCAGTGAGCACTAAAACCAAATCCAACCGTGCTGCAGTGATTCGTGTGAGCCCCCGGCAGAATGTCCCTCTGCAGGAGTCTTGATGCTTGAATATGGCTCCAGAAGAATTAACTGAATTGTACATCCTGAAGTGACAGGGCAGGCCTGGGCTTGGGGGCAGAGTGAGAGAGAGTGATTCTGTTATACTGTCTGATATTTTCCTGTATCCCACTGTACACACCAACCTATATGTAAAACCCATGAGAGACTAGGGTAAAGGGCAGTGAATACAAATACCAAGACCCAGATTAGTTGTGAGCTGTGTGCTTGGCACTGTGGAAGGAGAAGGGGCCTCAGAACCAGGCTGGCCTGAGTTGGAGTCAGTGGTGGTCTGAAGCCAGCTAGGGACTCATGAAAATGGATCCCCAGCCCCACATTCAGTGACATCATGCTGGCCACTGAAATTGGCTGAGGTGGGAGTATTTACACCACAAGAAATGGCACATGCTTCAAAGCAGGCTTTTTTTTCTTTTAAATTGGACTTACCAGCACAGCATTGGTTTGGATCAACTCCACAGACGGTTGGCCAGGCCCTGTGCCAGTGTGCCTGCAGCTGTGTGACCTTGGACAAGTTCCATGTGCCAGAGCTCAGCTTCCTCCTCTGCAAGATGGGCATAGTTACCAGTAACTCCCAAGACTGATGAGAGAATTGACAGAAGCTGGCCCTCCTCCTGTCACTTCATTTCAGTTTGGTGTCACCTCCCCACTATCTCCCCACCTGGTAGCATCAGCTGCTCAGAACTCCTTCCAGACCCACATCCCGTGAGTCACCAGGTCCCACAAACCCTCCTAGATAAGGTCCTAGGATGCTCCTCCCACCCCCTCATCTCTTGACAAAGCTGCATTTACAGGGCATGCCCTGCCCATTTCCTGCTCCTCCAGTCCAGCCTCTTCCTTAAATAAAAAAGAAAAACAAATCTTATCTGGGCTCTCCTGCTTAGACTGAACCGGTTCAGGCCCAGGCTTCCCGGCTTAACTGGGCTGAGGCTCTTCTTGATCGGCATCGCCTGTATTTCTGACTTCATCTGTTCTCCACAGCCCCCGCCCCATCACCACAGCCCCCCAGTCACTCCCTCCTCCTCCTGAAGAGGAAGCCAGGCAATCACTTCTTGGAAGCCACGCTTTTCCCCCGGGGCTTCCTGTGCCTGGAATGCCCGGCCCTCACTGCCCTGGGCGCACTTCCTGATTCGGGGGCAATGTGACCTTCTCTCTGGGCATGTTAGGCAGGGTTTTAGCCGTGCCTCCCCCAACCCTCAGCCCGGGCCCCTTTCCACCTGCCATGATTGGATCTCACTCCCAGCTGGGGACTGTGTCTTGATCTACTGGGTGCCTGCTGCCCCACCAGGCTGGCCAAGCCCATGCACACCCAGCTTTGTGGCCCCCCCTGGGGTCTGGTAGGTTATGGTGTGCAGCCAAGATTAGTTCCCCTTCACTTCTGTTCTAGCCTCTCAGCTGGGTTTGCCAAAGGAAAATAACAGCTAAAATTAGATATTTCTATAAAGACAGCCTGGGACATTCAGTTTTTAGGTGAAAACAATCAAATAGCTTTCAATGTAAGAACAAGAACCTGACTTCACAGACACGGAATGCTTTCACTCTTGAATCATAAAGTTAATATTTACGAACCATTACTAAGTGCCAGGGACTTCATATAAGTTACTTCATTTACTGCTCCCCCGTCTCTGTGAGATCAGAATTCTTGACCTCAGTTTACAGATGAGGACTGGAAGGTCAGGGAGCTCAGGTGACGTGCCCAAGGTCATGGAGCCAATAAATGGCAGATCCAAAATTCATACCAGATCAGCCTTATTCCAAAATCCATGTTGGCGGGAGAGGGGAAATGCAGTGCCAGAGAGATTTAAGATCCTCAATTTAGACTGCTGGTAGGGTACCAAGAAATGGCAGCTCTGTGAATAGGATGTTTTACTGTAAAGCTCGTAAATAGTTTACCTGTTTAATTTTTCTCTGCCTTTTAAAAGTTTGGCTTTTTTAAGATTCCATAAACACACTATTCAATATAGATGCAGTAAAATCGTTTTTCTTCAAAATACACAGTATTCAGAAGATTCTAGTTTCAGGAATTGTGGAGTAGCTCATATCAGACTACTCCTCCCACAGATAGCAATGATAAACTATGGACAAAGTAGCAACCACCAGGACAAAAAGAAACAACTATTTGAAGGCCCTGGAGAATAACAAAGATCAGGTAGAAACTGGAGAGAATTTCATGCTTGATAAAAAGGAACTGCATTGGGTGAGATGCATGTTACTTATACGGCCCCTTCCTGAAGGGCACTTTCTAGGCCACAGCACTTAGGAGTTAGAACTCAAAAAGTTCCATTATTATTGGCTTGAGATCTTGTAGGATGGGGTTTAGAGCTGCCAGAGTAGCTGGAAGTGGAGGAGGGAAATCCCAAAAAGAAGGGAGACTAAAGGGTGGGACTCCCAAGTCTGCATATTAACCCCCTTCTCAGTCTCAATTAACTCCTAACCATGTTTGCCTGGGGGAGACTTCAAGGAACCCAGAAGAAAGTAATTGCTGGGGGGCTGGAAAAAGCCAATCAGAGATTTCCCATAGCAAGAAAGTCAGAGTTTGGAGTTAGAGTCCCACTAAGTTATATGGGGCTTCATAAACACCTTTGGATTTCCACTGAAACCCCAAGAGGGTTATATATTAGGAACAAAGACTAGGTCTTATATTTATCTAAGACCAATGGCAAAAACAAAACAGACCTTCCCTAATAAAGTGTGAAAACCAAGCCTCCACAAAAATCAAGATGATTAGTTAGGAATTTAACAAAAATCGGTACTCTTCAGAGGAAGATAACATAATCCAGAGCTTATACAACAGATCATCTATGATGTTCAGAATTCCTTCTTAGTCAAGCCTTTCTTAGTGCCTTGGGCAGAGTTTTAGTCATAGCTTCCCGTCCTCACTCTGGACTCTGCATCAAACCCTGTAAATTCTAGCACTTCTTGCCAAGATCTGCTGGTTGTCTGGCTGCCATGCAAGACTATTAACTTTTTATCAGCAGGCATGTGAAGAAACAGGGAACTGTAACATATAGTCAAGAGAAAAATCAGGCAATAGAAGTAAACCTTGAGATGAACCAGGAGGTCAAATTAGCAGATAAGAACTTTAAAACAGCTCTGATAAAAATAGTCAAAGACAACCTCTGCTTTCCAGTTTCAAGAGATTCTCCTGCCTCAGCCTCCTGAGTAGTTGGGGTTACAGGCACCTGCCACCACGCCTGGCTAATTTTTGTATTTTTAGTAGGGACAGGGCTTCACCATGTTGGCCAGGCTGGTCTAGGACTCCTGACCTCAGGTGTTCCACCTGCCTGGCCTCCCAAAATGATGGGATTACAGGCATGAGCCACCACACCTGGCCAGACTTTAAAACTGTTTTGTAGAGATGGGGTCTCACTATGCTGCCCACGCTGGTATCAAACTCTTGGCTTCAAGCAATCCTCCTGTCTTAACCTCCCAAAATGCTGGGATTACAGGCATGAGCCACTGTTCCTGGCCTGTTCTGTTTCTTTACCTGGTGTTCATGTTATAATTATTGTTTAAACTGTACATATGTTAATGGCCTCTTTTATATTTATGAGCTACCTCACAAAAGAAATGAGTTAAAACATAAACTGAACTATAGTACAATATTCTGTATTCATTCAAACTTGTCTTCCTGAAGACAATTCTACAATATGGGAAAATGCTCACATAGTAAAAAGAATAAAAAGCAAGTTATAAAACTGTATTCACATTATGATCCCAGCTTAGAAGAGAATATATATATTTACAGAGATCCACAGAGAAAAGACTGAATGGAAAAACCTCAAAAATGCTAAGTGATTATTTTCTTTTGTATACTCTTAAGTAACTCCAAATGTTTCACAATGAATAGGTGTCAATTTTATAGTCTTAAATAGGGAACTAACAAATGGTGTTTAAGTTCTCTGCAGAAAGGTCTGAAATAAGACTTACCAAATTATTTCTATCACTCAGGATCTAGGGAGGGAAATGAAAACCACTTCATGGCCGGGCACGGTGGCTCACGCCTATAATCCCAGCACTTTGGGAGGCCGAGGCAGGTGGATCACGAGGTCAGGAGATCGAGACCATCCTAACATAGTGAAACCCTGTCTCCACTAAAAAAATTAGCTGGGCTTGGTGGTGGGTGCCTGTAGTCCCAGCTACTCTGGAGGCTGAGGCAGGAGAATGGCGTGAACCTGGGAGGTGGAGCTTGCAGTGAGCCGAGATCCTGCCACTGCACTCCAGCCTGGGTGACAGAGTGAGACTCCGTCTCAAAAAAAAAAAAAAAAAAAGACCACTTCAGGCATTTTCAGCACTAAGGCATTTAATAGAGGGGATTTAGAGCTGCTGAAAACAGTACAAAGGCTGGGTACCTATGGCTTAAACAACAGAAATACACTGTCTCATAGTTCTGGGGCTGGAAGTCCAAAATCAAGGTGTCAGCAGGGTGGGCTCCTTCTGAGGCTGTGAGGGAAGGTCTGCAAGCCAGGGTCTTCAAGGTCTGTTCCAGGCCTTTCTCCTTGGCTTGCAAAGGGCCATCTTCTGTGTCTTCACATTGTCTTCCTTTGACTCATGTCTCTGTGTCCAAATTTCCGCTTTGTGTAAGTGTAATCTCCCAGTGGGTTCACCTTGTCCACTGCCTAGATGGAGCCAATTCATCAAGACAGGGGAATTGCAATAGAGAAAGAGTAATTCATGCAGAGCCAGCTGTGCAAGAGCCTGGAGTTTTATTATTAAATCGGTCTCCCCGAGCATTCAGGGAGCAGAGGTTTTAAGAATAACTTGGTGGGTGGAGGGAAGCCAGTGAGCCGGGAGTGCCGACTGATCAGGGATGAAATCAAATGGAGTCCGAGCTGTCTTCTTGCGCTGAGTCAGTTCCTGGGTGGGAGCCACAAGATCCGATGAGCCAGTTTATCGATCTGGGTGGTGCCAGCTGATCCATCCAGTGCAGGGTCAGCAAAATATCTCAAGCACTGATCTTAGGGGCAGTTTAGGGAGGATGGGAATCTTGTAGCCTCCAGCTGCATGACTCCTAAACCATAATTTCTAATCTTTTGACTAATGTTAGTCCTACAAAGGCAATCTAGTCCCCAGGCAAGAAGGAGGTCTGCTTTGGGGAAAGGCTACCATCATCTTTGTTTCAAACTATAAACTATAAACTAAGTTTCTCCCAAAGTTAGCTCAGCCTATGCCCAAGAATGAACAAGGACAGCTTGGAGGTTAGAAGCAAGTGGAGTTGATTGAGTTAGATCTTTCACTGTCTCGGTCATAATTTTGCAAAGGTGGTTTCATAAGGACAATTGTCATGTTGTATTAGGGCCCACTCTATTCCAGCATGACCTCATCTTAGCCTAACTAACTACATCTGCAATGACTGTATTTCTAAATAAGGTCACATTCTGAGGTACTGGGGGTTAGGACTCCAACTTATGAATTGGGGAGGGGATTGGACACAATTTAATCCATAACAGTACTGTTTAAGGTTTTTACAAACAGCACGATAATGGGGACAGAAAAGGAAACCTAAGATTATCTGGAGATAAACAGTGGAGGCCTGGACAGGTGCCATTCTGGGAGTGGCCTTCTGGAGGCAGGGACCCTCAGGGGCACCTCTGAGGCTGAAGACTGCCACTAAGTGCACAGACATCGGCCTTCTGAAATCATTCTTCCAAGTGATCACTTTGTTGGCAGTGGGACCCAAGAGCCAACATAAACTCCCATCTGCCCCTGCCACCATCTGATGTTCTCTATGTGGCAGAGAAGATGCCCTGCCCTGCCCCCTGCCTCTGCTACCATTCTCTGGTTGCATCCAACTGCCACCTGGCTGGACTCACCTTGGAGGGGAAGAGGGTGCCTGTCCTTGGGGCTTGGAGTTCACACACTTCCTTATCATTCTAGATAGAGCCGGTTTGGTGCCTTGGCAAGTGTTTAGACAGCAGAGAGAGGCCCCAGGAGAAACTGACCTCTTTATCTCACCTGGCAAAGGCCTCTTCCTTCTATAGACGCTGCAGTGTCTCCGGATCAGAACAGGGCCTCGCTCCTCCGGTAGCACCAGAAATGGCTCTTGAGAGGCTGGCCTCCGGAGGGCCCCAGCTCTGCTCCTCCCCGTAGGGTCTGTCCCCTTGAATGATAAGTGGTCCTCAGTGGCCAGAGGGCTGGGAGCAGAGCCGTGCAGTTCCCAGTGAGGGTTTCTTGTTTCCCTCCTGGCAGGTGTTGGCTGAGACACTGCAGATGGCTTTGTCCCTGCTGGTTGCTCCGAAACTTGGATTCTGTCCCTGGCCGGGCCCCAGTGATGCCTGCTGGTTTCCTCCAGCGGAAGAAGCTGCTCTTTTTGTGTCTGCAGATGGTCCTGCTGCAAGACACCTCTGTCAGGGTGGCTCTGGGAGAGCCAGCTGGAAGGTGCTCGCTCCCCTTTCATTAAGAGGGGGCTGCTGGCCTGGCTGGCCATGACCTTGAGGTCAGCGGGTTTCTGTTCAGTGCTGCTCTGGGGATTGTTCACCCCAGCCCCGCCATAACTTGCTCCCTTCTTTTCCCCACCTTTCCTCTCTTATCCGTGTGGACAGGACAGTTTTAGAACCTCTTCTGCACACCATCGTATCACCCTCAACTTGCATCCAGCCACCGCCCTGCTGAAAACCTTCCATGGCTCCCTGGTGCCTAAAGTGTACTTCTCAAGCTGTATTGTGTCTTGGATTTGCCTGTAGCTCTAAAAGATCAGCCCCTCCCAAGTTGCAGCTCAGAGCCAGTCATCAGATCCCTATGACGGAACCCAAGGACCTGAATCTTTAACTCACTCCGCAGGTGATTGTTTTTTTTTTTACCTGTATAGTTTTTCTTTAAATTGTGGTAAAATATACATAACATGAAATGTACCATCATAACCATTTTTAAGTGTGTACTTCAGTGACATTAAGTTCTGTTACAGACGGTCTCGCCGCCAAATTCGTGTTCAAGCCCTGACTCTGAATATGATGGGTTTTGGAGGTGGGATCTTTGGGAGGTGATTAGGTTTGGTTGACGTCTTGGGAGTGGAGCCCTCATGATGGGATTAGATCCTTATAGGAAGAGGAAATCAGATTTCTCCACGTGCTTGCACTGAGGGAAGTCCACATGAGCACAAGGCAGGAAGGCTGCTGTCTGCAAGTCAGGAAGAGAACCGCCATCAGCCCCTAGCCATGCTGGTACTGTGATCTCGGACTTCCAGGCTCCAGAACTGTGAGAAGATAAGTGTCTTTTGTTTAAGCCATTGGGTCTATGTTATTTGTCACAGCAGCCCAAGCTGACTCAGACAACTGCGTTCACGTTGTTGTGCCACCATCACCACCGAGAACTGTTTCATTTAGCAAAATTGAAACTCCACACCCACTAAATAATAACTCCCCGTTCTCCCTGCTCCCAGCTCCTGACAACGCCATTCTACTTTGTCCCTACAAATTTGACTATTCCAGGTACCTCACACAAGTGGAATCATATAGGATTTGTCCTTTTGTGCCTGGCTTATTTTGCTTAGCGTAATGTCCTCAAGGTTCATCCATGTGATAGCTTATGTCAGAATCTTTTTCTTCTTAAGGCTGAATAATATTATATTATATGCATATTGCTTCCACCTTTTGCCTATTGTGAGATCCTGCTTTCATTTCTTTTGGGCATATATCCAGAAGGAAAATTGCTTGATCACATGGTAATTTTTCCTTTTTTCTTTTTTTTTTTTTTTAGAAAAGGTCTTACTTCGTTACCCAGGCTGGAGTGCAGTGGTGAGATCTCATCTCACTGCGACCTCCGCCTTCTGGGTTCAAGCAATTCTCCCACCTCAGCCTCCCGAGTAGCTGGGACTACAGGGGCGCACATGCCCAGCTAATTTTTGTATATTTTGGTAGAGACAAGGTTTCACCATGTTGGCCAGGCTGGTCTCGAACTCCTGACCTCAAGTGATCCACCCGCCTCGGCCTCCCAAAGTCCTGGGATTACAGACATAAGCCACGCCTGACCAGGATCACATAGTAATTTTATTTTGATTTTATTGAGGAAATGCCGTACTGTTTTCCACAGTGGCTACACCGTTTCACATTTCCACCAGCAGTGCACAGGCGTTCTAATTTCTCTACATCCTCACCAGCACTGGTTATTTCCTTTTTTGTTCTCGTAATAGCCATCCTACTGAGTGAAAAGTGGTATCTCAGATGGTTTTAATTTGCATTTCCCTAATGATTAGTGATTTAAGCATCTTTTCATGTGCTTATTGGCCATTTGTATATCTTCTTTGGAGAAATGTCTATTCAAGTCCTTTGCTCACTTTTGAGTTGGGATGTTTATTTTGTTGTTGTTGTTGAGTTGTATCCAGAGGTGATTTTGACAGAAAGTGAGAGAGTGGTGGATGGAGAGGATGAGCTGTCTGTGGGGTGTCCGGGACCCTCTGTGGGTGGCCTGACCCACCTTCCCTCTCATTTCCTGCTTCTCCCAGCAAGAATGCTTTGCCCTGGCTGGCTGTTCCCATCTCTGGGCTTTTGTTTACTCCATACCATCAGCTTGGATTGCTGTAGCAGACTGACTTTTTCTCGTCTGCACAAAACCACCCTCCTCCATCTCCAGCAATAGTTCTGGTGGGACTGTGGGTCATGGTCCCATTCTCTCCTGGCCACGTCACTGGCACATGAGCCTGGCTTGCCCGGAGCTAGTGCTCTCGTCACCCTAGTGTCAGGGGTTGCCTCAAGGGGTAGGCCTGTGATCCAAGCCAATCAGGTCTTTATGTGGCTATTAGAAAAATGTCTCTTTCTGCTTGGATTACCGAGCTGGGATGATGTAAGCCTGGGCTACTGGTGGTCTCTTCCTTGATAGCATGACCCATCTGCAGGAAGACATGAAAGGTCAACGCACAAATGAGAGCTAAGTCAAGATAAGGAAAGTGAAGAGAGAATGTGAGTGAGAGAGAGAGAGAGAGAGAGAGAGAGAGACTGAGATCATTGCTTGAGTCCTGGATCCAGCCATACCTGAAACCAGCCGACCCCGGGATATTTCAGGTGCACACGCCGAGAGATTCCACAACATACCCCAACCCTCTTTTTTTCCACCTAAGCTGGTCTGAATTGGGTTTCTGTCACTGGTAACAGAAAACATTCTGACTAATGCAAATCCCTCTTCCCAGTTCCAACTCTCCATGCATCCAACTGTCTGTCCTTCCAATTTTCGTCCTGTCAAGCTCAGATCTGCGCTTTTCTGTTTTATATCTGGCCTGAAGAGCTGCTCCCTCTAGGGAGCCCCAGTAGTCAGGGGGTGAGAAGGGGGCTTTCCAGGTGCTCTGATCTCCAACGTCCTGCCCGCTGTGCCCTTTGGGAACCTCTGTACTATACACTTCTGTGTGTAGCTTGTGTGTTAGAGTGTTCTTTTAACACTCTGAGAAAGCTTATCCTGTGGCAGCTGATATGAACTGCCCAGGAAGACATCCAGCATCCCCTTCCCTGCCCAGCCCCTGACCGAGGTCCCTGGGGCAGCCCAAGACAACACCCTCCACCCACACCTCCGGGGCAGCCTTGGGCACAGGCCCAGCCCCGGCTAAGGAGCACAGGGATCCACAGGGGCTTCCAGAGACAGAGTGTGAAAAGGTGAGTGGCGATGGAAAAAATGACTTGGTGTTTCCTTGTTGTTGGTTTTGAGTGTGTGGCTTTATTCTTTTGCAGCTGTGATCTCTCTAGAGGGTTTTCCACCCCCAGCCCAGGAAGGGGAAGCCGCCTCCGGGTGTCCATGGGGAGCCACTGGCCCTGGTGGTTCAGTCTCTTGGTGGGGTGGTGAGTGGGGGGTTGGATCACTGGAACAGAGAACAGGATGCATGCTTTGTGGGGGGTGTAGGGGAATGGCTGGCCCTGGAATTGAGACACTTGAGACAGGGGAAGGGGCTGGGCATTGCTCAGGGGTGTTGTTCAGTGTGCAAGCGTGGTGCCTCAGTTTGCGGGCCAAGAGGGGGCGTGCACGATGTACCCAAATGCTGGATCCCTTCGCCTGTGGCACAGCCCTGGAGTGGCAGCTGCAGTGGACAAAGACGCAGACCCTTCCCAAACTGCACAGAAAAAATCAGCCCCCAGTTCCCGTGTGACCATGGACATGACTGAGGCTGAACTGGCTCACAGCTGGGGAGGGGTGTGTGGATGGAAAAGCAGACAGCTGTGAACAGCACCGCTTCTAGGAGGGCGGAGAAGGGGCAGTGCGGGGAGACCCACTCCCTATACTTGTGTGGCGCTGGGCTTACACTGAGGAAATGCGTTCTGGTACTATTTGCTCAGTCCAAGACAGATTTTTTAAAGTTTAGAAATGTTTATTTGAAAAACAAGTGTTTCGCACACCCAGGTATCACACAGGAAGTTGCGTGCCCCGCGTTACTCAGTCGTTGCCATGTTAGTTTTGGGTACATGCATGTCCCGGTTCCCCAGCTGTGCTCTCAGGGCCACTTCCGCAGCTTCGAACTGCCACAGACTCTGGAGCTCAGCCTGGGAGAGATGCTCAGAAGGTGTGAAGCTGATGCCGAATCAACAGCTCACCTTAGAGAGGGCTTGGTCGGAATCAGGCACTACTCTAAGCGCTTTCACAGTATTGCTTCATCTCATCTCAACAACTGCGTCCCCATTTTCTGGGTGAGGGTCAGAGGACTGAGTGAGGCTCAGTGGGTTCCAGCAGTGGGGACGAGGCTGAACAATGGGAGGAATAGTTCCAAGCAGCAGAACGGCCCGGTCCCAGAGGCCTGGTCCCAGGCGGGTGCGGATGCCTGCCAACTGTGAACTTGACTTTGTTCATTTCACGTCCAGTGGCATTTTGCGGGGTGGGGAGGAGCGTGCACTCTCGGCAGACCTGGTCGTATGTGGGGAGTCTTGAACAAGCGCTTTTCTCTGAGCCTCAGTTTCCCCAGCTGTGAAATGGAAAGAGCTATGCTTTATAGTTGGGAAAAATGAATGGGATCGTTGGGGAGAGAGCCTCGCACTCGGGGCTGGATCAATGCTGCATTTTCCAGTCTGGGTCACCTCAGGGCCTTCCTCTCTCCCTGGCTGGTGGAGAGCAGGGTCATAAGGCCTGGGGGCCTCAGCCTGAGCCCTCGCAGCGCCAGGCACTGGGCCACACTTGGCGCTGGGGAGTCCCCGTGCCTGAGCCCTTGCTGCACCAGGCTCTGGGCCATACTTGGTGCTGATGCTAAGGAGTCCCCACGCCTCTGGGGACCTGGGGGGCTAGCACCCCTCATTTCACCCCGGTTACCCACATGCCTGGCTCCCTCCAGTGCTGCCCCCTCCTGAGCACCTTCCTTGTGCTTGGAGCTGGGGAACAAAGATGGATAAGACCAAGCTGCTGCCCCCAGGACTCCTGGTCTCATGGGAAACCCAGAACTGTATCAGATGCCAGCACAGCATTGGAGGTGATCTCAGGATGCTGGGGGAACCCCGTGGAGAAGCAGAAAATAAAATGCTCCCTTCTCCTCCAAGCAAGGAATGGCTTCAGAAAAAATACTTACGACACCATGCTAAGGTGGTGTTGACATCTATGATTCTCTACACGGTCTGCATGGAACCCGTGGCTGCGGTTGAGTGCCTTTGGGAAAGGAACTGGGCCATGGATGGGAGAGACTGACTTTTTGGTGTAAATCCTTTTATGTGGTTTGCTTTAAAAGACAAACAAACAAACAAAAACAAAACAAAAACCAGGCTGGGCGCGGTGGCTCACGCCTGTAATCCCAGCACTTTGGGAAGCTGAGGCGGATGGATCACGAGGTCAGGAGATCGAGACTATCCTGGCTAACATGGTGAAACCCTGTATCTATTAAAAATACAAAAACTTAGCCGGGCGTGGTGGCGGGCACCTGTAGTCCCAGCTACTCGGGAGGCTGAGGCAGGAGAATCGTTTGAACCCAAGAGGCGGAGGTTGCAGTGAGCTGAGATCACGCCACTGCACTCCAGCCTGGGAGACAGAGTGAGACTCCGTCTCAAAAAAGAAAAACAAACAAACAAAGAACAATGGTAAGATTTAAATTTATCGAAAGTTGTTATTGAGAGCAATCCTCGTTTGGTAACCTGTACAGCTGTGCACAGGCCGTGACAAACACTTCTTCACCAGCTCACCTGCAGAGCACGCCGAGCCACCCCCGACGGTCCGTGGGTTTACTCCTAAGCTTGCTCTTGCCCGTTGCACTTGCTATAATAGTGATGTCATCTAATTAAATTTAGTGTAAACCAATGAGATATGAGGGTAATAAGAATGAATTGGTGTTTCTAAGACATATAAGTGAATGCCTTGGAAACCTTTCTCAAGCTGAGTCATTTTACAAAAATCATTGTCAGATCAGATGGCGGCAAGACAGCTGTGCAAGTCCGGGGAAGCCCAGTCCCAGGGGAGCCTCAGGTTGCTCGCGTCACACGAGTCTTTAAATTCTGGTTCCGCCTTAAAGAGAAGCAAGCTGGAAGTCGTGAATAGACATTACGGAAATGATTTATGCAAAAATGCTGATGTGGAGTCCCGCGGAGTGGCTCCTTCCCAGCATTCCTGGGCCTCAAACCTACCTCCACGTGTAGGCACTAAGTGTGTTTCCAGTTAAAAGCTTTACACTATCAGAGGTTTTATTTTACGATGCCCACTTTAACTGTCTTTTCCAGTGAACCCACCTGCTGTTGGCCAGAGGTTTTGACCACAGATATGTGAGCGTCTAATAGTGGCCACATGTCCTTTCTTCTTAGGGAGACTCCCAAGAAATTCCCCGGTTTGTTGGTTCTGGTACCCTCAATTAGGGGCAAGGTCTTGCCTTTACCCCAGCCCCCTCCAGGTGTCCAAGACTGTCGGGCAGTGGGTAGTCTGCAGGCCCAGGTCACTGGAGAATCCACCCGTGGCCCTGCCAGGTCCCCCACCCACCTCCATGCTGCTCACCTGATGACTGACTCCGGCTCCCACCTCCTCCCCCCTGCTGATTTCCACCCTCCCTTCTCCCCTTTGTCTCACCTGGCCCCGCAAACACATATTCACATTATTCTATTTCTTGGTCTTGCACCTTCTTCAAGACTTTATTGTGAGGTAAGAGGAAAACAGTGGTCAGGCACTGGGACGTGTCAGAGGGGAGGAAAGTCCACAGAAACACATTTAAAAAGCCCAGCTTTGTTGTTGTTGTTGTTGGTTTTAGACAAGGTCTCGCTCTGTCGCCCAGGCTGGAGTGCAGTGGCGTGATCTGTGTTCACTGCAACCTCCGCCTCCCGGGTTCAAAAGATTCTCCTGCCTCAGCTTCCCAAGTAGCTGGGATTACGGGCATGTGCCACCATGCCAGACTAATTTTTGTATTTTTAGTCGAGACAGGGTTTCGCCATGTTGGCCAGGCCTGGTCTTGAACTCCTGACCTCATGATCCACCCACCTTGGCCTCCCAAAGTGCTGGGATTGCAGGCGTGAGCCACCGCGCCCAGCCAAAAAACCCAGCTTTGATGGAAGAACAAGCAAAATGCAGTGATACATATAACGCAATAGTATTCAGCCTTACACGGGAAGGAGATTCTGACGCGCGCTACCACGTGAACGGACCTGGAGGACGTTGTGCTGAGGGAGAAAAGCCAGGCGTGAAGGACAAATAGTGTGTGACTCCACTGGAGTAGTCGGAGTCCCAGAGACAGATGTAGAGTGGAGGCTGCCCGGGGCTGGGGGAGGCGTGGGGCTTTGGTGTTTGACGGGCCCGGGGTTTCAGCTGGGTGAGATGAAAGGGCTCTGTCCGGAATGCTGCTGGTGACGGTAGCACAACAGCCTGCGTGGACTTCAAGGCCACGGCTCCGCACAGCTGAAGAAGTAGTTACGGTGATACATTCTGTGCTCTGTATCTCTCATCACAGAAACAAAAACAAAACACAAACCCCCATAAAGAACCTCAGCAACAGGCCGGGCGCAATGGCTCACACCTGTAATCCGAGCACTTCGGCAGGCCGAGGCCCGAGGATCACTTGAGGTCAGGAGTTTGAGACCAGACTGGCCAACACGGTGAAACCCCCTTTCTACTAAAAATACAAAAATTAGCCAGGCGTGGTGGTGCGAGCCTGTAATCCCAGCTACTCAGGAGGCTGAGGCAAGAGAATCCTTTGAGCCCAGGAGGCAGAGGCTGCAGTGAGACGAGATCACACCACTGCACTCCAGCCTGGGCGACAAAGCGAGACTCTTTCAAAAAAAAAAAAGAACTCTGGCATTGCGATGGCCTGCCCCTCAGTGCTTGGCCTCCCTGGGAAGTGCCCTGGTTGCTTCTGGGGATGGGATGTGGATATCTTCATGCTCTTCCTCGAACCTTAATGTTTCCCAATTCCCTTCAAAAAACATCTATTACTTTCCTAGTGGGGGAGTGGGGGAGTGGGGCCTGTTGAGAGTTTTAAAGAAAATGAGAAGGGCGGGAGTGGGGCAGTTAGTTGTCAGAGTTCATCCTTCTTCCTCCCAAGGCCCAGGTCTCCTCTAGGTGGGCGGAGATGCTGGGGGGCGAAGGGGAAGGGCACTTCCTGCCGGAGGAAGACCTGGCAGGTTCTCTCCCACCCAGCCCAACCCTGATGGGTCTGTGCCAAGGAAACCCGGCACCTGGGTCCTTGCAGCTCCCAGAAGGGCCTGTGAAGATGGGCTGGGCTCCTTCTGCACACCCCCCATCTGCACTCCTCACCAACCCCAGAAGAGATAACTAGCTCCTGTTTGCAAGCAGCTCAAATTAGCGGGGAAACAACTGCTAAACCCGGACTCGTCAGGCTGATCCAATCGGCGCTTCCCACCTGGGGCTCTAGGGATGGCCCAAGTCACCTCCGTAGTCACGGGGCAGGGGGACGTGTGGGTGCGCGTGTGGGTGCAAGTGTGTGTGCAGGTGCACAGGTATGTGTGAGTGCACAGCTGTGTGTGTGTGAGTTCCTGGGAATGTGTGCGTGCAGGGGTGTGTGTGTGCATGGTTGTGTTTGGGTGCACAGGTGTGTGTGTGTGGGTGCATGGACACATGTGTGGTAGCACAGGTATGTGTGTGTAGAGGAGTGTGTGTAGGTGCACAGGGTGTGTGTGTGTGGGTGCACAGGTGTGCATGTGGGAACAGGAGTGCATGTGGGTGCAGGGGTGTGTGGGGGTGCACAAATGTGTGTGTGCAGAGGCATGTGTGGGTGCAAAAGAGTGTGTGACTTCAAGGGTGTGTGTGGGTGCGCAGGAGTATGTGTGCACGGTGTGTGGGGGTGTATAGGTGTGTGTGTGGGTATATAGGTGCCTGTGGGGGTATACAGGTGTGTGTGGGTGCAGGGGTTTGTGTATGAGCGCACAGGTGCGTGTGTAGGTGAAAGCTCACATGCAGATGCATCAGGTCCACATGTGCACCAGGGGCATGTGTGTGTATGTGCACATACGTGTATATATGAGACCACAGCTCCCTGCAGCTTTTCTGTCCGTTGGCTAGCAAAACTCAGTTTCTTCTTGTGAGACGTGGGCATCTCCCTCTTAGTCTCCCAATCCCCCTCTGCAGAGCGTTCCAGCCCCATGGTCTCCTGGGTGAAGAGGGAAAACCCAGGGACCCTAAGCCTGATGAAAGGCAGCTATCCTGGTCCCTGAGGAGCCTGGACGGTGCTCCCACTGTGGCCTTGAGCCTGGTCCTGGCCAGCTCCTGTAAAATATACCCTACAAATTAATACATAAATCCTACAAATTAGTATATTGAAAAGTTTGTACCTTTATTTTGTGTTTTAGTAAGAATATAAAATAAATAAATAAAATAAATATAAAATAAAATAAAATTAGTTGTATTAGTTAGGGTGACTGCTGTAACAAATAGACCCCCCAATGCCTGATGGCTCAAAAACAATTGAAGTTGATTTCTACCCACCCCAAAAATCCTAGCCAGTGCAGGTCAGCAGAGGCAGGCAGGGAGGACGGGAGGCCGGGCTCCCACAGTCATTCCGGGACCCGGCTGCCAGGGGCTCTGCCAGCTTCAGCTCAGGGCTTCCGAGGCTGCCCTGGGCCTTGGCGCCCAGACAGCTGGAGGAGGAAGGATCTCACAGGGCAGAGCTCTCCGGTCCAGGTCCGAGAGCCATGGTGTAACTTCCACTGAGACGCCGTTGCCTAGAGCTGGTGCCCATGGCCAGACCCCTGCAGGGCAGATGGGAAAATGCAGGCTAGCTGTGTGCTAGGGATGGAGGTGAAGTGGGTTTTGAGTAGGGTGGCCCATGTAATTCATCCTTCAAACCAGGACCTTGCTAAGAGTGAAAGGTGTGATCAAGTTGTGCCAGAAAGGCAGGCACCAACTGAGACAGGACAAACGGTCACCCTGGGTTTGTGAGCAAAAACAGGCAAAGACAAACAAGACAGTGTTCTTATTTTCCTCATTGCCTGTAGAAGAGGAAAGCATGCGACCCGGCCTGTTCTACGCTTGGTTGTATTTCTCACACTTGTCAATATACCCGGGTCTGTTTATGCAGACAGCCTCTACTGAGTGGTTGTTTTTGTTTAACTTTTGCACAATGAACCTTAATGCATCTTTGTTTATTGAGCCAGTTCCTACAGATGGACACAAGTCATTTCAGCCTTTTCAATCACAAACAATGGTGCGGTGTTTTATACTGCACAGACATCATTTTAGGTCCAGTTTAAATAGTAGTAGTGTAGGCCAGGTGCGGTGGCTCACGCCTGTAATCCCAGCACTTTGGGAGGCTGAGGTGGGTGAATCACCTGAGGTCAGGAGTTCGAGACCAGCCTGGCCAACATGGTGAAACCCCGTCTCTACTGAAAATACAAAAATTAGCTGGGTGTGGTGGTGCGTGCCTGTAGTCCCAGCTACTCGGGAGGCTGAGGCAGGAGGATTGCTTGAATCCGGGAGGCGGAGGTTGCAGTGAGCTGAGATCACGCCATTCACTCCGCCTGGGCAGCAGAGTGAGACTCCATCTCAAAAAAATTAAATACATAAATAAATAAATAGTAGTAGTCATGAAATGAACACTTATGCCTTTACCATCTGTGAACATATGCATCTCAGATTAATGCATTATAGAGTTTTTCTTATTTCTGTACTTTATATAAATAAGATCAGATTCAAGGTATTCTTTTTGTTATTTTTCTTTTCTTTCTCTATTTTTTGATTTGGGATCGTTCTCTGTCACCCAGGCTGGAGTGCAGGGGCACAATCTTGGCTCACTGCAACCTGGAACTCCTGGGCTCAAGTGATCCTCCCGTCTCAGCCTCTCGAGTAGCTAGGACTATGGCCATGTGCCACTACACCCTCTAAGTTTTCTTTTTCTTTTTTTTTTTTCTGTAGAGATGGAGTCTTGGTATGTTGGCCAGGCTGGTCTCAAATTCCTGGGCTCAAGTGATCCTCCCGCCTCAGCCTCCCGGATTGCTGAGACTGCAGGCCTCTTTCGGGTGGTCATTCTGGCTGGCTGCAGGTATTCTTTTTAAATTCTGTGTTCTCCTCACTGTTGCTCAAAATTATGATTTTTGACACATGCGTCCATTGAATGAATGTTAGATTCCATTGAATGACTGTACAGTTTAAAAAATAGTTGAGTTTACTTTTGAGGGTTCTTTGGACCATGGCCAGTGTTTTGTGTTTTGGACCGTGCTGTACAGACACTCTCTGTCCTTTCGTGCCCGTGTGCAGCGTTTTCACTGTGGTTACGCCCGACAGCAGATGTGCTTCCTCTCAGGACAGGTATGTATTTCCTGTTGCTTCCCATTCTCCTCTTGACTTTCTTTTGCATTTCAGGCTAAGCAGCTTTTCACGTCTTTGCAATTTGAGTTTCCTCATTTGTAAATGCCCCTCTGAGTCTTTTGCTCATTTTCCTATTATATTGTTTATCTTTTCCTTATTAGATTAGCGGGGTTCTTTCTGTATTTTGAATACAAATTCTGTGTTGCTCATTATTGTTGAAATATTGTCAGCTTGTGACTTGTCTTTTCCCTCTTTATGACGTCTTTTTTTACTTTTATTTTTTATTTATTCTTATTATTTTTTATTTTTTAGTAGAGATGAGGTTTCGCCATGTTGGCCAGGATGATCTTGAACTCCTGGCCTGAAGTGATCCCTTTGCTTTGGTTTCCCAAAGTGCTGGGATTACAGGCATGAGCCGTAGCACCCGGCCTTTATGGTGTCTTTTGATAACAGAAGTTCATAAATGTAACGCGGTCAGGCTGGTCGATCTTGTCCTTAGGGTTGGTGCTTTTTGGTTTTGTGCTTGAGGATCCTCCCCCAGCTGTGGTCCCAAGCACCCCCTCACCCAGAGCAGGCAGTGACTTGGATGTTTGGGTAGCGAGCTCTGGGTCAAGTTCCTGGCCCACACCTGCCAGGAACACTCAGCTCTGACTTGCCGTGGAGCCCCCTGTGCCTACTTTGCTGTCCACCCTGGGTGGGTGTGCCCCTGATGCACTGCTGTCAGCTTCCCCTTTGGATCTGGAATTTTATTTTTCTGTCTAACGTGCTTGTCCCCGGTTGGACTGGCCTGTATTCCTTGGGCAACCCAGCAGGTGGCTTGGCCTTTGGACAATTAGCTCCTCTGCTCCCCTGAGGAAGGGAAGGAAAGCCCCAGCGAGTGGTGGAGTTGGCTTCCGAGACACTTTCCAGTGACAGGTCTCTCCGGAGCTGGGGTCTCAGGGCAGGGCCTGCAGGGAAACGTGGACTCACTGGGGAGGAAGTATAGCTTGGCTCTGGGTTTGACGACAATGACGATGGTGACGATGATGATGACGACGATGCTATTTTGTTGTTGTTTTGGGGTTCACAGGAGCTGAGAGGAAGAGCAAGGGTTTGCAAATGAGGAAGAAAGCTGGGAAGTGGTTTCATGCATTTCCTCCTCTCTCCACGTGCCAGAAGGTGCCACTCGGAGGCTGTCTTCCCAGCCTCTTGAGGACAGGCAGAAGTCCTTGTGGCCTCAGTTAAAGGAAAGAAGAGAGAAAGAAAAGAATGAAAGCAAGAAAAGGGGCCAGGAGGGAGTGTGAGCTGCAATCCCAGCATCCTGACATGTGCCCTCATGCCTGGTCACATGCAGGCACGTTGCACGCCCGCTGGGCACAGGCCGCTTGTGTACCTTGGTCACTTATATTCTTAACAGCCATCCAGGACCCCGTCGAGTGCATAATACAGCCGTGTACTAATATAGCCATCCTTAGCAGCCGTCCGTGCACTAATACAGCCGTGCGGGTGGGCTGCCGTGCGCTAACCTAGCCGTCCTTTTGATGTTGGGCATGGGGTCATTTCCAGGGTCAGGTTAGATGTTCTAGACAGACCCAGCAGTGGGTAGCTTTAACTAGTACTTTAGTCCTTCCTTTCCATTATTTCCTTAAGCTACATTCTCATAAATGAAATTTCTGGGTAAATGATGAATATTTTTATGGTTTTAAAAAGACAGCATCAAATTTCTTTTCAAGGACAGGTGCTAATTTGGAAAATCCCAAATACATGTATCTATTAGAGATGGCATCCTGCTATATTGCCCAGGCTGGTCTTCAACTCCCGGCTTCAAGCAGTCCTCTTGCTTTGGCCTCCCCAAGTGCTGGAACTACAGGCGTGAGCCACAGTGCCTGACCCCTCGTAATTTTTAAAGATAGAGTGGGGCAGGAAAAGCTCACCAGAATGTCTCTCCAGCCCGTGAAGGGCTCCAGTCTTGGTGTCTGGAAGGCTCTAATCAGCAGCTCTGTTTTTACGGGGCCAGGCTGGAGCAGACAGGAAGGCTTTATGCTATCTGACTGATAAGGTTGTCTGGGGACTGTTTCCACACCACCGGTTTCTGTGCTTGTTGCTGTGGGCTTGGGTCTGGGGACCTGGGACCTGGCACGGAGCTATGGGGGCTCTGACTGTCTCAGACCCTGCCTCTGCCATCTTAGAGCTCACACTTTAGGTAGGGGGGAATGAAGCAACCGGTGCTCTCTAAGCAGAGTCGGGAAGCCTCATGTACCCAGGGCCTTGCTTTGGCCTCTCAGGGGTCGCAGGCAAGACTGGCTTGGTCAGGCCCAGAGGGTGCCCTGGGAAGGTGGGCCTCTCAGTTCAGGCTGGAAGCCCAGCTAGGGTGGTCAGGCCCTGAGGGCTGGAGGTGTAGGTAGAAAGGTGCCCTCAGGGAAACAACAGAAACGCCCAGTCCAGTGGCAATAAAGCCCCAAGGACAGGCAGGCAGTGCAGGGCACCCCCAGGCCGCCAGCCCAGAACCTTTCCCACTGGGGTCTGGGCCTTTCCATGGGCAGACAGAGCCCCACGGGCCAGGGCTGAGGGATCCATTGTCCCCACACTAGCAGGGCCCCTGACCCACTCGCATCCAGCAAGCGCGGCTGACCTTTCTCTGGGTGCTTGGCCGGAATCCAAGCCCATTCTTCCGAGCACCTCAGAGGGGGGTCAGGGCCTCAGCAGGGACCTGATCAGGACCTGAGGGTGGACAGTTTCACTTTCCCTCAGATACAGGGTGGGAGGCTATTTGGGGACAGGAGCCCAAAAGGGCCTGTCTGCTCACTCAGACCAAAAGTGGGATAAAACCAAAACCACTTCCTGGGAGGACAGCGTCTAGGGTGTCAGAGCCCGACACCGCTGCCCTCCACGCCTGCCTCCGCTGAAGTGGGTTCTGGGGGCTCCGAAGGTCAGCAGGGTTCCGGACGCTTTCCTGGGACTGCCCCTCCCAGCTGTGCAGGCTCAGAGGCTCCTCCACCCACTCCAGCATCCACAACAACAACAAAAATAAAAATAGCTCACACAGGACTTTCCCCATCCCAGCTCTGTGGTAGATGCCACTCTCATTACTCCCATTTTACAGATGAGGAAACTGAAGCACAGAGAGGTCAAGAAACCTGCTCCAGGTCACACAGCCAGTGAGCAGTGGAACCGGGGCTCAGAGGGAGGCAGTCTGACTCCAGAGCCAGAATGTACAGGCTTTTCATGTTGTGAGACGACAAATACATACACACGCGCCCACCAGAAGAAACCTACAGGCTGGGGCTGGGGGCAGAGTGGGGCTCCAAAGCCAGCAGACCTGGGACTGCATCCTAGCACTGCTGATCCCCAGACAGGTGACTTTGGTCGATTATCTTTTACATTTAGAGACAGGATCTCACACTGTTGCCCAGGCTGGAGTGCAGTGGTTGCAATCATAGCTCACTGCAGCCTTGACCTCCTGGGCTCAAGCGATCCTCCCACCTCAGCCCCCCAAGTAGGTAGGACTACAGTTGCATACCACGCCTGGCTAGGTTTTTAAACTTTTTGTAGAGATAGAGTCTCACTGTGTTGTTCAGGCTTGTCTTGAACTCCTGGGCTCAAGCGATCCTCCCACTTCAGCCTCCCAAAACACTGGGACTACAGGTGTGAGCATCTCGCCCAGCTCATTATTTCTGTTCACTTGTTACTTCATCTGTGAAACAGGAGAATAAACCCTACGGGAGCTGTGAGAATGAAAGGAGATCAGTCACATTCACAAACATGGGTGGCACTGTGGCCTCTCCAGCCATGGTAGATAGGCAGGAAGTGTGAGTTCCCATCCCCAGTCCTCCTCCTTCCCAGATAACCTCAGAAAGTCCCATAATTGTCCTGGGTGCAGGGATAGCATTTGGAAAAACTGATGGTTCTATTCATCCTGCTACAGGAGCCTCTTGGAAGATGCAAATGGATGAAACAACAGAAAACTGTGCTGCAAAAGGCCGATGCTCTGTGTATGGCCTCTCAAAAGATGTGAAACTAGGGGGAAAAACAATACCGTTCTTACCCTTTTCCTGGGCACCGCAGAGCCCTGTGATTCTGCTCACACCTGCAATCACCACCGCCTGATGTTCCGCTCTCAGATGCCCCAGGGACTATCCAGCCTGCAAGCCCAGGGCCTGTGTCCTGAGTCAGTAATCAGCTTCCCCTCTGGATTCACCTCTGAATTCCAAAATGGGTTGTCTGGGAACTTCATCAACTTCATGACTTCCATGTTCAATGGGAAAGTCAGCCTGCCTGGCCAAAGCAACAGTGAAATATGGGTTAACGTTACAACAATGTAATGCTGATTTAGATGTCAGTTTAATAGATGATGGGTGGTATTAGAAAGCACCTTCAGCCGGGCACGGTGGCTCGCGCCTGTAATCCCAGCACTTTGGGAGGCCGAGGCGGGCAGATTGCCTGAGGTCAGGAGTTCAAGACCATCCTGGCTAATATGGTGAAACTCTGTCTCTACTAAAAATACAAAAATTAGCCGGGCGTGGTGGCTGGTGCCTGTAGTCCCAGGTACTTGGGAGGCTGAGGCAGGAGAATTACTGGAACCCAGGAGGCAGAGGTTGCAGGGAGCTGAGATCACGCCACTGCACTCCAGCCTGGGCAAGAGGGCAAGACTGTCTCCAAGAAAAGCAAAAGAAAAAGGAAAAAAAAAAAAGAAAAGAAAGCGCCTTCAAGGCCATCTGTTTCTCTGCTACTACCCTTTTTGGAAAGACAAATCTCCTTCCCCTCCCTGTCCTCCTTCCTTCTACATTCCCCTAGGGCTGTGTACCTCTCTCTCAGCGTGCCCTGCCTTGGTGCCTCTGTGGCAGGGCCAGGTCTGACTTCCCAGATGAGCTTGCTCTCCTAAGCTGCATCATTGCATGACTCTCCTCTTTCCTAACCTCCCTCACTCCTCCAGCTCCCTTCTGCTGGTGAATGACATCTCTTCACGCCACACAGTCACAGGACGGCTGCTCCACCACCGGCATCACATCTCCTTTCCAGGCAGGAAGAAGAGGAAGGAGGAAGAGACAGGACAAAGGTGGTCTTTCTTCCAGTAAAGCTTTGACTTTTTATCTAGAAAACATTATCTCTGAGCTTTTCACCTACATTTCCTTGGCCAGACCTGGGTCACGTGGTCACCTCTAATTGAGAAGATGAGTATTTCAGAGGGACACATTTTTGTTCCCTCCCAAATCAGGGCTGTGTTAGGAAGAAAGCGGGAATGGGTCCTGGGAAGGCAGCTCGCAGTAACTCCACACAGTCTGTCCCTTTGCTATCCAGCACTCACGCAGCCCTTCCCTCAGACACAGAAAACATCAGTGTCTCCCAAGGCAAACAGCCAGAATCCCATCTTGCTACTTCCAGGGCAGGCTTCTTTGTAAGGTGCAGGTGGGGCGCCCTGTGGTCCTGTGACCTTGAAACTCAAAGACAAGTTATCTGCCCCGACATACTCAGGATCAGTGGTTGGTTAGAAACAGGAAAAGTGCAGTACAGCTTCCATCCAGCAACACGGAAAGGGATGCACACAGCAGTCGCTGGAGCAGGAAGTCCTGCTGAGTGAGGACGCCTGGCTTCCTGGGTACCATCTAGCACCCTGCTCTGCTCTCAGGAAGATGTGCCAGAGCCATTGCCTTCTGCAGACTCAGCTCTGCCCTATTCTCCTTATTCATTATTCTCCATGGGGTGGGTCTTGAGGGGATACGCCATTTCTGGGGGCCACACGGCTTCCTGTTGGTGTGAGTCTGGAGTCCTGGGGGTGGCTTCAAGTATTGGCTGTTACTCACCAACCTTGCATTCTTTTGGAGAATACATTTACTCAAAAACTTGGTTGGCTTCCAGTCTTCTAATTTTATTTATTTATTTTTGTGGTCAGTTCCGATAGCGGCCTCTATTTGGTGGTTGGAGGTCAACTTGTGACCCCTGCTGCCCTCTGGAGTCTCATTTTCAAATGATGTCTCCTGAGGTTGAATCTGATTGGTGGAGTGAGGTCACATGCCTGTGCCCTGGCTGCAAAGGAGGCTGGGAGGGAAGTTTTCTCTGTTCTACTTCAGGGACATGGGACTCTCAAGATGGGAAATGCCCCCAAACAGAGCCAGTATATTCTACAGATATGAGGCAGCCAGAAAACAGGAGGGGAACCGGGCGTGGTGGCTCATGCCTCTAATCCCAGCACTTTGGGAGGCTGAGGTGCGCAGATCACTTGAGCCCAGGAGTTTGGGACCAGCCTGGGCAACATGGTGAAACCCTGTGCCTACAAGAAATACAAAAAATTAGCCAGTCGCGGTAGTCTGCATCTGTATTGGGAGGCTGAGGTGGGAGGATCCATTGAGCATGCTATTTCCACCTCCTCACCTCTCCTTTCTGCAGTCCACCCCATTTGCCCTTTTTCCTCCTACTCCTTTAGCCACTCTTTGTGTCTTCTCAACTTGCTCCTCCTATTCCTCCTCCCTCTCTTAGATCTGAGGGATCCTGCGCCACCTCGGTGATTTCCTCTATAAATTGATGGCCTCATTTCTAGCTCCAGGTCAGAGCTCTGAGTTCCTAAGGCTCTTAGCTCACCTGACATTTGTGTTTGGTTTTTCCACAGCCATCTCAAACTTCATCTGTTCAATGCAGAACTCCTGATTTCCCTTTTTAATCTGCCTAACCGCTCTCAACCAGTGTACCCCATTTTCACAACAGCTACAACTATTTTCGGGCCAACAGTATATGAGTAATTCTTGATTCTCCTTCTTTCCTTCTCAGCCCATGTATTATACAATCCAGCAGCAAGCAACGTTGGGTTCTATCTTCTCATGTACCCCAATTCTCCCCATATCTTCCTGTTTCTGCTATCAGCAGTGTCATCCAAGTAGCCGTCAGTTTTCACCTGGATTGCTCCAGAGGCCTCCTAATGGTCTCGCTGCTTCCACTTTTGTTCCTTCTAGTTCTATCATTTCAGTCCTTTCTTCATTTTCCTCACAGCACGTGAACACTTGTTTGATTTGTAATGAATTATAGAAATGATCCCTGAAAGTAGAGAGTATAGTCTTACACTTGTTTAATTTGCAATCATGTTATTTGTCTGTTTCCTTATCTGCTCCCCACCTTCAATACCAGGCCCATGAGGACAGGGACCATCCCTGTGTTAGTCACTGACTAGTAGTGGGAAAAGTAGATACTCTATAAAGAAGTATTTGAAGCCAGGAGTGGTGGCTCATGCCTGTAATCCCAGCAACTTGGGAGGCTGAGGTGAGAGGGTTGCTTGAACCCAGATGTTTGAGGCTGCACTAAGCTATGATTGCACCACTGCACTCCAGCCTGATAACAAAGCAAGACCCTGTTTCTTTTCATAAAAGAGAGGCCGGGTGTGGTGGCTCATGCCTGTAATCGCAGCACTTTGGGAGGCTGAGGCAGACGGATTGCCTGAGCTCAGGAGTTCACGACCAGCCTGGGCAACACGGTGAAACCCCGTCTCTACTAAGATACAAAAAATTAGCCAGGCATGGCAGTGTGCACCTGTAGTCCCAGCTACTCGGGAAGCTGAGGCATGAGAGTTGCTTGAACCCGGGAGGCGGAGGTTGCAGTGAGCCAAGATCGTGCCAGTGCACTCCAGCCTGGGCGACAGAATGAGACTCCATCTCAAAAAAAAAAAAAGAAAAAAAAAATGTTTGATTTGACTATCTCTCAAATGTAGCTCAGCATCTGGTACTTCAAAAATTTTTGAGTCTTCTGGCCTGAACACCTGAGGAAACATTGCCTGTAGGGTATGTTTTTGTGGGGCAGAGATCATTTTGCAAACCCCATGGCCCATTCAGCTCTCAAGCTGCGTTTAAAATGAATCAATCTGATCTTAAACCTACTAATAACCAGAAGTGCCGTGCAGCCAACTAGCTCACCCCCAGGGTGGGTCCAGGCCCTGATCACTGCCAGCGATGAACTGATGCTCTTGTGGCCATCCACACACTTGCTCCCCAGAGGCCTCAGGCTTCCCGGCCGCCCAGCCTGTTGACATGTGCCGTGATAATTCTCCAAAGCCTCAGGTGAAGTGTGTGGGGAGCAGATCTCCCAAGCAGGTCAAAGGTGGCTTGATTTAGGATGTGTTGTCCTTTCCTTTTTGGGTACAAGCTGGAACCCGTGTGCAAGATGGTTTTGTTCAGGCTTGTCAAGTTATAGGAATGATCCTGTGCACCTCACATCTCTAGTTTATAGCTTCAGAGCCTGTGAGAGAGGAATGGGAACCCTTCACACATCGTAACTATGAGTAGCATATCTTAGGCACCAGCTACATGCCAGCCCCCAGCTAGGTCTTTATTGACATCATCTTCAGTCCTCACGTGGCTCTGCAAGTGAATGGGTCTGTGCAGCTCAAGACTGAGAAAGCCTGCAGCCGAGCCCCCTGCCCCTGCCTGCACCCTTTCCAACTCCTCCAGAGCTGGAGCTGTGAAGGCGGCCTTTGCCAGGTTCCCCTGCAGGTGAGGTTACATCTTGGGGGTTCCTAGGTTTTTTTCTTGTTGCAGGGGTGGAGACTTGGCAGCCTGGGAATGTAGGGCCATGGAGTAGGCAGGTGGGGGCCTGGCCTGGGTCCCACCTTGGCTGAGTGATCTGGCCAGAGCTGGTGTGGGGGGTGTAGCTTGGCCTCCCACAAGCCTCCCTCAGGGGGTCTGGGCCAGGCCCAGCATTTGGATTGACAGACTCAGCCCACCCAGGAAAGCATAGACTCTTAGAGGGAGAGGGATCTTGGAGGGCTTCTCAGCACTTGCCAGCATTTACCACTCACTGTGTCTGCAAGGGACACTCACTCCACTTCTGATAGAGGTATTGCACCACTATACCAATTATTGTTCTTGTAGCTATTATTATTATTCTGCTAATTATTTTCATATTGAGGTGGGAGAGTATGGCTCATTTATTTTTGTACCCACAATGACACAATGCCTGGGAGGCAGGAGTATGGAGCAGATGGATGAATAAGTGAATGGGTGGATGGATAAGTGGATAGGTGGTTGGATAGTTGGATGGATAAGTGGGTAGATGGGTGGATGATTGGGTGGATGGGTGGATGGTTGAGTGAATAGGTGGTTGGGTGGATGGGAGGGTGAATAGGTGGTTGGGTAGACAGCTGGATGAGTGAATAGGTGGGTAGAGGGGTGGATAGGTGAGTGGAGGGGTGGATGGTTGGATGGACAGATGGGTGGATGGGTGAATGGATGCATGAGTACATGGATAGATGGGTGGATAGGTGCATGGGTGGATGACATAAGGGTGTATTGATTGGTAGATATGTGGATGGGTGTGTGAGTGGATAGGTGGTTGAGTGGATGGATGGATAGGTGGGTGGATGGGTAGATGGGTGGATAGATGAGTACTTGGGTGTATGGGTGTGTGGGTTGATAGGTGGGTGGATTGGTGAATGGTGGGGTGGACAGGTGGTTGGGTGGGTAGGTAGATAAGTGGATAGATGGGTAGATGGGTGGATGGGTGTGTGAGTAGATAGATGGCTGGGTGGATGGATAGATGTGTGAGTGGATGGGTAGATGGGTAGGTGGATGGGTGATTGGGTGTGTGAGTATATGGATGTGGATGGGTGGATGGGTGTGGGGGTAGATAGATGGTTGGGTGGATGGGTAGATAGGTGGATAGGCAGATGAGTGGGTGAAAGGGTAGATGGTGGATAGATAAATGGATGAGTGGATGGGTAAATTAATGTATGTGTACATGGGTAGATGGATAGATGGGTGGGTGGGCGGGCAGATGGGTGAGGAGGTTGAGGGCGGGGGGGATTTGCCTCCACTTGCCCAGTCAGCTATCACAGAGGTACAGCACTCCAGTCCTTCTCACCCTCAGCTCCCCGTCTTTCTCCTTGTCTTTGACCATGCCTGTTGGTCTCTCCTCTCACACTGGGGGCATATAATGTGGCTGGGCTTTGGGATCAGGCTGAGTGTCCATTCTGCCCCTCAGCAGTGATGGGGCCATGGGGTGGTGCCAGTCACCAGCAGCAGCAGGGCCTGTGGTAAGAAAGAAGCAGGCGCACTGGCTGGGGCCACTCCTGCAGCTCCCCACACGGAGCCCTAGGCCTCTGGTTCCTTGTGCCTTTGGGGTAGCACTGCCGATACAACTTTCTGTGATGGTGGAAGGTTCTGGGTCTGTGCCATGCAATATGGGAACCATTAGCCCTGGGTGGCCATGGAACACTTGAAGTGTGGCTCATGTGGCAGAGGAGCTGACTTCCAAAATATACTTAATTTTAATTAGTTTAAATATATATTTCGATAGTGGCAGATAAGTAGTGGCTACCATTTTGGGCAGCACAGCTCTGGTGGGCTGGGCTAACTCTTGTTTGTAAAATCGCCTCATCCAAGGGAGGTTCCTGGGAAAGGGAGCCCCCTGACTCCTAAACCTGAGAACCCAAAATAGAGCTATGGAGGGTAGTCTTTCAGCAGGGGTGTTGGAGACACAGCTGTTGGGGGCTCAGGCACCCTGTGCTGTCAGCAGGGGCAGGAGCATCTGGTGGCTGGACACACTGCAGAGAGGTTGCTGGTCCCCTGCCCCATGTCCGTTCACTGTCTCCCAGACCTCCTGACTCTGAGCTGGGCCTCTTGGAATGAAGACCACAGGTCTCAGCCTCCCTTGCCTCTGGGTGTGGCCAGGTGACCTCTTTCATGAGACAAGGATGAAAGCAGAAATGCTGGGAGGCAGTGACTGGGAAATATCCGGAAGGAGACCCCTCTGGGCATGGCCTCTGCCTATCTCCCCTTTCCTCCATCCTGCTGCTTGGAGCAGAGGTGAGGACCAGAGTGCACCTTTAGCCATGAGGACCAGGAGACAGCCTGGGCTATGGGCAAGAAAGCTGGAGGGAGCCTCAGCTTCATGTTCAAGCCCAACCAGCTCATTGCCCTGGAGGGGAGCCCTGGCGAGCCGAGGTTTACCAGGCCTGGCTCTCTTCTGTCCTCTCCTGCGCTCCGCAGGGTCCTGGGCTTTCTTTCTAGCACGTGGTCCTGGCAGGTGCTGAGGGGCACGGCCCAGCTTCTCAGACAGCATCCGCCTCCCCTGCTTCCTTTCCAGCCTCTCCTCTGGCTGGGACAGACTATCTCTCTCCAGGTGGGACACTGGCTTGGTGTACAGGTCCTCCTATCCTGTTGTTTATGGTCTAAACTTTATCCTTGGAGCCTTTTGGAACCAAAAACCAAAACATAAAACCAAAAACCCAAAAACGTTGATCTGTTATAAAGCCTGGCTCTTGCAGTTTTAGGCCTCGGCTCTTAATGTAGTTTCACTTCCCAGCGTCTCCGTAGCCATCAGTGGAAGTCGAAAATGTACAAGTGTGTGCCCTGTTCCCGACTGTGCGGCCCCACCCTGGGGACAGCGAGTCTGAAATAACCCCTACCTGAATGGCCTAAGTGATGGGGCAGCATAAAGTACCAAAAAATCCCCCAAACCAGAAACAAAGCATTTTGTCAATATGTTAAAGTATTATATTATTCTGACACAAAGAGAAATAGCTCCCTGTGAGCTGACAACAAATGCTGAATTCCGAAATGGGGTCTCTCTGTTAATGGGGTAGACGCTTCTTGGACTGAAAGGTATTTGGATCCCATGGGGGGTGGGTGAGGAAGCGCAGAGTGGAGGGGTGGGGTAGGGTGAGCTTGTCTGAAAGGGTGTAGCCCCTTTAAAGTCTTTCGGGGCCCACCCCTCAAAACAGATGCCAGCCGGAGTCAAGCCCACCCCTAACCCCCCGCCACACACACACACGCGCACACACACGCACTGCCTACTGCTGCTCTTGGCTGGTTTCGTATTTCCACTCCATGCCTCTCAACTCCGGCAAGAATAACATTTCCATTTGTACCTTGTTAGGCCCTGGAGACCACAGGGTTCTAAGGAAAACGAGAGCACACATGTTTCCTCGCTGACTCACATGAGGGTCGACGGGTTTCAGCCATAAAGGTCCACTGTGCCCCAGCAGAAGCTGGGTGCGTGGCAGCCAGCCCCAGGAGCCCCCCGGGGGTCTGCAGGTTGCAGGGGGTGATGTATTTTTTTTTTCCTAGAACAGTGGGTGAGCAGGGGGCTGGAGCTGGCAGACTGTGACACATGTGTGTGTGAGGTCTTCAAAGCCTGCTTAGGTCCCCAGGCTCTTCCCCAATACAGGGTGGCCCCTCCCTCCCACCTCAGGGCCAGGGGCCTCAGGGTCATGTCTGCCCTATCAGTGGCGTCTGCTCTTAGAAACACCTGAACACGGACAGTGAAATCCTCAGGGTTGTTGCATTTAGATTGGGATTTGAATCTCCATATTTAGGAATGAAAGGTGGAATGTGAGGCATCGGCCAGGGGGTGGGCAGCTCTGTTTCTGTGGCCTTTCCTTTTCAGTACTCTCGAAATTACTCATCGTCCGTGTTTCAGGCCCTGACCACAGGGCTCAGATCAAGTATATGCAAAGGACCCTGGGTAGGCCTCCCTCCGAGAGCCATGAGCTAGTAGAGACCAACCTAGAAACCTCTCCCCACCCAAAGAGCCAGGGCAGAGTCTTGCAGTTCAGCCCCACTGTGCCCTGCCTGCCTGTGGGACTAGGGGGACCTCCAGCCCCTCTTTGGGGAGTCAGCTCTTTCTTCTGTGAGGTGAAGCGGGTCACCACATAGCCATGAACACAATAGCCAGATCTTAGGTTCTGCACCCCAGTCCCACCCCAAGGGACCAGGGCTCTCTGGGAGACTGGCTGGTTCCGGGTCTGGGCAGGAACGGTTTGAGGTAAGCCCGGACATCCTATGCCAGAAAGCAAGAAGTGCCCAGAGATTTCCGGGACAATTGGAACTTCAAAAAGTGTGGTGCCTGTCAGTGAGCATAAAGCATAGTGTGTTCAGTCCATGGACCCACTGTGATAAAACAGGAAAAGACAAAGCAAAGAAAGAGAAGGCGAGAGGAAAGCCCGTCCGTCCCCACTGGAGGGGAGCTTTGCAGGAGAAGCACCTGTTCCTCCCAGGGAATCTTCTTTATGGAAGAACGTCCGCTAATGGAGAAGGAAGGAGAGAAGTAGAAAATCGCTGCTCGACACCCTCAGTGAATAGCTGGTTCAGACCAGGCCAGTCTCTGGGGCTACTCCCGTGCAGTGGAAGGTCACGGAGGACTGGGGTGTTCACCGGGCACTGAAGCACCACCCCGAGATAACCTGCTGATTGCAAAGTGGAAAAGCCCTTTAGGGAAAAGATCTGGGGCTCCTGGGCTGGGCCCCTCCCTCGCCCCTGCTCCCACTGGGCCAGAGCCTCCCTGGCAGGCAGTGGCTCAACGTCCTTTTTTGGAAGGGGCAAGGGTTCCAGTCCCAGTCTTTTGGGCTCCTTCTGGACGTCCTCAGGAATGCAAGGTAGAGAGTCTGATCACCCCTAAGTCCTGAGAGACAGGAGCAGGCCACATCTTTGGGAGTAGATTCCTGAGAGCCGCCTTCCTCTGAGCATGGCCCTGGGAGTCTAACTCTGTCCTCTGCACAGTGGCTTGGGACAGGTTTTCCTCTGGACCTCTCAGAACCCTCACCTGGAAAATCTGGCATGCACAGATCAACAGCCCTGCCAACTCTGCAGTTTATGAAATAACCACACTTCAGAAATGTCACTATTGTTCCTTGCCTTTCTTTGGCTAAGTGAGGTCTGAGATAACGCAGACACTGTGCAGCAGCTGGTGACTCTGCAATTCTGCGCTGCCCACAGAGGATGTCCTGAAGCCAAGGTCCCCAAGTCCTGGTGTTAAAGCAAGTCAGAACAACACTATGCTACGAAACCATTCACACATGCACATACATGCACCTGCATACAAGACACATGCAACACATGCATGCAACACACACACAAGTGCACACAACACAGACACCCACACACACACACGCAAGGTGTCGAGTGTATGTGTGCTAATCATGGCAGAACAGGAAAGGCCCTGCCCACACTGTTAGGGTGGTGAGGCAGGAGCAGAGTGCGGGGTGTGCGCGTGGCTTGGTCTGTCCTCGTAAACCTGGCGGAACAGGAAGGGCCCTGCCCACACTGTTAGGGTGGTGGGGCAGGAGCAGAGTGCGGGGTGTGCGCATGGCTTGGTCTTTCCTCGTAGTTACTTGTGGACTTAGAAGGCAGATCTGTTAGTTGGCTGTGTGTGCGTGTGGAAGGGGAAGCGGCCCCCGGAACACAGGCTTATGAAGAAGGTGCTGCATGTGCCTGGATGTTAGATGTCCCTCCCTGCTCAGTCCCCATCACATCCATGTGGTCTACCTCAGTCCCACCGTGTTGCCTGCCACACCCACCCGTGCAAAAGCACAACCTGTGATGTCATGTTCTTGGTTTTGGAGGATGTCCACTCCTCTGAGCTACCTGACCCCAGCTCCTCTCAGAGGCAGGCTGGCTTGTTATTGTTAGCCCATTTCACAGAGGAGAAAATCAAGGCTTGGAGAGCCTTGGGGAATTGTCCACCGTTGCACAGCAAGGAGCGACTTCTCCTGAACCCTCGTTCTTTCCACACCCCACCCAGGCTCCGGTTGCCCTTCTCCTGGCCATACCTCTGCTTGGCTTCCTGATCACATTTTCTCATGTCCACAACCTTCAGTGCCTCCTATTGGCCTAGAGTGAAACGCGAGTCCTTGCTTAGCAGTTCTGTGAGCCCTTTCCATTGTCCCAGCTCCTCTCTCTCTGGATGCCTTCCTGAGTGCACTGCCTGGTGCCAGCTCCCCACTCCTCAAATACGTGGGAATTGGTCTCTGCTCATACAATCCTCTCCCATAGTCACTGTTCAGGAGATATTGGTTGTAGAGGTTCAGAGGAATGGGAGTGGCGGAGACCTCGTCCTGGAAGCGGAGGGTGGGGGGATGAGGTGTCCTTGATGGGGGAACAAAAGGCATGAAGGGGTGTACCTGTGTGCATGTGAGATGCAAGACTGCCGGGGGCTGCTAGAAAAGAGAGGGCAGGGGACATCTGGTGATGCCAGCAGAAACCCACAGAGTTCTGCCTGGGCAGCAGGTAGGAGCTGAGCTCATCTTCACAGGGATGGAGGGACCTCGGGGGCTTGTGACACCCTGTAGACCCTCTTGAAGCTGTGCCTGGGTCTCCACTGCAGGGGCTGTTTCTGGGTGTGGACATCATGTTCCCAACTGAAGACGATTTTTATCAGCTTGGGAATGATGAGATTGTAATAATGACAGTACCTAATGTTTAATGAGTGCTTACTGTTTCCTTGGCACTGACTGAGTGCTTTACGTGTATTTTCTGGTTTATCTTAACTGGGTACAACCGTGCACCGCATAATGATGTTTTGGTCAATGACGGACTGCATACACAATTGTGTCCCATAAGATTAAAATACCATATTTTTACCGTGCCCTTCCTATGTTCAGATATGTTTAGATACACACCTGCTTCCCAGCATGTTATAGTCGCCTATGGTACTCAGTACAGTAACATGCTGTGCAGGTTTGTAGCCCAGGAGCAGCAGGCTGTCCCATATGGTCGGCTGTACCACCTAGGCTTGTGTAAGAACGCACGAGGATGTTCACACAATGACAAAATTGCCTAACAACGCATCCTTTCTCAGAACGTATGCCCATCACTGACAGATATGTGGCTGAACTATTATTTTACCCTCTCAGGTGCCTCTCCGGACTCACACATCTTTTCTCTCTGGGCGCCCATGGGAGTTACCCACCGGAAGTGCAGGGGGGCGCCGTGGCTTGTCCGGCTTGCCGCCCAAGGTAGGGCTTCCCCTTGTCTGGTCTGTGGCTTTCACTTTAGTGCAGCCTCTGAAGTGAGTCTAGGGGTCAGGAGGGGGCATGACTTGTAAACAGTCCCATGTAAGAGCTGAGAGCCACTGCTGAATGAACAGGATCTTCCTCAGTCAGTGGTCAGAGCTATGTTCAAGACACATGTTTCAAAGCAATTACAAGCCTGTTAAAGAAAGGGATGGAAAGAAATGAATAGACACTTCACCAAAGCAGATATACAGACACATAACAGGCATGTGAAAAGGTGCTTCCCATTATTAATCACTAGGGTAATGCAAATCAAATCCATGATAAGGTGCCACCATGCATCTATTGAAATAGCTGAAATTGGCCGGGTGCGGTGGTTCATGCCTGTAATCCCAGCACTTTGGGAGGCCGAGGCAGGTGGATCACATGAGGTCAGGAGTTCGAGACCAGCCTGACCAACATGGTGAAACCCCATCTCTACCAAAAATACAAAATTAGCCGGGCATGTTGGCACATGCCTGTAATCCCAGCTACTTTGGAGGCGGAGGCAGTAGGACTGCTTGAACCCGGGAGATGGAGGTTGCAGTGAGCCAAGATCATGCCATTGCACTCCAGCCTGGGCAATGGCTGGAGTGAATTGCCCACTCCAACTAAAAAAGTGTTGGAGTGAACACTTTTTTAGTGAAAATGTGAAACTCCAACTAAGAAAAAATAATAATAAAATAAATAAAAGCTAAAATTGAAAAGACCGACAACACTAAGTGCTGGAGAGGAACTACCTTACATTGCGGTGGGACGTAAAATGGTACGAGCATTTAGAAAACAGTCTGGCTGTTTCTTTTCACAAAGTTGAACTATACCTACCATATAACCAGCAATCCCTCTCCTAGGTATTTATCCAAGAGAAATGAGAACATGTGTCTACATAAAACCTTGTACATGAATGTTGATAGCAGCGCTATTCATAACAGTTGAAAAATAAAAACAACCCAACTGTCCATCAACTAGTGAATCGATAAGCAGACTGTGGAACATCCATGCCATGGAATATTACTGAGCAATACAGGGAATGAATGCCTGATTTATTCAACAGCATAGATTAAACTCAAGTCACAGAAGCCAGACCCAAAAGCCTACATATATGATTTCAATTATATGACAACCTGGAAAAAGCAAAGCTGTAGGGATGGACAAGAGATCAGTAGTTGCCAGGTCTTGGGGTGAGGGATGGATATTGACCAAAAGGGACATGGGGAAACCTTTTGAGGTGGTGGGAGTATTCTTTAGCTTGATGGTGGTGCTTACATGAAAGTGTACATTTGTCAAAATTCATCACATTGCATACCCCAAAAGGGTGAATTTAACTGCATACAAAATATAGCAATAAATTTGGTTAAAAAATAATTCAGCCCAAAGGGATGCACCTCACCCCTTGATCACACCTTAGGCCATGCCTTCCGATAGCCATCTTTGGCACAAATATCCTGGACAGCGGGAGGCTGCAGGTGAGAGCCGGGAAGGAAATGATTGCCCCACGGAGAAGCCTGGTTTAAAGGCTGTGACACGGGGCCTAGCTCCACCTGCCTGGCTCTCCAGGAAATGGCTTTGTCTGCTGGATTTGCTTAAAGGGGCCTTAGGCAGTACCGTCTCTGAGGAGGGATCCTGCTGGGACCTTTCAAGGCCAGGTTCCAGGAGCATCAAGCCTGCAGAAGGGCTTTCAGCCCCAGCCCTGCAGGCCATTCCTGGCTCCTGGCCGGCTCTGGACCACCTGGCAGGAACTTCCTGGGGCCAGGCCACGCCTGAGCTGCAGCCCCTCGTGGTTCCAGCCACGGCCACCTGGGGGACTGCAGTTGCTCAGCAGTGGAGCCGCCCCTCCCGCCTCATGGCTTATATGGAGCTGAGCGTCAGGGAATTAGGAACATACGGCTGAGAGTGGCCCTGACAGACAGGAGGTGTCAGAGGCACCTGGCAGCTGTGCCCCGGCCAGACCCAGGTCCTCAGACCCTGGGGTCCTCTCAAGCATCCGGGGCCTGGCAAAGGAGCATGGGACTGGGGTGCAGGAGGGTCAGAGGTCAGGAGTGGAAACGTGGGTGACAGGGAGACTTTTTCAAGAGCAGATGGAGACTCTTTCATGTATAGAAGAGTTGCTGCTGGCCAACCAGGGAGGCATGGGCAGAGGCTGACCCGCTGCTTTCTCACACAGCCCCCCATGGCTGGCCTGGCCCTGAAGGGGCCTGTGGGGCTGGCCAGAGCCTTTTCCCAGGTGACAATGACCAAGTTTGGGGTTTCTGGAATTCTGGAATGTGAATGGTCACTCCCTATGTCAGCTGCAGGTGTGGGGGGTCTGTGGTCCTCATGTCACTTGGACTCATGTCGCTGAGTCTCCGTGTCCTTATTGTTCCCCTCATGAGGGTGGGGGCTAGGCGAGGTGGGAGAGGAGCTGGCAGGCCTGGCGCATGGTGCAGGTGAGGAACCACGGCCCCCTCGCTTCTTGCTGTGGAGGGGGTGGTCCGGTCAGCCAGGTCCCAGAAGCTGTGACCTCATCCCCTCACCCCGCCTCAAGGGGAGTTTGAGGAGAAGGTGCTTGGATGAGAGAGGTGGGGTGCCCAGCTCTGCTCTCAGACCCTGCTCCCCGGGACAGTGGACCTCACAAGTCCCTCCACAAGAGGGGCAGTGGTTAGGTGACAGTGACATGCCCAGTGCAGGGGAAAGGCCAGAGTGGACGCATCTCCTCGAACAGGCGACAGTGAGCACGTGGCGGTCCCTTTCCTCCTGCTCCACTCCGCAGACAGCTACAGAGGGTGTGAGCAAAGGTGCTCCCCTCGAGTGTGGAGTGGAGGCCTGTGGGGGAAGGGAAGGTTCCTGGTGGGGAAGGATGGGAGGAAGGGAAAAGGGGGCCAGAGAGGGCTGCAGCAGAGCAGGCCTTGCCCCTGGGCCGAGCAGGGACAGCCAAGCACGCATGCTCCGTGGAGACCTGGCCCACGTCTAACTGCGGAGTCAGCTGTTTCTTTGAACCAGCCTTCAGGTAGGAACATTTCAGTCATCGGATGCCGTGAAGCAGTTCTGGTGGCCTCTCTGGGCTGGAGCTAGGCCTCAGGAAAGAGCCCAGGTCAGCATCTCTGAGCTCTGCGAGGTCCTGTGCCACCGGCCCTATAGGCCACACCCTCTCCAGTCCCCACAGTGCCACTCAGAGTGCACCAGGCTTGTCCCTTGGGCCAGGATCTGACATGGCCACCGATGGTGGGGAATGGGCAGGACTCCAGCCAGGCCTCCAGAGCCCACGGACCACTTGGCGTCCCTGACCAGACTGCTCCCCATGTGAGGATGGAGGTAGCTTTTCCTGGGGTGCCTTGGTGGAGACTGGCAGATGTGTTGGCTTCGGAAGCAGAACTGCACTATGCTGCAGTGAGCACCTGAGCCCCTGCCTTGCCTAGGAGGAGAGGCCCACCTCACGCCTAGATCTGTAGATGCATAGGCTACGTCTATTCCTGTCGCAGGGTGGCCACAGATGAGGAACCTGAGGGCAGAGGGGAGGCCAGAGGGGTCAGTGACTCACTCAAGGTAAGACCCAGGACTCCAGCCCCCTGCGAGCCCTGAAGTCCGGTGTTAGTCCCTACAGCGAAGCAGATACCTAAGGCATCCGCTCCAACCCACGGTCTCCAGGGCCGCATACACGCTTCAACGGCTGGTGTATTTTCACTCCTGCAACGATCTTTTAAAAATTAAATATTTTTGAGTTGGCAATAGTTGTATATTAGTACAAAATTTAAAATGAACCAAAAAGCATCTGGTAAAAATCTCCTTTCCTGCTCCTGCGTCTAGTGACTCTTTCCTGGAGAAAACCAGTGGGGCCATTTTCTTGAGTATCTTTCGGGAGATATTTTTGCTTAGTCAGGCAAATACATTTATAGACTCCTTTTACCACTTTTAACCTGAATGGCAGCATACTATACATAATGATTTGTTCCTTTCTTTTCTTTTGGCTTAACATGTTATAGAGCTCATTCCTTATGCATATAGAGCTACCTCTTTTGTGTTAATGGTGGCATGGTATTTCATCATCGGAGTCAATACTGCTGTTTGCACAACTCTAGGCAGTACCTTTCACATGGTATTCAATGAGGCCCTGGATAGATGCACTATATTTAACCAGCTCTCTATTAAAAAAATTTTACTGTGGTAAAATACACACAGCATAAAATTTACCATATCGTATTAGTCCATTTTCGCATTGCTATAAAGAAGTACCTGAGACTGGGTTACTTATAAAGAAAAGAGGTTTAATTGGCTCCTGGTTCTGCAGGCTGTACAGGAAGCATGGCTGGGGAGACCTCAGGAAACTTACAATCATCGCAGCAGGTAAAGAGGAAGGAGGTACGTCTTACGTGGCTGGAGCAGGAGGAAGAGAGTGAAGGGGGAGGTGTCACACACTTTTAAACAACCAGGTCTTGTGAGAACTCACTGTCACAAGAACAGCAAGGGGGGAATCCACCCCCGTGATCCAGTCACCTTCCACCAGGTCCCTCCTCAAACACTGGGGATTACAATTTGACATGAGATTTGGGCGGGGACACAAGTCCAAACCATATCACATATCAACCCTTTTTAGGTGTGCAGTTCAGTGATATTAAGTACATTCCCACTGTTGTGCAACCATCACCACTATTCATCCACAGAACTCTCATCCTATGAAATCAAAACTCTGTGCGCATTAAATACTAACTCCCCATGCCGCTCTTCCCTTGCCCAGCCCCTCCACAGAACTCTCATCCTATGAAATCAAAACTCTGTACGCATTAAATACTAACTCCCCATGCCGCTCTTCCCTTGCCCAGCCCCTCCACAGAACTCTCATCCTATAAAATCAAAACTCTGTACGCATTAAATACTAACTCCCCATGCCGCTCTTCCCTTGCCCAGCCCCTCCACAGAACTCTCATCCTATGAAATCAAAACTCTGTGCGCATTAAATACTAACTCCCCATGCCGCTCTTCCCTTGCCCAGCCCCTCCACAGAACTCTCATCCTATGAAATCAAAACTCTGTGCACATTAAATACTAACTCCCCATGCCGCTCTTCCCTTGCCCAGCCCCTCCACAGAACTCTCATCCTATAAAATCAAAACTCTGTACGCATTAAATACTAACTCCCCATGCCGCTCTTCCCTTGCCCAGCCCCTCCACAGAACTCTCATCCTATAAAATCAAAACTCTGTGCACATTAAATACTAACTCCCCATACCGCTCTTCCCTTGCCCAGCCCCTGGCAACCACTGTTCCTTCTGTCTCTATGATTTTGACTCCTCCAGTTATCTCATCCAAGTGGAATCACACAGTCCTTTCTTATTTCACTCGGCATTATGTCTTCAAGGTTCATGCCTCCTGCAATGTGTCTCAGACTTTTGTTCCTTTTGAAGGCTGAGTAATATTCATTGTCTGTATTTACCATGTTCTTTATCCATTCATTCATCCATGCATGCTCAGCTTGCTTCCACATTTTAGCTGTTGTGAATAACATTTCTATGAACATTGGTGTACAAATTTCTCTTTGAGATGCTGCTTTCCGTTCTTTCGGCTACAGACCCAGAAGTGAAACTGTTAGATCATATTGTAATTCAATTTTTAACTTTCTGAGGAACTGCTGTACTATTTTCCACACAGCGGCAACATCTTACATTCCCAGCATCACAAGAATTCCAATTTCTTCACATCCTTGCCAACACTTGCTATTGTCTGTTTTTTTTTTTAAATAGTAGCCCTCATAATGGGTAAGCAGTGGTATCTCGTAGTTTTGATTTGCATTTCCCTAATGATTAGTGAGTTAAACATCTTTTCCTGTGTTTGTTGGCCATCTTCTTTGGGGAAACATCTATTCAATCCTTTGCCCATTTTCAAATTGGGTTTTGTTGTTTGTTGTTGTTGTTGAGTTTCAGGAGTTCTCCATATATCCTGGATATTAATCCCATATCAGATATATTATTTACAAAATTTTCTTCCATTCTGTGACTTGTCTCTTTACTCCAACCAGTTCCCTATGAATGGACATTTAGCTTGTATGCTAGTCAGCTCCGGCTGCTGTTAACAGATATCACCAACTGGGGTGCTTAAACAACAGACATTGATTTTCTCACAGTTCTGGAGGCTGGAAGTCCAAGATCAAGGTGCCATCAGAGCTGTTTCCTGGTGAGAGCTCTCTTCCTGGCTCATAGGTGGCTGCCTTCTTGCTGTAGCCTCAAAGGCAGAGAGGGAACACTCTGGTGTCTCTCCCTATTTTTTTTTTTTTTTTTGAAACAGAGTCTGGCTCTGTCACCAGGCTGGAGTACAGTGGTGCGATCTTGGCTCACTGCGACCTCTGCCTCCCAGGTTCAAGCGATTCTCCTGCCTCAGCCTCCCAAGTAGCTGGGATTACAGGCATGTGCCACCACACCCAGCTAATTTTTGTTAGTAGAGATGGGGTTTCACCATGTTGGCCAGGATGGTCTCGATCTCTTGACCTTGTGATCTGCCCACCTAGGCCTCCCAAAGTGCTGGGATTACAGGTGCAAGCCACTGCACCCAGCATCTCTCCCTGTTTTTAAGAGGAAACCAGCCCTAGAGAATCAGGGCCACCTCCTTCTGATCTCATCTAACCCTGATTGCCTCCTAATAGCCCTATCTGCAAATACTGTCACACTGCAGGATTCAGGCTTCAACATATGGATTTAGAGAGGACACAATTCAGTGCATAGCAACTTGTTGCCATATTTGGCTATTGTCAAATAAAAACAATACGGAGGGCTGGGCGACCTGCACATTCAGTCCCTTAGAACCAGAAGCTTGAGCAGCCCAGAGGCCAGTGCAGACCCTGCTTGCCTGGCGCTTTGCTGTGACCTCTGCTTGACAATGCTTGCTGCCTTGGAGCTGACGGGCTCTCGTCCAGCTCAGCTGGGGCACAAAACCGTGTAGCTTTGTCTAATTAAGAGCCACAGATGAAGTGCACCTTGGATGTGTTTCTTATTATTTCGGATGAAAGGTTGGCCTCTCTAGAAATCACCCCCAAGATTACTGTGCCTCAAACCTCGCTTGTTCCAGCCGATAGGGAAATGACGTTTTAACGATCATGTTAAATGAAACTGTAAGCTTGACCTTATTAGCTGCCTCTTCTTAATTAGCTGCTTATGCAAGCATTCTTTCCCCCCTGTAGATACAAATCAACAATTTCCAAGCCATCTTTGAACCAACCCACTCTTCTGTCCCCTTGCCAATTCCCTAGCTCCAGGGTTAATAAACTTCACATATGCTCAAGAGCAATTGCGTTAAGAAATGTTGCTTCCACGTAATTACTAGCAAAGTGCAGCATCAGCAGCCATTCATCCCTCACACATGTGCAAATTTACTGCAGGGTACATTCCTAGGAGTGTGTGTCATGGAGGACGGCTTGGCAGCTAGCATTCTGTGTGCTCTCCTCGCTGTTCCTTCAAAGGCTGGAAGGTGAGCCACTGCTTTTCCCGCTTCCCTTGCCGCTAGAGTTCTAAATGTGAAATGGGTTATGCCCGGTGGTCAATGTTTAACAACCAGCTCTCAAAAAAAAACAAAAAAACAACACAAAACAAAAGCAACCCGGCTGTTAGTGCTTGCTGATTTCCATGGTGTAAATATATCCACTGTGGTCAATTTCAATCTTGCTATCCCCTGGTGTCCCTGGACCTGGAATTGGAATTGCCGTGCACCGTTGGCTGTCACTAGGCTGAGCCAGCTCCAGCACATCCATAGTCCTGCCAATTCTTCGCACACCACTATGATTCAGAGGCCAAGACTCTCCTCCTGCTGCTTTTGGCCGTTTCTGCTGGCGAGCAAAGTTGTGGTGGTTGTTTTTCCTGTGGCAGCGTTCCAGGGTCCATTCAGTCCCTTTGTGGGGTCAAGAGGCAGGTATGGTACAGCACTGGGAGCCTCCCGACCCCCACCTGGCTGAGTGGAGTCAGGCTAGCAGAGCCCAGCCGGCTGGTCCCCAGGCCTTTTTCCGGGCACCACGCCAATAGGCCTGGCCCATGCCTCTCAATAAAACGGTAAGCCCCTAATTTCCTGTCTAAACCCCTTTTTGCTTAAAATTGTTAGAGTGGTTTCTGTTTCCTGTAACTAAACCCTGGCTGATGTAAAGTGGAACCTGAAACTGCATTTTTTTTTTTTTAAAGCAGATGTACGTTTTCCTTAGGCTTGTCTCCTAATCTGTCTGTGCAGAAGGATTTTAATGCGTTGTGAGGCCTGGGAGGACAATAATGAGTAAATTGGCACTCATTAAGCTTTGTAAATCTGAGAACTCTGGAGACAAAGCATCTGAGTGAGCTGAGAAGGGTGAGACCCACTTCTAGGGTCTGTGAGGCCCTGTCCTCTTAGCACTCCTTCTGCCAGGCCCCGGCAAGGCTGTCTGTGTTCACCAGGCAGAGGCTAGGCTGTAGGATGCTGGCGTTAGTTAGGGAGAAACTGGATTTTCTTAGATCCACAGAATCAGACACAAGTCATGAGACTATGTCATTTAGTTTGCAACTCCAAATGCTTTTGAGGCTGAGTTAACTGTGGGACGTCTCTTTGGATTTACTCTCAGGCAGGGCTCCTCCCTGGGGAGCAAACTACTCCTGAGGTGAGATGGGGGAGAACAGATGTGTACCAGTGATCCCAGCAGCCTAGGGAGGAGGCCCGACTTGCAGAGGCATTCTTTCAGCTCATTAAAGAGCACCCTCTTTGATAAAGGCAATTACCTCTTGGGAAAGAAGCCTGTTAGCAGCCCTCAGAACCTGGGTGTGAATGAATTTCCAGGTTCTTTCCAAGCTGAGAGCAGGTAGGTACTGCGAGGATGAGGCACAGCCTGGGTAAGTCTGGCAGCCGGAACTGTGGGGAGTAGACCCACCCACGGTCACTAATAAGAGGGGCTAGTCGGGACTGTGCCCTGAGAAGTGGGAGCTGAGCCCTGCAGAACCAGCTTCTAGGCTCTGTCCCCTCCTGCTGGCCCTTGGATAAGCCTCTCTGGGCCCCCTGCTTTCTCATCTGTCAAATGGGGATTATATTACCTAGCCTCATAATGTTCTCCTGCGGTGGGTAAAATGGAATCTTCAAAGCGCTAGGGAAATAGAAAGTGAGGGCGGGGTAGTGGGAGCTGTGGGCCTGGGTTCAGGCAGCGAGGTGACACACTGTCACTGAAGTCACAATAATAAAATCTACTAAGTCAGACGACTGGTGTTTTTGTTGCTGTTGTTTGTTTTTCTAATTACCAGGCATGATTAAATACTCCTGCCAGGGAAAATATTTTGTTGATCTAAATTCTAAACAATTGTGAGGGTTTATGTATATATATATATACTTCAAATCAACATGATTTTATTTATTATCCTTTGATAAGCTTTGTATTCCAAGTGAAAGTTAATTTCAGAACTCCCAGGTATAAAGTCGGTCCAGAAATGTGCTTTTCAAAAGTAAGTTGTGAGCCGTCTGAAGCCACTTTGGACATCATTCACGTCTCCAGTGCCCCAGGGTGCTGTGAATTCCTACATTTAAACAGCAGATTTGACGAAGCAACAATAGCACAGTGATCGGAAAGAGGAAGATTCGGAACTTAAGTTACTTCAATTCTGTATTCTGTGTGACCATTGAAGTCTTGTTTGTGTTTAACATTTAAAACAGTATAAGAGGCCAGGAGCGGTGGCTCATGCCTGCCGGTAATCCCAGCACTTTGGAAGGCCGAAGTGGGCGGATCACAAGGTCAGGAGTTCAAGACCAGCCAGACCAACATGGTGAAACCCTGTCTCTACTAAAAATACAAAAAATTAGCTGGGCGTGGTGGCAGCCGCCTGTAATCCCAGCTACTCGGGAGTCTGAGGCAGGAGAATCCCTTGAACTCAGGAGGCAGAGGTTGCAGTGAGCCGAGATCGCGCCACTGCACTCCAGCCTGGGTGACAGTGTGAGACTCAGTCTCAAAAACAAACTAACAACCCCAAAAAACAGTACAAGAGCACAAACTGCAAGGTGAGGGGACATTTTAGTTCATATATGAAATATTTTACTACATTGGAATGATATATTTAAAATTGGAAACATGTTCTTTTTAAATTATTAATTTAAAACTAAGGAACAAATCAAGAAAATTAAATATTAGAGAAAATATAGTAGTTGCCCAAGTTTTATCTTTTGCAGATGTTTTGTCTCATTTACTGAAATATAATTGATATACCATAAAATTCACTGTTTTAAAGTATACAATTCAGTGTTTGCTTTTTCTTTTTCCTTTAACCGTACTCACAAGGTTGTACAGCTTTCACTGCTATCTAATTCTAGAATATCTTTGTCACCTGAAAAATAAACCCCATACCACGAGCAGTCACTCTTCACTTCCCTCAGCCCTGGGCAGCCACTAGTCTATGTCTTCATGGATTTGCCTATTCTCAGAATTTAATAGAAGTGAAATCATATAATAGGTGACTTCTGCATTTGGTTTCTTTCCCTTAGCGTAATGTTTTCAAGGTTCTTCCATATTGTAGCATGTCAGAATTCCCTTCCTTTTGCTTTCCTTCCTGAATCATATTCCCTTGTATGGCTATACCAGATTTTCTTCTCCATTCGTCAGCTGCTAGGCATTTGGGTTATTGTCACCTTTTGGCCATTGTGAATCATGCTCCCATGAAGATTCATGTAGAAGATTTTGTGTGAATGGAGGTTTTCATTTTTCCTGGGCATAGACCTACGAGTGGAATTGCTGGTCATGTGGAAACTATGTTTAACGTTTTGAACAACCGCCAAGGGATTCGTCCTTTTGTGAGTGTATATCCAGTCCCAGCAATTTCTCCACATCCTCACTAACGCTTAGCTGCCCTTTAAAAATTAGAGTCATTCTAGTAGGTGTGAAATGGTCTCTCACTGCGGTTCCTTTTTTTTTTTTTTTTTTTCCCAGAGACAGAGTTCTGCTCTGTCACCCAGGCTGGTGTGCAGTGGTGCAATCTTGGCTCATTGCAATCCCCCCACTCCCAGGTTCAAGCGATTCTCCTGCCTCAACCTCCTGAGTAGCTTGGACTACAGGCACCTGCCACCACATTCAACTAATTTTTTTGTATTTTTTTGTAGAGATGGGCTCTCGCCATGTTGGCCAGGCTGGTCTCGAACTCCTGACCTCAAGTGATCTGCCCGCCTTGGCCTCCCAAAGTGCTGGGATTACAGGCATGAATCACTGCACCCAGCCTCTGTGGTTTTGATTTGCCTTTCCAATGACTTTTGATGTGATTATTGGCCATTTTTGTATGTCTTCTTTGGAGAAATGTCTATTCAATTCCTTCAGTCATTTTTGAATTGGGTTATTTTGTCTTTTTATTACTGAGTTTTAAGAATTCTTTATACATCCTAGAAGGAAGTCTTCATCAGATACATTATTTCCAAGTATTTTGTCTCATTATTTGTATCGTTCTTTCACTTTCTTGGTGGTTTGCTTTCTTTTGTTGCTGATGGTATCTAATCTAAAGAAACCATTGCCTAATCCAAGGTCAAGGAGATTGACGTCTGTTTGCTTCTGAGATGTTTTTAAGTTTTAGCTCTTACATTTAAGTCTTTGATCCATTTTGAGTAAATTTTTTAATGTCGTGTGAGACAGTAGTCCAAATCCATCCTTTTGTTTCAGCACCATTTTTTGAAAAGATGATTCTTTCCCCATCAACTTATCTTGACACACTTCTTGCAAATCAATTGACCATAGATGTAGCTACTTGAAGTTTTATTTCTGTTTTCCCTCAACTTCTTATTTTCAAAAATTTAAGTGGCAGGCCTTTGTTCTTCCCTCTTGTTACAGTTTGACATTCCTTCCTAAAAATCACTCTAAACTTTGTGACGGGTCCCAACTGTCCTCCTCACGTCCCCAGCACTTAGCTGGGGCAGTTGGCCTGGGGGCCTTGGTTCTCCTCCATGTGCCCCTCCGGCAGGCTGGCTCGGGCTTCTCACAGGGACCGGAGTTCCAGAGGGACAAAAGCGAAGATGGAAGGCCCCTTAAGGCCTTATTTGGAGTCACATGGTGTCTCTTGTGCCACTCTTTATGAGTCACAGCAAGTTGCAAGGCTTGGCCAGATTAGAGGGGTGGGGAACTAGCCTGTGCCTCTTGATGGGAGAAGATGGAAGGAATCTGCAAAGAATCTCTGACATTTTAATTCACTGCAATCTCTGAACATGCCAGAGTGTTTCCTAAGAACAGGAGAATTTTCCTGGATAGTCACACATGGTTGTAAAGTAAGCATCTTCAGAGAAGAGGACATTTAATAGAGGCCTGAATGAAGAGAGGGAATGAGACATGGGGAAGAGTATTAATATCAAGAGGAAGAGCACGTGCAAATGTCCTGGGGCAGAAAAGGACTTGGGGTGTTTGAGAAGCAGCACAGAGACCCAAGCAATGGGAGTGAGGGTGGGGCTGTTGTGAACATCAGATGGGATAAAATATGTAAAAGGGCTGTATTATGGAATAGTGAGGGGAACTATTTCTCTTCATACTGATTCTCTGAAGATATTTTCAGAGGGTGGGAGAGGACAGAAAAGGAGATACCTTCCATAATAACGCCCAGCTAGGTCAGGGGCAGGATGGGCCTTGGTGATACGTGTCCCCCGGAGTGTCTCAGTGCTACCGGCTTTTGCTGCCCAAAGCTGGTGCTACCTCAGGAACCTCCGCCAGCCCTCCCAGGTGGGCTGAGCACCTGCCTCAGAGCCCCTCCTTCCCAGCTGCCCAGCCCCAGCTTGGTGGCCTTGCCATGGGCTGCCGCCGGCTGACTCCCCTGGCCCCCTGGTGTTCAGGGTCCCAGGTTCCAGTGACTTTTAAGTGGCAACAGAGTTCAAAGGTGTCAACATTGTGAGGTGCAGGGCTTCCCCAGGGGCTGCTCTAGGACCTGGGATCTGTTTAGGTCAGAGAGCACTTAGCCAGGGCACTTAGAGAGCCACATCAGCCTACCCAGTGAGCCGCGGGTGGACGGGGGCCTGGCCACTTTTGGTTTTTGAGGTTTTTAGTATATGAAAAAAGAAAGCCAGAGACAGACAAAACAGGATGACAAGCATTGAGATGCACATTTAACTAACTGATAGTGCTTTAATGAAAATACAGGGGGAGAACACTTGTGCTATTCACAAAATATCGAAAACCTTATTTCCAAGTGCACCCCAAGTTACAGGTCCCTGGCGAGCAGCAGCTTCTTCAGTCCCACCTGGAAGGTCTGGATGACTCTGGTCACCCAGGATGTCCTCAACCAGACCACGTCTGGTCCACCAGGGTCCTTGGTGGCTGGGGGCTCCATTCCCACATGGTAAGGGAGGCTGCTCTGCAGGGGGAGGCTCAGGGGTCCAGCGGTCCGGGCAGGGTCTGCCCGCCACTCTCGCTCCCTGACTAGCCCTGTACACCGTGAGCAAGGTCTCTTTCCCCCTCTTTCCTCTTCCTCTGTCGCTAAGCGCCCCACTCCACACCCCTGCTTTTTATTTCTTTTCTCTCTCTGTGTGTCTCTCTTCCCCGGGCCTCTCTCTCTCTGTGTCTGTCTCTCTCTGCTCTCTTTCTGTCTCTGTCTCTTTCCTCTCTCTGTGTCTCTGTGTCTTCTGTCTGTTTCTTTCTTTCTGTTTCTCTGTTTCTCTCCCAGCCCTTTTTCCCTCTCTTTCATCCCCGACACTAAAGCAGAACCGTCATGGGCCCTACACCCCAGCCTCTGGATGGGAAAAGCTGTTTTGGGAAGTCTTGGGCCCTGCACCCCAGCGTCTGGAAGGGAAAAGCTGCTTTGGGAAATCCTGGGCTTGGGAAGGAGCAGCAGGTCGCTGGCAGCCTGGGGACTTCCTTCTCTCCAGGCAACCCTCTCCCAGCTGGAGGGCCCAGCCTTCCCAGCCCGCGCAGTCCCTGCTGCGTCTGGTTTCTGACCTCGCTGTGTCCAGGGCCGTGTTGTCTTGTGTCTCGGCAGGACCCGCACAGCTGGAGTGAGGCAGCCAGGCCGGGCCGTGGGGCGTCTCGGGGCTGCTGGCGCCCTCGTGAGGGGAGGACTCCCTGGAGACGCTTCTCCTTTCTCGGTCTCCTTCTGTCCCCTCCTCTAGCCAGTTGCTGCTTTCCCCAGATACTGGGGAATAAAGATGTTCTTGGACAGCAGGATTTGTCCTCTCACTGGGCTGAGGCCCGGCCCCTTCAGGGCTGCGGCTCCCGGACGTGCGAGGGTGTCATTGTCCCAGCCACCCGAGGAAATGGCATGCCTGTAAGGCGCGCCCAGCCTGGCTCAGCTGCACAAATGTGGCGTTTAAATATTTATTTTTAGTGGCTGCGGGTTTAATAGCAGCCTTCATTTTGGTGGGGGCAACCCTGAAAAGTAAAAATAAATCAGACCTTCGCCTTGTCAGTAAATCCTCCTGGCCCCTGCTGGGTGGACTCTGGGCCCGGTGCCCCAGTGTCCAGGGTGAGCTGGGAGGCCCGTGATTTGGGGGGCCACGCTGGGAGCCAGGCCAGCCTGCAACCACAGCTCGTCACGGAGACGCCCGAAGCCCTCCTTTCCCAGTCTCCCTGCCTGGCCCGCGCCACCTCCCCACCTGGCCCAGCTCACCGGCCTCACGCTGGGCTCATCAGCGGCTGCCAGGCACGGCGGCCGGGACAGAGGACCTGGGTCTGGCATGGGCACCTGCTGACCCCTGCTCAGGTCAGGAGGCCCGGGGTGCTCTGAGTTGCACATGTGACTCCCTCAGCCAGATGGGCTCTGACGCTTTCAAACTCCGTCTGTACCTCCTGCTGGCCTCGGCTCTCAGGCTACACCTGCTGGTCACCCTCTGCTTGCCCCCACCTGAGCTGGCCCTGGAGTGAGGGGTGAGCAAGTCCCCCGTGGTAGTGTTGAGGACGTGGTAGATCTGAGGCCATGCTTTGGCTTGGATTTGAGACTGTTGGGTGCTGGAATTCTTGCCCCACAGCCAAACGGGAGGCTGGCCCTGGAGGGTCTTGGGGGCCACTTCCCCAGGCCCCCAACAAAACTTTCTTCTGTCCTGCCTGATATGGGGCCTGGCATCCCTCTGGAGAAGGGCTTTTCATGGGTCAAGGCTGTGCCTGTCAGAGGAGCCTGGACCGAGTAACCCCAGAGGAGAGGGAACACCCACCACCTATCAGGCTTCTGCCGCAGACACATGAGTGACAGCTGGCCCGGACAGAGGCCCTGACCCCAGTTTTCAGATGTGAAACCTGGCTCAGAGAGGCCAAGTCCCTTTCCTCAGGTCAGAGCTCACAGAGGAGTGTGGGCTCACACCGAGCAGCCCATGCTTTCAATCCTCTTCCGGGCCATCTCCTCATTAAGTCACTTAATGGCTGTAGACACATCAAAGCTGATTGTTTTATCACATGATTCTCAAACTCAAATAATGGAGGACAACTTTCCACCCTCATTTTAGGGGGAAAGATTCTCTTGGTCCCCTAGTGTTGGTTTAAATGATTTTTATTATACTGCTACTTAAGTACATAAACACCTGCAAGCAGGCATAACCCTCTTATGCTTACAGCTGTGATAGAATCATACCACCAAGAGCCATTTGCAAGTTAAATACAAACAGCGTGAAAAGAGGAATGGCATTCAAATGAACAGAATTAGGCCAGGCACCGTGGCTCACACCTGTAATCCCAGCATTTTGGGAGGTCGAGGCGGGCAGATTGCCTGAGGTCAGGAGTTCAAGACCAGGCCTGGCCAACATGGCAAAACCCCATCTCTACTAAAAATACAAAAACTAGCAGGGCATTGTGGCATGTGCCTGTAATCCCAGCTACTTGGGAGGCTGAGGCAGGAGGATCACTTGAACCAGGGAGGCGGAGGTTGCAGTGAGCCAAGATTGTGCCACTGCACTCCAGGCTGGGTGACAGAGTGAGACTCTGTCTCAAAACAAATGAACAAACAAAAAACAAAACAAAAAAAACACAAATGAGGCCGGGCGCAGTGGCTCAGGCCTGTAATCCCAGCACTTTGGGAGGCTGAGGCGGGTGGATCACCCGAGGTCAGGAGTTTGAGACCAGCCTGACCAATATGGTGAAGCCCTGTCACTACTAAAAATACAAAAAAAATTAGCTGGGTGTGGTGGCATGCACCTGTAGTCCCAGCAACTCAGGAGGCTGAGACAGGAGAACGGCTTGAATCTGGGAGGCAGAGGTTGCAGTGAGCCAAGATCGCGCCACTGCACTCCAGCCTGGGTGACGGAGCGGGACTCTGTCTCAAAAAAACAAAAAAACAAAAAAACCCCAAAAAACAAAAAACAAACAAAAAACCCCACAAATGAACAACATGAGCTTAATGAGGTGTCTAATGGTCTAATGGTGTCTACTTTAGTGCCAGCTCCCTTGGGCTCAGCCCACCGGGGATGTGGGTCTCTCTCCATTGTCTTTACTTGAACTATGACAACTGCTTGTTTGCACAACACATGTTGTGCCAATGGCCCTTGGCTTGGATAGGACAGCAGCGTGCTCCCCCATTCAGATGCCAGTCACAGGATGGAGTACTGTGGAGTAAAGCTGGGGTCTGTGTCTTGTTTGTGCTGTGCCTGCATGCTAGTTGCTGAGCAGAGTCCCAAACATGTGGCATCTTAGGGAAGAGTTGGGGCAGGACTGGAGCAAGGGACAGCAGGGCCCGGCGTGGGGTGGGGAGTTGTGGGCTCAGAGCAGGGGATAGGCCAGGAGGCACACTCAAGTAAATCTTTTGCCCAGAGAGAAGGTGGCAGGAAAATCTCATGGCCTCCAACCTCCAGCTACATATGAGTGAATGAAAGCGGAATGACATCCCTGTCCTTTGTCCCAGGGAAGAGGTTTGTCTTGGAAGGGCAGCCCTTGAACGCTGTCCCGCAGGTCCCCCTGCAGGCTGCTACCTGGCCTGGATGCCCCGGAGCCTGAGCCAATTGTGCCACTGGCTGTTCCCGGCCTTGAAGCTCCTGTGGGCCCTCACTGCCCCTGACCGTTCCCTGTTTCCCTGAGAATTAAGGTCAGGCAGTGGGGCAGCCAGGCTCCAAGGAAGGACAACCAGATAAGGAAGGGGGCTCCCCACCAGCCTGAGAATGACTGACAGGTGGGCATACTAACCCCGCCTCCTGGGACTGACTGACAGAGCTGAACGCCTGCATCTGGGAAGGGCAGCGCCTCTGTCCCTGTTCTCCGTGGCCCCATGTCGCCTTCTCTCAGTGTCTTGCGGATTGAATGGGGTAGCCAAGAAGTGTGAGGCCCTTTGTCTTTCAGGCCTGTTTGGCGCCTCTCCACCTACCTGTGGATTGCCCTTGGGGTTGTCAGTTGCCCTGTACTGTATCTGAATGTGTCCCCCAAGATTCATGTCTTGAAATTTAATGGCCAATGTGGTAGTATTAAGAGGTGGGGCCTTTAGGAGGTGACTGCGTCATGAGGCAGAGCCCTCACGGATGGGATTAGGGCCCTTAGAAAAGGACTTGAGGGAGCGGGTTCATCCCCTTCGGTCCCTTCCGCCACGTGAGGAAGGATGCAGCATTCATCCCTCTGGAGGGCACGGCAACAGGCACCATCTTAGAAGCAGAGACTGGGCCCTCACCAGACACAGAACCTGCTGCCGCCTTGACCTTGAACTTTCCAGCCTCCAGAACTGTGAGACAATAGTCTGTTCTTTATAAATAACCCAGGCTTAGGTATTTTGTTACGGCAGACTGAATAGACTAGGACACCCTCTCTGGACACCAGAGAGGTGGTGGGTCCAGACACCCTCTCCGGACCCATTACACCCACTGTGTATATATATATATATATATATATATATGCTATATATACATAGTTCCCTCAAGCCCTTTTCTAAGGGCCCTAATCCCATCCGTGAGGGCTCTGCCTCATGATGCAGTCACCTCCTAAAGGCCCCACCTCTTAATACTACCACACTGGCCATTACATTTCAAGACATGAATCTTGGGGGACACATTCAGATATATATATATATGTATATGCCAACACAGTTTTTTTCTTCTGATGAAGTCTTCCTCTGTCACCCAGGCTGGAGTGCAGTGGTGCAATCTTGGCTCACTGCAACCTCCACCTCCCAGGTTCAAGCGATTCTTCTGCCTCAGCCTCCTTAATAGCTGGGATCACAGGCGCCTGCCAACACACCCAGCTAATTTTTGTATTTTTAGTAGAGACAGGGTTTCACCATGTTGGCCAAGCTGGTCTCAAACTCCTGAGCTCAAGTGATCTGCCTGCCTCGGCCTCCCAAAGTGCTGGGATTACTGGCGTGAGCCACTGCGCCTGGCCACAGATACAGTTTTATTAGAAAGTTCAAACCAACAGCGACAATAGCCACAGTAACTGTGAGCTTCTCCCCAGGTGCCTGGGGCACCAGGATTTCTCTCGCTGGAAGACTGAAGCTATCTGACCCCGTGAGGTATGAGCTGGGACGAGACGGTGGTCGTGGGGCAAAGGCAGCTTCGGCAGCAGTGCTTACATTTCACTTTTTTCTTAGTTTCCTCTGGGAGAGTGGGAAAGAAAGCAAGTCTTCGACTTTAGAAGGCAAATCTTGGTTTAGGTGGTGCCCCAATCAGAAAGCCACGCGTGCCAATGGCCTCTGGCCCATCACTCCACTTCTCTCTCCATGGAAGCTACGGCTCCATGAAGCTCTTTGGAAGAATTACAAGCAAAGCCAAAGTTATATTGTGGCCTGGATCTCTTTTGGAAGTAGGTGATGTATAAATTCTTAATTAAGGAGATATACAATATTATATTTGAATTTTCAGGCCCAGAGCCATCCTGGATAGCACAATGAGTGGAAGGGAAGTCTCTTATGTCCCCTGAACCTCCCTCTTCGGGTGTCTGCTTCATAAAAATTGCCAGAGAATTTGCTTTCCCAGAAGAGATTCTGCCTCCAGACCTCCTGGCCTGGGTGGGGACAGAGCATTTACCTTGCCAAGCTATGGGAACAGAGGGACTGTCCCTTTACAGGGCTACAGGGTTGCTGAGCTAGTAGGATGCATCTTTTTAGCTCCTTTCATGAGGGGAGGCCTACCTGTGATAAGATGAGATAGAGAGGCCCTGGATAGAGCCATACCTGAAGCCACCTACTCAGACGCCTCAGTTATATTAACCTACAAGTCCCCTCTCCTTTTTTTCCTACAGAAGATGGCTTGTGGTTGACAGAGCCTTGCCCACTGTAAGCACCAGGAAGCATGCAGTAAGAAGAATGTGGGCTTCCTCAACCATCCACCCACAGGCTGCTCTTGACTCAGGCCCTGTGATGTGTGCTGGGGGCCCAGGGATGAATTATGTCCTCAGTTACGACCTCAGTCCATTGAAGGGTCACTGAGACAAAGCCACGCTGCCCTATGCTGAATATTGGAAGGGTGGGTGGGAAGAGACTAAGGGAGGGCTTCCCAGAGGAGGTGACACCTTAACTCAAGGGAAGAATGGGGCTTGCCAAAGAGAGGAGAAAGCGTGGGCACAGGCCACGAGGCTGTCAGGACATGGAGTGTATGAAGAAACCGCAGGCAGTGAGCCGGGCCAGACTTCCCTGTGCTGGGGGAGGGTGGAGCGGTGGGAAGACAGCTGCAGCCCCCACGCCAGTCCTGCAGGGGCCCCAGGCTGGCCCTGCTGCGTGGAGTGTTGGCAGGAAGAGGCTGGAGGGAAACTCAGGAAGACACGCATGGCTGAGAACAGTGGTGGGGGAAGGAGGGGAGAAAGCCATTTTCTTTCCAGCCCCAAATGGTAAAGAAATGACCCTCCTCCTGCACAAATTGGAGTTCCTGCAGCTGGAAAGAAATCGGCTCATGCCATGTTTTATGATGCCTCGCCTGGGCCAGGCGGGGCCAGTACAGCCTGATGTGCTCACAGCTGGCCTGGCTGCCCCCGAAACCACAGTGACTGTCCTGCTGGCCCGGCCCTGGGCCCCGGGCCTCCACGTCCAGGCTGGAGAAACTTGGCTCCCCTGCAGCTTTCAAAATAAAGTGGTTTTTATTTCATATTCACAAGAGAAGGTAACAAAATATAATTGGGGTTGCTGCTTCTCATATTATTTATGCAGTTCTCCCCCCATCTCTCTTCCCAAAAGCAAGCCACAAAGGGGTCTTTGTTCTCTGCAAGTTCAAAGTCAGCTCCTCCAAGGGGAAACTTATTGGCGATTACAAGGAGGAGGTTCAGTTTTACAACGGCTGGCTGTCAGACCAGAAATATGGTACGCGTCAGGGTTCCGGTGGGAGCCGGCCAGAGTGCGGTCTGCAGGCTGCAGAAGCCATGTGAATGATTTCCAGTGAAAGATAGGGCAGGAGTGCCAGGGACAGGGGCAGCAGGAGCCACTCACGTCTGCTAGGCACACTCTGTCTCCATAGCCTCAGTTTCCTCACCTGTAGAATGGGCATCTCCACACTGGACTAAACCAGAGGATTTCATTCAGTCCTTTGGAGCCACGGGGCCCTGCCAACGCTCTCAGAAAAGAGTGGGCAAGACTCAGGGGCACGCATCCCCACTCCTGCCCTTCTGAAGGCTTCACTGATTGAATGTCCAGGTCAGATTTTTTTTTTGAGAAAAAGGTTTTTATAAACAAAAATCAGTAAAATCCTAGCTGGGTGCCGTGGCTCATGCCTGTAATCCCAGCACTTTGGGAGGCTGAGGCAGGGGGATGGCTTGAGCCCAGGAGCTCAAGACCACCCTAGGCAACAGAGTGAAACTCCATCTCTAAAAAAGTTTTTAAAAATTATCTGGGCATGGTGGTGTGTGCTTCTAGTCCCTGCTACTTGGGAGGCTGAGGCAAGAGGATGGCTTGAGCCCAGGAGTTTGAGGATGCGGTGAGCTGTGATCCTGCCATAGCACTCCAGCCTGAGACCCCATCTCTAAAAGGAAAAAAAAAATTGCAATAGCCTGGCCTGGATGAGCTTGAAGGCTCACTCCCAGCATCCTGTAGGAAATATGGCGCAGACAGGGCCTCCACCCTCAGCTGTCTGTGGCTCCTCTCGCCATGGTGGCCCCAAGTGGGGAGAATCCCAGGGATCTGGGTTGCCAACATCATGTCCCCTAGACACAGAGGGCCCATAGGGGTCCTTGGTGAGCATGCACTGGCTTCCTTAGCCACAAAGCTGTCCTGGGACCTACGCCTGGTTGAGGGTCCTTGAGGCAGCAGCCCTGGCCTTGGCTGCCCTGGGAGGCATCATTTTAATGAAAGCAGCTATTTCTGCAACAGCGAAAAGACCATCAGTGGGATTGCAGGTCACCTTTGCAGCTCTGGGCTGTCCATCCCCAGATGCAACATGATGTGGGAGGCCGGAGGCTCTGGCAGGTCCACGCTGGGAGGACTGGCCTCTTCTCTCACCCTGATGGAACCCCTGCAGGCCTGGCCACCAGACTCAGGGCCCACGACCTCCCAGCTTTCATTCCAGCTCCATTCCCAAGGAAGCCTGGGAAGTTGGGGGTGGGCTGGGGGAAGTGGTATGTCCCAGCGGCCTGTGCCTGCCACCGGAGCTCTTCACCATCCACCAAGAGGCGGGGGCCCCTGGGGGGAGAGTGGGGGACACCTGACCCTCCTTTGCTGGGAGCAAGAACTTCATTTGGGAGACCAGCGATGTGTTTCTGCAGCTCCAGGACGATGATATCGGGGCAGGGCAGGGAACTGACGGTGGGAGGAGGAGGGGCTTCCAAAAACAATGAAGTCTTCACCCTCCCTCTAGCCTCAGAGAGATGTGGCCCTCCCTGGTGAGATGCTCGGGGAAGAGGGAGAGAAGAAAGGAAGAGAGGGAATGTGAGGTGCCTCCTGTGTGCACTTCATGGAAGCCAGAGGGAGAAGGAGAGCATGGGAGGGGCTCCCTGCCTGCCTCCAAAATCATTCCAGAGCATTGATCTTGGGGAATTGCAGAGCAGAGGCCAGGCCTAGGTGAAGGTGGATGCTGAGGATCCCCCCAGGGCAGAGGACTATCAGACTGGAGGTGAATCCTGGGGGCCCAGGATTGCCTCCCTCAGTGGCCTCTCTGTCGCCCTTGCTGCCGGCCGTTGAATTCACTGATAAACATCAGCCCAGGGAGTTGAGACCTCAGGGCCCCTGGAGAAGATCTGTGCAGGCAAGAAGCGATCTGCTGAAGCCACAGTTCAGGGTCCTCTTTGCTCACATCATTTTACGTGAAAGAAGCTATTTCTGTGATAATGAAAAGGCCACGGCGGGGTTGCAGGTCGTCTCTGCAGCCCTGGGCTGTCCATCCCCAGACGCCATGCAATGTGCGAGGCCGCTGGCTCTGGCAGGTCCACCCTGGGAGGGCATCATGCTGCCAAGGTCCTCCAGCACCCACAGAGCTTCTCCCCACCTTACAGACAGGGAAACTGAGGTTCACAAAGCCAGTAGAGGTTAGGATTGGGGTCATTCCTGGGTCTGCTGACTCCACTCTGCTCTTTGCCACTTGATATTGGATGGGAGCAGGGCACTTACATTTAACACCGTGTGTCCTAGGGGGCAGGCGCTACACCCTGCACTTACCTGTGTTACCTTGTTCAATCCTAACACCATGAGTGGGTATCGACCCATTTTGCAGATGAGAAACTGAGGGTCAGAGAGCCTAAGTAAGTTGTGAGTGTGGATTGAAACGCAGACCTGCTTGACCCTAAAGCCCTGACCCGCTCTACCCCTGTGGAGCTCTGCGGCCTTCCCAGGGTGCCTCCCTTGAAGCTCCCTCGGCGGCCCAGGGGCATGCCCTAGGGAGCTTTAAAAAGGCTCATGTCTGGACCCCAGCCCCTGAGATTCTCATCTACTGGCTGGAGTGTGGCCTGGATGTCAGGGGTTCTTGGTGTTCCCCGTGGCCTTTTCTGGCAGCTGGGTTGAAAATCACAGTTCCAAAGGATGTCATCAGCCTCGAGGCCAGGCAGGGCCTGAGCTTCCTGCCCCGCTTTCCAGCCCCAACTTGCCCAGGAGAGCGAGGAGTGGAGGAAGCAGAGGCCCTGGCTGGGTGCATTTTGAAGGCAGTGAGCCTGGCCTGCCTGAGTCTTGGGCTCACTGAATATTCTCCCTGGATCTGGGGTGCCTGCTCAGAGTGAAGTCCCTGAGTGTGTTTACTTTTCCAAGAAACCCGCTGGGCTCATGCCACCTCTTCCAGCTTCCCGACCACCCAGCGTGATGTTGGACGCCTTGCTCCAGGTGTCCCTGTGAGCCTCGTGCTCTTGCCCCTGCCTGTCACGACCTGGCACAGCCTGGCTCATTTATCCGTGTGCTTATTTATGTCAGTCTTACCCACCTGAACGGACGTCCACGGCATGGGGGACCTCATCTGTGGCATCTGTCATGGTGTCCCTGGGTCTAGCACAGTGCCTGGCCCCTGGAAAGCATGTGTGTGGAGGAAATGAATGGATGGGGACGGGCTCACACCTCTGGGTGCTGATGTCATGTGTGACTTGAGGCTGATAAGCCGAGACCCCAGTGACTAAGCTAGTTGTAGGAAACCCTCAGTGCAGGGGGCTGAGCAGAAAACCCCTGGGAAGAAAGCCCTGCTGAGTGCACAAGCCCTGTCCAGGGTGGGGAGGGGCTGGCAGGCCCCAGACTAGTGTCCAGCTCAGCCTGGGCTGGGTCCTGGGGATCTGGGATACGGTGGCGCACCCTCGACCCTAAAATTGCCCCAGGCTTGTCCCCCCTGGGGTGAGGTAAGCAGGTCTGATGCACACGTCCCTTGGTACAGTCAGAACCACCCAACCCGAATACTTTACACTTCGCTCTTTAAGTCGCGCCTCTGCAGCTGTGGCAATGGGTGGCCCCAGTTTGTCTGGTGACTGAGCCGCACAGATGTCCGTTTGGAGACGGCAACCTAGGGACTCACACATGCAGGGAGCTGCTTGCCAGCGATGGGTAACCCGGCTCTCCTGAGGGGGCCTCAGGGGGTGCTGCAGCCACACCCACCCTAGCTCCCCTGCCCCTCCCCAGGGTCCCCTGCACATGCAGGGCTGGCTGGGCTGGAGGATCACCTGCAACCCTCAACCCCTGAGGGTCCCCAAACCTGTGTGTTGGAGCCCCCATGAGCTTTTCAAAGCCCGGTGTCCAGGTCCCCACCAACAAGTCAGAGTCTCTGTGGTGACACCTGGCCTTTGGTGTCACCCAACAGGCCACAGAACAAGCTTTTCCCCGAGGAACCGAGACACCTGCTCAAGCCTCTGCTCATTGCTGTTGGTAGTTCTGCTTGTGGCCAGCAAAGCCACATAATACCTAGGACAGTTTGATGACATGCAGGGATGCCAGGAGGGAGCTTTTGAGACCAGGATGGTCCTGGGAAAGTTGGGGTGTCTGTGATCCTCAGTAAAGGTCAAGGCTGTGAGCTGGGAGAAGGAAGGAGGGATCCCGAGGAAGGCAGCCGAGGCAGGTGTTGGGGGTTCATGATGGAGGCATGTGGGGCCTGGGCCTGGCGAGGAGTGAGCAGGTCCCCAAGGGAAGGAGGAGCAGGGTGCCCTCTAGGCAGGGGCAAAGAGGCTGCCAAAAAGGGAGGAGTGAGAGGCCGATGGGGTCTGGGGGAGAAGCACCAGGAGAGGCAGGCCACGCCGAGCAGAGCCTGAATGCACATTAAGGGAGCTGAAATCCTAGGCTTCAGGTAAAGGATAGCAGAAGCAGCTCAGTCCCTCTGAGGCTGGGACCCAAAAATGTCCGGAAGGTTGGAAAAGGCCACCATCAGCGGGCGTTTGATGTCCGGAAGGTTGGAAAAGGCCACGATTGGCAAGCTTTTGTGAATGGGTCATCTCTCCCAGCATCCTGTGGGGTCAGCTGGTCCCACGGGAGCTGTGGGGGCCTCGAGCAGCTGCTACTGAGCCCCGGCACCTCCCTCACAGTCCAGATATTTCCAAGCTGTTCCTGCGTCCCTGGCTATCCTTCAGTGACCTCAGCCAGGATGGAAGATAAACCAGCCACTGAACACGCATCCCTGGGACCACAGCACCTGGCCAGCCTGAACCACACAGCGATGGGTCTTGGGCCTTCATTCCTGGGACCCCTCACCTGGTCAAAAAGGAGGTGGCTCCTCAAAGTTAGGGGCCCTCCAGGCTGTGGTGAAAGGCTGCTTCATGAATTGTGCACGAGGCCATATAGAGAGGGGATAATTCCGTGGTGGTAGAGATAGGGGCCTCGCATTAGAGGGCCTCGCTTTTCAAGATATTTAGAAACGCAACGGCTTATTTTTGGGAAAGAAATTTTCAAAAGTCCTGGGTGTAAATAAGTAAATAAATAAAGCTAAAAATGGTCTCCAAGCCTTGGAGTGGCCCGATGGGCCTTCCCTGAGATTGTCCACATGTGGGTGGGCTCTTTGTGCTAGTTAACAAAGCAGTCAGTTCCCTCGTTGTTACCATCTGTGTTAGTCCGTTTTGCATTGCTATAAAAGGATACCTCCGAATGGATAATTCACTAAGAAAAGAAGTTTATTTTGGCTCATGGCTCCGTAGACTGTATAAGCAGGGCACCAGCATCTACTCAGCTTCTGGTGAGGCCTCTGGAAGCTTACAGTCACGGTGGAAGGCAAAGGGGGAGCAGGTGTGTCACATGGGGAGAGAGGAGCAAGAGAGATGCCAGGCTGTTTTAAACAACCCCTTATCAAATGAATGAATCCAATGAGTGAGTGAGAACTCACTTGTCACCAATGGGTGGTGCTCAGCCATTCATGAGGGATCCATCCCCGTGACCCCAACACCTCCCACCAGGCTCCAACGCTGGGAATCCAACACCAGGGACCACATTCCAACATGGAATTTGGAGGGGACACACATCTAAACACATTACCATCAGTACTATTTTTGTGGACTACATGCACTCATGCCTTGACTCCTGACTTCCGTGGGCTGAAAGTACAGCAGCATTTTTTTTTTTTTTTTTGAAACAAGGTCTTGCTCTGTCACCCAGGCTGATGTGCAGTAGTGTGGTCCTGGTTCACCTCTGCCTCAATCTCCCCAGGCTCAGGTGATCCTCCCACCTCAGCAATTTTTAAAAATTGCATAAACATTGTCACCTTGCATCATGAAGACAATAAGTGACTTTAACATTTCTGTTTGCTGGGCACAGTGGCTCACACCTGTAACCCCAGCACTTTGGGAGGCTGAGGTGAGCGGGTTACCTGAGGTCAGGAGTTCAAGACCAGCCTGGCCAACACGGTGAAACCCCATCTTTACTAAAAATACAAAACTTAGCTGGGCGTGGTGGCATGCACCTGTAATCTCAGCTACTTGGGAGGCTGAGGCAGGAGAATTGCTTGGACCCGGGAAAAGGAGGTGGCAGTGAGCCTGTCTCAAAAACAAGCAAACAAAAAACGCATTTCTGTCGTTGTTATAGTGTGTGTGTGTGTGTGTGTGTGTGTGTGTGTGTGTGTGTGTGTTTTGAGACACAGTTTCACTCTCTTACCTAGGCTGGAGTGCAGTGGTGCCATCTCAGCTCACTGCAACATCCACCTCCCAGGTTCCAGCGATTCTCCTGCCTCGGCCTCCCGGGTAGCTGAGACTACAGGTGGGCACCACCGTGCCTGGCTAATTTTGTATTTTTAGTAGAGATAGGGTTTCACCATGTTGGCCAGGCTGGTCTTGAACTCCTGACCTCAGGTGATCCACCCACCTCAGCCTCCCAAAGTGCTGGGATTACAGGCAGGAGCCACTGTACCCGGCCGTCATTGTTGTCATAATGTGTGTGTAGTAAATTTCAGAAGAAAGAGAAAAGCAGTCACAACACCGGCATCCCCAGGCAACCATTTCCATGTTACGCTTTTCTTTGTTGTGATCTTTATAATTATTTCTTTAACAGGCAGGAGTAACGTGGGTGTCCAGAGCGGCCGTGGGCAGCCAGTGTGGATGCAGAGTGGGGGTAGACAGGTACGTGGACACTCAGGGACCAAGGTCCATCAGTAGCCCCTGGGGATCAGGAGGTAGGAGCCAGAAAGCGTGTCACCTCATGGGGGGATGAGGCAACTGACACACAGGGGCTGTGGGGAGACCCCCAGGGGCAGGCTGGCTTCTGCTGCTGAGCTGGACCTGTTAGGGGCTCCACTCCTAGCACTGGAGGCTTATTGTGGAGCTTCTGATGAATCCTCAGACCGAAGAGCTCCTGGTCTCTTGAGAGTCTCATTGGTGGTAAGTGGCAGGAATCGTTTACCATCAATGATAAGAAGCCCAGCCCACACCAGCTTAAGAAGAAAGGGCAATTTGTTGCCTCACATCACTGAAAAGCCCTGGGGCAGCACCAGCACTGTCGGAGTTGGGGTCTGAAGGCTATCGGCAGGCCCCTGCGCGGGTCGCACTCTTGGGAAGGCCTCCCCTTCCAGCAGCTACAGGCATACAGACCCCTCCGTGGAAGGGGAAAAGGATTAACTGATTGTGGAGGCCTGCGTCACAAGCCTATCAGCGCGGCTGGCTCTAACAAACTGCAGTAGACTGGGGGACTTAAACAAAAACCCCTTATTTCTCACAGCAGAGGCTGGGAAGTCTGAGATCAAAGCACCAGCAGGTCTGACATCTGGTGAGGGCCCACTTCAGGTTCACAGATGGCTGCTTTCTCTCTGTCCTCACATAGCAAAGAGAGAGATGAAGCAAGCTCCCTGGTGTCTCTTCTGATAAGGGCACTAATCCCACCATAAGGGGCTCCACCCTCGTGACCTTATCACCTCCCAAGGGCCCCACCTCCTAAGCCCAAGCCACTGGGGATTAGGGTGTCAATGTATGAATTTGGGAAAGACACAAACATTTAGTCCATAGCAGACACCCAGAACAAAATACAACCATTGGCTGGCTCAAACAGCAGAGAAATTCGTTTTCCCACAATCCTGAAGGCCAGAAGAAATCAAGGAGTTCACCTAGAGATCAAGGTGCTGGCAGGGGTGGTTGTTTCTCAGGCCCCTCTTATTGGCTGGGAGATGACTGTCTTCCTCTGGGTCCTCACGTGGTCTTCCCTCTGTGAGTGTCTGTGTCCTAATCTCTTCTTCTTATAAGGACAGCAGTCATATTGGATTAGGGCCCACCTATGTGACCTTGTTTTATCTTAATTACCTCTTTAAAGACTATATCAACCAGATATGGTTACATTCTGGGGTTCTGGAGGTTAAGATTTCAACATGTGAATTTTGGAGGAAGACAATTCAGTCTGCAACAGAAGATAAAGTCCCCGGCCCTAGGGGACCGGGGGTGGGGGTATGTGGGGGGAATGGTATCAGCTGCCTTTGATCACACCCTCACTGTCGGCCAGGAAAGGTGTCAATTGCTTCTCATATGTATGGTCATGATGGGGAGAAAGGTTGGCCTCTGCCAAGTGTCGAATGGTGGCTCCCATGAAGACATGTCCACATCCGAATTCCTGGAAACCTGAGGATGTGATCTCGGTTGGAAAAAGGGCCTTACAGATGTAATCAAGTGAAAGGTCTTGAGACGAGACCATTCTGGGTTACTGGGTGGGCCTTAAACCCAAGGACGAGTGTCTCCATAAGAGAAGAGGAGACACAGACACACAGAGGAGAAGGCCATGCAACTGCAGAGGCAGAGATTGGGGCAATGCAGCCACAGGGAACACCTGAAGCCACCAGATGCCGAAGCGGCAAGGGCCAACTCTCCCGCAGCGCCTCTGGAGGGGGGCATGGCCCTGGGACCCCTCAAGCTGGAATTTCTGGCTCCATCATTGTTTTGAGTCTCCAAGTTTGTGGTGATTTATTGTGGCAGCCCCCAGAAACGAATACAGCCCCTGAAAGTTAAATCATTAAAATATTTGAACAAAGTGTGGGTGATTCAATGGAACTGAACTCTGGGATTGCCTGTCAGGTTGAAGTCAGCCAGCACTTCCATCCAGCGAGGCAGGACGGGAAGAGGATGATGAGTTAGTAGGAGGAGAAGGTTTGGTGCAGAGAGGGGCAGCAGCCTGCAGAGGTGGGTTGCAGAATCCGGAGGTTTTGTGGGAGAGTCCCCAAATGTTTTGTTCATTTTCATTTTTCATTTATCATATACTTCTAACTATTTGCAAGATGTCCTGAGCCACACGAAGGCAGGCACACATGCACTTGCTCCTTTCTCTCTCTCTCTCACACACACACACACACTCTCTCTCTCTCTCTCTCTCACACACACACACACACACTCTCTCTCTCTCTCACACACACACACACACACTCTCTCTCTCTCCCCCCCGCCCCTCTCTCTCACCCCTCTCATTCTTTCTCTCTCTCTCTTTTTTTTTAAGACAGAGTCTCGCTCTGTCACCAAGGCTGGAGTGCAGTGGCATGATCTCGGCTCACTACAAGCTCCGCCTCCCGGGTTCACGCCATTCTCCTGCCTCAGCCTCCCGAGTAGCACCACGCCCGGCTAATTTTTTGTATTTTCAGTAGAGACAGGGTTCCACCATGTTAGCCAGGATGGTCTCGATCTCCTGACCTCGTGATCCACCTGCCTCGGCCTCCCAAAGTGCTGGGATTACAGGCGTGAGCCACCACGCCCGGCCTCATTCTTTCTCTCCCTTAATCTCACTCTCACTCCTACTCACACACATTCAGTGTGACCAACTACTTATAAATTTGAACTTAAATCATTGACTTTGCTGCTAGTTAACTCGATTTAGTGCAAACCTTAGAATAAAGCTGTTTTCATCCCTGTGACAAAACTGTTAACAATTGTTACCATTGAGAGCTAATTGTCTTTGTGAATCAAAACTTCCTTAATGTTCTAAAACAAGAAAAAAATGCAAAAATAAACTGGAAACAAGGCTGATGTAAATCCACCCACCATAAACTTCAGTGTTTAATGTCACCCCTGCCATGATTTGGACTCGAATACATATCATTCTTAAAGAAACACAGCCCAGATAGTAATTCCGATGTTATTTACACCTTTCCAAAACAGCTATTTGGCCTCCAGATATTTTTGCTAAAATCTCCAAGTGTGTTCCTATTTTTTAACGCTGAAATCCGAGGGGAACCTGGTAGGTGGCATTCTCTATGGAATATACCCTGCCCCCACCCTCATTATTTTCTTTCCCTTTGAAGACAGAAAAAGAAAACTGACCTCTTTGGCTTTTGTCCTTTGACTGAGAGCAGGGGAGCATGGCAGCTGTACAACTCCTCTTGTTAATAATTTTAACCCTGCCCGTCACGGTTATACAGTTGAATACATGAGATCCATTTACACCCATAAACTACTGCTTTGGTCTATTTTATAGACTAGCAATATGTGTCATAAAAGGGAGGGGGTCACTATTAACTGTAAACTTAAAAACCCACTGGCATGGAAAGAGGAAGTCCAGGCAGTTAGTGGCTGTCTGGATTTATCCATCAGGTCCAAGGGGATGAGGCTAGATTAGGCCCTAACTTTCATGGCGTTCCCCCCTTGTCTGCAGTCTGCAGCCCCCAAAACTCCTCAACCCCTGAGATCCCCTCTGAGGCCCATCAGGTGCCATTCCAATGACTCAGCTTTCTGGAAATTCCAGCCAGAAATCCTTCTGGGGGAATCCATTCATTTAGCTCCTTGAAAAGGCACCTCTCAAAGTAAATTAACAATTTGGCAGTTCTGTTTCAACACTGAAGTCTGCTGTGAGTTTGATCACATGAGTCAGGTTCCCCAAGTCTTCCAAGAGCCATGGGACATTTGCCTGTGAAATGCCAGCCCGGGGCTTCCTGGCGAAAACCCAGATCATCACCATTCCTTGTCATCTCTCATCAGGGTGACATCGGATGATAAACAGTATAAGCGTCAGGATTAGTTTGTCAAGAGTAGGACATTTGGAGCCAGGCAATGTGGCTCATGACTATAGTCCCAGCCACTTAGGAGGCCAAGGCTGCAGGATCACTTGAGGCTAGGAGTTCAAGACCAGCCTAGGCAACATAGCTCGACCCTGTGTCCACAAAAGGAAAAAAAATTAGCTGGGCATGGAGGTGTGTGCCTGTAGTTCCAGCTACTTGGGAGGCTGAGGAGGGAAGATAGCTTGAACCCAGGAGTATAAGGCTGCATTGAGCTATGATTTGCGCCCTTGTACTCCAGCCTGGGCAGCAGAGTGAGACCCCATCTCTTTAAAAGAGTGGGGATATTTTGGTACAAGCCATCTGGCTTCAGGTAAACCCCTGCCAGGGTGTGGCCTGTGGAAGGCGGGACAGTCAGCTCACGTTCTGGAAGGCCACACCAGTGAGTGCCAACTGTGGTGACATCCGACTCATGAAGGGTTTGTGTGGTTTGGGACACCACTTAGTGGAGGATTTCTTTTTGAATCTGGACCCCTGCTAGTCTCATCCCAAGACTGGCTGTTAAGGAGGCGCTTGCCATGCCATTGCGGGGAATGTCACTAGGTTCTGGGTGACGAGGGGTGAGTCCTGTGCTTGCACATGAGGATACTCTGTTTGTCACTTGGTTCTGGGTGACGAGGGGGTGATTGCACACGAGGATACTCTGTAGGCACCAATTCTGTAAGTAAAGCTGGAGTGTAGACGGGTGACCCAAGGCTGACTGGTTTCCGGATTATGACAGGGAAAAAAAAGTGCTTAAGAAAGCTTGGGATAGCTGCACATTCTTTCCCAGCATTATGACAAGTGCAATCAACATTTGCTGCCTAAAACCTGGCTGCAGCCCTGGACCATCTGTGGGACGGGGCAGCTGCCATGTTGCCACTTGCTCATCTGACTTTGTATTGGTCGGTGGCTCCAAAATGCATCGGAAAGTGAAGTTGCCTTTCATTTGGAACTGATGCGGATGCCTACTCAGCTCCTGTTAGGGCGTGGGCTTTGAAGGGAGCTAAGAAATTCTCTAATGTTGGCAAAAAGTCCATATTCTAATTAGTGTTCAAAGTAGATAGTAGCCCTTTCCAAGCAAAAATCTCCTGTCCTGGAGGAGAAGGCCTTATCAGCCTGGATGTCTTCTCCCATTTCTAACCATTTTGGAAAGTAATGACGATGCGTGCTTTAAATTTATCAGAGGATCTTCCAAAGGTGCAAATGCAATTTGTGGGCATGGGGACTGTCACTCTGGAGTCCTCTGTGTCCCGCCTGGGAGAGTGTTCTGGGCTTTGTGGTTTGAAGGGCATGGTTCCAGCAGTGGTGCCTGTGTCACCTCCTCCCACTCCACACCCAGGGCAGACATCACCAGCCGATCACAGCATCTCTTCCCCAACCCACACCCGCTTCCCAACACCTTGCTTCGGGCAGCACTCCCAGTGACTCTTGCCTGTTTGTCTCTCTGGGCTTATTATTCAACAATTATCAAGTGCTAGGCACTGAAATGGTGCTGGGAATGCAATGGTGAGGCAAAGGAGAAAAAGCGTCGGCTCTGGTGTTGTTTATAGTCTACGAGGGGCTGATGTGGCAAGGGGACCACAGGAACAAATGTACAATTACGCCAGAGGTAGGACAGGCATGCTGCTGGGAGAACTCATTCTGGGGACATTGAGAGGAGAGACAGTTGGGTTCTGGAGGGTGGAGGGGGGAGTGTGAGTGGGAGCTCCGGAAGGGGCGCCTGGCAGCGGGGGGAGGAAGGTTGTCCAGTGTGGCTGTGGCACAGCTGGCCTACAGGTCTTTTTATTTTTTTTTTTTTTGAGACAGAGTCTTACTCTGTTGCCCAGGCTGGAGTGTAGTGGCGTGATCTTGGTTCACTGCAACCTCCACCTCCTGGGTTCAAGCAATTCTCCTGCCTCAGCCTCCCGAGTAGCTGGGGTTACAGTCATATTCCACCATGTCTGGCTAATTTTTATATTTTTAGTAGAGATGGGGTTTCGCCATGTTGGCCAGGCTGGTCTTGAACTCCTGACCTCAGGTGATCCACCCACCTTAGCCTCCCAATGTGTTGGGATTACAGGTGTGAGCCACCGCCCCTGACCAACCTATGAGTTTTGAGCGCTAAGACATCAGACCAGACAGGGCCTTGCAGGCCACACTGAGGCTCGTGGGCATCACTGAGAAGGAGCAAAGCAGCCCCTGGTGTCTAGGAGCTGGCCAGGCCCCTAGAGCTGGGCCTTGTGTTGTTAGGAGCTGTCCTGGCACTCCCAGCCCTGCCCTGCTGTCCTCACAGAGCACCAACAAGGTCCCCTGCAACCGTTGGGAAGTGCAACAAGGCCACCCTGCAGTCGTGTCTAAGCACAGACAAAAGCCAGGTCACAGTGCAAGCCAACAGCAGCAGATGCCCTCTCTGGGTTAAACTGAGTGAGGCTGCTTCCTTCCCTGCTGTGGGCTGCCCTCCCTGCAGATAAGATGTATAGGGGTGTCCCATCAGAGGCCTGTCCCCGCTCCTTGAGAGCACCCAATCTAGAGCAAAGCCTACTTCTTTGAACCCACCTCAAAGTCACCATTCTCTGTGGAGGCACCCCATGGCTGCCAGGGGTGGGGGCATCCTCCTGTTCAGCCTGCACCTGTTCAGCCACCGGTGATGTTCACAAGGAGCCCAGGGTTGGGGAAGGGGTGATGTTGCCATCTTCTCTTTTCTCTCATCCTCCTCTTGCTCAGGTCTGACCCCTAGTGAAGGGGCAGTGTGGGAGAGGAGGGGACGCAGCTGGGAGGATGCGACCTGACCACTGCCCTCCTGGTGATCCGGCATGGGTTCCCTGAGACCCAACAGGCTGCTTCCAAATGATCCTCATTTCTGGGCACTGAGCTCTCCAGGAGGTGCTCCACTTCACACTCCCTGGGGACAGTCATGCTGACTGTCCTTGACCTGGTGAACTCATTTCCTTAAGGGCTGGTGCCTCGAGCCTCCCTCTAGCTGGGTCCTCGGGCCCCCCTACAGCTGTCCAGGCTGTGTGGCCCACAGCACTCAACTTTTGGTTTGACTTTGGCAATGCGCCTAGCCTTACCTTCACTCTGCCATCCCAGTGCTGGCTGGGGATGGCCAGCTTTTATTTCCTTATTTGTCCCCTCCCATGTTCCATTTTTATCCTATCAGAATGCCCTTTTTTCAATCCTCCCTTAGATTGGCTACTTTTAGGATCCTGCTAATTGGTGTGTTTTACAGAGTGCAGATTGGTGCATTTTACAATCCTCTTGCTGGCTACAGAATGCTGATTGGTGCGTTTTACAGAGCACTGATTGGTGCATTTTACAATCCTCTTGCTAGCTACAGAGCACTGATTGGTGCGTTTTACAATCCTCCTGTAGGACAGAAAAGTTCTCCAAGTCTCTGCTCCACCCAGGAAGTCCAGTTGGCTTCACCTCTCACCAGCTGTGTGCCAGACCATCGGGCATCCTCAGGAGGGGTGGATCCGTGGTGTGTCCAGTGCTGCAGGGGAGCAATAGTGAGATTTGTGGGGGTCCTCACAGAGCCCTGTTTATGCGATTGGAGATGGGGAGGGAAGCGCTGTCTGCTCTCCTTCAATGTGGGGCAGCTAGAGCGCTTCCCTAAAATCCGCTCCTCATCCCCAACAACCCCTGAAGCTTTATTTCCCCACTGCGGGTGAGGAGGCTGGGAGGCTGCGGGGTCCCAGCCTGGAATGTGGAATCGCTTGTGGGGCTGCTTCCGAGGAAACTTCCACAGCGTGTGCCCGCACCAGGCTCTCAGAGCTTCTGGCACACAGCTGTTCGGTCCCGAGCTGGTCAGTCTCGGGTGGTCTAGGGGCAGGAGGGGGACCCCAGGACTCTCATCCTTCCTTTCCACCTGTATCCCTCAGCGGGATCCTGCTTCCCCCGGGTCTTGAAACCGGCTGGGAATGAATGAGCTTGGCCCGGCCTGCCTTCGGGTAATTAATACTCATCTCCGGAGGGGCCTGAGGACCAGAGGTTTGCATCGTCTCACTTCCCCTGGCACCGAGGGCCCCAGCCGTCATGGTGGAGGGGCGCTCCGGAGCGAGCTTTGTTCGTGGGATCTGGCCAAGCAACGAGCCATGGAGCCTGTGTCTGACAGCTTCCCTGGTGAGGTGAGGCCGTGAGGGTCACCATTGCCCTGGAGCCTGTGTCTGACAGCTTCCCTGGTGAGGTGAGGCCGTGAGGGTCACCATTGCCCTGGAGCCTGTGTCATCCCTGGTGTGAGGCCAGCGAGCCCTGACTGTCCTCCTGACAAGAGTGACCATTTAGGCCGAGGGAACAGGACCTCCCAACCCCTCGACAGTGGCTAAGCAGGCTTCCAACTCCCCCTGCCAGGCTGCCCCCTCTGCTGGCAGAGGAAGCTGTGCCAAGGCCCAGCCACGGGGCAGCCTGCAGATTCTGATGGCATCCACTTAGAAAGGGGCTTCTCCCAGCCAGGGACCCGCATGACTGGGAGGCAGAGGCCAGCTTTCTGCTGGGAAGTTCAGCCAGATCAGGCTTGAAGCCTTTCACTGAGTCCCGAGAGAGACCCTTTGCCCCCAGCCCTGAGTGTAGGATTCCTGTTCTCATGTGGATTCTCTTCCAGAGGAATCTGGAGAGAGGCCTGGAGTTGGAGCCTCCGCTGTTTGGTCCCAGGTGAGCCTCTTAGCCTCTGAGCTTCAATTTTCTTATTGACAAAATGGGCCACAGGCAACCAATGTGTGTTGAGCAGCTGCTGGATTCCCGGCACCGAAGCTGCGACTCTCTCGCCTCTGGCCTTCAATGGTCACCAGCACCATGGCTGCCACACAGGCATCGATTATGCTGGGGGCCCCGGGCTGGCCCCACGCTGACTTGTTCTCTTTATTCTACTGCAAAACCCTCAGCTCCCGGCAGCTTCAGAGATGGCTCCTTCTATTCCCGGGGCTCGGCTCTGACTACCACATGGAAGGTTCTCCATTAGACGCAGCGTGGATGGACACTAACTGGGAGGGAGGGACGCCTGGGTTTCTTTCTTGTTTTTTTTTTTTTTTGAGACGGAGTCTCGCTCTGTCGCCCAGGCTGGAGTGCGGTGGCGCGATCTCGGCTCACTGCAACCTTCGCCTCCCGGGTTCACGCCATTCTCCTGCCTCAGCCTCCCGAGTAGCTGGGACTACAGGCAGGTGCCACCACGCCCGGCTAATTTTTTGTATTTTTAGTAGAAACGGGGTTTTACCGTGTTAGCCAGGATGGTCTCATCTCCTGACCTCGTGATCCGTCCGCCTTGGCCTCCCAAATTGCTGGGATTACAGGCACGAGCCACCACGCCCAGGCAGGTTTCACTTCTGAAATTAAATTTGTGTGACTTATGAACCAACAAGAGCAAATAACTAATATCTTATTGAAAAAACCTCCTCTGGGCCAAGTGATTTATACACATTTTCCTAATGAACCTTCACAGTAGTCCTGTGAGATACTATCTTTCCCATTTCACAGGTGAGAACGTTGAGGAAACTGAGGCCTTGCCGGGGTCAGTCAGCACAGAAGAAGAGGGGGGCAGGATTTGGATCTGGGTCTCATGCCTCAGCCCGTGCTCCTGCATTCCCCTGGGCTGCCAACAGATATCATTTAGCAAGGCCCACTCATGGCCTGGGGTCTACGTGGCTGGCAGGCCACGGCGGTTACAGGGTAGAACTGTGGTTTTGCAGGGAACTGATGGAGGTTCAGCCCCATCTGCAGGAGGTGCCGGTGGAAGGCCCAGTGCTCCCCCAGTGGAGAGGCTCCTGGGATGAAGGACCCAGGGCCAGGGCATTCCGTGGAGGCTCTGAAGACCCCTCCACCTCAGCTAGCTTCTGCCTCAATCTCAGCCGGCCTGGGTGGCAGCCACGGAAACCCGGACCTGTCTGTGGCCCCTCAGCCTGGCGGCCCTGGTGATGCTGCGTTGCAAAACCACACTGTCTTGTTTTGACTTGCTCTTGGTTTCCCAGAAAATTTATTTACAGAAGTTAAGAATGCTTTATAACTTTAAATTCTTCTTTTATTATGGTAAAATATACATAACACACATTCTACCGTTTTAACCATTTTTAAGTATGCAGTTCCGTGGCAGTAATTCCCAATGAGTACATTCACAATGCTGCACAGCCATTCATTTCCAGAACTTTCTTCATCATCTCAAGCAGAAACTCTGTATCCATTAAATAATACCTCCCCATTCCCCCTCCCCGCAGCCCCTGGCTACCACCATTCCACTTTCTGACTATGAATTTGACTGCTCTAGGTACCTCACATAAGTAGGATCATGGTTTTTGTCCTCTTCCGATTGGCTTATTTCATGTAGCACAGTGTTGTCAAGGTTCATCCATGTTTCAGCATGTCAAAATTTATTTCTTTTAGAAGGCTGAATAGTACTCCATCATGTGGATAGAACACAATTTGTGTATCCATTCATCTGTTGAATGGACGTTTGGGTTGTTTCCATCTTATTTTTATTTATTTATATTTATTTATTTTTTGAGATGGAGTCTCACTCTGTCGCCCAGGCTGCAGTGCAATGGCACGATCTAGGCTCACTGCAACCTCTGCCTCCTGGGTTCAAGCAATTCTCCTGCCTCAGCTTCCTGAGTAGCTGGGACTATAGGCATGTGCCACCATGCCCGGCTAGTTTTTGTATTTTTAATAGAGACAGGGTTTCACTATGTTGGCCAGGCTGGTCTCAAACTCCTGACCTCGTGAACCGCCCGCCTCGGCTTCCCAAAATGCTGGGATTACAGGCGTGAGCCCGGCCTCCATCTTTTAATTATTGCAAACAATGCTGCTATGAACATGAGTCTCCAAATACCTGTATGAGTCCCTGCTTTCAATTGTTTAGGGTATACACCCAGAAGTGGAATTGAGAGATCAGGTGGTAATTTTATGTTTAACTTTCTGAAGAATCACCATACTGTTTTTCTCAGTGGCCGAATCATTTTACATTCTGCCAACAGCGGCAAGGATCTCAAGGGTCTCCACATCCCTGCCAACACCGATTTCCCTTTATGTTTCTTTTTTTTTTAATAATAGTCATCTTACAGCATGTGAAGTGGTATCTCATTGTAGTTTTATGCCTCTTAACTGTTTAAAAGTTTTACATCCAATGTAAAAATACTGTTTGTCCTATTCTAACTTATTCTTTTTTGTTTGTTTGTTTTAATTATTATTTTTTGAGGTGGAGTCTTGCTCTGTCACCCAGGTTGGAGTGCAATGGCTTGATCTTGGCTCACTGCAACCTCTGCCTCCTGGGTTCAAGCGATTCTCCTGGCTCAGCCTCCCGAGTAGCTGGGATTACAGGTAGGCACCACCACGCCGGCTAATTTTTGTATTCTCAGTAGAGATGGGTTTTTGCCATGTTAGCCAGGCTGGTCTCAAACTCCTGGCCTCAAGTCATCTGCCTGCCTCGGCCTCTCAAAGTGCTGGGATTACAGGTGTGAGCCACTGCGCCTGGCCTTTTTTTCATTATTTTTAATTGACACATAATTGTATGTATTTGTAGGGTATGGTGTGATATTCTGATACATTTATACGATGTGTGGTGATCGTATTCGGGTAATTAATATATCTGTCACCTCAAACACTTATCATTTCCTTGTGTTGGAAACATTTAAATTCTTCTCTTCAAGCCATTTGAAAATATATAATAAAAGAAATTGTTACCTGTAGTCATCCTACAGTACTATAGAATAGGGTCCCCAACCCCCCGGCCACAGACTGGTCCTGGTCTGTGGCCTGTTAGGAACCGGGCTGCACAGCGGAAGGTGAGAGGCAGTGGAGCGAGCGAAGCTTCATCTGTATTTACAGCTGCTCCCCATCACTCACATGACCGCCTGAGCTCCACCTCCCGTCAGATCAGCAGCGGTGTTAGATTCTCATAGGAGCACAAACCCTATCGTGAACCGCGCAGGTGAGGGATCTAGGGTGCACGCTCCTTATGAGAATCTAATGCCTGATGATCCGTCACTGTCTCCCATCACCCCCAGAAGGGACCGTCTAGTTGCAGGAAAACAAGCTCAGGGCTCCCACTGATTCTACAATATGATGAGTTGTATAAATATTTCATCACATAGTCCCATGTAATAATAATAGAAATAAGTGCACAATAATTGAAATGCGCTTGAATCATCCCAAAACTATACCTCCAACTCTGGGGGATGCGGAAAAATGGTCTTCCACAAAACCAGTGCCTGGTGCCAAAAAAGGCTGGGGAGGGCTGCTCTAGAACGCTAGAACTCATTCCTCTTAGCCAGCTGTAATTTTGTATCCATTAACCAACTTCTCCCCATCCTCCCTCTCCTCCTACCCTTCCCTGCCTCTGGTAACCACTTTCCTGTTTTCTTCTTCCATGAGACCCACTGTTTCAGCTTCCACATGTGGGCGAGACCGTGTGGTATTTGTCTTTCTGTGCCAGGCTCATCCACGACAGAATTTCATTCTTGTTTTTTCTGTTATCAAATTGCTCAGTAAGGCGACTTTCCTGTTTACCTAACCTTCCTTTGGCGGTGCATGAGAGGTGAAATTTCTGTACACCCTCACTAACATTTGATATTATTAGTCTTTCAAAATGTTCACAATCAGGTGGGCAAAAAGTGGTGCCTTTAGTAACTAGGTTTCATAGGCTTCATCTGTAGATGGGATCTTTGCTGTGGGTCTTTGCTTCATCTGTAGATGGGATCTTTGCTGTGGGTCTTTGCTTCATCAGCAGATGGGATCTTTGCTGTGGGTCTTTGCTTCATCAGCAGATGGGATCTTTGCTGTGGGTCTTTGCTTCATCAGCAGATGGGATCTTTGCTGTGGGTCTTGGCTTCATCAGTAGATGGGATCTTTGCTGTGGGTCTTTGCTTCATCTGTAGATGGGATCTTTGCTGTGGGTCTTGGCTTCATCAGTAGATGGGATCTTTGCTGTGGGTCTTGGCTTCTTCGGTAGATGGGATCTTTGCTGTGGGTCTTTGCTTCATCGGTAGATGGGATCTTTGCTGTGGGTCTTTGCTTCATCAGCAGATGGGATCTTTGCTGTGGGTCTTTGCTTCATCAGTAGATGGGATCTTTGCTGTGGGTCTTGGCTTCATCAGTAGATGGGATCTTTGCTGTGGGTCTTGGATTCATCAGTAGATGGGATCTTTGTTGTGGGTCTTTGCTTCATCGGTAGATGGGATCTTTGCTGTGGGTCTTGGCTTCATCGGTAGATGGGATCTTTGCTGTGGGTCTTTGCTTCATCGGTAGATGGGATCTTTGCTGTGGGTCTTTGCTTCATCGGCAGATGGGATCTTTGCTGTGGGTCTTTGCTTCATCAGTAGATGGGATCTTTGCTGTGGGTCTTGGCTTCATCAGTAGATGGGATCTTTGCTGTGGGTCTTGGCTTCATCAGTAGATGGGATCTTTGCTGTGGGTCTGCAGAAAATGCCCTAATCAAGTGAAGGAAACAACAGCTAAAATGTTCTCTTCTCCTACTCTGCCTCTATCTATTGAGAGGTTCGGGTCATCTAGTTTTTCCTACTCTACTAAGCTAACGTAGTGAGTCTTACTGTCAAGCAAGTCTTGCTTACCTGGGATTAAATGCTACTTGGTCATGATGGGTTATTCCTTTACTATGCTACTTGATTTGATTTGCTAATATATTAAAATATTTGCATACATGATCATTAGTGTGCTCTCTTTTCGTTTTGGAATTAACCTTATATTATCCTGCAAAATACGTTAATTCACTTTCTAGATTGTTGTATGCTCCAAAGTAGTTTACCTAACATGATAATTACCTATCTTTGAAGGTTAAGCAAAAAGTGTCCCGGGTGCTGTGGCTCACGCCTGTAATCTCAGCACTTTGGGAGGCGAAGGTGGGTGGATCATGAGGCCAGGAGTTCAAGACCAGGCCGGTCAAGATGGTGAAACCCTGTCTCTACTAAAAATACAAAACAATTAGCCAGGCTTGGCAGCAGGCGCCTGTAATCCCAGCTACTTGGGAGGCTGAGGCAGAGAATTGCTTGAACCTGGGAGGTGGAGGTTGCAGTGAGCCAAGATCATTCCACTGTACTCCAGCCTGGGCAACAGAGCAAGACTCCATCTCAAATAAATAAATAAATAAAAGTCTATAAAAACAGCTGGGCCCAGGCATTTAAAAAAATGTTCGGTCTTCTAGTTTAGTCTTTTATTGTCTATGCAAATTCTTTGGCTATTGAACTATCCAAGCTTTCTCTTTTTAAGCTTTTGGGGAATAGGTTGCAATACATTTCTTGTCTACTGTTTCTCTTAGTGTTTTCTAATTCTAACCCACTGTTTTTGGAATTTCTATTAGATGGTTTTGCAACTTCTGCATCTATCCTCCATGCACCTTCACATTTCCTTCACAGTTTTCGTGCTGTTTTCCTTGTGTGCTACATTCTGAACAGGACTTTGGCTTCAAACTCCAGAAACTTGCTCTTCAGGGGGCTCCACTTTTCTCCTTGGCTTTCTTGAGTTTTCCTTTTAACAATCATATGTTTAACAATCATATGTTAAGGTCTTTAGTTGGTTCCTTTTTTTTTTTAACAGTGGCCTGATCTTTATTTCTCCAAATACATTAATAGACTTTTTTTTTTTTTTTTGAGATAGGGTCTCACTCTCTTGCCTAGGCTGGAGTGCAGTGGTGCAATCTCAGCTCATTGCAACCTCCACCTCCCAGGTTCAAGTGATTCTCATGCCTCAGCCTTCCAAGTAGCTAGGATTACAGGTGTCCCCACTATGCCTGGCTAAATTGTGTATTTTTAGGAGAGACAGGGTTTCACCATGTTGGCCAGGCTGGCCTCGAATTCCTAGCCTCAAGTGATCTACCCACCTCGGCCTCCCAAAGTGCCGGGATTACAGGTGTGAGCCACCATGCCCGACCAACATACTTCTTTTAAAATCTCCATTTCTTTGTAATAAGAACTCACTTTCTTTAGGTGGTTTAGCTGTTGAGTTTGGTGACTCTCTCTCGCTGTGGGTTTTCCTCAGCTGTTTGTAGTGTCTTCGTTAAGCGCTCATCTTAGAGGGGGAGGTTTCCTGTTGACGCATCTGTAAGTGATGTATCTATTTACCCTCAGCAATTGCAGGTGAGAGGCAAGAATGCGTCGCCAGGTAGGCTGGGCCCGGGTGGTCTTCTGGATGCAGGCCCTTAGCACCTAACGGTCACTTGCAGCCCTGTTCTCTCGCTTGTACCTGCTCCCACTGAACTGGAAGCAGCCACCATTTCCAGAATTTGGAGCTATGGTTTCCTGATTCTCACTAATCCCAGCTGCTTCATAACTTCTGGACCACTGAAAGTATCCTGTTCTGGTTATCTGTTGCTGAGTAAGGAATCACTCTTAAAGGTAATGGCTTAAAACAACCATTTTATTCTCATTTCTCATGGCTCCTGAGGGTTGATGGGTTTGGCTGCGCAGGTCCTGTTCCGATGCCCTCCTTTTATGGGCCTGCAGCCAGACTGGTTGGGCGCTGCTTATCCGGGCATCAGATGGAACACCTGCCTGTGTCACCTCCATGTGGCTTGGGCTGTCTCATAGCATGGAGTCTGAGTGTCAATAATAAGCTCGCCCAGAGGGCCAGGCAGAAATGGAATCGGCCTTTCTGACCCAGCTAGTCACGTGGCATCACTTTTGTGTAGTCACTGGCCCACCAGGGTTCCAGGAGAGGAAGGAGAGACCCCAACTCTGGATAGGAGGAGCGTCTGAGCCCCTTGGTAGAAAAGCCATGTGGGATGAAAGGTCTTGTGGTAGCCATCTTGGAAAATGCAAGATCTGTCGCAACCACCTTTCCCCAGCACTGCCAGGAATTAACTTATTTTCTTAAACACCTTTTCTGCATTTTTTAAGAACTTAGGGGCAGGATCATGGAGCCAAAGCTTAGGCTCACCAGTCTTCTTGAGGTGATCTCACCTCATGGCTTATTTAATTTGTACTATTCCCCGCTATTCTATCTTGCAGTTTGTGCCATCTCATCCTCATGTACTCAGCTGGTGTTCCACACAGAAACCCCCTGGGGCCAGCGTGCATGATGTAGGCTTGAGGTGGAGGCTGCCCTCCTGGCCTTGTCGGACACAGCCTGGAAGCGGGGCCCAGTCACAGCGACAGTCATGGACTCCGAGGGTCCCCTGCCAGCTCTGTAGACCCTCTGCCTCCTAAGGCTCTCTGCGACTGCCGTGATCTACAGTTGGGAGTGCTCCAGGGAGTTCTCATGTGTGCTCCTCCACACGCAAGAGGCACTGCCTCTCGGGCGCCGATGTAGAATGGCTGGTGGGAATGGCTCGGTCCACTCTGAATGATCTCTCTCTTCTTAAAACCTGAGCATGGGTGCCCATGGCCTGCCCTCGGCCTGTCCAGTAGGCAGGGTGGGCACAGCACAGCAGTGCCTGGCTGCCCTGTCTCCCTCCTCTCACTGAGTCCTCCTGCAGGTGCACACTAGTGAGCTGCCCCACCGTCCTTCAGACTGGAGGTGCCTGAGAGAAGGGGCAGGCACAGGGGGATTGGAGGCCGTGCTAGTCAGGCTGGGTGAAGCAGCGGGGCTTGAGGAGGGCACCGCAGCCCTGTGAAGCTGAATCAGGACCTGGGAGCCACCTAGGCCTGGACCCCACAATGGAGACTGGGGAGTTAGGAGATGGCTGTGGTCCCTGCTCATCTCACTGGATGCCCAAGTGAGATGCTTAGGAGTTAAATGGACAGAGCCTCCAGCTGGGGCCAATGCTGAGAAGGCCTCTCCGGAGGGGGAATTTGCTTTCTTTTGCAACAAGGGAAGCTTGAATTCTGCCGTAAGGATCTCCATTCCTCACCAAGAAGTCTGGAGTCATGCCACACACAGCTGGATCAGCGCTGCCTTTTGGTCTGATGTGACAGTGGTTAAACTTGTGTGACAATGAGAAATCATGACAAACGACTTCCTTAATGTCAAAGTTTCCTAACTTTTCAGGGAAGAGAAAATAGGGCAACTGCATCATATTGCGGACAGTGAACTCGGATCTTTTAACTTCATTCCTACACCAAAGTTGCTGATTGAGGGAAATGGACAGGAATCGGCCTGACCCTTGGGTCTTGGGTATAGACAGGACAGGGCTGTCTGCCGAGAAGTGAGGCAGGAGCCGAGCAGGGATGTTTTGGAATCGGCGAGGGTGTCTGAACACCATCAGCTCTGCCTGCATCTGCTCCTCAGGCTGTCTGCAAGTAGCACCGTGTCCTGGAGCAGCATGTTAAAAAGCTGAGTTGGTTCAGGCTTTTGAAAAATCAAAACAAGACAAACGTCCACCCCCGTGATGAACAACAACTTTTTCCCAGGCTTGCAAGCGCTGCGGCCGGGTTGCCCTGGCAACGACACATTTTGGATCGGCCGCTTCCCTGGGCCTTCCTTTCCCATGTGCACAATGGGGATGGGAGAAGGTCAAGGTCATTTCCGGCTGCACATTCTGGGAGGCAAACCCATACCTCGGAGGCCTCTCTCCTGCCCTTTAGTCCCTGGCTGGCATCTCAGCAGGGAGAATAAAGGCGTCTGTGTTGTGGCTTCCTGGAGCCTCTTCCTTGGAAACAGATAGTCTGATAGGCAATGATGGCAGCTGCTGACTGCTTATGGCCTGGCTGCTGCTGGCCATGTGGGCCTCTGGAGCGGGGGGCCTTGTCAAGGCTCCCCAGACCCACTTCCACAGCCACAGGACCTGCCTGCAGTCTCTTTCCCTTTTCCTGGAAACTTCTGTCCCTTTGTCTACTCCCGATGAGTCAGAGTAGCCGATGGAGAGGAGTGCAGAGCCCAGGCCAGAAACAAGTGGCAAAGGCAAGGTGTGTCTCCTCTCTAAGGTCGCTAGGCCACAGCAGCAGTGGTTTTCGTTTGGGCCTGACAAGGAGCCGGTGCTGTAGTCACCCATGACTCTGGAGGCCCTGTTCATCCATCAGGCCTGGAAACACCAGCAGGACTGGCCAATCCGCCCCAGAGCTCAGCCAGCACGGACAGTCAGTCTTGGCCAGCAGCACCTTCCTCAGGCCTGAGAAGAAGAGGCCAGGTCTGCCTTGCACAAGCTGCAAACTTTGGTTCCCTGCACACCAGGCAGAGGGGGCTGCCCTGCCAGAGGCAGCTCCCACATCCCCTGAGCCTGAGTCATTACCTGCTAAAGAGGGGACAGCTCTTCAAAAGACCTGTGGCCTCCTGGGTCCCGGCAGCATCCGTGAAAGTGAAAAGAGCAGAATGTTGGTTGGCACAGTTTTCTGAATCTCTCCCTGGGCCATCTGTTCCAGTTACTGCTGTTTTCTAACAAAGCACCCCAAAACTTAGCGGCTTACCACAGCCATCTTCCCATACTCCTGGTTCTGCAGGTCTGGAAGTTGCACAGAGCACAGGAGGGCTGACTTGCTTCCATCCTGTAAAGTCTGAGGCCTCCACTGCAAAGACTCCACAGCTGAGAGGGACCCAACAGCTGGAACCATCTGAAGATGTCATCTCTCATGTTTCCCCCACATGATGCTGGCTGTTGGTGCGACCTCAGCCCAGGCTGTTGGCCACAACAGCCTCTGCATGTGGCTTGGGCTTCCTCAGAGCATGGCGGCCTCATCACAGTCAGACTTCTTGACTACAGGCTCAGGGCTCCAGAGGTGAGTGTCTGCTTCATTGCCTTTCCTACTGAGCTTTGGCAGTTATGCTGCATCATTTCCACCATATTCTATTTGTAACAAGCAAGTCACAAGCTCCCCCCAAATACAAGGGGAAGGGACACAGACTCCACTTGTTGATGGGAGGGGTGACAGGATGGGAGGTACTGTTGTGGCCGTCTTTGGAGAACATAATCGGACACGCCACTCTCCTGGCCTTCCTTCCCACTCTGCCCCAGCCACGATCCAGCTGCACAGACAGCCTTAATCAGGCCCTTCCAGTACCTTCTTCTCTTCCTAACAGCTGCTGGACAGGTCCTCCACAGGCCCAATAGTGAGCTGGGCCACCAAGGCATGGGGGAGGCCCCTCCATTTCTGCCTTTTTCACCATGGCTGGGGAAAGGGGCAAGCTCAGGGTTAACTGGAGTCCACAGGGTCATTCAGTTTGATGGAGTGCCCCAGGCTGTCCTGGGGCCTGGCCTGCCTCCCTCGCTGTCTGTGCCTGTTCATGTGGCTTTTGGTTTTGTGTTTCTTGGCTTGTGAGTTGTGGTTCCGGAATGAGGGGAGCCAGGCAGAGCCTCACCCTGGAACCAAGCAGTGGGGGGTCCTGAGAGCCCCCCCGGGAGCCCAGAGCTTCCTCTGTGGATGGTCTCCCCTCTGTGGCTCCAGTTTAGGGGACTTGGGACAGAACCTTTTGCCATCCCCTGCCCTATTTGTATTAGGGGCAGGCTGTTCTTGGTGGAATACAGTTTCTGTGTGGCTGACACAAGTGTGAACTGCTGACTTGCCTTTTGTGGCTGAGTTCTGAGGAGTTTTGCTGAGAACAGCGCAAGGGTTAGTAGGTCCCAGCTGTGAGAGCTGAGGGACTGCTGTAGTTGTAGAAGCTGCTTTTGTCAAGAGACTCTCTCAGGAAAAATGTTCTCTGGATTTCCAGACCCTTTTCTACTCTTTCCCCTATTCCCAATGTACCCCTGGCCCGCAGACCCCCCAAATTCCCTAGTGTGGACACAGAGCCCTACTCTGCCACCAGGCCTGCACCTGGCCGCGGGTCCAGATGCCAGAGACATTAAAGCATGTGTGCGTGCACACACACACAAACACACACCTACACACACATGCACACACATGAACACACACAAACACACGAACACAACACACATACACATACACACACATATGCACACACAAACACGAACACACACACACATACATATGCGTGCACATAGAGAACAGAGTATTCATGAGCCTGTAGTACATGCAAAAAAGCCAAGTTACGTTTTTAAAACTTTTCTATTGCACCAGAAATACAAGATGCCGCCTAGAACGTTGGGAGAAGAAGGTCCGCCCCGCAGCCGGCCCCCAGGCGGGCCCGCTTGTTTGGGCCTCTGCCTGCCCGCCGGGGGTGTCTGTATTTACATTCGTCCACACCCGCCACAAGGGTTCCTTTTTCCCCACGTGGCATCGTACTTGGGAATACTTGGTAAAGCAAACTCATCAAGCCCACAAACTCTTCTCAGAGGGCGCAGGAGCCCCGGGGCAGCCATTTCTCGGCGGGCTGGTGCCCCGTCGCGGCGGGAGGACGGCGTCCGGCTGCTCGGAGCGGGGCGCACCCTGGCGGCGGGCGAGGGAACTGCTCCTGCCCGCGGGTTGCATGGGGGCAGGTGCCCTCAGGAATAGGCTGGAGAGGTTGGCACGGCTCTCTGCTCTCCCGGGCTTCAGTGAGGGAGAGGAGCTGTTACATTTTGGCAAACAGCAGACCTTTCTTTCCCAAGCCCCCGGCTTCTAGCCACCATGGTTGACCGAGTTCTTTCTCTGCTGTAGGAGAAACAGGGCCCAGCCCCCGGCTTTGCCCAAGGGTCCCCCTGGCCCTCCTTCCCCGTCACTGCCTGGGAGTTAGTGATGACTGGGGAGGATTGGTTTTTGGGAGAGGGGCTGCAATGAGGAGTGTCACATTTTCTGAAGCGACAAGGAAGCCTCTGCACCCAGACCCTCACGTTCGTTCCCCCATCCAGTGTCCACCTGCCTGTCTCCCTCTAGCAAGTAAGTCCTCCCAGCCCAGCCCCTGACTTTGATGCAATCCCTCCCTGAGAACTGAGAGGGGCAAGTGCCCTGCCTTGAGCGATGGGAGTTCCTCTGTAGGGCCTTGTCACTTGGGGGATGGCAGGCCCCTCGCTGCTGGTTCCTGTTCCTGTCCCTGTGCTGGGGACAGCTGTGTGCAGCTGAAGAGAATTTTCAGGCCAAGCCTGAGGTTCAGGGTCTACTCCCTGACTGGAACAGAAGTAGACAGCACAAAAGACGTTACACTGGCCCTGAGCATGCCAAGGTCAGGAGGGTGGGGTTGGTGGGGGACCATGGATAGTCCCCAAGAACATTGACAGGAAAGACCTGGAGGCCCTTATGCACCTGAACTGTACTTCAGGAGCCAGGGTGGGGGCTGCAGCATCTTCCCTGATGCGTGCTCTCCGCAGTGGGGATCTGTCTATGCATACACCCTTACAACTTGCTGTTCCAGGCTGTCATCCCTGATTATTTTCCATCTCTGTCATTGAGGAAACAAGAATCTAAGAGGCATAGGATCTTGCCCTGGGTCTGGCAGCTGGCAATTGGCAGAGGGAGGATTCGAACCTGGGCCTGTATTTCCAAATCCCACCCTCAACACCACATTGAGGAACAGCCCCTTGAGGCTGAGCTCTGGCAATTCCTTTAGTCCTCAGTGTGGCCTCGAGGGAGAGGTTTGGAGCGAAGCCCTGGGCCTTTAGCTTTTGGGGTTTCCAGGACCCAGCAGAGGCCCAATTCCTGGCTGCCCCTGCTTGTACTCAGGGGTCTTGGGGTCTTTGGTCTTGAGGCCCCCATGGCCTCCATTGTGATGGAACCTAGTAGTTTGTGGCACACAGCCATTGGTTCTTCATCAACCAAGGAGGCAGGGCATGGAGGAGCCGCAGGTCCCAGGAGAGAGGAGGTGGCTGTGGGTCACCCAGCCAGGAGGTGCTGGAGGGAGTGCGAGCCCCATTTTCTGACCCTGACCCCAGCTGCCCCGCTTCATATTGCACTACCCAGTGTGTCTCTGTTCTCTTAGGTCCGACCTCTGAACGTAAGAGTGAATGAAAGGGAAACCAATAACGGGAAACTCAAAGGACAGGGGCCTCTGGGGTGGGCAGACCAGTAGCTGGAAGGGGTCCAGCCCTGATTCCTGAGATCGCCTCAGCCTTGTGCAGGCCCCACTGATGGGCAGGCTGGGCTCCAGCCATTGTCTGCTCCACGGCTCCATTGCGGAGCAGAAACCTTGCACCGAGGGCAAAAACACCTAGTGTGCCTTAGATCCAGTTTAAACCTTTTTGATAAAGAAAGTCCAGATAAAGAGTTCATTCACTTCCCCTTCTCCAGCTGCACTTGATCTGAGGCTTTGGTGACCCGATGCCGCTATTTCAGAGGGAGAAATGTTTTCTAGTTCCTTCCACCTCATTGTCAGCTGAAGCTCCCCCCAGCCCCCACCCTCTTCCTCCCCTCCTTCTCCTCTGTCTCCAGACCAGGGGAGAAGTTGTGCTGCTTGAGGGCAGGGTTGACGGGGATGCCTTGGCTGGACTTGGAGATGGAGGATTGAGTCTCGGTGGGAGAGATGTCGCCTGGCACGCAGCACATCCCAGAGGCCACTTTGGAGGAAGGGAAGAGGTCAGCTCCTGGTGCTCATGTGGTGGAAGCCACAACCACCTCGCAGAGCCTTCTCGGGTCTGCGTAGTGACGGGTGTGTGCTTGGAGGGCCAGGCAGGCTCTCCAGAGTGTGCAGAAAAGTGCCTCCTGGAGATTCTGCACACGCCCAGCCCGCCACACTCACATGAGTGAGACCGGGACTGGGCAGCTCCTAGATGACACCAACGACGGGACAAGCCAGAGCCTGGGAGGAAATGAATGCAGGATCCAAAACGGCGGCTGCCGTCCGAGTCGGCAGAACGAGGTTTCTGAGCGGGCTCCGGGCTGAGCGGCGGCAGATCCTCGCTCCCCGGGCCTCAGCGCTGTCGCGCATGCGGTTGAACGGCGGAGCCGCGGCCGCGCAGGCGCCGGAGGCCGTGGGAGGTGACATAGCTGCAGGGGGAGCTGGGGAAGAGCCGCGCAGGCGCCGGAGGAGGCCGGGGTAGGTGACGTAGCTGCAGGGGGAGCTGGGGAAGAGCCGCGCAGGCGCCGGAGGAGGCCGTGGGAGGTGACGTAGCTGCAGGGGGAGCTGGGGAAGAGCCGCGCAGGCGCCGGAGGAGGCCGTGGGAGGTGACGTAGCTGCAGGGGGAGCTGGGGAAGAGCCGCGCAGGCGCCGGAGGAGGCCGTGGGAGGTGACGTAGCTGCAGGGGGAGCTGGGGAAGAGCCGCGCAGGCGCCGGAGGAGGCCGTGGGAGGTGACGTAGCTGCAGGGGGAGCTGGGGAAGAGCCGCGCAGGCGCCGGAGAGTCTTGCGGAGCATCCCCCTGTGCTGAGTCCCGGATTCATTCCTTGGTTTTACAGACGAGGAAGCTGAGGATCTGAGAGCTGTACAGTAGTGGCTGAGGTGGGGTTTGCAGTGAAGGATGTGACACACCCCAGATGGAGCTGAATGGGCGTGGGACCTCAGGTCTTGGCCACAGTGGCCTGCTGTGCATTGATCCTGCTACAGAGTGTCCATTATCAGCCAGGCGCGGTGGCTCACGCCTGTAATCCCTGCACTTTGGGAGGCCGAGGTAGGGCGGATACCTGAGGTCGGGAGTTCAAGACCAGCATGACCAACGCAGAGAAACCCCGTCTCTACTAAAAATACAAAATTAGCCGGGCGTGGTGGCGCATGCTTGTAGTCCCAGCTACTCGGGAGGCTGAGGCAGGAGAATCGCTTGAACCCGGGAGGCAGAGGTTGAGGTGAGCTAAGATCGCGCCATTGCACTCCAGCCTGGCAACAAGAGTGAAACTCTGTCTCAAAAAAAAAAAAAAAGTGTGCATTATCAGGGACATGGCAAGAGGACGGTGGTGGAATGCTGGTGGAGCTGGCCCAGCCGTTTCTGGGGACGGGGTCCTCAGCACAGCCTGAGACTGCTCTGGTCCCACTGGCCAGGCTGGGGCTCTGGGGAGAGGCCTGTGGGAGGCTGGTGAATCCCAGGTCTGATGGCGCCTTTGGGCAACGTGTCTGGACTCAGAAGTCAGGAGCTGAGGATCCTGTGGGGTCGCGTGTCAAGGGGGATTTCGATGACAGCTGTAAGTCCAGGCAGTAGATCCAGCAGAATGCATGTGGCCACCAGAATTTACCCAGCGCCTCCAAAAAGTACCCAGTTGGGAAGGAGACAGACGCCTGTGTGGAGGGAGGGACGGGTGAGAATCTGGGGCCCTGTCCCTTAGTCCTTTGTAAATGGCAGAGGGAGAGGGGGCTTCCGGATGGCAGTGATCCAAAACTCACCTTTCCATAGAAACAGTGAGGACACTGGAGGCCCAGCTTCCGGGCCAGCCCCCAGTGCTGAGAGAAGCCACTGCCCCTTGCCACCCCCGGAGAGGATGCCAGCCGTGCTCATTAGAGGGTGGGTGCTCCCAGCATCCAGCCTCCCTCTCATTCAGAAACTCGGCTCCAGGAGGGGGTTTTGGAGGCTGGGTATATGAGGTGTGCCAGTACCTTGGGGTTCTTCTGAGACCAGGAACCCGTGCTTTAGGCCTTCAAGGGCCAGGACTCACCTGGGCAGTGATTGGATGGGAGCAGCCCCCTCGTCCCCCTCGTCTAAGGCAGTTCGAAGAGACAGCACCGCAGAAGGCCCTCTGTGTGTCCCACCCTCCTGGGGAAAGTGAGATTCCTGTCCAGGCTTGGAGGAGCAAGGCAGTTGCCTACTACTTGAATAAATGGGTTGTTTCTGGATTCTGGGAATTGGGTAGCTGACAATGGTGCCTCTTTGGTGTTGCTGCCAGGATGCTGGGAGTCTCAAAGGGGACCAGTCACAACAAGGACGTGCACTCTTTGGTTCCATAGTAATTTTATAGTAATTAAGAATGAATATTTTAGTTGGGCACAGTAGCTTGCACCTATAATCCCAGCACTTTGGGAAGATGAGGTGGAAAGATCCCTTGAGCTCCTTGAGCTCAGAAGTTTGAGACTAGCCTGGGCAACGTAGTGAAACCCTATCTTTACAAAAAATAAAAGAAATTTAGCCAGGCGTGGTGGTGTGTACCTGTAGTCCCAGCTACTCAGGAGGCTGAGGTGGGAGAATCACCTCAGCCCAGAAGTCAAGGCTGCAGTGAGCCGAGATCACACCACTGCACTCCAGCCTGGGTGATGGAGTGAGACCCTGTCTCAAAAAAAAAATTTGTAACTTTGATTTTTTTTTAATTGCAAAAGAAATTCTACATACGAACAATCCAAAAGAAAAGGAATAAAAGTGGCCATTCCAGCAGCGAGGAATAACCACCACTAATATTTTGGTCTGTGTCCTTCCAGCCTTGTCATTTATACATTTATACAATACTCTACAATTTTTTAAAAACATGATCTTCAGGCCTCCCTGTTTCACTTAGTGGATTGCAGGTGCCTTTCCTTGCCTTTCACTGTCCTCCTCCCAGAGCCTCCGTTCACCCTCACTGCAGGCCATGCTCTCTGGCTGGCCTTTATGCTCCGTGGAACCAAGGGGAACCCTAGAGCTTGAGACTTGTGGGATGCTGTAGGGCTGTTTGTTCCCAGCCTCCCAGAGTACAGCTAATATGTCCCACTACCTGAACGATGTGCCTGCCCCACTGCTGAGTGACATCGGTGTGGCTGGCAAGGCACCAGTGCTGGTCTTTCTTCCATTGCTCACACCTCTCCTGGGCTCCCTGGGCTTCTGGGTGAGTTGAACACTGTGGGGTGCAGGGGAGGTAGGGCTATCTAGCCTGGAGTGGGGTGAATGTGCCCTTGGGAAAAGGATGCCACTCTCTTCCAGATCTTTCTGTCCTTATGTCAGAGAGATGGAGTCATCCCAGCACTTATGGCCAGCAAACCTGAAGCGCCTCCATGGCCATCTCCCTCTGCCTTCAACCCACGTGAGCACTTCCTGGGAGCCAGGCTGGGTGCCAGGCTGTGAGGGCACTGCTGGGCTCACGCGTTACTGCCTGTGCACTGTTGATACCCTATTTATCAGGCTCATGAATCTGTTAAACATGAAACCATCAACCCTTTCCAAACAGTAACACACCGCTTCTGTGTCTCACACACGACTCCTGAGTTTTGGCAATTCCTCCAGTGAAACACTGATTTAACGTTTTTATTGGATCCCACTTGTAAATATTTAATTAAAGTCTAAAATGTTAGACTATCTCTAGTGCTTCGAACACCCAAACACTCAAAACATGCCTAAAATGCTATATTGGTTACACAACGAAGCACTCTGCTCTCTCTGGAACTGACCCCAGTGCTGAAGCCTGATTCCCACCTCCCCTCCTCACCCTACTCCCCGTCTTCTTACTGGTGCTCATAGCTCTTCCCAGGGGTTCTGAGCCTTCCTAGGGTTGCGGCGACCCCAGGAAAAGAGACAAGGCTTCAGGGTGGGACCAGTTAAGGGCTGAGGACACAGGGGCCAGGGTGTCGATGGTTCCTTTGGGGCGGTGCTCCCAACTGTTCCTCCCGAGGTGACTGGAACCTGAGCTCAGGCATTAGGCTGTGTCCTTTCTGTAGGATGTTGGAAGCTCAAGCTTTTCATGAAGCTTTGTGTTTTTTGGCAGCCTGATGTCCACCCCCTGAAGCGAAGTACTCTGTAATTTTGCTTGTCCCACTTCTATGATATGCTGGTGGGACATACACATGCTAACGAGATATGCCTCCGTGGCCTGCTTCACTAGGACCAGGGAAGCATATCTTGTTAGCATGTGCTAGACTGGCTGCTTTGAGGGTCTTTCTCAGGCGGGAGGGGTGAGTGTGGGCAGGCAGCTCACTGTCTCAGGGCTATCTCAGGACAGATGGCTGTCCCGCATCTGTGGGCCCCTTCCTGCTGGACCTCTTTCTCGCTGGTCATCAGTGCGGCCACCAGAGCGACAGCTCCTACACTCCTTCCAAGATAAGGATATACATGCATACATACATACATACATGCATACATGCATACATACATACATGTACGATGAGCTCTAACCTTTTCCATTACCACTACAATTTATATGCTTTCTAGAAACTGTATTGGTATCATTGCAACTTTTGACAACTGGCATTATTTCAATGAACCAGTGAACAAGTCACTGCCACTTGGCCAGAGTGAGCACTGCCCTGAAACCCCTGGGTATGCAGCCTGTCCCAGGCCCACTGTAAATAATGTGTGTGCATGTCTGTGTGTGTATATGCATGTATGTGTGTTGTGTATGTGTGTGTGTGGTATATGTGTGTGCACGCACGTGTGTCATGTGTATACATATGTATCTGCATATATGCGTATGTGTGCACGCTGTGTGTATGTGCGCATAAGTGGGTCATGTGTAAGTGTGCGTGTATGTGTATACAAGTGTGTGTATATCTGTATGTATGTGTGCGGTGTGTGTGTATGAGCATTCATGTCATGTGTATGTGTATTTGTATATGCATGTATGTGTACATGTGTATGGTGTATGCGTATGTGCTCACGAATGTGTGTGCCATGTGTAAATGTGCCTGTATGTGTATATGAGTGTATGCATGTGTGGGTGTGTGATGTGTGTCTCTATACATGTATGTGTGTGCAGTGTGTGTGCATGAGGATGCATGTGTGTATGTATCTATCTCTGTGCATGATATATGTATATGTGTGCATGTGTATGTCATGTGCATATGTGCCTGTTATGTGTATATGAGTGTATGCGTGTGTAGGTGTGTGGTGTGTATGCCTATGTATATATATGTGTGTGCTGTGTGCGTATGTGTTTTTGAATGCAAGAAAGTGCTACTCCCTGGATCACTCTTCATGACAGAGCTAGAAAATATTTTTGATGATGGATATTAATTTCCATTCGCTTTAAAAATAAGTAAAAGTCATGTTAAGAAGGGTCCTGCCTAGCCATCTGATTCCCTCCCCAGAGGCAACCACTGCTCCCGTATTTTGATTTCTTTCTACAATTAAAGGTCATGAGTTCACGTGGATGTTCCCAATTTCACACGTTAGGCTGCTGTCCCCTGGCCACCCCCACCTTCTTTTTGGATGGGACTCCTTTGCCTGTGAAGACCTCGCCTCTCTGTACCTTCCCTTGAGAAGTTCCCAGGCTGGGAGGCAGAGCTGGGCTGTTTCTTCTTACAGAGCAGGGGACAGCTCCGTGGAGCTGGTGCCAGGGGTGCGAGGCTGTGTGTGAGCGTGCTCGGTGGTCTGGGCGCGAGCTGGTCACAGGTCAAGTAGAATGGGCTGGGCGAGCTCAGGTCACCAAACCCTCAGCTCCCAGTGGCCCCAACGACAGGCTTTGCTGCTTGTTCTTCATACATGTCCGTGGCGAGCTGCCTGGGCACTCCGGGTCGTCTCTCCCAGGCTGACTGAGCAACAACCAGCGAAAGCTGCAGGGCCCAGGGCGGAGGGAAGGGGTGCTCTGGTAGAGTCGTCTCCCGCAGGAAGCGCAGGGCTCTCGCCTGTGGCACCGTGACAGTGCCCTTGCACTCGGCACGCATTTCCCAGCACTAACTAGTGCCTCTCCCCTCGGACCCACCAACAGACCTCAGTGGGCCGGGGAATGCAGCCCAACCATAGGCCCAGAAGAGCAGAGAGCCTGGTGACAGCCCTGGGGGTGGCAAGGACCACTGATGGCAAAGTGGAAATTAATTTTATTTGTGTGTGGATCATTATTACTACTTCATTTTAAAAAAACACATGTTCCAGGCCGGGCGCAATGGCTCACGCCTCTAATCCTAGGACTTTGGGAGGCCGAGGCGGGTGGGTCACCTGAGGTCAAGTGTTCGAGACCAGCCTGGCCAATATGGCGAAACCCCATCTCTACTAAAAATACAAAAATTAGCCGGGCGTGGTGGCGCACGCCTGTAATCCCAGCGACTCAGGAGGCTGAGGAAGGAGAATCGCTTGAACCCGGGAGGTGGAGGTTGCAGTGAGCCAAGGTCGTGTCACCAAGCTCCAGCCTGCACGACGGGGGCCAGACTCCATCTCAAAACACAAAAAACAAAAACCCGTATGTTCCAAATTGGGACTCTTAAACATCCCTATCATCTTATTACACTCATCAGTCAGCATCCGTTTATTCTTCTATGTGCTACACCTTAACTCAATTCGCAAGTAAGGGTGTGTACAAAAGTCTTCATTATTTCAGAAAAAATCTTCAGAGAGGAGATTTATTGTGAATGCTGGGATAGTTCATGGCAACAGGACTGCTTGTGTTTCCCCTAAGGGCTTCTCAAGGAAGACTGTGTGCTTCCCCCAGGGTGCCCTTCCCAGGCAGGAAAGAGGGGTCTCATGGCCAGGGGGAAAGGTGGGAGTCCTGGCCCTGGCGGGGGCCCTCCTAGTCCCTGTGCCGATCCCATCGGGAATTGTTGATGACAGAGGAGAAACCAGGGCTGCAGAGCTGGGGTAGCCTGTCCAGCATGGAATTTAAACTTGCAGGACATCAAAGCCACCACACCTTAAGTTTTGGCCTTTGGGTGACTTGGATGAAACCCTGGATCCTCTCTGTGACTGTGGTTTGGTTGCCTTGGGAAGAACTGTGGGCTACACCACACCCAGCTCTCACGATGCACCGGTGAGCAGGGGGCACGCCTGGCACACAACGCTCCAATCCATGGTTCTTAGGTCCCCCTGCCCGGACTTAAACAGAAGGTGGTTAGAGCCAGCTCACGTGCTGACCCTTAGTGCTCTGGTCGGGCTAATGGAAAATGTATCTGAATATTAGGAACTGCATTTGGCTGCCAGTCATAGACAGCTGAAAAATGCTGGCTTCAACAAGGAAGTGGGTTCCTTTTCCATAAGATCACATGAAGCCCGCAGGTTGGCAGTCAGAGCTGGCGAACTGTCCCCCATCACTGCCCCAGGTCCTCCTGGGGCCCTCCCTCCCACAAGGAAGGAGGAGGCAGGGGCAGGGTCAAAGGGGCCTCCAGTGACTCAGCCCCCTTTGATGGAGTTCCCTGAAGCTCTACTTGACGACATCCAAGTCACCCCTGGCTGGAGCTCAGTCCCAGGGCCACCCCACCTGCAAAGGTGGCTGGGAAAACATGCACCAACAAAATTGGGGTCTGATACTGAGCAGGAAGGGCTGCAGCTTGCAGTTTCTGCCACAGTGATTGTTAAAGTGCTGTTTAACTGACCCCTATACCCCAACTCCATTCTCCATTCCCCATCCCCCCACCCTTTCCCTCACCCCCTCTCCCCGCAGAGACTCTGAGGCCCCAGGCCCGACATGCTGGAAAATGTGGCTCCTTCCAGGGCAGCAGCCTGCTGCTTGCCTCTCGGCGTGTTTCAGGTTTTCCTGAGCATTGGGGAGTTTCTGTGTCACCATGTCTCCTCTGGGGCTTGCCCAGTGCTTTCTGCCAGAGGAGCCCGTGCTCCAGCCCTGGAGGCACTGTGAGGGAGACGGGCTCTGGCAGCCTCCCCGACCCAGGCAGGCTCCTTGCAAAGACCCTGCAGGTTTGAGCAATCAGTGGTCCTGGAAGGTGGTGACGGCTCAGCCAGTGACCAGTCGTCAGGCCACTGCTTTCCCAGGTGCAGTGTGGTGGGCGGGAGGAGGCCTGTGTGCCATCTCCTGGGGAGGGGTGGGCCTTGACCCTGCACCTGGGCTGCACACCTTCCCCATTCCAGGGTGAAGGTGGACCAGGGTCAGAGCCAATTGGCCTTGGCCCCCTGAGTCCAGCCCCGCATGCGTGTCCCCCTGCTGTAGCCATCCACCTCACCTGGGGCTCCGGGCCTGCATCCCACCATCCGCCTCACCTGGGCCTGCATCCCAAAGACAGCCAAGGAGGTTCTCGTTTAGCCAGGACCATGAAGTTAGATGGACGGATTGTTAGGGAACCCAACCCTGCCTCAGGACCTGCCCTCCATGGAATCAGACACTCACAGAGGAGAGGGGACAAAGGGGGGCTCCCCATGACCTCTAGAGACCAAGGCCAAGAGCCACCTGTTGGGCTCAGGGAAGAGGCCCCTCCCAGCCTAATTACCTCCATCATAGGCATGCACACAATTCAGGGTGCAGAGAGGAAGGAAGGTGTACAATAAAAATAAAGGGTTCACTCCTCTATGCCAGCCCTCTGTTCTCCTCCCCAGAGGCAACCAGTGTCCACCACGTCGTTGGGTGTCCTTTGGGATATTTTCCCTGTGCGTACACGCAGAGCTCTGCAATGTTTTTTACGCACACGGTAACTCAGTACACACTTTCATGCACGTCCGTGTGAAGAGACCACCAAACAGGCTTTGTGTGAGCAATAAAGCTGTTTATTTCACCTGGGTGCAGGCGGGCTGAGTCCGAAAAGAGAGTCAGTGCAGGGAGATGGGGGTGGGGCCGTTTTATAGGATTTGGGTAGGTAAAGGAAAATTACAGTCAAAGGGGGTTTGTTCTCTGGCGGGCAGGAGTGGGGGCGGCAAGGTGCTCAGTGGGGGTGCTTTTTGAGCCAGGATGAGCCAGGAAAAGGACTTTCACAAGGTAATGTCATCACTTAAGGCAAGAACCAGCCATTTACACTTCTTTTGTGGTGGAATGTCATCAGTTAAGGTGGGGCAGGGCATATTCACTTCTTTTGTGATTCTTCAGTTACTTCAGGCCATCTGGGCTTATATATGCGTGCAGGTCACAGGGGATGCGATGGCTTAGCTTGGGCTCAGAGGCCTGACATTCCTGCCTTCTTATATTAATAAGAAAAATAAAACAAAATAGTGTCGAAGTGTTGGGGCAGCGAAAATTTTTGGGGGGCGGTGTGGAGAGAGAGAATGGGCGATGTTTCTCAGGGCTGCTTCGAGCGGGATTCGGGGCGGCGTGGGAACCTAGAGTGGGAGAGATTAAGCTGAAGGGAGGTCTTGTGGTAAGGGGTGATATTGTGCGGTTGTTAGAAGAAACATTCGTCATTTAGAATTATTGGTGATGACCTGGATACGGTTTTGTATGAATTGAAAAACTAAACGGAATAAGTAAAGGAGAAAAACAGGTATAAAAGGTCTAAGAATTGAGATGACTCAGGACATCTGATTAGAGAGTGCCAAAGGAGGTTCAGCATAGTCCTGCCAGCAAAGATTATGTATTTAAGAGTTCAGAGTGGCGGTTTGGGGATAGCACCAGGAGATATCAGCTGTGATGGCTTGGAGAAACAGTGTAAACTGGCAGTGTAAACAAGAGCAGGGCACGTATGAGTAGTTGAGAATGGTGAATAGGAGTACGACTAGACAGAAGATAGTAGGGATGACAAGTTTTTTGGGGCACAGTCCAAGTTGGTCTGGTGTCTGGAATGAGACTGGGGCCTAATAAAAAGGAGCGTCTATACAGGAGCTCAAATGGGCTGTACCTTGTAGCATTCCAAGGACAGGCCTGAATTCTGAGAAGGGAAAGTGGTAAAAGTATTGTCCAGTCTTTTTTAAGTTGGTGGCTGAGCTTGGTGAGGTGTGTTTTTAAAAGATCATTAGTCCGTTCTACCTTTCCTGAAGGCTGAGGACTGTAAGGGATATAAAGGTTTCACTGAATACTAAGAGCCTGAAAAAACGCTTGGCTGATTTGACTAATAAAGGCTGGTCTGTTATCAGACAGTATAGAGGTGGGAAGGCCAAACCGAGGAATTATGTTTGACAGAAGGGAAGAAATGACCATGGTGGCCTTCTCAGACCCTGTAGGAAAGGCCTCTACCTATCCAGTGAAAGTGTCTACCTAGAATAAGAGGTATTTTAGTTATCTGACTCGGGGCATGTTGAGTAAAGTCAATTTGCCAGTCCTGGGTGGAGGCAAATCCCTGAGCTTGATGTGTAGGGAAGGGAGGGGGCCTGAATAATCCCTGAGGAGCAGTAGAATAGCAGATGGAACACTGAGAAGTTATTTCCTTGAGGATAGATTTCCACGATGGAAAGGAAATGAGAGGTTCTAAGAGGCGGGCTAGCGGCTTGTACTATAGCACAGCCTGCCTTTGCTGGTGTGTGGCCATTAGGCCTGGTGGAACTGCCATCCATAAACCAAGTGTGATCAGGGTGAGAAGCAGGGAAGAAGGAAATGTGGGGAAATGGGGTGAACGTCAGGTGGATCAGAGAGATGCAGTCATGGGGGTCAGGTGTGGTATCAGGAATAATGTGGGAGGCTGGATTGAAGTCGGTGCCAGGAAAAATGGTAATTGTGGGAGACTCAATAAAGAGTGAGTACAGCTGAAGGAGCCGGGGAGCAGAAAGTATATATGTCAGGTATGAGGAAGAAAATAGATTTTGGAAGTTATGATAACTGTAGAGAGTGAGTTGAGCATAGTTTGTGATTTTGAGGGCCTCTAAAAGTATTAGGGTGGCAGCAGCCGCTGCACAGAGACATGAGGGCTAGGCTAAAACAGTAAGGTCAAGTTGTTTGGACAGAAGGTCTACAGGGTGCGGTCCTGGCTCTTGTGTAAGAATTCTGACTGCACTAACCATGCCTAGGAAGGAAAGGAGTTCTTGTTTTGTAGAAGGGGTTGGGGTTTGGGAGATTAATCGGACATGATCGGCAGGGAGAGCACGTGTGTCTTTATGAGAATTATGCTGAGATAGGTAACAGATAGGGAAAAAATTTGGGCTTGACTGATGTAATGGGGGCTGTCTGTGAAGCTTTGGGGCAGTACAGCCCAGGTAATTTGCTGAGCCTGATGGGTGTCAGGGTCAGTCCAAGTGAAAGTGAAGAGAGGCTGGGATGAAGGGTGCAAAGGAATAGTAAAGAAAGCATGTTTGAGATCCAGAACACAATAATGGATTATGGAGTGAGGTATTGAGGATAGGAGAGTATATGGGTTTGACACCATGGGGTGGATAGGCAAAACAATGTGGTTGATAAGGCACAGATCCTGAACTAACTTGTAAGGCTTGTCTGGTTTTAGGACAAGTGAAATGGGGGAATTGTAAGGAGAGTTTATAGGCTTTAAAAGGCCATGCTGTAGCAGGAGAGTGATAACAGGCTTTAGTCTTTTCAAAGCATGCTGTGGGATGGGATATTGGTGTTGAGCGGGGTAAGGGTGATTAGGTTTCGATGAGATGGTAAGGGGTGCATGATCGGTCACCAAGGAGGGAGTAGAGGTATCTTATACTTATGGGTTAAGGTCGGGGGATACAAGAGGAGGACACAAAGGAGGCTTTGGATTGGGAAGAAGGGCAGTAATGAGGTGTGGCTGTAGCCCAGGAATAGTCAGGGAAGCAGATAATTTAGTTAAAGTGTCTCAGCCTAATAAGGGAACTGGGCAGCTGGGGATAACTAAAAGGAGTGCTTAAAAGAGTATTGTCTAAGTTGGCACCAGAGTTGGGGAGTTTTAAGAGGTTTAGAAGCCTGGCTGTCAATACGCACAACAGTTATGGAGGTAAGGGAAACAGGCCCTTGAAAAGAAGGTAATGTGGAGTGGGTAGCCTCCGTATTGATTAAGAAGGGGACGGGTTTACCTTCCACTGTGAGAGTTACTGGCAGCTCGGCGTCCGTGATGGTCTAGGGGGCTTCCGAGGTGATCGGGCAGTGTCAGTCTTCAGCCGCTAAGCCAAGAAGATCTGGGAAGGAGTCAGTCAGAGAGCCTTGGGCCGGAGTTCCAGGGGCTCTGGGAGTGGCTGCCAGGTGAGTTGGACAGTCCGATTTCCAGTGGGGTCCCGCACAGATGGGACACGGCTTAGGAGGAATCCTGGGCTGCAGGCATTCCTTGGCCTGGTGGCCAGATTTCTGGCACTTGTAGCAAGCTCCTGGGGGAGGAGGTTCTGGAGGAATGCCTGGCCGCTGCAGTTCAGGTGTTTGGAAGTTCTTGTGTGCTGGAGATGTGGCTGGGGTTTGTCTCACAGTGGAGGCAAGGAATTGCAACTTTTTTCTATTATTGTACACCTTGAAGGCAAGGTTAATTAAATCCTGTTGTGGGGTTTGAGGGCCGGAATTTAATTTTTGGAGTTTTATTTAATGTAGGGAGCAGATTGGGTGATAAAATATATATTGAGAATAAGACGGCCTTTTGGGCTTTTAGGGTCTAGGGCCGTAAAGTGTCTCAGGGTTGCTGCCAAACGAGGCATGAACTGGGCTGGGTTTTTATATTTGATGAAAAAGAGCCTAAACGCTATCTGATTTGGGATAAAGAAAAAGGAGCATTAACCTTGACTATGCCTTTAGCTCCAGCCACCTTTTTAAGAGAAAATTGCTGGGCAGGTAGGGGAGGGCTAGTCACGGAAGGAAACTGTAAGCCGGACCGGGTGTGAGGAGGGGAGGTGATAAAAAGATTATATGGTGGAGGAGCGGAGGCTGAGGAAGAATTGGGACCTAGCTCGGCCTGGCAAGGAGCAGCCTGGGGAGGAGGGGAGAGGTCAGATGGGTCTATAGAAAAGATTAGAAAGACTCAGCGATGCTTGGGGTTGGGACTGAGGAGACAGGCGGGAGGGAAAGAAGGAAGATTTGGGATGAGTTGCACTGGGAACAGAGACTAGGGAGGGACTGATGTGTAAAAGAACGCCTGGACGTCAGGCACCTCAGACCATTTGCCCATTTTACGACAAGAATTATTTAGATCTTGCAGGATGGAAAAATTGAAAGTGCTGTTTTCCGGCTATTTGGAACTACTGTTGAGTTTGTATTGGGGTCAAGCGGCATTGCAGAAGAAAATAAGGCATTTAGGTTTTAGGTCAGGTGTGAGTTGAAGAGGTTTTAAGTTTTTGAGAACATAGGCTAAGGGAGAAGAAGGAGGAATGGAGAGTGGAAGGTTGCCTACAGTGAAGGAGGCAAGTTTAAAGAAAAGGGAGAGTAGAGACACGGAGAGAAGCGGTTCAGGGGTTCTTACTCTCCAGAAAAGTGGGAAAGGGGTCGGGGTGCAGAGATACGAGGTCGGGATGTGGAAATAAGGGATCAAGGTGCAGAGATATAAGAGGTGGGGGCATGGAAATAAGGGATTGGGGCACAGAGATAAGAGGTTGGGGCACAGAAATAAGGGATTGGGGCGCAGAGATATGAGGTTGGAGTACTTGCTCCTCCTCTAGAAAAGCGGGACTTGCCGCTCAGGGTGAAGGAGAAGGGGTTGGGGGTTTCTTGCCCCCCAGAAAGGCGGAGAAGGGGTAGAGACACGGAGAGAAGGGGTTGGGGTCCTTGCCCATTCCCCAGAAAAGCGGGACTTGCCGCTAAGGGTGAAGGACCAAGGCAGGCGTCCCTGCGTGGTCTGACACCTCTGAAACCTGGGTGAATAATCAGAGAGGTGTCCCTGCAATGATTAAACACCAAGGGAAGGCTGCCTTCCCAGTCCGTGACCGGCGCTGGAGTTTTGGGTCCACGGATAAAACGTGTCTCCTTTATCTCTACCAGAAAATGAAAGGAATTGAAGTTAAGAGAAGGGAGAAATTGAAGTGTGGCGCCAAGATTGAAAGGAGAAAGAGGTTGAGGGATAGTGAGGGAGGTTGGAGAAGAGAGTAAAAAGAGGCTGCTTACTGGATTTGAAATTGGTGAGATGTTTCTTGGGCTGGTTGGTCTGAGGACTTGAGGTTGTAGGTGGATCTTTCTCATGGACCAAAGAGCAGGAGGACAGGGGATTGATCTCCCAAGGGAGGTTCCCCCCCCCCTCCCCCCGCGCCAGTTACGGCACCAAATTTAATGCACGTCCATGTGAAGAGACCACCAAACAGGCTTTGTGTGAGCAACAAGGCTGTTTATTTCACCTGGGCGCAGGTGGGCTGAGTCCGAAAAGGGAGTCAGTGAAGGGAGATAGGCGTGAGGCCGTTTTATAAGATTTGGGTAGGTAAAGGAAAAAGGGGGTTTGTTCTCTGGCGGGCAGGAGTGGGGGTGGCAACGTGCTCAGTGGGGGAGCTTTTTGAGCCAGGATGAGCCAGGAGAAGGAATTTCATAAGATAATGTCATCAGTTAAGTCAAGGACCGGCCTTTTTCACTTCTTTTGTGGTGGAATGTCATCAGTTAAGGCGGGGCAGGGCATATTCACTTCTTTTGTGATTCTTCAGTTACTTCAGGCCATCTAGGCATATACGTGCAAGTCACAGGGGATGCGATGGCTTGGCTTGGGCTCAGAGGCCTGACGCACTGTGCTGCAAGCTGCTTTCAAACAAATGCATTTATTATATCTTGGAGAACATTCCAGTCCAGCAGTTAGTGCTGCCTGCCTCTTTGACAGGCTGCAGAGGATGGCACTGTTGCATGTGCAGGAATTTTATGACCTCCCTCATGATAGAGGTTGGGGTTGCTTCCTGTTTGGGGCCATATTCTAAGAGATGCTATAGTGAACATCCTTGTTCTGTATCTTTGGGCACTTTTACCAAGATTTCAGGACCAAATACTTAAGTGGAACTGCTGGGTCAGAGGGTATGTGCATTTGAAATTTTGGTAGATAAGTCCAGAATGCCCTCCAAGGGGTAGCCTCCAACTACCCCCTCGTTAATCCACCCTCCATTCAGCAAAGTGAGTTGTAAAGTTGACTGAATCATCTAATAATCCTGCTTAAAACTGCCAGGAGCTTCCGCGGAGACCCCCACTTGCAATTCTGTGTGCACAGTCCCCTCCTTCAAGGCCGCAGCCACGCCAGGCTCTCCTGTCCCTCCCACACAGTGGCTTGAACCCACAACAGGGTCTTTGCATGTGCAAGGCCCTTGCACCCAGTGCCCTCAGAGCTCCATGGAATGCCTTCTTCCCATTCCTCAGTCTCACATTGTACCTCCTGGTGCAGGCTGCAGGCCTCGCCAGCCTCAGTCAAATGTAACGTTCCTAGGCCAAGCCACGAATTGCCCAACTGGGTGGTCCGGCTGCCCTGCTATCTCACTTGTTTGTGTGCTTATTGTCAACTCTACCTATGAGGAGTGAGCTCCTAAAAGCAGAGATTCGGCCAGCGCAGGTAGCTCACACCTGTAATCCCAGCACTTTGGGAGGATGAGGCGGGCGGATCACCTGAGCTCAGGAGTTCAAGACCATCCTGGCCAACATGGTGAAACCCCGTTTCTACTGAAAATACAAAAATTATCCAGGCATTGTGGTGCACGCCTGTAATCGCAGCTACTCGGGAGGCTGAGGCAGGAGAATTGCTTGAACCTGGGAGGCGGAGGTGGCAGTGAGCTGAGATCGCGCCATTGCACTCCAGCCTGGGCAACAGAGCGAGACTCCGTCTCAAAAAACAAAAACAAAACAAAACAAAAAAAACACAGAGATTCTTGACTGTGTCTCCGGTCACAGTGCCTGACACTTAGTAGGTGTTTAAGAAGGAGATGCTGGCTGGTTACCACCCTCTGCCAACATGAGGGTGGTAAGTGACATCTATCTGAGATGCCTGTGGTCCAGCTGATGTTGACAGGGTCCTCAGGGTGCCCCCCACCCCCTCACTGAAGCATGAGCTCTTCTACACCCGCCAGAGGTCACTGGGCAGAGGCCAAAGTTGCAGGGACCATGCTGAATGCTGGGCCCATCCCAGCAACATTTTACTGTTGTGGAGACTGTTTCCCTGCTGTTGGGTGAGGTCAAGCATTGATGTTTAAGGGTCTGTCTGTTTCTTTGTAATTCAATTGCTGCCCATGCCCTTAACCTGTTTGCCTTTCCGGTTTTCTGTTTCTTATTGACATTACGAACTCTCTGTAATGAAGATAAGTGAGGTCTTTGTCTCTCATTTGTGTTGCAATGTTTTTTTTTCTCAGTTGCTAGTCTTTTAGGCTTTGGACTAATTTTCCACGTAAGTTTCAATTTCATGGAGTCAAGTTCATTAGTCATTTCCTGTATTTTTTTTTTTTTTTTAAGAGTTGGGTCTTGCTCTGTCACCCAGGCTAGAAAGCTGGTGTGATCATAGCTCACTGTAACCTCCAACTCCCAGGCTCAAGGGTTCCTCCTGCCTTGGCTCCTGGGTAGCTGGGACTTTAGGCCTGTATGATTTCTAACTGTGATGTGATGAGATCCCCTCCCCTGGCTCTGTGAGGCCTGGGGCTGGGCTTTTCCAGGAGTAGGAGAGGGTGAATTTTGGTGCCTGCAAAGCAGCCTGGCCTCGCGTGATGCCAAAGCAAAAGCTTGGGGCCTGGGGCAGATGGAATCTGGCTTGCATCTGGGGGTTAACTGGGCAGTTGTGGGGCACTGGAATGAGAGGAGAGGGAGAGTGGGACTCCTGAGACCCTGCTGTGGGATGAGGGTGAGAGAATGGCAGGGAGGTAGACAGGAAGCACAGACCCTCAGCCCCCTGGGACTTGGTGCCCAGGTTGGTAAAAAAAAAAAAAAAAAAAAAAAAAAGAGTGGGGGGACTCGCTTTTTCCAAGCCTGTGACTGACAGAGCAGCGTCTCCACCCATGGAAGCTGCTCAGGGGCCACCTGCATGTTGGCACAGTGGGCAAGGAGGGGCTGCCCATTATCCCCAGACAGCGAGTGGGTCTGGGAGGGACTGAGCCCGTGCTGTGGTCATAAGCGCTCAAAAGACAGAGGCCACAGCTTCGTTCTTGAAAGAATCTGTTTATTTTGAGATTAAAAGAGTCTCATCTCCCTGCATATCCAGCAAATACTAAATTTGATCTTTTTAATTTTAGAAAAGGGTCAACAAACTTCAGCTGGAGTATGATCTCTCTTTCAAACTCCCATTCTGGTTTAAGGAGCCCCAAAGGGTAACTCTTGACAAAAAAGTGGCTATGTTTGCACATGTGTGTGCATATGTGTGTGCATGTGTGTAATGCATGTGCATAGTTTATAAAATGTTTGCTGTTGTATCCATAAATCCCCTGTGGACAACGTTCCTTTTCGTACTCCGCTGTACACGTGTGCAGTGAATGTTTAGCAAATACATAATTTGGTATAAATCCCATACAATGTGATTTCACAACCAGAAGCCTGACTGCTGAGATATTACTGAATTTTTTAAAGTGATAAACAAGATTATTATGTGCAAACAAACAGGGCCTGTGCTCCAGCTGCGTCCAAATTTACTTGACAAAGCTATAAACACAAGGCCCTTTCTGAAGTCCTGCTGATTGAGTTTCCCCTTCCTTTTGTCGGTGGAGAGGAATGTAAAGGCTAAGCGGGTGCACTCGGACTGTGTGCCTCTGGGCTTGCTGGCGGTGGCACTTAAAGGAACTCATTCATTCTCTGGATGGGGCAACACTCCTCACCCGGGATCCCCCAAGGGCTTTCCCACACGGAGACCTTCCCGAACACAGAGACATCTGATCTTGGCTTGCCCAAGCTGGCCCAGGCCTCGGGGACTCAGGAGCCTGTGGAATGTGCTGAGAGCCTGAGGTCTCTGGCGGGGAAAGGGCAGGGGTCACAGCCCCCCTCCTGCCCTACCTCAAGTGCTTCCCAGCGGAGGGCCTCTAGTGTAATTCCATCTGAGACCTGGGGATGGCAGGAAGGCCCGGCCCTGCTTTGTTTGACCCAGCTCAGAACAGGATCCTGCACCCCTGCTCCTGCAAACTGATGGGGGAGGCCAGAGGAGGCCGCTCCCAGCCTGATACCACTGTCTTCCCTGGGGCTGTAAAATCAGCAGTTGGGGGATGGGGTATTCAGAGAACTCTGCTCCAGAGAACCAGAGAACCCTGGAGCCACCGCCAGGCGAGTAACTTCTCAGCACTTCTTAGCAGCAAGGAGTTCAGGGGAGAACTCCATCTGTCTTCTAGGTCCTTGGAGAACTAGAGGCCGATGGCAGAGGGGTCAGGCTGCAGCCCCGGGCCAGCCAGCTCTGATGTGTGACAGTCATTCCACAGGAATTACCTTCTCTTGCGAGTGCAAGCCTCCAGCCGGCCCAGCTCCTCGTAGGACTGGTAGAAAATGTCGAACTCCCTGGCGCCCCAGCCCCTCCAGACGGCCAGGCACCACTCTGTGTTTTCATTTTCAAAGGTGCACACAACAGTGTCCTTTGCCACCACGGCAGCATCCACCAGCACCCTGCAGAGAGAAGGGGGTCTGAGGAAACTCACAGGGGTTCCCACTCGGGTGGGGTTGGGACCCTCCCCCTGTGCCTTCTGAGGAAGGCGGAGCTGGCTAAGGGCAGGGGAGTGTGTCTGCTTGCCAGCCCTCTCTGGGGTGTGCTGAGATGCACCACTTCTCCCCAGTGGCCAGCCTGTGGGCTTAGGCTTTATAAAGTCCAAAGACGGGCTGTGGGCATGAGTTCGCGTCCATGGGCTTTGTCTGTAAGAGTCAGACTCCCTGGAAGGCCACAGAGGCAATCAGATCATGCATCCTTGACTCAGCTCCCAAAGCGTCCAGAAAACACCACTGACCCAAATTTCTGCTTGTGAATGGCTCATGACCGAGTTTAACTCAACTCCCTTGCCACTAAGCTCAGTAAGATTCTTCTCTCATTCTGTTTCTACAGGCTTAGGAAATACAGGATCATATATTAAATGGAAAACCTACTGCCCCAAAGTCATCACTATATACATTTTTTGAAACTGTGGACAGTTTTGCAGGATCGGTGGGTGTGTGCTACAGGTTTCCTTTTGGGCCACAGTGTGGCCTCCCTGCCCTGGTGGTGCCCCACCCCAAGCACATACTAATTGCCTTTCCTCCCTCTGTGTCCCGTGTGTGCGGCCTGCGTGGCACTGAGGTGCTCCTGCAAACTGGGATGTCCAGGGACCTCTCACTCCGCGTGGCCTTGCCAGGACCTCCCCTTAGGGGAGGAGCCTCCCTCTAGCGAGAAAGAGGTAAAATCTGGCTTTAGGGATGAATAGGAGAAAAACAACAGCTAAACGTTAGGACATTAATGGCAGGTATGCCAAGGTCCTAACCTGGGTGCTGCACACCCATTTCCTCCAGAAGCCCGACCTGCAAGCTGGGAACTCCATCAGTTCAAGGCTTCTACCCACAGGCTCTGCCAGAGCTCAGGAGCAGATCCAGATCTTGCTTCCAGAACCACTTACAGAGTAAGGGTCACTGGCCCAGGACTCACTGCAAAAGTTCAAAGCTGGCAGGCAAGGGAGTGCGACTGCCAAGGATGTCCTTGTCATTGTCCTGCTTTGGGAGAAGCAAGCTGACTGGTGTTTCTCCACCCTCTTATGCTCCAGATGAAATAAAAACCCACTTGCCCAGGGATGGGGGATAACTCATGCTGCAGGGAAACAGGCCTAGTGTGAAATGGAAGAGCTCCAAAGTACACACACACACACACACACACACACACACACACACACACACATTTGAACTGAGGACTTTTCGTAGGGGAGATTTACCGTGTGGGGCTCGGTAGTCAAAGTGCGGGGTGTAAACACTGTGGGGAGCTGCAGCTGGCGCCAGCCTCACATCACTGCAACCATGTAGACCATGTCCCGGACAGGCCACCCTGCCCAGCATACCTTCACAGAGGAGACTGGCATAATCCTGGGGGTCCCCACCCACAGACAGGTACTGAGCTATGTCTCAGCCCAGGAAGGGCAGGAGCTGAGACCCCAGGCTTGGAGATGACAAGGTGTGCCTGTGTCATCTGTCCCCATAGGGTGCTGTGTGGGCTGGTGGACACCTCGGGTAGGGTTTCCTGCTTGGCAGGAAGAACAGTGAATCAATGACCTGGATGCATCTGCATGTCGATTGCAGCTGAACTCTGGCCCTGGAGACATTCGTTAGGTAGGGTACTAGGTAGGGTACTTGATCTACAGGTGCACTGGGTACTCCAGAAACAGGCAGCCATGGCCAGTGCGGAGCCCCTAGGAGCTGTCTGAGGGGCCCCATCTTGTTTCCACTTTGCCTTACAGCCACGTTAGTGGCTATGCTATTTGGGAGAATGGAAGGGCAGCAAAGCCACTGTGCAGGACCTGGCTGCAGGGCCTTCTGTGCTCATGCTGCTGCCTGGGTCCTAAAGGAGCTGCCACTCAGTCTTACCCATGCGGAGTCAGCTCTCGGGCTTTTAAGACGGCAATGACTCGGCCCCGCTGGGCGCCAGAATCCTTCTCCAGGCCAATGACGATAACATCTCCACCGCGCCTAAGCAACCAAAACCCAGAAGGGGAAGCGATTTGTCGGTAGCCGTGCTCTCCGGGGAGTGAAGCCGGTGTGCAGAAAGGTGCGGGAGGGAGGCAACAGACATGCAGTTTCTGCTAAGGGATTAAGTTATGGGGAGGGGACAGACTTCAAAGCAGAGGAGAATTTTCTCAGTGGAAACTGAGTCACAGTTGACTGTGGCTTTCCTTGTGTGGCACCTTAAGCTCTCTGGCAGGCAATAAGCTTTTGTGCGGCCACTCTTAGATTTGCTAAAGCGATCGCTTCCATTCCCAATGGAGGAAACCAACCCTCTTGGAAGAACAGCACCTGCCTCCCCACATGACCTGTAAGGAAGCCAGGGGGCTTCCCCTTGCTCTGTCCCCAGAGCAGGAGCAGTGGGCGTGCCCTGGATGGTGCCCTCACCTCGGGAAACGTACCTGGGGACCCAAATGAGGTCTCTGACGGCGAGGATCTTCACGGCCTGCAGGTGCTGGCTGAAGGTCTCCCCGTCCATGGGGGTCAGGTCATGCTCAGACCTGTCGGAGGCAGCACCGGGCGTATGTAGCATGTCTGAGTCCTCGCAGTCGGTGGAGAAAGGCACACTGGAAGAACTTGCTGGGGAGCTGGGGAGGCTTGAGGGGGACCTGGCAGCCTGGCGGGGTGGGGATGAGGAGTAGGAGGACATGGAGCAGTAGTCAGTGAGTGATTCCTGGTGGATCAGGATCTGCGTGCCCAGCTCCTCACTGTACATGATGCTCACGTCCGCGATGGAGTCCCCCTCAGGCACCTTTGGGTTGGCCGTGTGGCTGGCTGCCGGGGGTTCCGTGTCCAAGGGCCGCACGGGAAACATGTCCCTGAGGGGGCTGGGGACCCCGCAGAAGTACCGGGCACACAGCTGGTAGGTGGTGGAGTGGTACATCACCAAGGAGTTGGCCTTGTCATCCAGGCACCAGACGACCTCCTCCCCTCTGCCCTCAGAGCTGCACACGACTGACGTAACCATGGAGGGGGCCATGTAGGGCTCCAGCCGCCTGCAGATCTCCAGGGAGGCACAGTCGATGACAAGGAGGCCCGGCCCATTGCTGTACCAGACCTCAGAGCCGCTGTTGACCACCTCCATGGCCTTCACTGGGTAGGGGTTCTGCCGTGCGTCTTCATCCGCGATGCTGAACTTGGACCTGTTGGCTGTGTGTGAGCACAGGTAGGAGCAGCTGTCCTTTGGGGTGCCCCGCACCACGGGAAACACAGCCACAAGCCCATCGGCGAGGCCCGCTAAGACCAGGTAGGAATTCTGAAGGAAGGAGACAGGGATGTGTCACATCCTTCCATTTCACACATTCCAAGAGAGACACAGAGTAGGCACTGGACTCATCTGCACCCACACCAGGCGGGCAGTCACTTTCCACCAGTGCGCCTCAGGGCAGCAAATCTCTTAGAAAGGCCGGGGCTACTCCTAAAGAAGTGCAGCTCTGACTCCGCAGAGCCATATCTACCATCCCTGCAGCAAAGAAAGGAATGTGCCACCCAGAGGCAGGGCCTGTGGCACCAAGTAAGGCTGCGTGTCACCTGGACCACATGGGCTGCCTCTGCTTCTGCCAGCTTCTTGCAGGGCGAGCAGCAGGGAGCTGCCTTCTCCTTGAGGCCACCAAGGCCTCCTTCAGAGGCAGGACCTGGTGCCCCCGCCCTTTTCTCGGTGCTGCTTAACATGACAGCAGTGGGGGCATGGCAAGCATCTGTGCACTGCCCCCTGCCTGCCACCCCCCCCACCAGGCAGAGTGTTCCATAAGGATGGGCTCCCAGCCCACCAGCATCCCCGTGGCACTAGCCTGGCACAGGGAAGGGCTCAGTCTCCTTCATCTTGGTGGCCCTGTGACTCCACCTGGCTCCTGCTCCAAGTGGATGACATGTGTTTGCTGAACTAATTCTGGAAGAAATCGCTTCCTACTCAACCCTCTTCTGGAGGCCTGTCTCAGCCTGCTGAGCCCTCATCCCAGCTTACATCTATCGAGATGCCTGTGGTTCAGCTGACGTTGACAGGGTCCTCAGGGTGCCCCCCACCCCCTCAATGAAGCATGAGCTCTTCTACACCCGCCAGAGGTCACCGGGCAGAGGCCAAAGTTGCAGGGACCTTGCTGAATGCTGGGCCCACCCCAGACCGCCCCGGGGCACCTCCCAGGGCAGAGCCAGGAACAGAGTGCAGCTCCGCAGCCTAGACACCGCGTCGGCTGTGGTGGGGGTGGGAAGAGGTCTGCAGAACAAAGCTGGAGTCAGGGCAGAGCAGGGAGCTGGGCCTCATGCCAGTGAGGGGGCAGGGCAGAAAGCCTCCTTGTGGGGAGCTGGGGGAGCTCAGGAGGCTGGCTGTGCAGGGCAATGGAGTGGAGACCCGTAGCTCACTGTCCAGGACAACATGCTCTAAGAAAGCGTATCGAAATCCATCCCCAGGACTTTAGGGAAAGAAGGCAGCCAAGGCAAACAGGCTCCAGGTCTCTATCTGCAGTCCTGGCTCAGGCCCCGGCCAGGGCGGTGAGTGCCACGTCCCGGCTGGGTGTGAACGTGGGTGCGCGTGCAAGAATGCAGGCTTCGCGCTGGCGGCCTTGGAGGGGGCAGACACCCTGCCCAGGAGGCCCTGCACAGAGCAGGCTTTATTCCCTCTGGTCGTGCAGGAGGTGGTGCCCTGGCTGGGGGCTCTCGCCAGCGGTGGCCTCAATAACACTTTGTGTCGTGTTCTCCTGCGCTCTGGTACGGGCCTGGTCCCAAGCTGCGTAGCCTCGCTGTGGGGCCATGGTCATAAATGACTCTAAGGTTCATTTCATACCTGTTTTTTTTTTTTTTAAATGAAACTGAAGAAGGGTGAAGAGAAGAGTTCATGTATTTTGCGACCATCCAGAAGTAATAATAATACTCATTTACCAAGCACACCGGCCTAGACCTTTGGGTATGCTAGGCCTTCTGTCTCTTCTTATACCTGTTTTGTAGATGGGCAAACTGGAATTGGATGATGACAGTCACATTTTAACAAAGCAACACCAGTAAAGGCTTCTTGTGCATTTAGTGAGGGCGCCTATGCACAGACAGGCCCCTCAGGGTGGATGAAACCAGAGCTGGCTGAGCCGTGCCTGAATCCTGTGGGCGGAGGAGCCCGGAAAAGCCAGGGAGCTGCCCCCCACTGAGGGGCAGCTTCTCAAAGGAGGGGACAAGGCCCCGGGTCTTGAGAACTGAATCGGAGGCCGTCTGGGAAGAGGTGCGTGGAGGGGCTGTTCCTGGAGGAGGCTGGGATGTCAAGGGCCCAGCACAGAGTGGGGTGCTTTGTGGGGAGGGTGCCGGGCCCAGCAGGGACTGGAGGCCAGCCTCATAGAGGCTGGGGCTAATCCCAAGGTGCAGCACAGCTGGCTGGGCCTTTAATGGGGAGAGTGCCCCTTGGGGTCTCATTTAGAAAGGCCAGGGCTAGGAGGTTAAAGAGCTGAGTCTGCAGGGCTATGCTGCACAAAGAGAAACTGCGTCTGGTGTAAGACGGCGAGTACTTGGCGGGAGGCAGAGATGGAGGGAGGGAGATCAGGACCTCCAGGACCTGGTGATCAAGTGGCTGTGAGGTGGCTCTGGCCTGGGCAGGTGGGGAAGAGGCTCCGGATAGGGGAAGGGCACACGCATGACTGCTCACCGTGCCATTTGTACCAACAGTCCTTCCACCTGAGTCAGGGCATTTGCATGTGAAAGGGGGTTTTTCATTCGGCCTGCAGTCTGGCTGGGGACTTGACTTAGGTTTTTGCAAACCGGAAGGCACTAATGACGGACCAGGTCTGATATCTTTCCTCCCACCGTCTCTAAGTCTACGTCCTAGGCCAGGTGGTCCTAGGTGTGGCTCTGCAGGCGCCACCCTGACATAGCTAGGAGACGCCTCCTAGGCGTGGAAGTGCATCAGAGACCTGCATACCTGCCTTTGCCCCGACCTCACCTTTTTAATAACAGGCACGGCCAAGAAGCAGGTGACGACAGCTGGAGTATCCAAGGCCTGTTGGGGTGTGTTTAAGGGGCACATGCCCTTGAGGGTGTAGATGTAGATTTTCTGGTCCTGCAGAGGCAGACAGGTCCACTGTGAGACCCAGGCTGGAAAGTGTCTGGCATTTCCCAAGCCATTCCCATGAGGATGCACTTGGACTTGGGGATCCCCTATGGGTCTTGGAAAGTTACATGGATTGACACGTTCTGGTGGGTTGTTTATGGATTTCTGCTCTTTGTAGAAACGTTGAAAAAGACAGACTAGTCTAAAGAGGAAACAGAAAATAGCCCGTCATCTATTCCCCAGAGAAAACCAACATTGGGATCTGGGGGCACAGCCTCTCAGAAGTTCTCTGTGGTATTTGTGTGTGCACCTGGTACTGGCAAAGTGGACTCACGCCGCAATGCTGTCTTCTCACTGTTCTTCCCATGTGAGACAGCATGCTTTAGGCAGAGCCCTTGCTTTCCTCACTCTAGGAGGAAATGTTCACTGTTCTTCCCATGCAACAGCACGCTTTAGGCAGAGCCCTTGCTCTCGCCCATTCTAGGAGGAAATGTTGTGGGAGCATCTCTTGGATGCCTGGGACTGGGCTGCACCTACTTCGGCTAATCTGTTGTCAGATGTTTCTTAACACTGAGATTTCTGAGGCTTAAGTGGTACGCAAGGCTGGAGTGCAATGGTGCGATCTTGGCTCATTGCAACCTCCACCTCCTGGGTTCAACCGATTCTCCTGCCTCAGCCTCCTGAGTAGCTGGGAACACTCACGCACCACCATGCCCAGCTAATTTTTGTATTTTTTAGTAGAGACGGGGTTTCACTATGTTGGCCAGGATGGTCTCAATCTCTTGACCTCGTGATCCTCCTATCTTGGCCTCCCAAAGTGCTGGGATTACAGGCGTGAGCCCCTGTGCCTAGCCTGCCTCAGAACATTTGTGTTTGGCCAGTTGTCTCGGGACTTCTCAGAAGACCCCTCCTTGGGCCTTCTAGTGACTTCCCTGATTTCCCTGATGTGAAGGCAAGAGGCCTTCAGAGCTGAGTGACTAGCAGTGTTATGGGAAACACAGGCACGTCCCTAGCCTCCTGGGTCTCGTCTCCTGCTGAGGGTCTACATCTGGTCCTCACCATCGCAAATCCCGGCCTCCAGCCAGCAGCAGGCAGGGTTGAGCTGCCCCTGGTGACAGGCTGCTACTTCTCGGGGCTCCTGGCATTACTTGGGGACTGCACGGGGATGCGCTGGGGGTTATCTGAAAGTTCACTTGACCTGGCGTCCTGTATTTTTATGAATGTGGCCCCCACCCAGGGCTGCACCCAGTGGGCAGTGCTTACCTCGGTGGGCAGGCCTGCGGGCAGTGCTTACCTCGGTGGCTGTCCACAGGGATCTCTGGACCTGGAGCTGGCAGCTCACCTTCATCCCAGGGCAGCACATCCTCTGCACCTCCATGAGGCCCTTCTCTGTGTTCACCACCGTGTAGTTCCTGTAAGTGGCAGAAACTGTGCTGTCAGTGCCCGGGGGCCAGGGGCTGCCTCCTTTCCCTGAGCCTGGCCTGCCAGCTGCGAGCCTCGTCTACCTCCCCTGCTCCCACCCAGGGTTGCATCCTGTGTTCTGAGAGGGCAGAGCCGGGTTCTGCCCGAAGGGTAATGCTTGACCGTCGCCCGCAGGAAGGGCATTCGCCAGAGAAGAAAGGCTGTCCTCTTTCCGTGACCCCTCAGGGTTGAGACGGTTGCCCCCAGTACGAAGGAGGGGCCCTCCCGCCGGCCATATCCTGCCCGCCCCTGTTATGCGGGGAGCTCCTCACTGTAGAGTAGACAAAGCCAGGGCTAAAGACAAGTTGGGAGAATTCCAGAGGAGATTGGGTTGGGGCGGGGGGGCACTCAAAATGTGCTCCCAGCACGAGTGCTCTGAGAACTAATGGCTTGTCATTTGCGAGAGCCTTGGCTCACCAGGCCGGCTGTCCCCGGCATCGCTGTCTCCCCTCAGGCTGTGGCGGGCATCCTGAGCACTCACTGCATGGCAGAGGAGGCTGAAGCTGATGGGGCTGGGAAGTTATGTACCCCGCATCACGCAGCTCTGTCCCTCAGACTCAAGAGAATATGTTAAGCTCGCGGATAGCAGTTCTCAATATAAAGTTTCTCCTGCCACCAAATTTTAAAAAGCTGTTGACTGATAACGTATTTGCAGATGATAGAAATGGTAGAAAATACAGCAAACAAAAACTTCCTTCAGGTGTATTTGTCTCCTTTTCCCATCATTTTTTTATGCATCAGAAAAACAAAACTAAGATATTTGAATAGCTTTTACTTTGAAAACAAACAGTTAAAAATATAGAGAGTCATAAAGAATAATTGCCCCTGTTCCCTGCAACTGGAATTGTGTCCTAGGCGTATCCTGTTTACCTGCTCGTCTGCCCTGCCTCTCCTGCCTCCTTTCCTTCCTTAATTCTCAGACAGATCTCAAGTCAAGTCCGGTTCCATCCTGGCTCCCCTGCTTGGCTGCCCGTGTGCTCCCAGCCAGCCCCCTCCTCCCTTCCTGTGAGTGAGTCTCTCTTCAGGCCGCAGTGAGTTTTAAAGAACCTTCACAGGTCACAGGAAGAGGCCTCTGTCTTCCCTCTGGGATGAGTCTTCAGAGCCCTGAGCGGAACTGTCTCAGGTACCTGCCGCGTGTGTGTCTCTAGGCCAGCAGGGCAGGGCCCGGCCCAGCCTCCCAGGACCAGTCTGGCCCAAGGTCCTCCAATTCACCCTCAGAAGTCTGACGATGTCCTTGCTTCTAGGGTGGCAGATGTTCCAGGTGCACTCCCTGCCCCGGACCTGGACTCTGCCATGATTCTGATGAGCCCTGGTTCACTTTGGTACTTAGAGACCACAGTCTGGGTCCTAGGGGTGCATATTGGCATTTGGTTGGTCCTTGTTTTTAGGCCTTTTCAGTGAGCAGAACTGAGATATTTGTGTTTATTTTTCAACTATGTCACGAGTCTATCCAATCGATTCAGAACTGCAGGCTTTTACTTACCCGACTTTACATCTCTTTCCCCTTTAGCTCATGTTTCCAGCAACAGCAACATAATTACTCATTAACTGACTCCACAACCACAAGCAGCATCTTAGAGTAACAATCATAACAGTGCTGCCAACAATATAATTACTGAAACCTGTTTAATTAATATGTTTGCTTTTTGTTTTGTCCTTAGAGTACATCCCATCAGGAAGGCGTGCTCCATCGCTGTGTTTTGGAATAACTTCTCTTTTTTTCTGAGGCAGGGTCTCACTCTGTCACCCAGGCTGGAGTGCAGTGGCACAATCACCACCCACTGCAGTGGCAAACTCCTGGGTTCAAGTAATCCTCCTGCCTCAGCCTCCTGAGTAGCAGGGACTACAGGTGCTCGCCACCATTCCCAGCTAATTTTTGTTATTTATTTATTTTTGTAGAGACAAAGTTTCACCATGTTTCCTAGACTGGTCTCAAACTCCTGAACTCAAAAGATCCACCTGCCTCAGCCTCCTAAAGTGCTGGGGTTACAGGCATGAGCCACAAGGCCTGGTCAGAAAAACTTCCTTACAGCATCATTTCTTAGAGTACGTCTGTGTCACAACCCTCAGTCCGAGTGGCATAAAACCTGACGCAAACTCACAAAGACTGACCTAAGAGAAACTGCGAAGTCTGTTCCGTTTATCTTATTATGTCTCAAGCTCATTCCTCACTCTACCCCAGGCATCCTCCCCAAAGGTCACACTCCAGATGCCGTCTTTACTACCGACTGTGCGCCTCCCACCCACCCCACGGCAAGCACGTCTTGTCTGGCCACCGCCTCCTAGTTTTTCGGCTCATCCCACCTGAAACCATAACTCTTGAGTTTTTTTTTTAACTCTGGCAATACCTAGGATCCTTTAGTACTTTGCATTGTGCTCCCTGAATTTGTGGCCTCACTTAGGTTCCTTGGTCCATCTCTGTATCACTCCCTTGAAAACACCCCAATGCCTCTGCCCCTCTCTCCCTTTGGCAAAACCCCAACTCTGTTTAGACGCCCCCCCCCGTTGCCCCTTCTGCAATCTGGGGCAGCAGAACATGCTTGAGAAAGTCACATAACCAGGCCGACAGGCCTCATTTCGTTTTTAAAAATGTTTTAAATTTTCTAATTTTTTAAAAGATGGGGTCTTGCTATGTTGTTCAGGCTAAACTTGAACTCCTGGGCTCAGGTGATTCTCCTGCCTCAGCCTCTGGAGTGGCTAGGACTGTAGGCACATGCCACAGTGCCCTCACGTCCCCAGACACCCTGGCAGATACTACCCATTTTTGGCATCTCTTAACCACAAAACCATACATGCACGTCTCTTTGTGTGGACTTTCTTCTGCTCTCCCTGCTCTTTCTTGAGTGCAGTCTAACCAGGTTCTGGACCCTACCGTCTGCTAAATAATTCTCACTGTGGTCAACATCGACTGTGTTCCCAGATTCCACGGCGGCCTCCCACCCCAAATACAAAGGGGGCAGGGCAGCCCGCAGGAGCTTACCTGGACTCCTCTTTTCCATCCCAAAACACCACGGTGTACTCCTGGCCCTGGGATGAGAAGAAGGCTGTCTGCTTCCCACAGCACAGTTCATACATGAAGGTGGCAAAAGTCGGGTCCTTCATCTGGCTCACCACCGACAGGGCCAGCGGTCGCTGAGGGAGAGAAGCCACCAGAAGAGAGCAAGGTCACTTACAACCGGATTGGTGCCCGTTCTGCCCATGAGATCAGCCAGCCCCAACCAGGGAGGAATGAGGGATTCTGTTCATTCAGACTAGATCCAAACAAGAGGCTGAAACAGCTTCAGACGTCAGGAGCAAACCCATCCAGGTATCTGGGTCACCTTTGGCTACGGCAATTTAAGCTCATCTGGTCAGGTTAGCTGAACCCTGGGTATTCCAACCCAGGCCCAAGGACATACACTCTTCATCTCACTATATTGCCCAAGCTGGAGTGCAGAACCTACTCACAGGTGCGATCAGGGCGCACCATAGCCTAAAACTCCTGGGCTCAAGTGATCCTCCTGCCTCAGCCTCCCCAGTGGCTGGGACTATAAGTCCATGTCACCATGCCCAGATAAGGACATGCGTTCTTCTAAAGAATACCCTGTTTACTCCCCATACATTAAACTAGCTCTGTCTGATTTAATAAATGAGTTTTAACTTTGAAACCACTAGCCTCTTCCAAAAACACAAAAACACCACCGTCAAAAAACTAGCCTGAACACTGTAATATGATCCCTGATTCTCACAACGAAACCTTTTCCCCATCACTTTACAAAGAGACACCCACATTCTCTCTGTTCTTGCATAGGGACTGTATTGTTATAAAGGGGTTTATATACTTTGTTTGCACGGTGAAGTAACACAAAAGTCGGGGAGGAAAAGGAAGTTTGTTTCGTAAGAGTGACACGCACACACAAAGACAATGAAAGTAGGTATGTTAGGAGCAGCAAACATCACCCTCTAGAAGAAATGAGCAGAGAAGGGTTGCCAATGGTGATGGTTGGGCAGCCAGGCACACACCCCCTGGGGACCCACAGCTTCCTCACATGGCAGGAGGTCCCAGGCCCTGGGCTCTGTGTCCCCAAGTACCTTCTCTGGCTTAGTGTCCCAGCACTCCATCATGAGCGCCTGCAGTCGCCGGAACTGCACTTCCTCCGGCTGCCCCAGAACCGGGCGGATGCCCTTGGACAGCTTCTTGGCAATCTGGAGCTGGTGGTGGCCCAGTGCAGGGCGCTGTCCTGACAGCAACTCGTAGAGCACCATTCCATAGGAGAACATATCTACCTGGGCACAGAACAAGCCAAGTCAGGTCGCTGCCTGGGCCCAGTGGCCTTCACAAGGTGGCCCTCAGGTGGAGGGACCAGGGAGACACAATTAGACAAGGAAAACAAACATTCAACAAACCACCTGACCATGTCCCTCTATCCATTTATCCATCCACCTATCTGACCACTTTCTCTTCTATCCATTTATCTATCCATTTTCTCACCCTTCCTTCTTTCCATCCATCCATCCACCCATCCATCCATTTGCTTGTCTTCCTGTACATTTATCCATTCTTCTCATCTGTCCATCCATCTATCCATCCGACCACCTGTCCTGCACATTTATCCATCTGTCTTCCTATCCTTCCTCTTTTCCATCCACCCATCCATCTGACTTCCCACCATATTGTCCATTTGCCCATTGTCCCATCCATCCATCTATCCATCGATCCATCCTTCCATCCAATAAAACACACTGAGAACTTGCTGTTAGTCACTGATTAAGGACTCCAAGGATGTCATGGTCCTTATTCTTGAGTACCAAGACAAGGCAGGAAAACACACACCCTCAGCTTAATGTGCTTGGTACTAAAAGTGTTATGTATTGCAACTCATAAAAAAAGGAGCGTCTCCTGGATCACAACATGTTGTCTCCTCTAATTTTCATAATCAAAAAGGTCCAGCAAGGAAAAATTTATACAGACCCCTATAAGGGTCAAGAAATAACATTTTAGCAGGAGAATGACTGAGATAGATAGACTTGAGAATTTTTAATGTGAATGTTTCCATGATAATCTGAGTTTCAAGGTGACCTCCTTGTTGAAGTCAGCTACTATTATGAAGCTCTTATTTTTGTTGCTCTGATTTGCCTTTTCTATGGGCAACAACCACAGGTGCTGAGCTAATCCATACATGCACAGGTCATTCCTACAGGAATTAGTCAATGACCATCTGTAGAATCACCAGATAATAAGAAATTATAGACAAGGGAATTTTAATGCTGGGTGATCAATTAACAAGGCTGGCACTAGATGTAATACATGCGTGGTAAGATGACTTCAAGTTGTGTGTGTGCCTGCATCTACCAAGTAGCCATCAGGGATAAATGTTATCAGAAGATCAACATTTAGTCATTGTCTCAACTGAGGCTGGCAGTGCAGTTGCCAGGGGATGCCAGCTTGCTCTTTCACTCTTCTCCTGGTTTGGCATTCAACTTGGCCAGCACCCTGTGGCCGGGACTTAAGGCCAAGGGTCTTTACCGTCCTTATTCTGTCTGCTCCTCCTGAGTGCCCTGCAAGGCTGGTCCTGTGTCCTCACTGTGGACATCTAAATGTGAGTTGGAGCCCAAATCCAGACCTGTTTCTCTCTTGGACTCTTCATCTGCTGTTTACAGCCTCTACAATGTTACTGAATCAAGGTCTGAGAAGGCTGATGCTAAGGAGAAGTCAACTTTGCTACAAGCAGACAGACACAGGCCCCTGCACCCTTCTGGTTCAAGCCAGAACCTCCCTCATTGAGCAAGGGAGAGTGAGAAAAATGTGCTTTTGGGGATGCTGAGCCCCGAAGCTTCAGGTGCCTCCAGGACTGCCCGGCTAGCCTGAGGGCTGGGCTCCTACACTGTGGGGCTGGGCCAGGGGATCCAGGCACGTACCTTCTCATCATATACAATGCGAGGCCTGATCTCTGGGGCCTGGTAGCCAGGAGTGCCCTCCACGCCTAGGGCGCCCTCATGGAATGACTGCCTCGAAATCCCGTAGTCAGATAGCTTGATGTTGATGTGCTCCTTGACGTCAAGGGACCACACCAGAATGTTGTCCGACTTCAGGTCACAGAAGATGATGTTTTTCTTGTGCAGGTAGGCCAGGCCCGAGGCGATCTGGTAGGCTATTTTTTGGGTGAGCATGTGTCCCAGGGGTATAAAGGAAGAATCTTGCAAAGAAAAACAATTTTCAAATGTATCAAAATTTCAGTTTTGATAGAATCAAATTATCATGATAACAACTGTCTTTTTGTCTTCCGATCTCCCTAGATACTTTATGATTTTTTTTCTTTTTTCTTTTATTGAGACAGAGTCTCCCTCTATCACCCAGGCTGGAGTGCAGTGGCATGGTCTTGGCTCACTGCAACCTCTGCCTCCAGGGTTCAAGCAGTTCTCCTGCCTCAGCCTCCCAAGTTGAGTAGCTAGGACTATAGGCGCGTGCCACCATGCCTGGCTAATTTTCGTATTTTTAGTAGACATGGGGTTTCACCATGTTGGCCAGGCTGGTCTTGAATTCCTGGCTTTAAGCGACCTGCCCGCCTGGGCCTCCCAAAGTGTTGGGATTACACATGTGAGCCACTGCGCCTGGCCCTTAGATACTTTATATTCCATTGACACATTCTCACTATTCACCAGACTGCCATAAAGGACAGAGAATGGCCTGGTTAAGTGAAACAGTATTTAGGATAGAAATGCTCATCGCTGTAGCTTCATTCCTGATATCTTATTCCTGGAATTGCTGGCATTTTGCTGAATGAGCAAGGGTTCGAAATCTCTAGAGTTCACCTCAGGTCAAGGCTGTCCTACGTAAAGGGGTGAGAGGCAAGTAGAAGCATTTTGTTTGGCTGGGCGTGTGGCTCATGCCGGTGATTCCAGCACTTTGGGAGGCTAAAGTGGGGGGATCGACTGAGCTCACAGTTCGAGAACGACCTGGGCAACAGGGTGAAAGGCCATCTCTACAAACAACAACAACAAATTAGCTGGGTGTGGTGGCGTGTGCTTGTAGCTACTCGGGAAGTTGCGGTGGGAGGATGGCTTGAGTTCAGGAGGTCAAAGCTGCAGTGAGCTGAGATTGCACCACTGTCCTCCAGCCTGGCCAACAAAGTGAGATCCTGTATTAAAAAAAAGTAAAGAATTCTGTTTAAAAAATTATCTTCCATTGAGGCAGAAGTGATTGATTTTCATAGCATTTCTTCTTCCTTAGTCAAAAGACAGCTACCTTTCACCCTCTGGCCACTCTGGAGTTTAGCTGCTCTTTTCTCAAGGTAAATTACTTCGACATTTTATGTTAAAATATGGTCCCACTGACCCTGCGGTCTCAGAGTCTCAGCAGCCGTGTACGTGTGCAGTTGGGAAAGTGATTCAATGCAGCTCCCGTGCTCGGTGCCCTCCCAGCGAGGCCTGTTACCATCCTCCTTTTACAGGCAAATAAACTCAGCGGCTTTCCGGACCGCGGCAGAGCCTGGTCTTAGCCGACTCCAGAGTGTGCGCTCCCCCGTCCTCGCCAAGGCTCTGCCTAGTGACTGGACCTGGCGGGGAGCCTGGCCTCGCAGCCAGGGGATGGTCACACGAGCCATGGGTTGGGCGTGCCCTGGGCTTGCCAAGGCCACCTGAGGCTCTACCCCCCGTGCCAGGCAGGAGGCGCCCGGGGCTCTGTCGGTCTCCGGGGCCGGGTGGGGCGGCGCGCCGCGGTACCTCTGGCGTTCTCGGACAGCACGGTGTTGAGGCTGCTGAGCGGCGCGAGCTCCAGGGCGAAGCAGAGCGGGTGGATGCTGATGCCGATGAGCGCCACGATGCAGGGGTGCTGCAGCGCGTGCAGCATGCTGGCCTCCTGCCGGAACTCGGAGAAGTTCTTCATGGCATCGGTGGCCCGCAGGTGCCTCAGCATGGTGTCTGCCAGGGACAGCGCAGTGTCAGCCAGTAGGACATGGGGTGCCTGCAGCCTCAGGCCTCTCTAAGGCCGCACAGAGCTTAGACCCGGGCAGCATATGTCTGAGAAAAACAGCACCAACCTGGGACCCGCTTACCTGCCGGTACGTTAGCAAAGTTCTTGAATTTTTTGATGTGGAAGCGCTTGACGGCCACAGGCTGGCCCTGGTACCGGGCCCGGTAGATGACGGTGCCACTGCCGCCCTGGCCCAGGACGCTGCCCTCGTCCTCGCTGTGCTCCAGCTTGCTGTTCTCCAGGAAGAGCCTGCCACACACGCCCGGCATCAGCCACATCCCCCCCGCCCTGATGCGGGTGGGTCCTGGGCTGGGTCATTTGCCCCAACGGCCGAGAGTCATGGTTCAAAGCCATCTGTGAGGCTGGACAGATCTGGGCCACCCCGGCCCTGCCACTTGTGGGTGAGCACACCTGGGTAGGTTATGCAGGCTTGCTAAGCCTCAGTCTCCTCTGTACAGAGGGCTCTCAGGACAGGAACGGCCTCAGAGGTGGTGATGGCTGGCACAGGGTGAACCCCACAGAAGTGGTGGCCGTAGAGAAAGGACCCCTTTGGAAGTTTTCTTCTGAAAGGTGACGTTTCCTATTTCCTCCCCGATTCTCTCTCTAGTTATGATCTTGGGTTAGCATAGGTACAATAAACTCTAAGAACAGATTTGAGGGGTCCAAGGCTCAGCGCTAGGGCTACAGACAGGAGTCAGCGTTTGACAAAGAAGGTAAACGAGGCTCTGGGTGGGAGCTCAGCGCTAGGGCTACAGACAGGAGTCAGCGTTTGACAAAGAAGGTAAACAAGGCTCTGGGTGGGAGCTCTCCCTTCTCTCCCCTTCCTGAATGCTTGAGGAGCACTGGCTGCACTTATCTGCTGGCCCTAGAGCTGGTGGGGAGGTAGGAGTGGAAAGGAGAGGCAGCTCAGGAGAGAGCAGCTCTGGCTACGAGGGGAAGGGGGAGCCGTATGGGGAGGCAGGATGGCTGCACTTGCAAAGCACTCTTCCCAGTTGGGCCTATCAAGGCCTCCAAAATGGAAAGCCGGCAGCCTGGTTCCTTTCAGGCAGCCGAGGATGGGAACCTAAAAGGTACTGAGATTGGTGGGAAGCCATGGCCGGGGCACCTGCCCGCCCCAGAGGGGTCTTCCTGGAGATCACTCGGCAACTGCACAGCGAGGAACGCCCCCTGTGACCTGCACTGTGTTCTGGGAGGGGCCTTCGGGGCATACCTGGCCGGGAAGTCGGTCATGAACAGTTCAGGGACCAGCTCCTGCAGCGGCACGGGGAGGTCCGGGTGTCTGGGGCAGGAGATGAAGTCCCGCTCGATGGCCGTCAGGACACAGTCTTCCATGTCGAAGTACTGCACATCCTCTGATTTCTCACTGGGGTCCGTGTGCTGGGCCCAGGCTGTCTCGCAGACCGGGCAGGGCACGTACTGCTCCATGAGTGGCGTCCCGTCGCTCTCTGTGGCTGTCAGGGCTAAATAAGGACAGAGCAGGAGACAGCTTCACAAGAAGGTGGTGCAGGAGGGCCCCCCGAGCAGCACTCTGCACCCCAGGCCCTGAGGCCTTCGCAGCAGGGGAGCTGCCTGTCCTGGCCTGTACCCAAGAGACAGGCTGAAACCCACTGCCACATTCGGGTGCCTTTTTGGAGAGCGCAATTGTTTGTCCTGAAAGATGTGTCCAGGGAGGGTTCAGGATGCTTCCGAGAACTGTCCAGTGGTCGGGACACTGAGCAGGCTGGCTGGGGGGCCTGAGAGGAGTGGGGGGATCCCTCCTGCATGACTGGGCCCTAACAGGTCATCGCAGACTAGGTGTGAGCTATCCTCCAACCATCACGGCAGTGGGGAAGGCACCCTTCTTACAATTAGAAACATCAGGTTTACAATGTCCATGAAGGGCAATGCAGGGGCAGAAATGAGTGCAAATTATCATAGACGAAACTCAGTCACCGGACACGGGATTCCCCCACGCCTCTGAGAGGAGGTGCAGAGAAACACCCTCCAAGATGCCCTGTGGAGGTGCCCTCAGGGCCGGCCAACTGCCTGCTTCATGCAAGGTAGGAGGTGGATGCCTAGAACTTTCCAGGCACATCTGATATCTGCAGGTCCATGTGTAAGGCATCCCGTTGGGAGGGGCCCCTGGCTGGGGATGCTGGCTCCAGGCGATCTGTCTCAGGTGCTCACCAGAGCCCTTTCCATCTCAGGTGACTGTCTAAGGGACCCACCTGTCAAACTGCCCAGCACCTGCTGTGTGGGGAACACTGGCTGGTGGGGAGCTGCAAAGTGCCCAGAAGGGTTCACATGGGCCTAAGGGCCCCCTTAGACAGCCAAGTGCCTCCCAAATCACCATGACACGCACACCCAGCTGACTTCTCCGAGGGCTCCTTTCTAAGCCTTTTTTCCTTGTAGGTCACCCTTCCTGCCAACAGTGTGAAGGACCCCAACCCTGACAGAGACCAGACCCTGGGATCTGGAATGTGTATCCTGAGTGCATTCTGCCACTGCCTCTTAGCCACCTTCCCTGATGCTGTCTGGGATGCAGGCATTGCATGCAGGTGAGGCCGGCCCAGGAGGCCGGGGGACCAGCCGAGGCTTGCAGGGGTGGCACTGGAATTCCAAACCCGCTCTCCCACAGCTGCTTGGCCTCCAGCGTTCAGGGGCTGAGGCTCTCGGGCAGCCTGTCCCACAGCTGCTTGGCCTCCAGCGTTCAGGGCTGAAGCTCTCAGGGCAGCCCCTCCCACAGCTGCTTGCCCCATTAAACCCCAGATGGCCTCCCCCTGGCAGGCTGCTCTGGGAGTCGTCTCCACCCCAGGAGCAAAACAAACAGGAGGCCTCAGGAACTTCACTCAAAGAGTACTTTTTTTGGGTGAACTATCAATGAAGAAACAGATCCAAAGGGTCTGAGAAGGGCGGTGTTAGTGGTTTGATCACCGCCGGGATGGGTGGGGTGGCAGGGGAGGAGAGCAAGGCCCCTTGGCTGCCACGGCTCCCCTCCATCCCTGCCCCTGCGCAGGGGATAAATTTCCATCTGCCGGCTCCCCTGCAATTTCAGCCACACAGTCCTCACTATGAAAACAAGACACGTGTGAGCTCACACTGAGCATCTCCGTGGACCACTCGTGGTACCAGTGTCATCTTTCTTGCCACGCCTGTGGGCAGCTGGCAGGCCGCTTCCCTGCACATTCCCAGTGGTGTCCGAGCCCAGTCCTCCCCGTGGGACTCCCCCCAGTGACAGAGCTGGACTTCTCGGGGGCCAGGACTCCCACCAAAGTGCTGTTAAGACCCCCTAGTTTTCTTGGGCTGAATCCCAGTGGGATTTTTGTCCACCCCGAAAGCAGCAGCCCCACCCTGATTCATAAGAAATATTAGCATGAATGAGGGCTTGCTTCTAGCATCTCCTCTTACCGGGAAACCACTGATCAATCAAGGAATTGACGTGGTCCGTGATGAAAGCCATGGCTGAGAAGTCCCTCACTTCTGATTGGCAAACAATTTTCATTCCTCCGCTTTTCTTCTTTTTCCAGTTCACGTCGGAAGATTCCACACTGCAATCCAGAGACCAAAAGGAGCCCATTGCGATCTGGCTCTGGGGGACCCTGGGATGATATCCCTACCCCCAGGGACAGGAACCAACCCCCGGGGACCTGGAGAGACTCTGTGCCCTGCAGGACCGATGGGGGACTCCTCCCTGTATGTACGTGTGCGTGGCCCTGCCTTGTTCTTGCCCCGGACCTGGCCTGGTGAAGGAGGCACGAGGAAGATTGCAGTCAGGGACGCTCAGCCTGGGAGCTGACCCTCAGGTGAGGCCCTAAGGAAGTTCCCAGACCTCCCTGAACCTCAGTATGCTCATCTGTCCAGCAGCAACCCTGGGCCTTAAGTGAGAACATCTATGCGGAAGAGGCAGGTGCCAATCAAGCCCTCTGTAAAGTTACCTCCCCTTTTCCCTTCTTCTCCTCTCACAGAGCTGAAGAATATTTTGCAAAGTTCATTGTAAACATTAAAATAATCTTGGGTGTTTATCATTCGTTAAACCTGTTGGGCTGACTTTAGGTCTACCGCTCTCAAAAAACCAAGAATAAATGGCACAGGGAGCTGAGTTCCGTGTCTGGTTATGGGCAGTGGAGATGGGGGCTGAGGAGTCTCAGCATCCCCTGTCCCCAGCCTGGCTTCTCACAGAACAAGGGGACGGGCAGGATGGCTGCAAGGTCACCATGGTGACCTGAATAACCATGGGAAGTGCCTGAGGCTCTCCTGAGCTCAATGGCCGCCACGTCCCTCAAGTCCTCAGCTGTGGCCGCCACATCTGCCTTTGCCTTTCCCGTCCTGCAAGGGGGGCTCAGCAGGGGTGAGGAGACCGGAGCCTCTGGGACACTCGTGGGAGGGCCTCACATTTCTAGCAAGCTGCCATGACGAGCCGCTCTCACGAGCAAAATTCTGGACACCAAGAGGATGAGGCATCCTGCTGACGTGGCCCCGCGGTGGCTGCTGTGGCACCTGCTGACCTGGCAGGTGGGCTTCCAGGTGTTCCTACCTGAGGTAGCCCCCATCAAAAGTGACCAGGAGCCCTTCCTGCCAATAGATGGTCTGATTTCTTTTCACTCTGAATGTGCTACAGCGATTTCTCTGGTTTCCTGTAAAACTGTAAATGGTGACTTTCCTGTTCCTGCTTTTAGTATTCTTCTTGTTTTCAAAAAGCTGAAAGACAGAGAAAAGACCCTGCTTAAGTATTCTGGGCTCCTCGCTGGCCCTGGGCAGAGCTCTGCAGAGGCCGGGCTGGGCCCCATCTTGATAAATGTCCCCCATCTTTCCCACCCTCTCCTCCCACGCTGCTCATCCCTGCTGCCAAATTGAACGTTACATTAGCTGACGGGGTCTCCAGGGAATTCCGGAAACACAGTTTTTCCAAAGAATTGAAAAATAGGCTTTCCTTTAAAATTTTTTTCCCTTTCTGACTTTACAAGCAAAAATTCATATTAGAAAATGTAGAAAATACAGAAAAATGTAAGAGGGAAAACAAAACACCAATTTAACACCAAGCAGAGAGATCATTCAGATTTTGGTATATATTATTCCAGGATTTTTTTTTTTTCTATCTCCATATGTTTGTGAAAAACAGCTGAAGCCATATTGGATTTCTAATTTCGTATATGTTAAAAAACCCCACCTTTCCTATGCCATTAAAAACACACATAAAATTCATTTTTCTAAAGTTTAATATTCTATTAAGCATAGTAATTTCCTGAACCACTCTCTTCTGGAAGTGTAAGTTGGTGCCAATCTTTTGCTCCCTCAAAACCACCTTGAGTTACATGAGAAAGGCACAGAGCTTTCTCTGATTGAAAATGATGTCCTCAGTTTAGATGTTTACCAGTCGGATTATTGGTCGAAGGGTCTGATCGTTTTAAAGCTCTGGATGTATCCCGAGGAATCGCTTCTCGAACGACGAGACTGTCCTGTGCGCTGACTACCAGTGTGCGCGGGGCCGCTCCGTGCCCCGGGCTGGGGATTACGGCTCAGCTTTTTGCTAATGTGATGGATGAAAACTGGCATCTCACTGCTGCTTGAATTTGCATGCCTTTGATGAGTGATGAGACTGCACTCTTTTCCCCCTCCTGTCACCCATCTGAATTTCAATAGGACTTCTTTCCTAACTTCGAGTGAGGGAAGCTGCTGCCCGGAAGGGCGCCCTGGCCTCCAGGCCCAGCTGGGCCCCACTTGTCAGCTCAGCCTCCCACGATGCTAGTGCTCCATGACCCTCCCTTGAGAAGACAGCGGCACACAGAGTTCAAAGGGAGGGCAGAGGAATGGGAACGTAGGAGCACCAGCGCCTGCGCCCACTCCTTCAATCAGTGCACCCTTCTGGCGCTATTAACCCATCTCCCTCCCCGCTAGCACAGGCTGCTACTGTCACGATGGACTTTAAGGCTTTTGCATTGATTTTTTTCTTACCATTTCGGTAAAAATGGGAAGATCAAAGAACATTTTTATAGAGCTAAGAAGTTATAATTCAATAAGGGCTTTCTAATTAGGATGTAGCAACAGTAAACTCATACGGAGTTTAATGTCAAGGATTTGACAGTCAGGGATTATGCCAGAGGTTCGCAAAACCAAAAGTGTGTCAGAATCCCCTGGAGGGTTGTGAAAACCAGTGCGGGGTTCCCCCTGGAGTTTCTCATGCAGTGGGTTTGAGGTGGGGCCTGAGAACGTGTGTTCCTCACACGTTCCCAGGTGAGGCTGATTTTGCTGGTATAGGAACCCCACTTTGAAAAACACCACTGTAGCAAATGTTGCTTCCATGTTCCTGCCCTGCATGAAATTAATGTTGTCTGACAGCGGGGACGCCTTCCTGTAACCCCAGGTAAACCCACAGAAGCTAACTCCTTGGGCGGGGGGTCTCCCGTGTTACCAGAACCAACGTACAGTTCTGCACAAGTGGTTCTCAAACTGGACTGCACAGGGGACTCGCCTGGGAGCCTTAAAAATACCAAAGAGGAATCACTTTTTCAAATGATGCCACACTCAAAGACCCTGATTCAATCGGTCTGGAGTGTGGTCTGTGTCTTTTAGAATTTCCTCCAGGCGAGTCTAGCGTGCAGCCAGGACGGCAAAACCGTGCTTCTAACTTCACGGTTCTCCAAGTGTGGTTGCTGGGCCGGCGGCATCACCTCGGGGAATGGATAGAAATGTGAATTCTTGGCCTCAGTCCACACCTACTGAATCAGAACCTCGGGTGGGGCCACCAAACTGTGTTCTAACAAACTCCAGGTGGTTTTGAGGTGGGCTAACACTGAGAACCACTGTTTATAAAGGGCGTGTTCTGTCTAAGGAGGGTGCTGCTTTGGAACTCCCAGGATGGCTTCAGTGGGTTGGCCAGCAGCCCATGCCACACCTGCCCCCTGGCACTACATTGGTGGCATGGCTCTAGGAGAAGGGTCTCCAGGCAGGGCCCCCCAGCAAAGGGCATTCCCCTCCCCCAGTGGTACAACTGTAGGTGGCTCTCGGGCATCTGTCTATGCAGAAACCGCAGCCATAATACCTGCAGGTCCATCTCCGCCAGGCTGATCAGCATCCGTGCTATAAACCTTTGCCAGAAGCCAACGGGAACGAAGCTCATCTTAAATACCCTCTGAATGGTGTTGGCTGTGGGGTGCCGCATACCGTGGGTGTCCAGGCCAGGTTTAGATGGAAGGAGATGGGGCAGGAGGTAGCTGAAACACACCAAGGGGGACTGGTGAACAGTGGGGCCCAAGCTCCACTGCAGGGCCCTGACCCCAGCAGATGGCCTGATCTGGGGACAGGCTGTGCTGGAACACCTCAGGCTGCTGGGTTCCTTCCTCCCAGGGCCTTTGGAATTCTGTTATTAGTAAGAGAAGCGTGGTTTATATGCTAAGAATAAATACTCCAAAGGAAAATGAAGACTGGTCCCATTAATATGAGTCTATCATGGTTTCTAAGATACTAGAATAAGGCTAAGGGAAGACATGAAAACATCATGGTCCTAAAAATGTCAGACACAGCAAATGGGACTCAATTCTCTATAAACGGGGTTGCAGTTGGGGAAATAACATTAACTTTGGTTGATGAAGGAAAAACAAACACAGCTGCAAGGTTTCAAGGACAATGCAGATATTAGGGTCAGAGTAACATTTTTGGCCTTTAAAGCTATTTATTATTCTTGGCCCGTTGACACGACGCGATTGCCTTAAAAGTTAGAATAGGCCTGTTTTGTGCGGAAGAGGGATGTTTTACGAGAACACTCTCGGTCATCATAAAAATGCTGCATCATTGCATCGGCAAGGGCTTCACGGCTGAAACCTGGGAGGTCCCTCCAAAAGGGTGCCCGAAAACCAGCAACGGCTGCATCCTGTGGGGCTGCGGGGGCAGGCACTGGACAGGTACAGGACGGCCCCTGGTGTGCAGATGCTGCACTCCTTCCCAATAAAGGTTTTACCTTCAGCTCTCCTAATCTTAAATCTATTTCAGTCCAATAAATGTCCTTAGAACTTTCTGGAAAAGACTCCCTAAACTGTAAGAAAATTCAGTGACAGCCCATGGCCCGAGCATACAGGCGCAAGTCTCGGCTCTCACTTACACGCTCTGACACATGGGTATACAATGGGGAGAGAAAGGATCCCCTCTTGGCAGGGCTGGTGAAGGTAGACGGGGGCTGTGCAGATGACACAGCAGACACAGGTGGTGAAGCAGGAGGCCTTTTCAGCCTTTCAGGTCTTGAGTGAAAGGACATTCCCAACCTCTCGCTAGATGCCTCTTCATCAGAGTGTCCTGTCTTATTCCTTTACATCTGAAAAGTCCTTGCTTCTCTATCTGCTCAGTGTTTGTTCCCCATACAGGAGGCCCTGGGCCGTGCCTGCTGTTTCTTTCTGCTTTTTCTACTTCATCTCATGCATCCTGGGTCTCTCATGTGGCCCTCTTACAGTGGTGGTGCCCCATGTCTGTCTTGCTCTTCTCCTTGTCGGAGTGTGCTTAGAGAGTGGGGGGAGCATTCTCTGTCCCCAGGCGTCCCAGCACGATGTGCGGTGGCACACAGAAGAGGTGCTCCATGATGTTTTTGAGGGCAGAGGTTTAGAAGGTGACATGGCAAATAAAGAGATCCTGAGTGGCCACAGAAGCCAGTTCTCAAGGGAAGCAGTGGTCTCCAGGTAGTGGAGGCCGCTGGCTCCGGGTTTCAGAGCAATTACGAGCTGGGAAAGGCCGTCCCAGGGAATGACCAGTGAGTCGGCAGGACAGGTCCTAAGAGGTAAATTCTTCATGTGTTTGATGAACGTAAAGCAGTGAAACCCTGGCAGGGCACAGTGTCTGCACGGAGGTGCTGGCTCATGCCACCCCACTGAGACAGCCTCAGACAGGGGCCGCAGCCCTTCTCAGAGTCTGCTGAGAGGCAAGGACCTTCCTCCTGAAAGAAGCACAAAGGCTTAAAACTGTATGGTACTTCCAGGGAGTTCATGGAGATTTTCTGAGGGGCTGGAGGGGTTCACTGCAGGTGGGAAACCATGCTCTGAGAGGAGCCGCAAATGTGTCTGTTTGCACAGATCCAGGGATCCCAGCAGCCTTAGAAAGCTGATGATGCCAGGAGCGGGGACTTGCCTGGGGCTCAAGGGAACCATTATGCCTGTGCTGAGATGAAACGTGTCCCACTATTCCTGGATGTGTACAGAACCCGACACCATGGCTATGAGTACCTACCACGAAGAAACAGTAACAATAACTGGACTGTCAATACTGGATGTCTTGGGAGCTTAAGAGACACTGTTCTGAGTATTTTACATGTATTTGTCAGTGGCTGTTCCCATGCAGGAGGCCCTGGGACATGCCTGCTACTGTTTCTTTCTGCTGGTCTGAATATTTTACATGTATTATCTAATTTAATCCTCACAACAACTATCATACTTATGGTAATTATATTATACCCATTATGCAGACGAGAAAGAAGGTAGTTGGGATTCATACTTGTGCGTCCCAACTTCATATTCTAACCTGCTGTGCCATAAGCCTTGGTGAGGACCTGGCCGTGATCACACTGATGGTCTTGTTCAGGCCAACACACACACACACACACATTATAAATACGTGTACGTTTTATACATATAAAAACTGACTTCATATAGATAACTGACTTTCTTTTACTGAGTACTCGTATCTCCTCACTCCTCTAACCTGCGATAAAACAATCTGAAAGTTGTCAGATCCGGCAATGTTGTAAACACACAGGCTGCCTTACTCTGAACGTTCTCATGGACCAAAGTTAAGGACACCGCTGGGCCATGTTATGAGGGGCTGTGGAATTTTGAATTCCTCTTTGGGGTTTTATTTTGTAAGGAACCCAGAGAGCTGGAGCAGCAAGAAAGACTTGAGGCCCCTCCCATACCTAGTGGGAGGTGGGTGGGGCCTCAGGCAAAGGTGGGGCCAGTGGCTGGTTCCCAGGTGGCCGGGTCTCTGGCCTCACTGTGCAGGATCCAGGCCTGCTCCCCAGAAGTCTCCAGGTGACACCCCTGTAGAGATCTGGAGCTGAGGACGCAGAGTGGCGACGTGTTCTCTGGGTGCTGCATGGCAACATTCTGTGGATTTGGATCCTGTGGATTTGGATCCTGGATACAGCTTCATTGCCAATATCAGCATCAAACCCAGGAAGCGGCTGATATGGAAACTAGTACTCAGAGGCCTGAGGACCAAGCTGGTTTAGGGCAGAGCATCATGGCAGGTCTCACCCCTCGTGTGCTCCCCCAGCCTGGCCCTCGTAGGGGTCCCACCCCGAGGGGAGGCGTTCAGTTCAGCTACTTCAGAAGATATATCCTGGCAATGGGTAGCACAGAGGAGAGTAGGAGGAAAGAAGAAGCCAACACTACACTTGGTTTTGATGAAAACCAAGCCTCAAAAGTGAGAATTTGAAGGAAGAAAAGTTAAGTAATAGCTCATAAAGAGTCTGCACAAATCCCCCGACAAGAGCACCCTGCTTGTAAGGATAGGGGGCCTCACTCCCTCTCCCCTGCCTTCCATGGGCCAAATGCCAGGGCCAGAGCACATGCTGTGGGGAGGCAGAGAAGTGTGCTGCCCAATGCTCAAGGGCTGACAGCATAACTGAGGGTCCGGGCAGGTGGGTAAGAGGTAACAAGTAGGGGAGTGTAAGGGCAGTAAAAGCCACAGGAGGATGGTGGCAGAGCTCTCGGAGGGGCAGTAGGCTTCTCAGAGGCCCCTGGGCTGCAGCAGAGCAGGTGGCTGGGCATCCTTGATCACATGAGAGGAGGTGGCATGGGGTCAGAGGTCCTCAGCGAGGGGTCAGGGGTGACGAAGACTGAGGAGGACCCCTGTCTGCCCAGAAGACAATGGGGTGACACCTTTAAAAAGACTGACAGAAAAATGACCCAGAATTCTACATCGAAGAAAATTATCCAGCAAAAAATTAGAGTGTTAATAAAGACATTTTCATATAAACAAAAGTCTTGTCTAAAAAAGAGAATTTGTTTCCATCAGACTTAGACTTTAAGACATGCTACACGTAATTCTTCAGGATGAAAAGAGATTATACCAGATGGAAAGAAGTGAAGAGCACCAGAAACAATCAACATTTTTCCCTTAATTTCTTAAAAGACTATTGATTGTTTAATTATTCAAAGCAAAAGTAATAACACTATATTATGGGGTTCATTACATATATTGTAGTCCTCCCTTATCTGCAGTTTCTTTTTCATGGTTTCAATTACTGGTCCAAAAATATCAAGATATTTAGAAAGAGAGAGAGAGAGACCACATTTATGTAACTTCTGTGACAGTATATCATAATTATACTGTTTTGTTGTTATTGTTGTTAATTTCTATGTGTTGTTAATCACTTACTGGTTTACAATTAAACTTCATCATAGGTATGTAGATAAAGGAAAAGGCATAGTATATGTAGGGCTCAATACTATCGCAGTTTTAGGCATCCACGGGGGTCTGGAAATCCACCAGCTGTGGATAAGGGGGACTACTGTATAGAAGAAACGTGGATGACAGCAAGAGTACAGAGGGTGCTGGGAGGAGTAATGTCCTGGTATCGTGCTAAGGTTTTTGCATTTAATTCAAGGTGGTATAATATTAATTACAAGTAGATTGTGATAAGGTAAGGATGCATATTCTAATCCCAAGAGTAACCACTAAAACACAGTACCAGGAAGAATGGCCAAAAACCCAACAGAGAGCATGAAAATACTAAAATAAAATTTAACTCAAAAGAAGGCAGGAAAGAATGAACAAAATAACAAAATCAGATGGTATAAATACAAAATAAATAGAGAAATAGTAGGCTTAAACCCAACCATATAATTAATTATGATAAATGTGAATGAATCAAATATTCCTATTAAAAGGCAGAGATTATCAGATTGGATAATGTGCTGTCAGCAAGAGATTCCTTTTTTATAGAGATCATAACCTGCTACTAGAAGAATAGGGAAAAAACCCAGGTAGAACTAAAAGAGCTGGTGTGGCTATTTTAACATCAGACAAAATAGACTTCAAGAAAAGGAGTATTACCAGTGATAAAGAGAAACATTGTATAATGAAAAAAGGGTCACTTCATTACACAGGCATGACACCAATGTGTATATGTAACCAATAATGGCTTCAAAATATATAAAATAAAGCCTGTCAGAACTGGAGAGAGAGGTAGACTTATCATTAGATATTTTACCATCTCTCTCTTAGTAATTGATAGAATGAGTAGGAAAAAAATCAGTGAGAATACGGAAGATTTGAACACGTTGTTTACCACTCTGAGCTAATTAAGGTTTATAAGATACTACAGCCACAACACAGAAAACTCGTTTCTTGTGTGCACTCCAGACTTTCACTGGGAAAGATCACACATTGGCCCATAAAATAAGTCTCAGTGAATTTCAAAATACAGAAATCTTAGAATATATTCTCTGACCAAAATAATATAAGATATATTAGAAAATCTTTCGAACTAAATGATAAAAACACAACATAGCAAAATTAGTTGTATTTGTCATATAAAGCAGTGCTTAGAAAGTTATGGCTTTAAATGCTTACATAGAAAATAGGAAAGGCTTAAAATAAATGACCTAAGCTTCTACCTTAAGAAGGAAGAACAAGAAGCACAAATTAAACCCAAAGTTAGCTGAAGGAAGACAATAATAAAGAGCAGTAATAGATGAAATAAAAGAGAAAAATAATAGAAGAAATCAGCAATGGCAACGGTTCGTTCTTTAAAACGGTTCCAAAAATTTGATAAACACTTAGCAAGACTGATCAAGAAAGAATGAGAGAAAAGACATATTATTAATATCAGGAGAGAGAGCATATCACTACACATTCCAGAGATATTTTAAATATCTTTATATTAATATATTCTGCACCATAGATGAAATGAAAAAATTTATTGAAAAAAAAATAACTTACCAAAACTGACACAAGAATAGAAAATTTTAATAACCCTATAGCTAATAAATAGATTGAATTTGTAATTAAAAATCCTCTTGTGAAGTAAACTCCAGGCTATAAATTCTATCAAACTGTTAAGGAAGGTCTAACACCAATCTTATACAAAATCTTGAAGAAAATAGAGAAGGAAAAAAATCTTTTCAATTCATTTTATGAAGACAGCCTATGTCTGATAACCCATAAAGACTTTTCATCAAAGTACCAACCAATATCCCTCATGAACATAGATTAAAAAATTCTTATGCAAAATAGGAGCCACTGAAATCTAGCATTAGATAAAAAAGATAATAAATCATGAACACTTGGTATGAATCTTGGGAATACAAAGTTGGTTTAACATTTGAAAATCCATCAACATATTTAACAGAAAAATAACTGAAGAAAAAAATTAACAGAGGCAGAACAAGCATTTTTGGGGGACAAAATTCAGTACCCATTTATGATAAAAGCTTTTAGCAAACTGGGAATAAAAGGGAACTTCCTCAATCTGATAAAGTTTCCATGGATAACAAAGCTCTGCAGAAAACATCACACTTGATGGTGAAAGACTGAATGCTTCCCCCCTGAGATCACACAGAATGACGCCTTCTCTCATCCCTTCTATTTAAACCTTCGCTAGAGATCCGAGCCAATGCAATCAGGCAAACAGAGCAAAAAAATATGTGAAGATTAGAATGAAAAAAGTAAAACTGTCTTTTTTTCAAAAAAGAAGCATACTTAGAAAATCCTGAAAAATCTACTGGAGCTAATAGGTGAATTTAGCAAGGTTTTTTGATATAAGGTAAATATTTAAAAATAAATTATATTTCTGTATACCAGCAACAAGAAATGGAAATCAAATTAGAAGATATGTCATTTACCCATATCGGAGAACATAAATTATGTAGACACAAATTTAACAAAAGATGCAGAAAATCTGAATACTGAAAACAAACCACCGTGGAGAGAAACTTTTTAAAAACCAAAATAAATGAGAGATATACCATGTTCATATTGGAAGATTCAATATTTCTAAGATGTCAGCTTTCTTTGATCTATAGATTCAATGTAATCTCCATAAAAATCACAACGGTTTTTTAAGAATCAGACAAGCTGATTCTAAAATTTAGATGAAAATGCAAAGGATCTAGAATAATCCAAAATAATCTTGAAACAGAAGAACAAAATTGGAGGGTGTCATATGCTGAATAATGAGCCCCAAAATATCCAGGTCCTAAACCCTAGAACTGTGATTGTTACCTTACATGGAAATAGAGACTTTGTAGATGTGATTAAGTTATGGACTTTGAAATGGGGGAAAGATCCCACATTATCTGGGTGGACCTTAAGTGCAGCCACAAGTGTGCTTAAAAGATGGGGGAAGAGAGAGATTTGCACAGAAGAAGGCAAGATGGCCACTGGCGCAGGGTGCCATGCTGCTGGGAGGGACGGCTTCAAGATGGCTGACTAGAGGCATTTCAGACTTGCCTCTGACACTGAGAAGAGGCAAAATAGTGAGTAGATAATCACACGTTGAATAGATCATCCAAGAGGGAACACTGGAATTCAACAGAAAAGTGACAGGAAATACCTAAGGCAAGGAAGGACAAGGAAGCAAGGCAGCCTGCTAGGCTGAGAGCTGAGAGAGACTCCCCAGTGTGGGGAAAGGTAAGTGAGAGATCCCCAGTGGTCGACATTCCCACTCTGGACTCCTGAAATCCAAGGCACAGGAGAGCCCCTCACCCTTTGTGGGCCCTGAAACTAACTGATGGGAGATTGTGCAATGGCACTGCTCGGAGGGTGCTCACTCTAGGTCTCACACTCTCTGAGACCTGAGCAGCCACACTAAGGAGGCAATTTATTTATATTTTAATTTTTAATTTCAATAGGGCTTTGGGGAGCAGGTGGTGTTTGGTTACGTGATAAAGTTCTTCAGTGGTGATTTCTGAGATTTTGGCACTCCCATCACCTGAGCAGTGTACACAGTACCTGATGTGTAGTTTTTTATCTCTCATCCCCTCCCACCCTTTCCCCTGAGTCCCCAAAATCCATTGTATTATTCTTATGCCTTTGCATTCTCATAGCTTAACTCCCAATTATAATTTGGAACATATGATGTTTAGTTTTCCATTCCTGAGTTACTTCACTTACAATAATGGTCTCCAATTCATCCAGGTTGCTGCAGATGCCATTATTTTATTCCTTTATATGGCTGAGTAGTATTCTATGGTGTATATATACCACAATTTTTTTAATCCAATTATTGATTGATGCACATTTGGGATGGTTCCATATTTTTGCAATTAGGAATTGTGCTGTTATAAACATGTGTGTGCAAGTATCTTTTTTGTATAATGACTTCTTTTCCTCTGGGTAGATAGCCAGTAGTGAGATTGCTGGATCAAATGGTAACCTACTTTTAGTTCTTTAAGAAATCTGCAAGGAGCCATTTTACAGCCCTGTCCCCAACAGACTGTGTACTGTCCGGGAGCCCAGTGGTGCTGGGGCTGAGGTGCAAGAGAAATGTGGGCTGCTACCCCTGGGGCTGAGGTGTGAGTGAGGCATAGGCTACCACCTTAAAGGCTAAGGTGTGAGTGGCATATGTTCCCCACCCACCAGCCTAATCTGTTGCCACTGAAGGTGGCCCACCCTCCCCAGTGGCAGGGCAGCAGTGTGGCCACTGATGTCCCCAGCCTGAGCATTCCATTGCTGGCCTGGGGATCACTTCACTCCTGCCTACCATGGCTGGTACCTGTACACACCATTGAGGGGCCTGAATACAAGCCCACCTGACCTGGCTTCATGTCCCCTGGCCCCTGTGCCAGAGCATGTGGACTAGGGCTGAGGGACTGCCCAGCTCAGTGGTTCAGTCCACCATCAGTGGTACCTGACCACTTCTCCTGAGGGCCTAAGGTTGGGCCTACCGACTCTGCTGTTACCACTACAGCTGGTACCTACTTGCACATGTCACCCGTGGCCCTGTGCACAAGCCCAACCAGCCCATTGCAGCCACTGCCAATACCAGCATGCACTGCTCAGGACCTACAAGGTTTTCCTGCCACTTCCACTGCCATTACCCACACCATGCCAGCTGCCTAGGGACCTGAGAACCCAGCCACCTACCTGGCCCACTGATGCCACTACCAACATCCAAGTAAGCCTCCTGGAAGCCCAAGAATAGGCCTGTCTGGACCCTCTAACACTGGTGCCAGTGTATACCACCCTGGGGTCCAAGGAGAGGCATGCCTGCTGCCACCACTGGGGCCCAAAGACTGGCCCACCTGGCATCCCTGTTCCCAGCAAAACTTCCCCACAAGCTCCACTAACAACTGCACCCTAAATTACTGAGGAAATCACAGATGCCACTGACATTGTTTATAGCCAAAGAAATAATACAGATTACACTACTGCATCTACATAGAATGAAAGCCAAAGTGCCCTACTGAACCAACACCACAGATGCCTCTTCAGGAGAAAGTTCTCCCCTGTGAAGGCAAATTCAAATACTGGAAGAAGTGACTGTTACACCAGATGCACAGATATCAATGTAAGGACACAGGAAACATGAAAAAGCAAGGACATATGATACTTCCAAAGGAAAACAATAATTCTCCAGCCATACAGCCTAATCAAGAACAAATTTATAAAATCCTGGAAAAATAATTAAAAATTCTGATACTAAAGGAGCTCAGTGAGATAGAAGAAAATTCTAAAAAAAATACAAAGAAATCAGAAAAACAATTCAGGATACAAATGATAAATTTACCAAAGAGATAGATATTAATATCATTTAAAAAAAACCAAATGGAAATTCTGGGACTGAAGAATTCATTGAGTGAAATATAAAATACATTCAAAAGCTTCAACAATAGGCTAGATCAAGCAGAATCATAATCTCAGAACTTGAAGACAAGTCTTATGAAAAAAACAGAGTTAGACAAAAATAAAGAAAAATGAAGAAAATAATGAGTAAATATTTTCTCGATGAGTGATATATGGGACACCATAAAGCAACCAAGTATTTAAATTACTGGAGTCCCAGAAGGTGAAGAGAGAATGAAAGGGTTAGGAAAACCTATTTAACAAAATAAGAGATGAAAACTTCCTACGTCTAGCAAGGTATTTAGACATCCAGATACAGGAGGCTCTGAGATCCCCAAACAGAGATAATGCAAGAAGGTCTTCTCCATGGCACATTATAGTCAAGTTGTCTAAAGTCAAAGAGAGAATTCTAAATACAGCAATAGAAAAGAATCTAGTCACCTAAGAGACCCCATTAGACTAACAGCAGATTCCTCAGCAGAAACCTTATGTCACTAATAGACTGGCCCTATAAGAACTGCTCAAGGGATCCTTAACCTGGAAGCAAAAAGAAAAGTGACATTTAACATCATGAAAACACACAAAAGTATAAAAATCACTGGTAAAGCAAACACTCAAATGAGGAAGAGAAAGGACTCAAATGGTACCACCACAGAAAACCACCAAACCACAATGATAAGCAGTAAGAGAGAAATAAAGGAACAAAGAATATATAAAAACAACCAGAAAATAATTAACAATAGGACAGGAACAAAACCTCACATATTAATAATTGCCTTGAATGTAAGTGTATTAAATTCTCCACTTAAAAGGTGTACACTGGCTGAATGGATTAAAAAAACATGATTCAATTATATGCTACCAATAAGAAACTCACTTTATCTGTAAAGACACACATAGACTGAAAGTAAAGCATTGCAAAAAGATATTCCATGCAAATAGTAGCCAAAAGCAAGCAGACATCGCTATACTTGTATCAGACAAAACAGACTTTAAGTCAAAAGCAGTAAAAAGACAAAGAAGAAATGATAAAGGGATCAATCCAACAAGAGAATATAACAATATCAATATATATGCACCCAACATTGGAGCACCCAGATTCATAAAGCAAATATTACTAGATCTAGAGAGAGAGATATATTCTAATACTATAATAGTATGGCACTTAAACATACCACTCTCAGCATTAGACAGATCATCTAGACAGAAACTCATCAAAAAAACATTGGATTTAAATGACTTGAGACCAAAAGGACCTTACAGACATTTACAAACCAAACCCAAAATCAGCAGAAGGAAAGAAACCACATAATAAATAAGGGTCAGAGCAGAAATAAAATGGAATACAGACTTAAAAAACAATACAAAGGATCAATTAAATGAAAAGTTGATTCTTCAAAAAGATAAACAAAATTGATAAATCACTAGCTAGAGTAACCAAGAAGAGAAAAGACCCAAATAACCAAAATTGGTAATGAAAAAGGAGACATTACAACTGATACCACCGAAATACAAAAGATCATCAGAGACTACTATGAAGAACTATATGTTAACAAACTGCAAAGCCTAGGAAAAAAAAACAGACAAATTCCCAGAAATATAAAACCTTACCCAAAGTTAATCAGGAATAAAAAGTAAACCTGAACAGATCAATAATGGATTCTAAAATTCATATGGAACCAAACAAGAGATTGAATAGCTAAAGCAATCCTGAGCAAAAAGAACAAAGCTGGAGGAATCACACTATCTGACTTCAAAATATACTACAAAGCTATAGTAACCAAAACAGCATGATATCAGTATAAAAATAGACACCTAGACTAATGGAACAAAATAGAGAACCCAGAAATAAATCCACATATTTACAGTCAACTGATTCTCAACAAAGGTGCTAAGAACCTACAGTGGAGAAAATACACCCTCTTCAATAAATGGTGCTGGGAAAATTGGATATCCATATGGAGAAGAATGGAACTAGACCCCCTATCTCTTACCACATACAAAAATCAACTCAAAATGGATTAAAGCCTTAAATTTAAGACCCCAAACTATAAACTACTAGAAGAAAACAGGGTAAGCACTTCAGGACATTGGTCTAGGCAAAGGTTTTATGGCTAAGACCTCGAAAACACAAACAACTAAAACAAAAATAGACAAATAGTACTATATTAAACTAAATGGCTTCTTCACTGCATAGGAAACAATTAGCAGAGTGAAGAGACCTGTTGAATGAGAGAAAATATTTGCAAAGTATTCATCCAACAAGGAACTAATATCCACAATTTACAAGAAATTCAAACAACTCAATAAAACTCAAATAATCTCAAAAGAAGGCAAAGGACATGAATAGACATTTTTCAAAAGAAGACATATGAATGGCCAACAGGTATATGAAAAATGCTCAACACCATGAATCATCAGGGAAATGCAAATCAAAACCACAATGAGATATCATATAACCCCAGTTGAACAGCTACTATCAGAAAACCAAAAAATAACAGATGCTGGTGAGGACGCAGAGAAAAGAAAAACTCTTATACGCTGTTGGCTGTAATGTAAATTAGTACAGCCTCTGTGGAAAATAGTATGGCGATTTCTCAAACAACTAAAAATAGAACTACCATACAATCCAGCAATCCCACTAGTGGGTATTTATACAAAGGAAAAGAACCCAGGTATTAAAGGGATACCTGGATTCCCTTATCTATTGCAGCACTATTCAAAATAGCAAAGATAAGGAACCAACCTAAGTGTCCATCAATGGAGAAATGGATAAAGAAAGGTCCATATACACAATGGAATACTACTTGGCTGTAAAAGAGAATGAAATCATGTCATTTGCAGCAACATGGATGAAACTGTAAGTCATTACATTAAATGAAATAAACCAGGCAAAGAGAAACAAATACTGCATGCTCCCACTCATATGTGGGAGCTAAAAAACTTGATCTTATGAAGATAGAAAATAGCATGACAGATACTAGAAGCTAGGAAGGGTGTGAGAGTGGGAGGAAGAGAGGTTGGTGAATGGGTACAGACATACAGTTAGAAGAAATAAGTTCTAATGGTTAATAGCAGACTAGGGTGACGATAGTTAGCAAGAATATATGGTATATTTCAAAGTGGTTAGAAGCCAGGACTTGAAATGATACCAACACATAGAAAGGATAAATACTCAAAGTGATGGATACCCCAAATACCCTGACTTGATCATTCCACATTCTACACATGTAAAAACTACTCACCTGTACCCCATAAATACGTAAAATATTATGTATTGATAAAAGAAATGTGAGCTAAGAAATGCAGCTCTAGAGACTGGAAAAGATAAGAAAATGGATTTTCTTCTAGAGCCTTCAGAGGCAGCATGATCCTGCTGACCCCTTGACTTTGGACCAGGGAAACTTACTTTGGACTTCTGGCCTCCAGAAAAATGTGTGTTGTTTTAAGATGCCACATTCATGGTATCTTACAGCAATCACAGGAAACTAATACAAAACGCTCACGCAACCTGATTTCAAGTCTTACTCTAAAGCTACAATAATCAGTGGGGTTTGGCACTGGCATAAGGATAGGCATATATATTAGTGGAACAAAATAGAGTCCTGAAATAAACCCACATCACTGATTTTTGATAAAGAAACCAAGATAATTCCATGGGGAAAGGAAAGTCTTTCCAACAAATGGTTCTGGAACAATGGGATAATATACAGGAAAAAAATGGACCTCGACCCCTACTTCACCCCATATACAAAAATTAATTTGACATAGATTATAGACCTGGAAGTAAAAGCTAAACTACAAACCTTCTAGAAGAAAAATAAAGAAAGATTGTCAAGATTGTGGTATAAGCAAATATTTCTTAAAGATGACATAAAAAGCAATAATCACACAATTTAAAAGTTAGACTTCATTAATATAAAAAAAGGAAGTCACAGACTGGGAGAAAATATTTGCAAATCATATATCTGAGAAAGAACTTGTATCGGGTAGGGGGAGGGGGGAGGGATAGCATTAGGAGATACACCTCATGTTAAATGACGAGTTAATGGGTGCAGCACAATATGGCACATGTGTACATATGTAACAAACCTGCACGTTGTGCACATGTACCCTAGAACTTAAAGAATAAAAAAAAAAGAACTTGTATCCAGAAGATATAAAGAAGTACATATCAGTACCAAAAAGGAAAACATTCTAATCATAAAATAGGCATAAAACTTGAATAGACACTTCACAGAAGAAGATATACCAACGGCCAATAAGCTCACGAAAGGTGCTAGACCTCATTAGTCATGAAGAAAATGTAAAGTAAAGCCACAGTCAAGTACAAGCTCACATCCACTGGAATAGCTAAAATCAGAAAGACCTACAGACAACAAATATTGGGGAGGAGGCCGGCGCAGTGGCTCACCCCTGTAATCCCAGCACTTTGGGAGGCCAAGGCAGGCGGATCACGAGGTCAGGAGATCGAGACCATCCTGGATAACATGGTGAAACCCTGTCTCTACTAAAAATACAAAAAATTAGCCAGGCGCGGTGGTGGGCGCCTGTAGTCCCAGCTACTTTGGAGGCTGAGGCAGGAGAATGGCAAGAACCCGGGAGGCAGAGCTTGTAATGAGCCAAGATCGTGCCACTGCACTCCAGTCTGGGCGACAGAGCGAGACTCCATCTCAAAAAAAAAAAAAATAGTGGGGAGGAAATGGAGTGTACAGTCTCTTGGAGGAGCATACAGTCTCTTGGGGGACAGCCTGGTGATTTCTTATAAAATTAAACTTACACTCTATTATCCAGCAATTCCACTCCTGGTTTTGATCCAAGAGAAATGAAAACATGTGTCTCCAAAAAGACTTAAGACTGTTTACAGCAGTGTTATTCATCATAGCCCAAAGTTGGAAACCATCCAAATGCCTATCAAGAGCTGAGTGGATAAACAAATTGCAGTAAAGCCATACAATGGAATACTACTCAGCAACAGAAAGAACAAACTCCTGATACACACAACCGCATGGATGGATCTCAAAGGCATGATGTTTAGTGCGAGAAGCCAATTAGAGACCATATTGCGTGACTCTGTGCGGTTGAGAAGTTCAAGAACAGGAAACAGTAGGCTCTGGTGCTGGAAGTCAGAGTGCTGGTGCTGACACGGATGGGAAGCGACTGGAAGGGCGTCTGGCGGAACTTCCAGTATGACAGGAACATTCTGTGTCTTGAGGCAGGTGCTGCTTGCACAGTTGTATGCATTTGTCAAAAGTCATTGTTTTGAACACTAGCGATCCGGGCATTTCACTGTAAGTAAACTTTACCTATGATGGAACACTACTCAGCCATAAAAAGGGATGAATTAACAGCATTTGCAGTGACCTGGAGGAGACGGGAGACTATTATTCTAAGTGAAGTAACTCAGGAATGGGAAACCCAACATCGTATGTTCTCACTGATATGTGAGAGCTAAGCTGTCAGGATGCAAAGGCGTAAGAATGACACAATGGACTTTGGGGACTTGGGGGAGAGTGGGAGGTGGGCGAGGGATAAAAGACACAAATAGGGTGCAGTGTATACTGTTCGGGTGATGGTGCGCCAGAAATCTCATAAATCACCACTAAAGAACTTACGTAACCAAATACCAACTGTACCCCGATAACTGATGGAAAAAATCTTTGTAAATAAACAAACAAAAACAGAAGCAGGTATGGGTGTCACAAGGAGGAAAGGGGCTGTCAACAGAATTGTTTCACTGGGAGATGGCAGGGCCATGTCATTCCAGGTGGGGTGAGGAGTGGGTGTCAGGGGTACAGGGAGGAATTTGGAGCCTAGAGTGCCACTCCCTGAGCACAGTTCCGTGGGTGGGGCGTGGGGGAAGGTGATCGGTGGGACCACACAGCAGAGGAGAGAAGGCAGGTGTCTCAGACATGCTGTGTCAGTCACCGTGCCAGACTTCCAGGTGGGAGCAATTTGGAAGCTCAGGCCTGAGCCTCTGGAGGCTGGGCCCTGCTGAAAATCTGAGGATTCTTCCTTTGGCGGACCAAGGAGGACCCCAAAGCTGCATGGAGGACCAAGGCAGCTGAATTGATGGCTTGGGCAAAGTGCAGGGGAGGGGCCTGCTGAGGACACTGCGGGCTGGAAGGGAGGGTGGCAAGGTCCTCTCATGGAGAAGGCCCTCCAGAGGGGAGGGTCAGTACTTGGGGCAGGGTCAGCAGAGGACAGGAGAGGTACCTGGGGGCACCTAGAGGGCTACCTGGCGACCAGCACAAAGTCATGAGGAGCGGCAGGTGCTGGGGAGCAAGAAAAGGAGGAAAAGGAGGAGAGGCTCATTTGTTTTGTTTGCAGTTTAGGACTGGGGAGACCTGGGTATGTTACAGATCCAGGAGAAGTCCACAGAAAGAGGCAATGATCAGCTACTATATGGAATGCCTCTATTTGACCCTCGGACCATCCACCCTGGAGTAGCTGATGATGTTGCTCTCATGATTTAATCATGTTGGACTGCATTTGGAACTGGGCTGTGTAATTAGTATGCACATCCTAGTCGCTCATTCTTTTTTTGTTGTTGTTGTTTTGAGAAGGAGTCTCGCTCTGTTGCCAAGGCTGGAGTGCAGAGCTGTGATCTCTGTTCACTGCAACCTCTGCCTCCTGGGTTCAAGCAATTCTCCTGCTTCAGTCTCCCAAGTAGCTGGGATTACAGGCATGCACCACCATGCCCGGCTAATTTTTGTATTTTTAGTAGAAACGGGGTTTCACCATGTTGGTCAAGCTGGACTTGAACTCCTGACCTCAATTGATCTGGCCACCTCGGCCTCCCAAAGAGTTGGGATTAAAGGTGTGAGCCACCTCACCTGGCCACTCACTCTCATTTACCAAATAATCAAGCAATCAAGCCCCTGTAAAGTGAAATTCCCACAAATTATTTTTAATGACATCCTTCCATGTTTTCCTACACCTTTTCAATAAGTGGATTTCTTTTAACTCCCTGAACAGAGAAGCCCGTGGCACAGGAGGGAGCGGCCAGCCGTGCTCACTGTCCTGCTGACCCAGGCCCGGCAGGCAGGTCATCGGGTGCTGGCCTGTCCGTAGGGGGCAGCAGTGGCAGCACTGATCCCTGGAAATCTTGTTCAGGCCACCAGTGGCTCCAGACCCCAACTCCCTCTTTCGGGGAGCAACCTGCACAGCCTGGCGTGTTAAGTTGTGTCCTCACCTGTCATTGGCGACGGGCAGGGCGATCTCAAACTTGGCCAGGAACTGGAAGTACTGCTCTTCCGTCTGCTGCGTGAAGCCAGTCCCCACCAGCAGCATCCTGAGGTCTTCTGCTCTGATCACCCCATTCTTGGCCACTGACCGAGAGCCCTTAATATTAAAGATCCTCTGCAGACATTCGGAGAGCCAAATAGGGTCGAGGAAGTAGAGGTTCCTCAGGCCGTGGCTGGTGTCCGGGAAATGGAGCAGGGTGCCGGTTTCTATGAGGAAGCTGATGGCTGCCCCAGGCAAGGAGAGGAGGAAGCAGCAGTTAGACAAAGGAGCGAAAGGGACTCTGGGGTGGCCCTCTTTCCAAGAGGACCCAGGTCACAAATTATTCCTGAGAAGAAACCAACATGTCCCACATGCTGGACCCTTCAGGTGGGCTGGCAGCCTGATCACAGGTGCCCTGGTGGCCCCTGGTAACTCTTGCCAAAGTCCTAGGCTGATGGCCGCCTGGGTAACTACACTTGATCCTCATTATTTGTGGATTTTGCCTTTGCAAATTCACCTTCTTGCTAAGATTGATCTGCAACCTCCAAATCAGCACTCCTGCGGTTATTTGCAGACATGTGCTGAGTGGTGAAAAATTTGCATTGACCAATGTGCACGTTGCCAGCGGAGGCTGAACAGGACAACTCTCTCAGCTCTCATGCTGAAAACAGCTGCCTGCTTAGTGGTCTATGTCAGTGCCACGTTTTTTGAATTTTTGTGCTTTTTGTTGACGCTTTCACTGTTCAAAATGGTCCCTAGTGAAGTGCTGAAACGCTGTGTAGTTCCCTAAGCGTGAGAAGGCTGCGATGTGCCTTATGGAGGAAACCTGTGTGTTAGATAAGCTTTGTTCATGAATGAGCAATAGTGCTGTCAGCCGTGAGTTCAATGCCAACAAATCAACAACATATATTAAGTATGGCATCTTTACGCAGCAACACACATAAAACAAGGTTCTGTACTGACGGGCTGGTGAGTATGTGGTGACCAGAGGCTCGCAGGAGCCCAACGCTGCGTCTCTCCTAGGAGCACTGGTTCCGTATTTGCTATTTCAGTGATCGCGGTGACTTTACAGAACGTTAAGTCCTGTGGCTAATGAGAATCGATTGTAACTGTTTGACCTCTGTCTCCCTGACTGAATATCAGCCCCGGAGGGCAGGCGCCAGTCCATCAGCTTGTATGTCTGTCCTCGTGGCAAACACAATGCTGGTGTAGAGTAGCTGTTTGTGTTCTCTCCCTCCAAGGAAAGAAGGGTGAGAGGGAAGAAGGAAGGGGAGGGGGATGGAAGGCAGAAACGCAGGCTGGGTGTCGGTCTCTCATTCATTACTGAGGCCAAGCTGAAGTTAGCAAGTACAGACAGTTCCATTTCTCACGGGCACCCTGCCACCTACCCCAGCCCCACCCACCTGACTGCAGGTCCTCGTAGTCCTTGATGTCGTTGTCGGGCGTCTGCTCCACCAGCTGCTCCAGCTGCCTGTCCGTCAGGTACTGCACGTCGTCGTCCCGGCTGCGGCGCTGCTGCTCTGCCAGCACGGCCTCCTGCAGGCTCAGGTAGCTCCTGGGGATCTGGGGGACAGTTGGGCGAGGCAGGGTCTCTCAGGTCCCAAGGCACACCTGCCAGCTTGGGCAGATCCTGCCCGGCCCCTGTGGCCTGAGGGGGTGGGACGTTTCCACCCACTATCTTCCATCCTGACCCTCCCTCACCAGGAACCACCGAGCCTTGCCACACAGACATGGGCTTCACAGGAGAGAGGGGGAAGTGAGGACCCCCAACAATGGGAAGCAGGCAGACTGGTTTAAACTGGACCAGCAAGGTACCCACCAGCCGCCCTGCCAGTCGCTGGCAGCCGATGGTGCTGCCCACGTCCTTCATGCTGCACGTGACGTGGAAAATCAGCTGTCGCAGCCCTTCCTGACCTTCCAGGCTCTTGCAGGAAATCTCACTGTGAGCAAAAAGACCCGTCTTTACTCATCATGCCCCACTCCGAGGAAGCGCTGCTGCTTCTCTGTTTCCCTGAGAGGTTTGTCCTGAACGCTGGCAAGTCTGGAGAACTCGTGAAAGACAACACAAGAAGTTTATTGAGGCCTTGCTTTGTGCAAATCACTGTGCTGGGTGCCCCACACTGTGTCGCTTTAGTCTGTCTTCCCAGACTAAACATGGCACTTCACGGAGGAGGAAAGTGAGGTGCAGAGGTACACCGAGACCCCCAAGGGTACAGGCTGGGCAGGCACAGGCTCACACAGGCTGGACTTGGGTTCTGACCCAGAGCCAGGACTCCTCTTATCACAGACCCCATGGGACTTTCTCAAGGGCAAAGCAGGAATTCCTGACAGCCTCATCCTGTATTCCGAGCCAGGCCAATGTGTCCCAGGCTGACCCATGCACCAATACCCGTGGCGCTCTGCCCCGGGCGAGGGAATCTGAGAGCCATCAGTGCAGATAATGCAATATGCAGTGTATTTTACTCCCATTAGGGCACACTTAATTTGCTGAACCTCATCTTCTTCACCTACAAAGTGGCAAACAATCCCCACAACCTGCAGGGCTGTTGTGAAAGTCCAGTGACAGGCAGTCAGCCCAGGGCAATTGGACTTATCTGTATGGACACGTCGTGATGCCTAACTGAAAGCCCCTCCAAACTCTTGGCCCTCTGTGACTCAAAGGCTGCTATCAGGACCACTCAGACCCAATGGAAGGACTGGCCCTCCCTCCCCAGGGTCTGTCCTTGATCAGTGATCAACAAATGAGATGGGCAGCAATTGGTTGGGTGGTGCCCACGTTCAGTCTCCTGGTTCAATAGGCACCATGCATTTTCAGCACTGGCCCTTGGGGCGGGGATGGGGCAGAAAGGAAGCAAAGAGGGGCACCTCCAGGCCTCAACCAGCCAGCCGTCTGGTAGGTCTTCACCCTCCCCAAGGCTGGGTCAGCTCTGTGGATGGCCACCCTTGGCCAGGAAAGGGGCCTAGCCCCACCCAGACTCAGGAGCTCTCTGCAAGCTGATCCCAGGAAAGATCAGCGACTGGCACCCACAAGAAGGCAGGAGCTGCCCGAGGCTGGGCACTCACTGTAAGTGTTTGAAGGTGATGTCTGGGAAGCCTGTGGCCCTGGAGCCGGAGGGGGAGCGGCAGAGTGCCAGCACATAGGCACGCAGCGTTGCAATCCTTTCCACACGGAACTTGGCTTCAATTAAATCCAGGTGCGTCCCGACCACCAGCACCACGGCGTTTGGGGCCTTGGCCTGCAACAGAGAACCCCACGGCTGAGTACTGTCTCTGTTCATGGAACAAGGGACAGGACAGAGCTCCCAGCTGTGCAGGTGCGCTGACCCTGGATGCCACGGCCCTTGCTCAGCCACCAATCTGCAGCCTTGAGACGGTTTGGATGTTTGCCTCCTCCAAATCTTATGTTGAAATGTGATCCCCAGTGTTGGAGGTGAGGCCTGACGGGAGGTTGGGTCATGGGGCCAGATCCCTCATGAATGGCTTGGCACCTTCCTGCAGTAATGGGTGCGTTCACCCTATGTCAGTTCACAGAGGAGCTGATTGTGGAAAGGAGGCTGGCTCCTCTTCCTGTCTCTCCTGCTCCCTCTCTCACTATGTGACATGCTGGCTCCCCTTCCCTTCTGCCATGACTAAAAGCTTCCTGAGGCCTAACCAAAAGCCAACAGATGCTGAAGCCATGCTTGTATAGTCTGCGGAATTGTGAGCCAAATGAACCTCTTTTCTTCATAAATTACCCAGTCTCATTCCTTTCTAGTAATGCAAAACAGACTGCGCTACAGGATGTCAGCCCAGGCAGCACCTGTGCTCCTCATTCTCCGTGAACCTGAGGGACTGTTGCATTGAGGGGTGTCTATGGTGTTCTGTGACCTCCTCCACGGAGGGTGCTGAGTTGGACTTGTGGGGAGGGATTTCTGACCCTTCAGACATGACAGCAGCCATCAGAGGCAGGGAGACAAGGACATCTTTATAACAGGAAGGGAACCCTGCTCTGCTTTTGGATCCAAGGGTGGGGGTTCCTAAATTTAAGGGAAGCGGGGAAATTACATCACCAGCCCTCAGCAGAGGAAGGTTTCAAGTGCCTCACTGTGAAAAGCAAGCAGGACCACGGTTCTGGGGCCCTCTGTGGCAACATAACCCCCTTTTTTTCTCAGTACAGGGGATGCTTGAGGGAAGCGGTGGGACCTGCAAAGCTCTGGGCACTGAAATGGCAGGGCTGGCGTCTGGTGTCCTCACCTCGATGTTGAGCAGCCAGAACTGGAGGTTGGCCACGGCCTCCTCCCCCAGCGCCAGGTTCCAGACCACCACGTACAGGGCCTTGTCCGTGAAGAAGCACTGGTTGACAGTGGCCATGCTGGCCGGTCCCCCGATGTCCCAGACGTTGAACTCCACGGACTCAACCTACTTGAGCAACAAGGCAGCGACAGGGAGGCATTTTAGAGACAAAGGCTTCAGTCAATCAAACGGAGACAACGGATAACTCTGGAGGCTGGACTCGGGGGTCTGAAAAAACAACCGTGGAAAAGTTCTGGACACTCTATTGTTTCTTAGGAAACAGTTATCTGGGCGAGGGACAGGGGCCCGGTGGCATGGGGGTGGGCTTCTGGGACTTCTGTCTACTCCTAGCAGAGCAGAGACCAGGCCCTGGACAGACTTCAGAGGGCCTGGCTCTGTCTGGGCTGCAGATGGGTAGGGGATGCCCTGTGGGAGGAAGCTGTGCTCTGATGTCACGGCTTGCACTGGGGTTCAGCCTCCCTGTGTGCCAGGGCAAGAGGAGGAGATGGGCCTCTGAACTTGTGGGGCTCAGAGGGTGGCGCCCACCAAGGATGCTGGGAAACTCCCTCCCACCCTGTGGGAATCAAACAAAAGATGAGCTGTTGGGCTGCCGGGAACGGCTGTGTAAACGGTGGTTTCTCTATCATTGCATGAGGTAAGAGTCTGGCCCTGGATGCTAAGGCTGCAGTTTTCTACAGAAAGGAGTCATCTCTGTGAGGCAGCATCAGCCTCCAAGACACAGTGTGCTGACCTGGTTTTGTATAAAGATGAAAACAGCTGTTCTCAACTGGCTGAGGCCGGCCACAGAGAGAGCGGCGGGCTCAGCCTTCACAGGATTGTCCTTCCACTAAAGGGTAGGGGGTTTTAATCATCGCAGAAAGGAAGTGGGGGTGAAGGTCAGGAAAAATAGAAGCACGAATTCACCCCTCAGGCCTCAGCTAGAGGAAGCTAAGAGAAGAAATGAGATTGCATAACTGTTAAGAAAAAGGCAAAGCTGGAGAGAATGCAGAGGATTCTGGTTCCTGGAGAGAACCTTCAGACTCGAGTCAGCTAGATTTGCTCCTGGAATGTTCTAGGATTGGCCTAGCGTTGATTGTCGTGTTTGATTGTTCTGGCCCCAACAGGCAGCGCTTCACCCCTTGGAGGACCAGCTTCCAAGTTCGTGTTAGAACAGATGCACAGCTTCAATGCCTACTTTTTCAAAGCAGGTTTGGAAAGTGGTTGTGTGTGGAAGAAGCTGCAGTGTTTGGTTGGCACTGTGCGTGGGAGCTTTGGGGGAAAATCATGGACCATCTGGATCTCAAGCCTCCTCAGTTTTCCACAGTGAAGCAGCCTCTTGCCCCTTGGATCCCGAGGAATCACAGGGTGGCAGAAATCCAAATACAGTTGATGAGGATGGCCTTATCTATGTGTGTTCGTTCCCCGAGCTCAGAGAAAGGGCTAACTGCCCCTGCTCTATTCCAGGGATGGAGTTCCCACCAACAGTCCATGGCTCTTTTCTCTGTTACATGAACAGGAAAATGTTCATTTCCATTTGCCTGGCACTGAATGGAAAGCAAGATGATTAAGAAGTTTATGGATGGACTCAAAAAATTTTTTTTGAATGGAGTCTTGCTCTGTCGCCAGGCTGGAGTGCAGTGGCATGATCTCGGCTCACTGCAACCTCCACCTCCCGGGTTCAAGCAGTGATGGATTCATTTTAAGTAGGGCTTAGAAACAGGACTTTTCAGAACCTGGGGTGAAAGCAGGTGTCAGGGACGGCAGGGTGTTAAGTCCCAGAGTGCTTTTAGCCTCCTCATCAGGGGGCAGATGCTGGTGTGTTTCACTGCCTGCAACAGTGGTTAGCTCTCAGCCCTGGGGGTGCCTTATCCCAGACCACTTGAACTTGAATCCTTGGGGTCAGAGAGCAGTGAGGTGAGGCCTGGGAATTGCTATCTTTAAAAGCCCCTCAAGGGAATCTAACAGACAGCCGGGGTTAAGAACCACTGTCCCAGAGCCTCAAGTAACTATAACAGAAACATACAGGGCAGGTGGATCATTTAAGCTGGGGAGGTTGAGGATGCATCCAGCCTGAGAGACACAGTGAAACCCTGTCTCAAGAAAAAAAAAAAAGAAAAGTAAAGAAAAAGAAAACATCACAAAGTCACATTAAGAAATGATTCGCTGCTCTTGGCAGAAGCTGGTATGGAATGGTACACAGTGGCTCCTGCAAAGGGCCTGAGCTTTGGACACCAGGCTGAGAAAATCCTGGGCTCTCTGGGGAGAAGGGAGAAGGAGTCCAAGGGATGTTCCTCCCACCCACAGGGACTCTGCACGCAGACCATCCTTGACCTTGGCTCTCGAGCCAGCCGGCCTCTGGAGCTCCCACTTGGTGGTCCTGATGGTGGCCTCTCCATGCACCACCTGGGGGGCCCTCCCCGTCTGTAAGATCTCCAGGAGGGTGGACTTGCCCTGGCGCGGGGGACCCACGATGATCATCTTCATCAGCTTGCACTTTTCCGCTTTCCGCAGCTGAGCACGCAGGTAAGACAGCATTGCTTTGGGGCCTGTGCAAAATCATTAAGGGGAAGGGTAGCTGCGTGGGCACATGCTCACATCTCTTAGGACACAAAATCCTGTTGTGAAGGAACTCCTTCTTTGTGTTTTAGTGGGGACAGTTAAGGAAGACTACTGGATCAGGGGGAGGGAAGGCATGACACTAACCACCCTAAAAGCGAACTCTAAGAGGCAAGAACCTATGGACAAAATCCTTGCTGCCCAGGAGGTCACAGTTGTATCACCTGGTCCTTCTCAGTATAGTGACCCTCAGTAACGATTGCTTTAGGGACAATTTTATAGCATCTTGTCAAATCTGGAACCTGGAGCTGGGCTCCATGGGTCACCAACTGTCTCCACCCCCAGAACTTAACAAGTGGACTGGAGTTGTCTTTCCAAGAGGTGATGGCAGGGGACAGGGCTGCGGAAGCCCTACCTTCTTTTTGGATTTCTGCAGGCACATTGCTGATGGTCAGGTCTTCAGTGTCCAGCTGCCAGAGGTTGCCCAGCTGCCCCAGCTCAGGAGGGAGCTCCCGGAGGCCAGGGTTGCTGAAGACAGATGTGTCCACCACGAGAGAATACACACACACACACACACACACACACACACACACACACGCACACACGTGGCTCCTGTCAGCCTCTGCAGCCTGTACCCCAGACCCCACACTTTGAGCCCTGATTTCAACACTAATTCCAAAGGCTTTCTCCTGGAGGATCAGTGATAGAAACGGCAGCTCTGTCTTCTGCAAATCCCCACGGCTTAGAATTGAGTCCCCTCCCCCAACTTTCCTGTCTCTGCTACTAAGTACATCCCCATAAAGATGATCACTACCTCTTCCCGAGAAGGCGATGTCCCTTTAATATTAATATAACATTTTACACTCTCATCAAGCTTTGCACACTGCCTAGAACCCCTGGCAGTAGCTGGCATGCAATGGGAGCTCAGTAATGAAAGGATGAATGATTGAGTGGTTCTCCTCATCACAGCCCAAGTGATGTAGTGAAAGTGTGTATCATTGCATTGCTACTCCGTCTTCCTCTCTCCCCACCTCCTTGATCAAGCCCTGTTCCGAAAATCTCACTACTGCTTCTTGGAAAGTAGATGGCTTCTTTCTGCCTGGCTTTCTGTGTCCCAGTTGGTTTAGGGATGGGCGTTCTGCCTCTCTGGGCCAGCAGAGCCAGCACGGCCCCTCCAGATGTGTACTTACTTTCCCAAGTAGAGCTCTGATAAGCTCTTCAGTAGGCAAACCGAGGGAGGGACTGTGTCGAGGTGGTTGTCGTTCAGGCAAAGGACTTCCAAAGACTCACTTAGGAAGGCCGGAAATTCCAGCACACTTGCTGCAAAGACATGGCAAAGCAGACTGCATTTAAAAATAATTCTGGACCGTCACAGCGTGGTGACCAGGTGGGCGTATAAACTGATGCAACCTCCAGAGGGCATTTTGGCAAGCCTATCAGAACAAAATGCTCACCTCATCGACCTAGCAATTCTCATTCTACAGATAGCTTTGCATGCATGTGTGGCAAAGATGTGAGAATGAGGACACTCAGTGGCAGAGATAGAGGACAATCTACAACAACCTATGTGTCCAGCCACAGGGGGTTGGTTCAATGAGTAATAGAATAATTGCAGCTATTACAAAGTATGGGGCAGGTCTACATATATGGGGGTATGAAGTAATACTCAAGAGCTACCCATCAATTGAAAAGGCAAGGTGCGCCAGGCTGGTGGCTCACGCCTGTAATCCTAGCACTTTGGGAGGCCGAGGTAGGGGGATCACAAGGTCAGGAGTTCAAGACCAGGCTGGCTAAGATGGTAAAACCCTGTCTCTACTAAAGATACAAAAATTAGCCAGGCGTGATGGTGGGCACCTGTAATCCCAGCTACTCGGGGGGGCTGAGGCAGGAGAATTACTTGAACCTGGGAGGTGGAGGTTGCAGTGAGTTGAGTTTGTGCCACTGCACTCCAGCCTGGGTGACAGAGCAAGACTCCATCTCAAAAAAAAAAAAAAAAAAAAAAAGTTCAGAACCGGATATCTAGAAGGCTTATTAGTGTAGCAGAAAATGTGTGCACACATGCATGCACACACACGCATACCATGTATATGTTATATGCACACACACCACACCTGCACATGTGTATGCACAGAGGTTACAGTTGTTAGACAGGAACACAATGGTTACCAGAGATGCACTGAACTCCATAGTTGTCTCTGGGGAAAGGAATTACTAGAGGACTGAATATTTATCCCATGCCCTTTGCTACTGTTCAAAAACGGTGTTTTAAAATATACATGCGTTGCTTTTTCCATGAAAAAAAGCTAGTTAATGAAAATATACCACAGTTGGCTGTTTTTATGCTTCTTACAATGCCATTCTTTGAAAAGCCAGCCAACTGTTTAGTATTTAAGTGACTTTATTAATTAGGCTCACTATGAGATTACCATGAAAATCATGTCAAATTTGCTGTTTCCACGGGCACCAGAGCATTTGAGTTGAGAAAGAGCTTGGAAACGCACACTGATGGGAATCAGAGGTTTGGATTTCAGCAGAATCTCTGAAGTGCCTTTATCCTCCCTACTAAGGCCTGGAGAGGGGGCAGGACAGCATGCCTGGGAGCTCGGAGAATTCAAGATTAAACAACTGCCTCAAAGCCCTCTCATAGGGTTCCCTGCCAGACATGGAAAATAGAGAAGCCGGAGTTCTTTTGTTGGGCTGAAACCAGGCTCGGTTGCCCTTGATCATAGCTACCCCGCCTCGGCTCTGGCTTTCCTCCACACATGTAGCTGCAATAACAATGGTAATGGGTAACCTGGCCTCTGAGAACATTCAGGGAGAGCCGATAATGGAATACCAAAACCAATGCCTGGAAAATCTGCCCAGCTAGCTGTACTGTGAATGGGACTCACTGCAGGGGCTCCTGCGGAAATAAAGGTGCACCGGCCTTCTAAAGATGGCTTTGTATGAGTCCTTGCTAGGTAAGGAAATGTTCAAAAAGCTTCCTTTTTTTTCCTTCAATGAAAAAAGATGATCAATATTAGCCTGCCCTAATTCACATTTTCATGAAAGAACGTCATAATGAGAAAGGCTTACTTTCTCCCCAGAGAACACATTCTAAACACCTGGCCTCTGTGCTTTCCAAACTTTTAAAGTTTCGCTACGGTGTTTATGAAGCCTCTTTAAGTAAGAGATGGCTGGAATAATGAGCTATGATTGCAAACAGAGGCAACACCTGTAACAGACCTCCTGGCCCAGTGTTGAAAACGATGGGCACTGAGCTGGGGAGAACACAGTTCAAGGTATTTAAGAACTGTAATTATTTATTCATAAGTTATTTATGACTCTGCTGGTCTGATTTTTACCGTAAAAACGGCCATCCAAATTATTTTTGGATGAGGCCACTGCACAAATATGACTATTTGGATGTACATAAATCTACTTGGAATTTTACTATCCTACTGCAAACAAGCTGTCTTTTGTAGATAATTCCTTACCCAAGGGTCCATGGCCCTGGGAGAATAACCCTACTGAGGAAAAGGGTTTGCAAAGAGCCGCCTTCTTTTCACTCAGGTGTGGGCCTCAACTTTCTAGATGAAGTTTAAAGAATCAAGAGGCCTTTGTCATCTGCCAAGGCCAAGATTCACCTCTGCCAGAGAACCTCCCAGGGGCGCGGCCCCCTCACATGGCTCCCCAGATGTACTTCTGCGGGCTGCCAGCTGTCACTTTCTAGAGCATTGGTACCGCGCGTAGTCCTATGGTGCTTTTCCATGCATGCCTGTGATTTTCCCCACTGGCGTCTCATTGAGTGCTGAGCCCACTTCCTTGCACACTCCTCCGTGGTCCCAGGAAGGATTCGGCATTTCTAAACTGGAGACACGTTTCTAATCCACACAGCAAGTGGCTTGCGTGACCGAGGTCTACACTAGCTCCTGTTCTCATACCCATCATCCCGCCTGGCATGAAGGAGAAGATGGTGTTTGTTTCCCCTTCCTTCTAAGTGAAATCCCTATGTCTGGACTCAATTTCTACAGTCCTAAGGCTCTTCATTTATAAAAGGATCAGTTATGAAATTCATAATTGCATTTCCCTATTCGTGTGGTTAAGGACCTTTTCATTTGTTTCCTGGCCCTCTGGACTTCCTTTTCTGAAAATTGTTTATATCCCTTGCCCATTTTTTTTGCCTATTGTGTTGTCTTTTTTTTTTTTTTTTTTAAATCAATTTGTAAGCATTCTTTGTATATCAGGGACTTAAGCCAATTTGTGTTGCAACAATTTGTGTTGCAAATATTTCTTCTTAGTCTGTTTGCATTATGACTTGGTTTATGATGCTTCCCACTGAACACAATTTTTGAATGTTTATGAAGCCAATGATTTCAGTCTTTTTAAAAAATTATTCCTGGATTTTCCAACTAGATTTTAAAGATCTCCCTCATAGCAAAGTTATACCTATATTCCTTAAATGTTATTGTTTTCTTTTTTTATACTTAAACCTGATTGTTGTAATCTAGTATCGTGTTTTGTCCCCCTTCCAGGCAGGAATATCAACACCGTTTATTAACGCACGCAAGCATCCTTTTACACTAAGTTGAAGTTCTGCCTTTGTCATATATTACATAATAACAGTCCCCAACCTTTTTGGCACCACGGACCGGTTTTGTGGAAGACAATTTTTCCATGGACTGCAGCATTGGTGAGGGGGACAGTTTAGGGATGAAACTGTTCCACCTCAGATCATCAGGCGTTAGATTCTCATAAGGAGGGCACAACCTAGAGCCCTCACAGACGCGGTTCACAATAGGGTTCGCGCTCCTATGAGAATCCAATGCTGCCGCTGATCTGACAGGAGGTGGCGCTGATGCTCACTGGCCCACCGCTCACCTCCTCCTGTGTGGCCTGGTTCCTAGCAGGCCAGGGACCAATACCGGTTCGCTTCCTGGGGGGCGCTGGGGACTCCCGATGTATTTCTATGTTTACTGAGGTCTATTTTTGGACTCTTTTATCTGGTCCACTGATATTCCTTTTTCAGTCACATATAAATACACACGCTCTTATGGGACAGATCTCTATGTGTATCATACTCAACACACAAGCACACCAGTTCATCCAAGAGCGTAGCAGCGGCAAACTCCCTAGTTCACCTCCTGCAAATGTGTCCTGGCCTCTGTGGCGTCACTCATCCCTACCTCATACTATCTGTACTTGCCAACAACCATCTATCAAACTGAAGAAGAAAGTTGTATTATGTTTAAAACAACCTGGATGTGGGTTCTGGTTTTCTGGGCCAGCATCCTGAGGGATATTTCTGTGAGCAGAGCTGGCTTTGGAAGTTGTAGCTTTGAGGTTAAGAAGCAGAGCTGGTTGTTTAATGAAAGGGACAGCTCCATACCTTCCCCTGTGTCTCACAGAAGATAATGGAACAAAAAGAGCTTGTTTACCTAGATGTACTCTCTGCTGAACTGGCCTTGTTGTGTGACCAGCACAAAAACTAGGAAAGTTCTGTCTCTGTTGAGTTTTGGGGAAGACCACGAGCCCCTGTGCAACCTTGGCCTCACCTCAGCCTGTGGGTCCAAAGGCGGCCGTGATCCATGTGGGCTTTGCAAGATACCATCGTGTGGCAGTAGAGACTTAACAGCACGTAGCTGCTGGTCCAGGGCTGAAGTCCCACAGTCCTGGGATGAAACCTGGCTCTGCTACTGAGAAGCAGCCACACAACCTGGGACAAATCAGTCAGTCCCTATGCCATGGATTGAACTGTGTCCCCCGCCCCCCACCAAATTCATATGTCGAAGCTCTAATACCCAATGTGACACCATTTGGAGATGGGATATTTGAGCTGTAATTAGGTTTAGATGAGGTCATGAGGGTGGGGCCCTTATGATGAGATTAACATTCTTATAAGAAGAGGGGCCGGGCGTGGTGGCTCACACCTGTAATCCCAGCACTTTGGGAGGCTGAGGCAGGCGGATCACTTGAGGTCAGGAGTTCAAGACCAGCCTGGCCAACATGGTGAAACCCTGGATATCTGAGAGGAGGGCGCCAGCACTGTCAGGGGCTAGCAAGGGCCTTCTTCCTGGCATCCTGTATTGTATTAAAATACAAAATTACTATTTGGAGATGGGATATTTGAGCTGTAATTAGGTTTGGATGAGGTCATGAGGGTGGGGCCCTTATGAGATTAACGTTCTTATAGGAAGAGGGGCCGGGCACAGTGGCTCATCTCCAAAAATACAAAAATTAGCCAGGCATGGTGGCACATGCCTGTAATCCCAGCTACTTGGGAGGCTGAAGAAGGAGAATAGCTTGAACCTGGGAGGCGGAGGTTGCAGGGAGCCAAGATCGCGCCACTGCACTCCAGCCTGGGCGACAGAGCGAGACTCAGTCTCAAAGAAAAAAAAAAAAAAAGAAGAGGAAGAAAGACCAGAGTCCTCTCTCTCTTCACTATCTCAGGACATAGAGAGAAGGATGCCAGGAAGAAGGCCCTCGCAAGCCCCTGACAGTGCTGGCACCCTCCTCTCAGATATCCAGCTTCCAGAACTGTGAGAAAATAAGTGTCTGCTGCTGAAGCACTCGGTCGGTGGTATTTTGGTGTGGCAGCCAAGCTCAGACACCCTGGGAGCCTCAGTCTCCCCACGTGCAAAATGGGGAAATGTGGCCCATACCTCACGTTGTGAGGATGAGAAACTCTCACATATGTAACCTGCCTAGGGCACTGCCTGGTGTGTAGATCAGCTGCACATATTAGCTGCTGGCATCACTGGCCTCCACGCAGGAGAGTGGGGCTTGAGGATACTTGCGTGTCACACGTGGGACAGAAAGAATGGGCGCAGCTCATATGCAGGGTTTTCATTTGAACTTGGACATCTGTGGCATTGCAACAGGGCATTGAAGGGGAAGGCCCAAGATAAGGGCGATCCCCACTTTGGTGGAGCAGGAACCAGGCTACCCCGGCTGTCTCATCTGGGAACACCGTCTCCCAACCCACACACACCTGCCTCAGTCCCGGAGCGCTGGCGACCTCTGGTGGTGAAAAAGGCAATACGCTTCGTTTTCAGTCCATCTTCATTTCTGGGGGGAGGAAAAAGAGACAAAATTTGAGGACAGCACGACAAAAGCATTACTTTTGGCTGTGATGTTATAATGCCAAGCCACGGAGATAGGGAGCAATTCATGTGCAACTCTTCAGGGCCTGGCAGGGGCGCACGCTGCAGTGGCGGCTGCCTTTTTCACTGCCCCCACCCCTCCCCGCAGAGGTCCTCCTTGGGGTGCAAGTTCCACCGTGATACTGCAGAAGTGGCCTTCTGCAGATAACGGGGGCGGCTGGTCTCCAGAGGCTGGCTGGGCTCATCCCGGCTTTCCACCTATTGGAAGGCTTTGGGGCTGGGTGCTTTTATTCAATTCCACGTCCATTTCAGTTAGTGATCAGCAGAGACTTTTGAACAGAATTACAGATTGGGCTGAAGTGAGAGACAAGATTCTCCAGCAGACTAAAAATTAAAAATGAGAGGACACCATTAGGGGCTGTTTCCCCCCACATTCCTGTGTCGAAGCCCTAACCTCCAATTCCTCAGAATGTGACTGTATTTGGAAACAGGGCTGTTAAGGAGGTAACTAAGTTAAAATGAGGTCATTAGGATGGACTCTAATCCAATCCGACTGGTGTCCTTATAAGAAGAGGAGATTAGGTCACAGACGTGAACAGAGGCCTGACCGCAACAGGACACAGGGAGAAGACGGCATCTGCAAGCTAAGGAGAGGGGCCTCAGGAGAAACCAACCAGGCCTGCCCACACCCTCACCTCGGACTTCAGCCCCCAGGGCTGTGAGGCAGTGATTTCTGTTGTTAAGCCCCCAGCTGGCGGCTCAGCAGCCCTCGCAGACTCACATGCCACCATTCAGAGGACCTGCTCGACCGTGGCCCCACACACGCTTTGGAACTGGCCAGGGAGGAGAGGCCCCTGCTTACTTGCCAAGTTGGTTTCTGGAGAGATCCAGGGTTTTGAGCTGCCTGCAGGTCCACTTCTCTTGAGGTGGAAGTGCCGCCAGCTGGTTCCCCTGTAACCTCAAGAACATGAGGGCCTGAGAGAGAGAGGGAGGGAGAGAGAAGCTAAGATAGCATCAGATACAAGAAGGGAGGGGAGACTGAAGAGCCAGTCAGTTCCCAACCACGCGCAGTCAAACGATTCCAACCAATTTTCCTTCACGCAGATCCCAGCTGTGTGGGGCCCAGCAGCCTCTTCAAACTCACGAAATGATATCAAACAGTGCGACGGGGCCATCTATCTACAGGAGCTCCTCCCTCAAAGGCAGTGAGAGGCAATTATTCTAGAGTGAAAGGAGCCCAAGCAGCTGTCAGCATTAAGGATTCTTAAGAGTACTGATTACCGGTGTGTCTCTCTGGGGAAAGTGCCAGACTCTGATGGTTTGGAGGACAACGGCTCACGGCTGGTGGGGGTGGCATGGGGCATGCAGTACAGTGCTGGTGTCTGCCACCTCCTGGTGGGTGGCCTCCTGGGCCAGCCCAGGTCTGGGGACGGGGTGGCAGTGCCACCAAGGGTAACTGTCCTAGCCGCATGCCCTCTGCTAGCCGACACAGTCCCAAGCTGGGCCCCTCAGGATTATCAGCATGTCTGGGGTGCCCCTCGTGGGTAGCCCTCCCTCAGCCCTACTGCAAACAGACCCTGCAGGGAACCCAGTCACCAAGGGGGATGAGGGGCTACCTTGCACCTGTAACACGTTTTATTCTTTTTTTGTTATTCTTTTTATTTATTTACTTTTTTAGAGATAGGGTCTCGCTCTGTTTCTTAGGCTGGAGTGCAGCGGTGTGATCATAGCTTGCTACAGCCTCAAACTCCTGGCCTCAAGCAGTCCCCCCATTTTGGCCTCGCAAAGTGCTGGGAGTACGGTTCTGAGTCGCCGTGCCCAGGTCTGAGCCATCATGCCTGGCCCACGTTTTACTTTGCAGGAGTACCTTAGACATGCTATCTCCCTGCTTGAGGACATCACCACAGCCACCAACTATCCCGCCCACAACCAGGGCGGCCTCAGGAGGGCCACAGGCTGTTTGCTGCCCCACATTAAATTCTCTCCTCCTGGTGCTTTTGTCTCCTTCCTTGTTGAAGGGGCTCACGCCACCGCCCACCATCAGAACCGCTGCAGCCAGCCCCCTCCTGCTGAAATTCTATGGAGACCCTGCCATGTGCCAGACCTCAGGGTCCCCCAAGCCCCCACATACCCACCCACCCCTTCCCAGTGTGGAGAAGGAGACCTCGAGCAGACACATTCCCTGCAGGCCCACAGTGAAGCTCTGGACAAGGCTCTGCCTCTCCTGATTTGCTGCTTCTGGGCTTTGGGGGAAGCCAAAAATCCAAGCCTGCTAGTTGTTGGTGTGAAATACGAGAAGACAGACTCAGAACAGGGGCCCAGGGGCTGTGGACAAGGCCTGAAGGCCAGGAGTACCCTGCGAGGAGTATGATGTGGGACCACCCCCCCCCGGGGGCACCCCGCGTGGCTCCTTTCTTCTGAGAAGCGTGAGTCCTGTCCCTGGGTCCCTGGCTTTGCCCTGTGCTTGTCAGGAGCCTAGGACATGATAGCCCATCCTCTCTGAGGATACACATGCTGAAGGGGCCTTCGCTGCCTTGTGGGGGTCGCCGCACACAAGAGGCTGCACCAGGCCTTGGAGGAGTGCCCGTGGGGGTCCTGGCAGTGGCCTGGCAGGACCGGGGGCTGAAGCCTGTGCAGGGTGGCCTGGGCACTCTGCCTGGGGGTCCACTACAGGGCCCCTGGTGAGGCTGCCCTGATGGGGCCCCTTCTGGGGTTGGCCCTGAGCTCCAAGCAATGAGTGTGATCCACGGCCTGTCTGCCTAAGGACCCGCCAACCACCTAAAACAACCTAAAGCGAGAAGGTACCCGTATTCTGGGGTAGGCACACAGGGTTCCGTGGAAAGGCCCTTCCTGGAGCTCTCAGTGTCCACTCAGCCTCATATATGGGCAGGCCGTGGACTTAAAGAAAGTCCCGAGGGATACGAACCATAACCCCACCACCACCTGACACAGCTGCTTCTGCTGTCCACGTGCCACCCTCATCGCTGTTCGTGGCCATGCATATTTTTGATAGCTGAACTTTTTCTTCATCTTTTCCCCTTATATTTATCTCAGAAGCTCAGGAAAAGCACATACATTTCACTGCAACACGGAGCAATTTTCTCTCAAAAGCCGAAAATGAGAAAGAAAGGGCTATTAGGCTTACATCAAGCTGGAAAAGTCCCAGGGGAACTTCTTTGAGTGCGTTTTCTGAGAAATCCACATCCTTCAGGTGATTTTTCCAAAAGACAGCCATTTTGTCTGGCAGACATTCCAGGGCATTTCTGGAAGCTTTACAACATTTCTAAGAGATTGACGAGAAAAAAAAATGTATATTAGTTAGCTCTTTAAATGCAGTGGTGCCTTTGAGACTGTTTCCAAATTTGATGTTAAAAATGGACCATTACAATAATGTCCTGTAATGAAGATGACTGAGTGTTGCTGGAAGGCTGCACACCCTCACTGTCCTTGTCCTCCCGCCCCTACTCCAAGGAAGGGACAGGAATGGGGTTTCCTGGGGGAGCTCATGGTCTTTTTCCTTCATTCCAGAACATCCGGCCCATTGTCCTTGGAAATAATGGAACAATTCAGGACCACACTGGAGAGAGAAGCTGGTTTCCCCTACACGAATGGCCAAACTAGGAATGATAATGCCAGTGATGAAGAGTTTCCTGGTTTAAAACCAACAGCCATAACACACACACACATGCACACACACACACACACATTCTTCATGCTATTCCATCTGTTTTAACAAGCAAAATTCCCCAGATGCAAAAACAGCATTTAATCAGCAGTGCTACGAGTGCAGATTGATGCTTTTTTTTTTTTTTTTTTGAGACAGAGTCTTGCTCTGTCACCAGACTGGAGTGCAATGGTGCAATCTCGGCTCACTGCAACCTCTGCCTCCCCGGTAAAAGCAATTCCCTGGCCTCAGCCTCCTGCGTAGCTGGGACTACAGCCACGTGCCACCACGCCCAGCTTATTTTTTTTTTTTTTTTAATTTTAGTAGAGACGGGGTTTCACCATGTTGGCCAGGATGGTCTCAATCTCCTGACCTTGTGATCCACCTACCTTGGCCTCCCAAAGTGCTGGGATTACAGGCATGAGCCATAGCGCCCGGCCTGATTTCTTACTCTTATGTGATAGTTGTCCTAAAAGAACTGAACCCTCCTTTTTTCAGGCATGAGTCGTCCTGTGCCAGGGTGAAAGCTGTCCCTGGGTAAAGTTCTGTGGGTGTTGCTGGGTGGCTCTTGAACCCAGAGCCAGGCAGGCTGGCTTTCAGGTGAGTCATCTGCCTGGGACACAGCCTCGCTGTATGCTGAGTGACGATGCTTACAATGTGGGAACCGGGCCCTTCTACCCGGCTTCGCTGCTGAGGGGATGAACTGACATAATGCACCTGAGGGCTCTCTGAGGCCAGCTGAGAGGCAGAGTTGACTGTGGCTTTCATGACTTTTGGTGTGATACTCACCAAAGGGCAGGCCCAGGGATCTGGAAACACCTTCAGGTTGTTTCTGGAGACATTCAGAGAATTGAGGGACTTGAAAGAGTGAAGGAACAGGGCAGGGAGTTCTGTCAATTTATTGTCAGATATATCAAGTTCCTGTAGCTTCCGTAAACCTATCCAGTTAGTGGCTAAAAAAAAAAAAAAAGACCCAAAGTATGAATTGGTAAAAATATCCCTACCAAGAAGAAAATGACTAATTCACTCAAGTTGATGAGAAAACATACCATTTTCTTCTTCGAACAATTTTTCTAAACAATTTTTTGAAGCTGTCAGTTTTTGAAGTTTTGAGAGGTGCAAGAATCCAGGAGGGAGGTGGGACAACTTGTTGCTGGAAATGTCAATTTCAAGTAGCCTGCGATGGAGAAGAAGGAAGGCAGGCATCAGAATAAAGAGGGAAAACACCAAATTTACATATTTTTCTATAAACCAAGAGGTGTATTTTTTTTCTTTTTCTCCCCATGCAAGGTTAAAGAGTGTGCATTGAAAATGTAGTGCATATGATTTTTAATTCTTTTGAAGAACTCTTACTGTGTCCTGTGTAGATAAAGACAAACCTCTCATCGGTGGGCCCTGGCTCCACTGACCAACAGGGATTCGAATCCTTCGCAGGCATGTAATAGCAAAATGAGTAGGTTCCCTGAAAGCTGCTGAGACCACAGAGCAGGGCTTTGAACCTTCTGGACCTGTCCATCTGGCCCAGGTGAAGGGCCTCACTTGGACGGCACTTGCTTTTTAAGTTCTGGTGTGCAGGCTTCTTTCCCGTTCTCACTTGGGAGTCCCATGGATTAATGCCTACCCCAAGCTCTTTCCAACATTCTTGACTCTTGCTTCACTTAGAGCCTTGGTTTTTCATTTTAAAAATCGATTCAACCCTTTATGGAATGAGGACTTGCAGTTATGTGTCCAAAAGAAATCAGGCCAGGTGCGGTGGCTCATGCCTGTAATCTCAGCACTTTGGGAGGCCGAGGCAGGCGGATCATGAGGTCAGGAGGTCAAGACCATCCTGGCCAACACGGTGAAACCCCGTCTCTACTAAAAATACAAAAATTAGCTGGGTGTGGTGGCATGTGCCTGTAATCCCAGTTACTCGGGAGGCTGAGACAGGAGAATTGCTTGAACCAGGGAGTTGCAGGTTGCCATGAGCCGAGATTATGCCACTGCACTCCAGTTGGGCAGCAGAGTGAGACTCCGTCTCAAAAAAAATAAAAATAAAAATAAAAAATAAAGAAATCAACTAAGGTCATTCCTCCTTCCATGCAAGCTCAGGGGTAAGGCTCAGGTCTCCCTCCAAGGCCTCCAGAAGAAGCAAGCCTGGACTGCCCACACTGTCCACCTGCTGCCAGAGTCCTGCAGAGTTAACCCTTTCTCTGAGGCCCTTCCCACTTTCCCTGGAAGGCAGAGTAAAAGCTGGTGCCTCAGAGCCCCATTGCATCCACCAGTGTGGGAAGGTTTGGCTGCCCTCATCTGATTCCTGGGCAGGACCAAGACAAGCATCTCAGGCAAGCATTCGCATGTCCCCGGGTGAGCTGTGTAAACTTGGGCCAGACAAATGATCTCTCTAAACCTCTCTGTTTTAACCTGAAAGGGAGGCTTGCCTCAGGGTAGGCAAAACTCCTTCTCCTATTTTAGCCAGAACATTTTTCCCCCAAAACCACAAAATACAACCCGGGAGCATGTGCAGGAGCACAACGGTGACAGCGGGGTCACACACGGCTCCGGTCACACCCCGGGGAGCCACCTGGAACAGATGATTTCGTCCGATGACTGCACGCCAGGCAGCTCCCCCAGGTGGTTGTCGGAGAGGTTCAGCTTCCGGAGATTGATGAGGCCCCAGGGGATAACCGAGGGGAGGGTCGCCAGGCAGTTGGCAGAAAGGTCGAGCTCCGTGATCTGGCAGGAGATGTCTATGAGCCAGTCTAGGTCTACCCAGGGCAGTCTGAGATGGGACCATTTCACACGGAGAGCCTGGTGGTGGAAAGAAAGGAAAAGCACATGTGGAGGGTGAGTTCAGGGCCCACATGGGCTTGGAATAAAGCAAGGGTTAATGCAAATGCGCGTCTGTGTGCCTGCTCCAGCCCGGGTCCCAAGAGGCCTGCACATGTCCTTCTCGGCCGCCGGCACCTGCCACGGTGGTGGGTGCAGAAGAGCTACCTGTTCCCATCGGCACCTGCGTCTCACAGGCAATCTGTGCACAGCGCCTGCAAGTCACCCTCCAACCTCCAGAGGGCGCCGGTGGGCGCGGGCTCAGTGCCGCCCCTCAAGAGGCGGCTCACAGGGAAGAGCGCGGCGGGATTGTCCACGTACAGAGGAGACCGCTGAAGCGTCCAGGCGCCTCCCCCAGACTGGAGAAGAAAGCTGACTCCCAAACCCAAGTCTCTGACCTCCCTTCAAGGCGGCCTTTCCTGTGATCAGAGGAGCTGCCGCCTGCAGCTGCCCGCACCGCGCCAGGGTGCTTGGTGGACAGGCTGCTTTCAGAGCGAGCCTGAGATACAGACAGACGATGGCCACACAATATATAAAAAACAGAACTCTGGCCCACGACCCACAGTGACCTGCCTAGGAAACCAACCTCTTTATCTATAGCAAACAGCCCGGGAAGCCAGTCTCTTGCAGGAGGCCAGCCTCTTTTTTTTTTTTTTTTTTTTTTTTTTTTTTTTTTGAGATGGAGTCTCGCTCTGTCGCCCAGGCTGGAGTGCAGTGGTGCGATCTCGGCTCACTGCAACCGCCGCTTCCCGGGTTCAAGCGATTCTCCTGCCTCAGCCTCCTCAGTAGCTGCACCACCACTCACGGCTAATTTTTGTGTTTTTATTAGAGACGGTGTTTCACCATGTTCGTCGAGCTCAGGCTGGTCTCAAACTCCTGACCTCGGGCAATCCACCCACCTTGGCCTCCCAAAGTGCTGCAATTACAGGCATGAGCCACTTCTTATCTCTAGTAACAACCCAGGAAGCTAAGCCATCATTTCCGTAAAAGTCAGTCTAAAATGGCCAGGACTTGGTTAATAACTGACCGATTCTCTAATTTTTGTCCTCACTTTCCATTTAGGACCAACCCGAGAGAGCCAACTTTGCACCCCTACCAATCCCATAGGATGCCCAGCCTGCAGCGAGGCCCCCCAGCTTCCCCACGACAACGGCCTCCCGGCAGGAGGCCCCGGAGGCCTTCCCTTTGTCCCACTAGAAAGCTCCCGCTCCTCTGCCAGCCTGTGGGTCTCTGCCACACGCAAGTCCTGGTGGCTGGCGCTCTTGCCGTTGAAGTCCTGCTAAACAAAATGTCTTTGCTCCACTCATTTCTCACTGGTCTTCCTTTATTTCCACCAGAGGGAGTCAGAAGGGCCAGCGGTTTTCCGGCATGGGGTGGTCAAAGGGACCTGGCGAAATATATGGGAGCAGGACTTTGCTCTTTCTTCCTGATTACCGAAGAATATTGGGCTCAATCAGGTTTCTGGGGAGAAGAAATCTGCTTTTGGGTCTGTTTCTTCGAAGCAACTGGAAATCCGTATTGGAAAATTAGAGGAGCAGAAATATGAACAAAAATTAGTGCTTCGCAAATGGGAAAATGTAACAAGCAGAGGCTACGAGAAAGGTCCCAATAACGTGGGATGAATTCCTCAAAAATTGGCGGCAGGTGACGGGCATCCCTATTTGGCCACCAGATGGCGATGAGCGCCTGTCTTTAGCTCCTCCTCCGCCCACTCCAGGAGTTTGGAAAGACTGGGCCTACGCCCCTCAACACTCCGTCCGGTCTTTGAACCAGAGGAATGAGGGACTCTGTCGCTCTGTCTGTCTGTCTCTCTGTTCACATGGATGAAAAGGGAAGGGCGGCACTGGATCTTAGGCCAGGAGGGTAGATTCTGAGCTGATTTTTTAAGACAAGTCACTCAATTGCCCTGGGCCTGTTTGATTGTTACTATTTTACTCCCCACATTTTAATTTTGAAAAATTTTTTAAATTTCAGAAAAGTTGCACTAGGACACAGTGAATACCTGTGCACTCTCCACCTCGACTCACTGATTGTTAAAACGCTGTCACATAGGCTTTTGCCCCTCTTTCTCCACACAAATACACACGCTTTTTATGTTTTGATGAATCATTTGCCAGTAAATTATACATCGTGATGCTTCACCCGTAAATACTTCAGCATGTATCCCTGAAGAATAATATTTTTCTACACAACAGCCGTATAATTATCATTTTCAGTAAGTGTAACATCAATACGATATTATTAAGTTCACAGCCCATGTTAGAATATTCTCAATTATCCCAGAAATGTGGTTTATAACTATTTTGTGTCCTGATCTGGGATCCCTTGACAATTGCATGACATTGCAATCACACACTGCATTACACTGTATGTTTCTTTACTTTTCTTTCATCTGGAAGAGTCTTCACACCTTTTAATGCCTTTTCTTTTTTTTTTTTTTTTTTTTATCACATTGTCGTTGCATTAAGTCCTGCAACTTTTAGCCTCTTCATCGGGGGCAGATGCTGGTGTGTTTCACTGCTTGTCTTATAGAATATCCCATAATCTGAATTTACTCAAGTTTTTCCTAAAGTTTAGATTAAAGTTAGCTATTTTGGGCAACAACCTTAGAGTCTAGTTGAGTGGTTCCCACTAAACCCCACCCGGGGCACCTGATATTAGGTGTTCCTGCTACAGGTGGTGCCCTGTTTGGTCTCATGGTTAAGGTGGTGTCTATCAGTCCCTCCTTTGTAAAGGTTAACATTATACCCTTTGCGATTAGTACACAATCTATGGGGTGATATTCTGAGACTATGTGACAATTCTGTGTTTCTGCATCCTTTTGCCCCATGGGTTTAGCCTCCGTTGCTGATCCTGGCCTGAATCAATTAGTACAACGGTGGTTGCAATGAGAAAGTTTTGCTAAAGCTACCTTTCTTTCTACATGTATTACCTGGCATTCTTCTGTATAGAAAAGCATTGCCTCCTCACCTGTTTAAGTATCACTATGGACTCATGGATTCTTTTTTTTCCCAAGTATCATTATTTTTTTGACACCCAAGTCATCCCCAATTTGTCCAGGGGGAGCCCCACTGGGGTGGGAGAGAGCCCCCTGTGTTCCTGTGACATATCGCTGTCAATTTTGGGACGCCTCCTTACTTCCCGGCAAAACAAGATCTTCCAGTCTCCTCTTGTACTTTCTAAGCCCAGGCCTTGATTCCCTTGAGCAAAAATTGGTATTTAGAAACCAAGATCTGGGTGTGAGGTGTGCTCATCACCGCTGGGGTGTCACTGCTTTTCAGCCCATTGATGGGACACAGCTCTGTATTTAACATGAGTGTGTTCTGATGCCTCCAATTCAATGCAGCAAAGGGGTTTTTTTCCCTCATCTTTCCATAATCCACAATTCACGACTGTATCACTCTTCATTCCATTATCATTGTTTTTAATCTGTTAAATAAGTGGCTTGGATCAGATGATGCCTAGGTCAGTTCTCGTCCCAATATTGTTTCCGGTGGTCGTCTTGCAAAGTACAGTGGCCTTTGGGTAGGAGTCTTTGGATAAGCATGACAGTCAGCCCAGCAACAGGCTGACAGGAAGGTCACCATGTGGACTTTGCAATGCCAAGTCAAAAAAGGCTCCACAGGGCCTGTCTGCCTCTCCTTCCTGGATTCACAGAGACACACCCAGGTCTCAGGGGCAAGGGCCAGACAGCTGAACATGGAATCAAGGTGTCCAGATTGCAATCCAACCCTCTCCACTCACTCTGCGTGGCCATTATGGTCTTTCCGTATGGAATGGTTGGTACCCAAACTGAAATGGCAGCCAAATGCAAGATGCAGGGGAGGCTGGTTATGGTTTTGGCTTTGACAACAAATCTTAAGTCTCTATTGAAAATCTTTAAATAAAACTCTGGGGACCATCATAAAATAAACAAAACAACAGCAAGTAATCAAATTATTACTGTAACATGACCCAATTATGGTACAAATACCTTGGGGAAGGGCTTAGGTGTGGCTGTCCTTACAATGGCAGCCTCCCTCTCAGCACCTCCTCCACATCCCCTGAGCTGGGGCTGGAGCCCTGAACTGCAGAAGGAGCAGGGGCTCAGCCTCAGGCTGCTTAACTAACTCCACGTGGACTCTGGGCAAGCCGCAGTGGAGGTGAGCACTTTTTTGGGCTCTGTTCAGCTTGAGACACTTTGTATTAACCTCTCCACTGATCTGTGTGGCACTGACTCAGCCCACATTTCTTTTGCTGTGGCAGACAGCATGGCCAACCGGAACCCGGACTGCACACCCCACAGTGCAGAGCCCTGCCTGGCTGCCTCTGCAGCTCAACCTCATACCCACTATGCAGCAGACACTAAATCAGTGTTTGTGAGCTGAAGAGATTCAAGCCACCAAGACCTGCAAGCTATCCACTCTGTGCACTTCTTACCAGATCAATCATCCTGAAATATCAAAGTCTGCGCAAGACCTTTCAGCTCTCCCTAGCCCACTCCGCCTTTAGCAGAACATCCAAAGTCCCTCCTTTGCAGCCTGACAGCCCCCCAGTTGGCTCCAACCCACTTTTCCAACTTTATGTCTTCCTGCCTCTTTCATAGCTTCTCCCTGCCCACCCAGAGCAGCCTCTGATCTATAGCGATGCCCTTTGCCTTCCTACTGGCAGTGATTTGTGGGGTTAATTTATTCTGGGTAAAAGAAATTAGGGGAAGGGGCACACTCCCAGGGCAGGGGAATTCGAGGCCAAGGAAAAGCTGCCAATCAAAGTGCAGAAACTGCTTGTTCATAAATCAACTGCAGGGCTCACAAGTAGGCCCAACATTGACATTTGTAGGAAGGGTTTTGGGGACCACAAGGGTGTAGCCGTGCTGTTGGTAACTGACTGGCCCATGTGCTCAAAGGGCTGCTGGGGTGCTCTGGGGCTGCAGACCTCCCCCGCCTCCCTACTGGAATGTGGGTTACCATGGTGACCAAAGGGGCCAAGATGGGAGGACAACATGGGAAGTACAAGGTGGGCTGGGCCTGGAGCTAAGAGGGTGATATGGTTTGGCTGTGTCCCCACCCAAATCTCATCCTGAAGGAGATAGAGAATTACGGGTAGCTCCCATAATTCCTATGTGTTGTGGGAGGCACCTGGTGGAAGATAATTAAATCATGGGGCGGTTTCCCCCATACTGTTCTCATGATAGTGAACAAGTCTCATGAGATCTGATGGTTTTATAAGGGGAAGCCCCTTTCACTTGTCTCTCATTCTCTCTCTTGCCTGCTGCCATGTAAGACGTGTCTTTCACCTTCTGCCATGATTGTGAGGCCTCCCCAGCCATGTGGAACTGTGAGTCCATTAAACCTCTTTTTCTTTATAAATTACCCAGTCTCAAGTATGTTTTTATCAGCAGTGTAAAAAGAGAATAATACAGAGGGTCTTTGCATACACCCTTAGAGTGGACCTCCTTTCTCCTCTTGGAGAAAGCAGATGTTGCCTGTTCCCAGAGCTCTCTGTAGGCACATACCCACTGTGCTTCTGCAGGACTGACATCTGATAAACTCAAGCTGGGAGGGAAGTGGTAAAAAGCAGAAGTCTGCAAAAATGTTGACACTCGGAAAATAGACATGCTTGGAAATGGTTTCTGGGCTGGATGGAGGTTGAAAAACCTGTGCAATTTCTACCTGGTCTGGGGCTAGTCTGAAAACTGATTTACAAAAGTTATTTTCTTGTTCAAGCACAGACATTACAGGGTGCCCAGGTGTCCACAAAGTGGCAGAGAGAAACTAGAAAAAATGCACAGTTAAAAAAGTTGTCCAGGGCTGGGCGCAGTGGCTCATGCCTGTAATCCCAGAACTTTGGGAGGCCAAGGCAGGTGGATCACTTGAAGCCAGGAGCTCACGATCAGCCTGGACAACATGGTGAAACCCTGTCTCTACTAAAAATATGAAAAAATAACCAGGTGTGGTGGTGCACACCTGTAGTCCCAGCTACTTGGGAGGCTGAGGCCGAATCACTTGAACCCGGGAGATGGAAGTTGCAGTGAGCTGAGATTGCACCCCTGCACTCCAACCTGGGTGACAGAGCCAGATTCCATCTCAAAATAAAAAATAAATAAATAAAAAGATGTTCATGCACTTGACATTAAAACCTAACTCTTCCAGCCCTGAAGCCCTCATTAGCCCTCATTATTTATTTGTGTCTAGTCCAGGCAGAATCACAATAAACAAGATTCCGAGAGAGCAAAGCCAGCAATTATATAATCCTATCCATGAAGGCTAAACTACAAAATCAAAGACAGCTGGTTAAGGAGAAGCCATCAATTCAACACAGGAGTGGTTAAGCTCCACCCACCCTATCACAAACAGGTGGAGAATGTGTTCATGTTGGTTTTTCAAGCATGAGCCCTTTAAATTTCAGTCCAAGTAAAAGGAAGTACCACTTTCTCGAGAAGGCTCAGTGCAATGATTTCAGAAACTTGTTTTCCACGGCAGTGGTGGTGACTTGGATTGCTTTCAAGAAGGATTAGGTGTATTTAAGGGCAACTGCTTCATTAGAGACTGATGTATAAGAAAGATCTCCTCATCTGGTGATGGAGGCTGCTGTTCAGGAGGGTGCTAGACACCTTCACATGATGCTTCTTGGAGATGTTAGCCATAAAATTGTCACAGTGAATGAGGCATTGCCCCACAATGACATCTCTTATGTTTTTATATCAGTGCAAACCTATTAGTTGAAGAAAAAAATTGTTCAATGAAGAGCTGGCATCTACAAAGCTTTTAGCCTGGTTTGAACCTCAGCAGATGTGGCTGGCACCCCAGCCCAGGGCAGACTCCGAAAACGATTCCTGGCCCCTGTGACATATGCACACAGGTGTTCCTCTGTACGATTCTGTGGGGTCAAGAGCAGCCTTGCCGGAGTGACGTTGTAATGTTAGCTCCTTGCTAGGTCTCACTGACCCCACAGCAGAATTCATAGCTCTTCCTGTGTCTGCAGCTCCTTGTTCCTGTCAGTTGGTCAGTATTTTGCTTATGGCTCATGAGTAAGAATCTTCCCCCCTAGAAACCGTAGATCCCTTCAGAGCACAGACTATAGCTCAGTGACAAAAGGGCACACCACAGTAAAAGCAGTTAATAGGTATCTATTCAATGAAGACACACGTTACAATGGGGGGAAATACACAGAAAGTTCTTGAACTTGTCAATTCTTGGCCCATACAAACCCCAAGTCTTTCTTTCTGCAGTTAAGCAAAGATTCCTGGGACGGTGCCTCCTCCTTGTTGAACCAGCCAGTAAGACAAGAGCCACATTCTGATACGCAGAAGTAACAATAAGAACAACTGAACAGCCAAAGAAGCTGCAAAATCAATGAACCTAATCTAAAATGGGGAGACTCACTCAAAGGCCTGGAGAAAATGCCAAAAGAAGCCCTGAAAACAAAGATGCTCAGAGCAGCAGGCCCAGAAATGGCATCTGAAGGCTCATCCCAGGTTATCTGCATGACGCCAGTGATTATAGTAGAGATGAGACGATGGCTGCAGAGAGCGTCTGTGCACCGACGCCCACAAGCTGAAGGTAAATTTCAAGGCTACAGGTTCCCAGAGAACTCTGGGAACTCAGACCATCAGACGGGGCCCTGAGTGACAGGGATTCAGTGACAGAGAACTGGAAACACCACAGACAGCAGCTCTGTCCCAGCATCCTTGTGCATGTAAAGGCCACAACAGAACCAAACAAACTGTGCCTCATCTCTGCTCCCAGGAGGAATATTCATTGTGGGTTTTCTAAACACCTACTTCTCAAGTTCCTGCACTCTGGTAGAGACAAGCTCTTAAGGAGAAAGGAGGCATTGAAAACGGGAGGATGAGGACACTGTACCTTGACTGGCCGTCTACCTGGCATCTAAGGTGGCCCATGGCAGGTGGATCCAGGCCAAGGGCAATGAAGTGAAGGCAGCAAGGATGGTGTGACGGGTTGCAGTGTGTCCCTCCAAAAAGATATGCTGAAGTCCTAACGCCCCGTACTGCGGAATGTGACTTTAATTAAAAACAGAGGTCATCTAGCCAAAATGAGGTTATTGTGGGGGCCATCATCCAACATGACTGGTGTTCTTATGAAAAAGGAGAAACGTGAACAGAGGCAGACAACGGGAAGACGATGTGAAGACACAGGGAGAAGACAGCAGATGACGGGGGAGATGTGGCCACAAGCCGAGAAGTGTTGGGGACCACCAGCAGTCCCCAGCAGCTGGAAGGGGCAGGGAAAGACCCTCCCTCAGGGCTTCCAGGAGAAGCCGACCCTTCCAACACCTTGACCGTGGACTGCTGACCTCCAGGACCGTGAGAGAATACATTTCTGTTGTGTTAAGCCACCCAGTTTTGGGTGCTTTGTTACAGCAGTTCTAAGAATTCAGATGGTAATGAGTCAAGGGAAGAGAGGGGAGGTTGGGACCAGAGAGCTGGGAACATTCCATTGACACAGATTATGGTCATGATCACACAGATAACAAAAGGAAAGGCAAGGAACAGACTCTTAGAAAGCCAAAAGCATTCCTGCTAAGTAGATTAGAAATGTAATTTTAAAAGGTAATGACAATGACAGAAAAATCAGCTATTAAATTTGGGGAAAGCCTGTGAGGACTCTATGATGTAAATGGAGAATTTCAGAAAGGACTTGAGAATAACCACCACAGGGAGTAGGGAAAGGAGAGACAAGAAAATGGGGGACAGTTTCCTTCTAATCTTAGAGGGGTTTACCCACTTAAATAAAAGACTGAATGAGATAAAACAATGAAGTCAGTTTTGACAATAGCATGTCTGTTAAAAAATATTGTAAATATCAGAATTAGTGGTTGGCTGCCAATATGTTTAAACAAAGAAAGGAAATATTACCGTTGAAACCAGATAAATGAGAAACCTAAGTACAAAAATAACTTACAAGATACACTTCTGATCATATATTAAACAGTCAACATGTAACAATCTGTACTAAACAGTCGTTGTAACAATCTGTGGCTACAAGTCCAGACTCTAGGCAAACAATCTGGAAGTAGAAATGTCAGATTTACTTACCAAAATAAAAATCATCAGTGACACGATCAGAGAAAAAACAAACATTGTATGAAACAAACAAGGAAAATAGAGAATCAGCTCCCCAAGTCTCCTAATTCAATATAATTTTTTCCCAGTCAAATATTTCAAATAACAAATAGTTCCTATGTTATGTAAGTGGTTCCTTAATACAGGACTCATTTCATTTTATGAGTCAAAACCAGTTACTTTGCAAGGGCCATTAAAATTCCAGCCCAATTACATGTACGCACATGGATACAAAACTGCAACAAAATATTTAATCAGCTACAACTAAACTCAGAGAGTTAAGTTCTCTGGCCAGGTAGGGTCTGAACAAAGACAAGGGCGTGACAGTAATTTAGGGAGGAGCACAGCACACCCTATCAGAGAAAGGGAAACTGAGCTTCTCTTTTAAGCAAGTGAATGCCAAAAGATGTGTTTAGTAAAATTCATCACTTTTTCTTTGCTAAAATTCTTAAAAAACAGGTAGAGAGGTTTTTAAAACAAAAAGCAACATTGTACTTTTTTCTGTAATATTTCAGTCATTTCTTTTAAAAATAGGAAACTTACAAGAAATCTCCTGTCACTAGTTCCAGCTTAGGAATTTTGCCAATAGCTATTTGAAAGAGGGAAAAAAATGCAAGAAATAAAAATATGGTGTCTGCAGTTAACTAAGCTACTTAACTTGCTTTCGAGAGAACCCTCAGTTTTCTCAACTTGTAAATAAAGACAAAACTTCCACCTCACAGGCTGTATAAGAGATTAAAATACAATGTTTGGCAAAGTACTTTTTTAAAGCTATGAGGCCCTACGTAAACAGAAAGGAGGTTACTGCATACAAAAATTTCAACCATCCACCCATTCATTCATCCATCCATCTATCCACCCACCCACCTGTTCATCCATGCAACCATGCAATCATCCACCCACCCATCTACCCACCCATCTATCTATCCATCCATTCATCCATCCATCCATGCAACCATGTAACCATCAACCCACCTGTCTACCCACCCATCTATCTATCCATCCTTCTATCCATTCATCCATCTATCATCCTCCTATCCATCCATGCAACCATCCACTGACCCATCTATCTATCCAAGCAACTATCCATCTATCCATCCATCCACACACCCACCCACCCACCCATCCATTTTCTACCTACCCACCTATCTATCGTGTTCCAAGTCCTATACGGAGGGGCAAACACAGGGTGAGCAAAATTGGCCAAGGTTTCTGCTTTGAGGAAGCTTCTAGTCATGTGGAGAAATTGATTAAAGAAGAATGTCACCCAAACAAATAACCCAAACTTTGTTTAGTGCTTTGAATAAAACTGACAGGGAGCTCTGAGACATAGAAGGTTGGGGTGGGGGCAAGTGACCAGGCCTGAGGGTTAAGGAAGGCTTTCCTGAGGATATTGTGTGGGGATCTGCAGGGTGTCCTGGGTCGAGGAGGAGCAGTGTGCTGAGTGCTGAGTGCTGAGGAGGCAGGCTCGCTTTTTCCTGGCTAGGCGTGGTCTGCTTGCTGGTACAGCATGGATGGTATAGTCTTTCCCTGCCACCAGATATTTTGGCTTCCTTTCTTTTTTTTTTTTTTTTTGAGACAGAGTCTTGTTCTGTCGTCCAGGCTGAAGTGCAATGGCACTATCTCGGCTCACTGCAACCTTGCCTCCCAGTTTCAAGCGATTCTCCTGTCTCAGCCCCACAGTAGCTGGGATTATAGGCATGCACCACCACACCCAACTCATGTTTGTATTTTTAGTAGAGACGGGGGGGTTTCACCATGTTGGCCAGGCTGGTCTCGAACTCCTAACCTCAGATGATCCACCACCTTGGCCTCCCAATGTGCTGGGATTATAGGCGTGAGCCACCGCACCCAGCAGACATGTTGGTTTCTTTCCCCCATGTCTTCTTATCATAAACAGCAGTGCTGTGGCCATGTTTGTGGCCATCACTATTGATTTCATTTGAATTCTGTCCTAGAGGTATTCTTCAGAAAGGAAATATTGAATTCAGAACAGTTCACTGGGAGAAAAGAGGTTTATAGCTTTTGCCACATGATGCCAATTACTTTCCACACATATGGAACCAATTCACAGTGCCAGCAGCAAGACCCTGGTGTGTCCGTTGCTCTGTGCTCTGCCAAATGTCTTACTCATTGTGTATATTTATTTTTGCTAGTTTAATAGGTGTGTGACAGTACTTGCAAGCTGTTTGAATTTGAATTTCTGTAATTGCCAGTGATGTTGTGTATGTTTCCATGCCATGATTTACTGCCAGTGTTTTCTTATATGTAAATTAACTGTTCATTCTCTCAAATTTTTACTTGCTGGAATCTGTGAGCACTGTGACAGCCAGGGCAAAGGTCTGGCCATCACTGCTGGGTCCCAAGCATCTGGCAGGAGATCGATAAACTTTGGCTAAATTAAATTCGATCATCAGCTGACATGGAGTTGCACCAATGATCTACCTTGGATTTAAGTGTTTGTCAGTTATTTTTTCCGAAATATTTTCCATGTCTTTTCTTTTTAAAATTATGTTTTAGTATAAATAATTTTGCTTTAATGTTCATGTTATTTCTGATCATATATCTTCATATATGTTTAGAAATTGAAAGGCAGTCATCTCCCTCTTATAACTGGGATAAACATGCTTTTAAATATATATATGTCTCTATAGATATAAGATCTATAGATATGATTATATTAATAATCATATCTATAGATATGCATATTCTGATGAGTTTTCAAAGCTTAACGCTAACTTGTCTAGAATCCATTTGTATCATAATGAATCTAAATCTCTGTGCTGAACTCCAACAGTTCTCACAGCCTTGGCTAATGTTTCTTACTCTTATTCTCTTTCTTATTCTTTTCTCATTACGTCTTCTAGTTTGTCACTGAAGTTCAAATAATAGTTTTTCTGTTTCTGCCTGTCTAGCTTAATCATTTTTCTCTGTCGTTAACTAAATACAAGTGACTGACATGCTCACTGCTTTGTCGGATGTCTTAAAATCCAGCAGGACGACATGAACACAGGACTGAGAAGCCACGCGCTGTTCCCCTTCACTTATTCTGCCACGTGACCCTGGCTACCCATTTTCGAGTTCTATGAAGCACTAACATGCACATGGATAGCATCACATTTGTCTCCTATTCCACAGGGAAAACATATGGGCAGAGGAAGAGGACAGGGAAAGCTTCAGTATTTGGAACCTGGAGAAAATGGGCATGTGTGGGACAATGGACTGAACTGCTCACCAGGACACAAGAATAGTGGAACTGGTGGAAGGATGCTGGGAACAGTCCAGGGTTTACTTCATGACCCTCAGAGGGTAGGAAAAGGGCCTCCTCTTCTGTTCACACGAGCGACTGTGGAACAGGCCAGGCCAAGAGGAGTCAGGGTCCATGCCCCAGCCCTGGCTGTCACCATGGGGGCCTTGCTGGGCCAGGCTGAATTCTGGGAATGCCAGTGCCCACGTTGGCTCCTACAGCAGCACCGCCTGCTGAGAAGAGGGTATGTGGCGCCAGGGCGGTGGTGATGTGTGCGGAAGTGCTCTGCAATGCACGAAACTCTGGAGTGACACCCTCTGCACCAAATGTGAGGTCCTATCTAAGACAGGGTTGTTCCCCAGAGGCCTCAGGTGTCCCTCAGGAAAGGCCACCAGCCCCCAGCCATCAGGCACTCTCATGAGCACGCAGCCCTGGCTCAGCTGCCTCCAGCAGCAGCTTGCATGGCCCCAGTAAAACGCCTGCCTTAACCCTGAGGATGTGCAGCTGGGCTGCTTGCGCTCAGGGCACTGACACACAGACATGAAGGGTGGGGCACCAGGAACTTGAAAGCTACATATGCCGGAACTGATCCAAACAGTAATAATAGATGTCCCTCTCTCTTTAGGTTAGCTGCCAGATTTGAAATCATTAGAGACTTTTAAAAGGAAATTAATAATTTCCCCATTGGGTTGTTTGAAAGTTAATTTCAGGTCTGCTCTACTTCCACACTTAAAACAGCCCCAGTGAGCCCTCAGCCTGGCCCTCTAACTGCTGAACAGGAGCGAACATCGTGGTTATTCTGGGATCTGATTAGGCTTTTCCTGGCATTTCTGAGTTTTCTTGTTCCTTTCTGGGTGTGACAACATCAAAGCATTAAGCTATTTCTCATGGCAACGCAGCTAAACATTGACCCGATGTTCACCACGAACGCGGGCCGTCTCATTAGATGTTCAGGCAAAACTTTAGCAGCTTTAAGAGGAGCACTGCCCAGCCAGGCAAACAGCATGGCCAGGTCTGACTTTACTTCACTTTTGTTTCTTAGAGAGTGTGTCCCAGCAGTCCAGACCATACAGTGTGGCCTCTGGAACCTTCTTCATCCAAACACCAGCAAAACCCAAGCAGCCAGCCACTGCCAATGGAAAACAAATGTGGGTTTCTCTGTATTTTCTCCCTTTGCGGGCAGAGGTGGATTCGGGCTATGCTTGGCCCAGAAACATGCAGAGGGGCTGCTGTACCTGGGTCGGCTGTGGCTTCCACACACGCAGCAATTACATTAAAAAATACTGACCAGCTGGTGTGTCAGGCAGAGCTCAACCACACAAAAAACACGATGGCACATGCATGATCTCCCTAAGACATCATCGCGTGGCCCGTGACTGCTTGTTGTACCAGGGCTGGAGCAACAACCTCCGTCACACGTGCCCTGAAGGGACCGTTACTTCAACAAGGTCACAGCCATGAGTGCCAGCAGTGCCAAAGGCCTTTTCAGACCATGTGTCATGTCAGTGAAGCACCCTTTTAATACCTACCCTTGTGTAATATTCTGAACCAACCCAAACTGTCACTTTAATCCCACTGGATACCTGGGAAGGTAGGAGCACTTACCTCTGGCTCCTGAGTCATCCTTCCTGACTGCCGGAACCCTCTGCCCGGACCCCTCTCTGTTCTCTTCTGCCAGCAGCACCGAAGGAATGTGCTGTTGCAGGTTAGAGATGACGGGGCAGCCAGGCACACCCACTCCAAGGTACTTGCCTCTGAAATTCACTTGAATGCTAAAAATACCACCTGCTTTGGGGAAGCTCAAGGAGCCCTTGAGACTCAGGTTGCGCTGAAATTTCATTTCCTCTTCTGATTCCACGCAACAGAGCCAGTTAGAGGAAAAGCACCATTGCCTTTTCCTTGTCTTTTCATTCACAAAATGCAGTAATCGCTTCCTCCATGCTCTATGCCAACCTTGGCATGTGTAAGAAGAGTTGCCTCACAGAAAAGATCACAGGTAGAAGATAACAGCTGTTTCTGCTTTTACCCTTACACCAAGAAAATCGGAGCCACTGGCTCTTGACCTTGGGTGCACATTGGAATCACCTGGAGAATTTCTAAAACTCCTCATGCCGGGTCTCACGCTACAGATTCAGATTTAATCAGTGTAAGATGTGGTCTGAGCATCAGGATTTTAAAAAGTTCCCAGGGATTATGATGTGCAGAGAATCATTCGTCTATGTGAAACCTAGGCGGTACAGTTCAGGAACTGTGTTCGGGAGTCTAAGCATCAATACTGTTTAGTATTTGTCATCCTTGGACAAATAACGTAATGTCTTTATACCCCAATAATTTCATATGTAAAACAGATGCTATTCCCTGCAGTTCTTACCGAGGTGTTATAAGGACCAAATTAGTTAAGAAAGTGCTTGGAAAAGTAACAAGCACTACATAGATGTAAGGGTTAGATGATCATCATTTCTTTTGGTGATGTGCGGCTAATAGCAATATAACTAATATTTATTGAGCACTTATTATGTGCCAGGGCCTGTGCTAAGTGCACAGCTGCCCTGTGAAGGGCATTGTTATCCCTGTTTTATAACTGAGAAAACCAACCAAGGAACAGATAGGTAGAAATATACAGAAAGTAGAATATCAGTATTCTTTAGAAACTAGGAAACCAGCAGGAATAAGGGAAGGGTAAAAAGGAAATAGTAATAAATATAAATTAAAGAGATGGAAAAATATATACTAATAGGACAGGTTGTACACAAATATGAAGTGGGTGGATCCCTCGTTCAAAAGAAACACACTCAGATGAGATTAAAAACCAAATGCTGTTTACAAGAAATATACCTACGGCAAAGAGACAAATAAAAACCTGAAAATAAATATCTGGGAAAACTTATCCAAGGTTGACACAAAGAAAAACAGGGCAAAGTGGACACGTGAAGAGAAAACAAACTCAATTTCAAGGACAGAGACATCAACAGGATTAAGGTGGCCATTTGATATAACCAAAATAGGTATTGATGAGTCATAAAGCCAGAAACCAGGTATGTCAAGCAAAACCTTGTAGAGACATAAGAAGAATGAGATTTTAAAAATCATCAGAAGTGGGAAATAAATATATGTACTTGTATCGATGGATGTATGTACACTTGTACATCTCTATATATCTATATATCTCTATATCTATATTTCAGGCTCTGATAAAGAAAGCTAGCACAAACAGGCAGCACATAAAGGGCTCAAATACTGTAATCAACAAGCTAAAATTAGAGAAAAAGGAGGAAGAAATAAATATTCAACTCAAGAAACAGGTAACATCTATTAGGCGTTTGCTACGTGCCAGGCTTTGCTATTAGGATGTCACAAATATTACTACACTTATTTGTCAAGCATCCCTCTGAGACAGGTATTTTATTGCTTTTCCCATTAAACCAAGACACAGACGAAGGCCCTGCAGTACTGAAGCCTGGAGTCCAGATAAGAACCAGGAAGTCTCATGCCAAGGCCTTGCTTTAACCTCAACACCATCAACAAAACTCTCAAAAAAGAACATATGGGCCGGGCACGGTGGCTCATGCCTGTAATCCCACCACTTTGGGAGGCCGAGGCGGGTGGATCACCTGAGGTCAAGACTAGCCTGACCAACATGGTGAAATCCCATCTCTACTAAAAATACAAAAATCAGCTTGGTGTGGTGTTGCACACCTGTAATCCCTGCTACTTGGGAGGCTGAGGCAGGGGAATTGCTTGGACCCGGGAGGTGGAGGTTACAGTGAGCTGAGACCACGCCATTGCACTCCAGCCTGGGTGACAAGAGTGAAACTCCATCTCAAAAAACAAGAACAGAAACAAAACAAAACAAAACCCCAAAAACAACCATATGAAGAGGGTTTTAATACAGACAGAAGTGAAAATTAATGAAATAACAAACAAAACAAGTAATTTTAAAAAATCTATCAAGTTCCTTGACAGTTCCTTGTATTTTAACATAAATCTCTGGCTAATTTGATTAAGTTTGAAAGAGAAAAAGTAAAACTGTTCAACAGCATAAATGAAAAGAGTAATATAAGTATAGATATAGAAGAAAAGAATGAGAAAAATGTCAATGCAACATTATGATGGCAAATTCAAAAACCTAAAGGAAATGGATAATTTTCTACCAAAATATAATTTCCTGACTTGCATATAAGGGAAAGCAGACAATGTGAATTGACAAATGACTTCAAAAGGAATCAGAAAATAAAGATCTGCTTTATCTAATTAACCATTAACAATAAATAATTCCTGTGAGACTTCTCCAGATAATAATAAGATGGAAAGTTCCCCATGTTATTTTGTAAAGCTAGCATCATCTTATATAAAACCACATAGAAACATTAAAAATAGAAAATTATAGATCAATTCACCTATAAACACAGATGCAGAAACTGTAAATAAAATATCAATAGATCAAATCCAGCAGTTAAAAAAAGACAATGAGCATTTATAATAGGAGTTCAAGGTTGAGTCAACATCTATCAAAATCATTTATTAAATCAATAAAGTAGAAAAGCTATATGAATACACTAATTGCTGCAAAAAGGGATTTGAAAAAGTTCAGTAATGTTTCCTAATAAAAACTCAAAGCAAAAATGAATACATGGAAACTACCTAAATATAACAAGAACCTATTTGCTAACTGTCCAGAGCAAATGCTTATAAATTGGTGACACCAAGACATTTAAAATCAGGAACAAGATAGATATAACTGCTAGAGTCATGATTATTCAGTTTTTGAGATTTCTAAAGATACACAATAAGACATGGAATAATAAGTTGTATAAATATTAGAAAAAAGAGATAAACTTGTTTTGAATTTGTAGAATATGTGATCATATATCCAAAAGTATTGAGGAATTCTAGTAAAAACTACATTAGAGTGAATAAGAGAAGATGGGAAAGGAACTGGATAAAACAGAAATAAACAAAATAACTTTTCTCCATACCAGTAACATCAGGTTGGAATAGAAATGGAAAAGAGTTATATAAATATATAGATAGTTCATTAAAATGGTAGCAAAAACAATATAAAAGTCACTAACAGACAAGACAGGTCCAGGAGTTTTAGGAAGAAAAGAAAAAAATCTCATTAAAGAACATAAAAGCTACACAAATAGAGTCACTGTGGGAAATGAGCAAAATAGAAGAACAAATGTCCGATAATAGTCCAGTCAAGATATCTTTGAAAAAAACTAATGAACAGAAAACTTGCATTAACAGATTGTAAAACTTAAATGCAGTGCCTATAATCGAAACAATATGACATTTGCCAGAAACAGATTAATAGGCCAGTGAACCAGTACTGAGAATCCCAAAATGTATACAGATATAGGTACTGGGGAAAATGCCAATGGTGACATCTCAATTCAGATGAGAAAGAAAACTTCATTTTAAAAACTGTGCTAGAGTAGCTGGCTATCTGGAAGAGATAAAAGCTAGCCACCTCCACCCTCTGCCACTTCCCTCATACAATACACACAAATAAATACCAGAAAGGTTAAAGCTTAAAATGTAAAAACTAAATGAATGAAAACATTACAAGGAACTCCAGGAGAATACTGAAATAAAATTAGAGGGAAAGTGGCCTTCTTGTATAACCACATACCAGAAAGGAGAAGATGAACATATTGAATTATGTATTATTTTACCTTTGCTATCACAAAAGATAACAAAAAAAGAAAAATAATGGATTGGGAAAAATATTGGCAACATTTATGATAAAGTCTTAAAAATCTCTAATGTTCAAAAAAAAAAAAACCCTCCAAAGTGAGAAAAAAAGACAAACAATCCTTTAGAAAAAATAATCAACAAACATTAACAGGCAGTTCACATAAAGGGAATGCAAATAGTTCATGAACATATGAAAAGATATCCAGTATTATTACTAATATAACATGGAAATTAAAATAAGCAGAAATTATTTTTGCCTCACACTGATGAAAATTAATAGGCTCCAGGATGCCTACTGCTTGCTGGCTGAGGGGTGGAGACAGAGAATCCCACCTATTGCTGGTGAAAATGTGAATCACCAGAGTGTTGGGGGGCAGTGTTTCCAAAGCAGCCCACTTTTAGGACTGTGCTCTACATAAGCAAACATACCATAGCAAATCAGGCTATATTGCAACAGGAAAAAAAAAAGAACTATTTCAAATGTCCACCAATAGCAGGAGAGCTATGTCAACTAAGTGACACTGGCTCTATGTATTTAAAGAACGTCCCTAAAAGAATGAGTTGAAGCCACAATAACTGATCTAGAGGAAGTCCATGATAGAATACTAAATTTAAAAAGCCAAGTTGAAGACAATGTAAATAACGCAATAATATTTTTGTTATTAAAATGGGAAATTAAAACTAAACCCTGTATAGTTTTGTAAATGTTTTTATAGCATTGCATGTGGAAGGATGTGAAAAGATCCCTACCAGGTTGTTAAACTATTTACTTCAAGGGCAGAAGATTCATAATTTTGATTACCACTCTCAATTGTGATCACTTGTTATAACAATCATTCATAACTTTAGTAATTTTAAAATTTAACACATAAAAATTTAAAAAAGAAATATGTTAAATATGATATATTTAACCAATTTTTGAAAAAAGGAAAAGAGAAAAAAAACAACCAAAAAAAACCAGAAACAAAAACAAAAACTCTGGGAGGGGGATGAAGCCCAGATTTCAGCTCCCACCCTGCTATAGCTTGAATGTCCCCTTCAAAACTCATGATGAAATGTAATTGCTGTTGTGATAAGGATGGGACCATTAAGAGGTGATTAGGCCAAGAAGGCCCCACCCTCATAAATGGATTGATGTTGTTATTGTGGAAGTGGGTTTGTTATTTTGAGGGTGGGTTGTTATAAAAGTGAGTTCTTCCCTCTCTCAGTCTGTTGGTCTCTTGCCCTCCACCTTCATATCACTGCATGAAGGCCCTCACCAGATACCAGCACTATGCTCTTGGACTTCTCAATCTCCAGACCTGTAAGCCAAATATATTTCTGTTTATTATAAATTACCCAGTCTGCAGGATTCTGTTACAGCAGCACAAAAGGAACTAAAACACACTCCACAGGCAGTGACTACTCACTGTTTTTCCCGGATAACTGCTGGGCAAGGGACTGGCTTCAATGAAGTACTTTCTCAGCAGATGTTTGCTGGGGTCAGGACTATCCAGCAAGATGTAGGAACAGAAATAGGCCCCATGCCGAAGCAGGAATATTGCAATGTCTTCATTCCCTAAAGGAACAAAACCAAAAAGCTAAGGGCATGCAGATGCTAGTGTCACAGTCGTTGGAAGGGCAGACTCTGATATGTGGAATGGAAACTGAAAAGGTACTTGTGCATGTTGGACTTCTCTATTTACTTCCCTTGGTGCATCAAGTTTCTGTTAGTGGGAGAATTTCTGTGGGGCTTTGCCCTTTGGAGTGCCTCGTACAACAGTCCCATTAGCCACAGTCAGTCTCTGTCACTGAAATCCCCTTGCGGGGGCAAGTAAGGAGGAAATGAGGAAGGGTGCAGATATTTTGAAAAAGAAACATAGAACAGGAGTTGCAAAAGTCTCCTCACAGAGGTGATTTGAGAGCCAAGAGTGAGAATAAAGACACAGTCCCACATCTGGAGGCTGAGATGGTTTGCACGGTCAGGGTTGACTCAGGGTAGTGGGGAAACCCACCTGACTTGATGGCCGCATACAGGGGCAAGCGCACGATGACAGGGAACTCATTCTTCCTGACAGCGTAGCTCTCCGGGTCAGCCCCGTGCGTCAGGACCAGGAGCTTCACAACCCCCAGGTGCCCTCGCTGGCAAGCCAAGGCCAGCATCCAGTTCAGAAGCCGCTGGGGACTGCAGGGACCTGGCAGGAGATGGCAGGACAAAGGGAAAGTGCCACTGAAGGGTGCTGTTTGTTCCCACTCTGCTCTTCCCTTAGACCGCTAGTAGCAATGGACTGGTTAAATAAAATGTGGTACATTTGCACCATGGAATACTATACAGCCATAAAAAAGAATGAGATCATGTACTTTGCAGCATCATGGATGGAGCTGGAGGTCATTATCCTAAGTGAACTAACGCAACAACAGAAAACCAAATACTGCATGTTATCACTTATAAGGGGGAGCTAAACATTGAATGCACGTGGACACAAAGAAGGGAACAATAGACACTGGGGACTACTTGATGGTGGAGGGAGGGAAAAGGGGGAAGGTTAAAAAATTACCTATTGAGTCCCATGCTTATTACCCAGGTGACGAAATAATCTGCATACCGAACCCCGGCAACATGCAGTTTACCCACGTAACAAACCTGCATATGTACCCCTGAACCTAAAGTAAAAGTTAAACAAAACAAAACAAAACCCAGCTGTCCTGTTTCCAGCTGAAAGTTGCTTCTGTTGAGTTGATAGTGTTTTCTGGAATAGTCTCTCTGAATTGCATATGACATTTCCCCACATCAGTCACCCACCTGCTTGTCAGATAATGCCGAGTGATGAAATGGAGGATTAAAAATGGCGTATCCAGCATGATCTTAGCCAAATAAAAAATGGGTGTGTGGAAATAAGACTAGAAACAACTACCCCAGCATTGTGGTATTTTCTCTGGGCTCTCCCCTGCCCTCACCCCTCCCCTAGGGTAACATTACATGCAGGAGTATGAACTTTGGAGACAGGCATTTTAGAAATAAAATAATTTAGTATGTAATTTTGGACACATTTCTTAATCTCTCTCTGTTTCAGTTTGCCTGTTGGTAAAATCGGAATAATAATACTCATTCTTCCAAGTTTAATGTGAGGACTACATCACAAAATGCATGTCAAGTGCCTGGATCAATAAACCCTAACTCATGATGTTGTGTCATTGTATTATTAAAGTACTGACACTTTCCCACATTTTAAAATTATCTATAATATACATATATTACTTTCATGAATAATAATAATAAAAGCTTTGGTGAAAGATCTGTCAGGCCTAAAAGTGACAATTTCTCCCCAGTAGAACCACCTACTTAATTCCAGGATGAAATAACACTTAGCACATTGAATTGACGGGGGCAGTGTGGGCTGAAATGTTACAATATCTTCAAGTTCAAAATAGTGCAATATCTTTTGGGTCTAGTTGCCATGGAAAAATGACCTCATCTTCTGCAGGGACACTTCCCAAATGCATCATAACACTGCCTCATTTCCAGAGGCACATAGTCCTAGGGATCAAAGTGCTCCCAAGTGAGGAGAGAGTGACTCTCTCCTTCGCGACAGGACATTGATCAGGAAACCGGGGTCAGGATGGCCCTGTATTCACCAAATAAAGCATGTAGCATAGGGCTGAGGCTGGAGCCAGTGCCAAGTAAATATCCCTTCTTCTCCCTCTACTGTTAACCAGAATTAATGATTTGTAGGTATGTTAACAGAAAATAAGTGACCCCTAATCCACTTACACAAGAATATCTGGGTAAGAGAAACACAGTAACCATGCTAGTAACTTCTGTTGAGATGGGGATGTGTCAGTCTTTGGAGGCAGGCATTATATTTCAGGACCATGATTTTAAGATGAGGAAACCAAAGCTCAGAGAGGTTTGGAAATGTAGGAGATTGGTCAGAGTCGTAGGAAAAACTACAGGGAAAGGACACAAACCTTCTGAAAGTTTGGAAGCTTCTGCAGAGCCCTGGGGGAGAACAGCTGAAGGCAGAGGGCAAGGAGTGTAGGGGAATGTATCTTAAACAGGCTTGTTTACTTATGTTGACCAGGAACTGACCTTTGATCATCTGCTGGCTTGATGTTCCCTGAAAGGGGAACAATAAATGTTAATTACCTACAGGTTGTGTTGGCTCCAGGTTTTCGGCATTGTGCCTGCACTGAATGAAAGCAAGCAGCTCTAGCTTCTTCGGGCTGCTCTCTGGCCAACAGAGCCAGGCAGTGACTCAGCTGCTCTTACACCGTACACCTGTGTCTGAGTACTCATTTCATCCATCAGCCAGGGTCTGTGGGACACACCTGGCAGGGAAACTTCTTGAAGGTCCCACAGTTAGTAAATAGCAAGGTCAAGACTTAAACCTTGCTTTGTCTAAAATCAAAGGGTGCTCTCTTAACCACACAAAACCCCTACAGGTACTCTCTACAGCCTAAGGCCAACGACACTCAGAGGAGCCCCTCTTCCTCCCTGCTCAGCTTCAGAGACCAGGAATCACATAACAACGTGCTTCAAAGAATGCATCCCATCAACCTCTCATCCCTCTTCTTCTCAAACCCTCCTTTGTTCTCTAGCTGCTTCTTGTTTTTGTTTTTTGTTTGAGACAGGGTCTCCTTCTATCTCAGCCTGGAGTGCAGTAATGTGATCATAGCTGACTGCAGCCTTGGACTCCTGGGCTTAAGCCATTCTCCCACTTCACCCTCCCAAGTACCTGGGAATATAGGCATGTGCCACCATGCCTGGTTAATTTAAATTTTTTTTTTTTTTTGTAGATACAGGGTCTCACTATGTTACCCAGGCTGGTCATGAAATCCTGGGCTCAAGTGATCCTCTTGCCTTGGCCTCCCAAATTGTTGGGATTACAGGCATGAGCCAGCATGTCCAGCCTGACTCTTGTTTGTCTTCTTGTCTTGACTTACTCCTGACCATGGCTGACTTCCCTTCCAGCTTGGGAACTCCTTTGCAGGAAGTGCAGGGATGGGTACACACTGTTTTGCCCATCTCTGCACTTTCTGCAAAGCCCACCACAATGGTCTGAAATCCTTCAGTCCTCAGCAGCTTTGCTCAGAGTTGAGCTGAAGATACGATGCTCCTGGGAGCAGTTGAAAACCATGACGAGGTTCAGCCACACTTCCTGCTCTGCAAAAGCAGGCAACCCAAGTCCTTCCTTCACTTGTCTGCCAAGTAAACTCCTATTCACTCTGCAAAGCCCAGGTCAGATGTCAGCCTCCCTTCGGAGACCCTACCCTGCCCCCTGATGTGTGCTCCCAGACCTCTGCGTAAAAATACTTCAACCTCAGTGTAGTTACATTGCACAGTGTTACTCCTTTCTGCCTCAATTTCCCCTGCTTGGCCAGGAGGTACTAAATGGCTGGGAAAATCTTTAAAAAAATTATCTGTCTCTCACGTTCTACACAGTTTTCAGCACTTGACAGTATTCAATAAATATTAGCTAACATTAGGTGACGGAGTCAGCTGGTGCAGACTCTTCAGGGCTAGAACAGAGCTAATCTTGGGGCTCCCCGAGAAGAGGCAGGTCAGCCTTTGGCTCCTCAGGAGCACCCAAGCTCCTCTCTGCCCTCCTATGTCTTGTCTTAGTATGCTTCTCATGGGCCCTAAAATTGCCCTGATTTCTGCCCATAACCTCATTCTGTTCAGACACATGAGGGGAACACTAGCTTGGAACCAACGCTGAGCACAGATCTATCAAAGCCCACAGCTGGAAACCCTCAAACAAGACCACTATATAAGGGGTGAGGCCCAATGCAAAATGAAAAGAATGGGGCTTCTTGTTTAAAAATCATGAAACATTTTAAGATAGTGAGTACAGAGTATTAAACGTAACGTGGGCCCTTCTAGGTGCAGGGCCCTGGGTGACTGCATGTTCTCCCACCCAAGAGGTGGGCCCTGGCTCCCAAGCAAAATCTCAAATCCCAAAGACCATGGCTAGGGTGTGCCTCACCCTATAGCTGTAGCGATGCCTGCCTAGACTGGTGCAGTGTTTCTGAGCCAAGACCACCACGGGAAATTACAGGAGACCAGGACATCTTGAGTTCACCAGAGAAAAAAATAGTTCCTACAAAAGCAACATAGTGTGGTACACCAATACAATGGAATATTATTCAGCCATTAAAAGAAATGAGCTATCAAGTCACAAAAAGGCATGGAGAAACCTTAAATGCATATCGCTATGGGAAAGAAGTGAGTTTGAAACGGCTACAGACTGTGGGATTCCAACTAGAGCGATGTTCTGGAAAAGGCAAAGATAGTAAAAAAGATCAGTAGTTGCCAGGGGCCAGGGGAGGGAGGGAGGGAGGGAGGGATGGGGCCAGGGGAGGGGTGGAGCACAGAGGATTTTTAGGGCAGTGAAACTGCTCTATGTAATACTGTCATGATGGACACGTGTCATTATCCATTTGTCAAAACCGATGGGATATACAACAGCAAGAATGAATTGCAACGTAAGCGATGGACTTTAGTTAGTAAGAAGGTATCAATATTAGTTGATCAGTTGTCACAAATGTCCCACACTAACACAAAACAGAGTTATAGGGAAAACCATGTGGAGGGCGCACAGTGGAGGGTCACCTCTCTGAGCTTTGTTTTCGTCATCTTAAAACCATGGTTCTGAAATATAGCACCTGCCTCCTGAGACTGATGCGTCCCCATCTCAATAGAAGTTACTAGCATGATTACTGTCTCTCTTACCTAGATATTCTTGTGTAAGTGATTTAGCGATCACCTGTTTTCTGTTAACATACCTCCAAATCATTAATTCTGGAACTCCGTACATTCCAATTGATTTTTTCCATAAATCTAAAACTTCTCTAAAAAGACCAAGGTCTATTAATTATTTTTTTAAAAAGCAATGTTAATTACATTCTTTATGAAATATGGTGTTTGAGAATTTCCCTTATGAGTTCATGGGAGTGAGAGGTGGAATGTGGCTGGCAGGCAAGCTTCACTTTGTTTGGGTGTCAATGGCCTACCCTGTATTTCTTGATCTCATTATTGGTGAAAGCATGAAGAAGTAAACATTTTGGGGTGAAGCCTAAGAAGAGGGTGCCCTGAGACACGGTTAAGAGCTCATGCCCTGTGATTTACCTGGTAAGGACTCAAGCAATTCCTGCACAACTGCCGTGTGTCCAAAATACGCTGCCACCACGGCTGGGTTGTCATCCGTGGGCTCGGTGGGCAGCTCCACCAGTCTCTTGCTGAGTAGGTAGCGGACCATCTCCAGATCCCCATAGGCTGCCGGGATGCTCAGAAGCTGGCCCTGGTCAAAACAGAACAGGGCTCCAGTGAGACTGGCTCTATTAGGAACTGCCAAGACAACTGACGTTAAACCCTTCACCAGGTCCCGGAGCAGGACTGGAGTTGTGTTGTCCAGAACGGCAGCACCTGCCAAGTGTGACTGGGCAGCACTTGAAATGTGGCTCCTCAGAAGTGAGAGGTGGAGAGTATAAAATCACACGTGAATTCAAAGACCTAGTACAGAAAGGGTAAGCTAGCTCATCAATAATTTATGTTGATTACATGTTGAAACAATGATTTTAATATATTCATGTTAAATAATATTAACATTTTATTTGTTTGTTTCTGTTTGCTCCTTTATTTTATTTATTTTTTTTGACAGGGTCTCTCTCTGTTACCCAAGCTGGAGTGCAGTAGTGCAATCTCAGCTCACTGCAGCCTTGACCTCCCAGGCTAAAGTGATCCCCCTGCCTCAGCTTCCTGCGTAGCTGGGACTGCAGGCACATGCCACCACACCGGCTAATTTTGTTTATTTTTTTTGTAGAGACCAGATCTTGCTATGTTGCCAGGGCTGGTCTCGAACTTCTGAGCTCAACTGATCCTCCAACCGGAATACCTGTGATTATAGGTGTGTGCTTGTTTACTGCTTTAATGTGGCTACTAGAAAATATGATATATACATGTGGCTCGCATTTGCTGCTCTCGACTACCTGCTTCATGAGGAAGGGGACGGTGTGCATAGCCCCTTCTGGCATAGAGCCAGAGCTCAGTAACCACTTGGTACATGTTAAGTCAGCCTTGCGAAGGGGGAAGGGAACCAGCTCTCTGAAGAACCATCCTGCAATGTATTCATAAATGGAATGTGACACACCAGGGGACTTCACAGATCTGAATCCTGGGACAAAGATCCTCCAGCAGCATGCAGAGGGACTCTTGACTTGGTGGCCCAGAGGAAGGAAAGGATATGGTGGAAACTGGACCTAAGCCTGAGTTCCTGCTCATTCCAGTCCTTCTGGTATGTAAAGGTCCCAGGAGGAGGGCCATGTGTTAATATATGAACAAGGATGTGGAGGTTCAGAGAGGCTTCAGAGCTTGCCCAAGACCACATAGCTAGTAAGTGGCTATCATTGACCAGTGTAAAAGTGGCCTTGACTTATCACGAGCTCTCTGGGTCTGAGAAAAGGATGCTCAGATAGCTGCTAGATTGGCATGTCAAGTGTTTGATTGCGTTTCTGAAATGTCAAGTCCTTTGGAAGCTGGCTGCCTCCTGTGGGCTTGAACATCAGTGTGGTCAAGCAGGTAGATGGGGATCCCCTATTGGAATGGGATGGCCAGTGTCCCCCATCAACACCTACTGAGGATCTACTGTGTGTGAGAGTGGGACTGGGGACTCAGGATGACAGGGATGGCGAGTGCCCCCCATCAACACCTACTGAGGATCTACTGTGTGTGAGAGTGGGACTGGGCACTCAGGATGCCAGGGATGGCGAGTGCCCCCATCAACACCTACTGAGGATCTACTGTGTGTGACAGGTGGGACTGGGCACTGAGGATGCCAGGGGCCATTTCTGGCCTCCACAGATTTACAATTAAGTTTGAGGTGGGAATATGCATAAACAGCCCCCGACAAGCACATTTGACTTGCTGAATAGTTTATAACACAAGTGTGTTTGGAGATCATTTTAGGTAAGTTGGGCAGGAATGGGTAAAATGGAGCCCCCAGGAAAGGGAGTGAACATTTATCAAAGCTCTCACCAGGTGCCAGATGCTGGACTGAGTACTTTATTCACATGGCCACATTCAATCCTCCTAACAGTCATGCCAGGAATGTGCCTGTATTTCTATGTTATGGAAGAGGAAATAAAAGCTTGCCCATGGTTAGGGAGTTTATCATCAGCAGAACTACTCAGAGTTTGAACTGGGATGTGTCTAGCTCTAAAGCCCAAGAGTCTCTGTTGCATCCAAGACTTCCTGGAAACATGGGACTTGGAGGAAGGCTCAGGTTCTGTTAGTGGAGTGAATGGGCTGGCAGTGGGAGGTATGTCTGACACGTGAGGAGAGGAACAGTCTAAGGGGCTGGGATCAGGTGAAGGACGGTAGACTCATACATTCAATATGATCAGAAAAGAAAAGCCCACCCACCTGCCACTCTGCCCAGGGTGAGGCCCAGTAGCCCTGTCATTCCAGGAAAGCATTTGCATTATGGATAAAAGCCACAGTGATTGATTAAATGCTTCACTGCCCACAACTAACAGCTGTCTAGACTCGGTCGGTTAGAGGCTTAAAAGCCCCATCCTCTAGAGGTGGTAAGTGACGTCATAGGAGCCAGCCCAAGGCCAAGAGGGACCCAGACAGTGGAAAAGGTGAAAGCTGGCTTTCTGGCTGGAGGCTCCATAGTGAGTATTTGAAAAAATTCAAACAGCATAGAAAAGTATAAAACAGGAAGTAGGCCTCTCTCTATGCCTTTACCTCCCAGTCGCCCTCTGCAAAGGATGCCTTCCAGAACATATTTATTTATAGTACTCACAGGTAATCTCATATACAACCAAATGCTTTTTTCACTTAATTCATTATGACCTTTTAATCAACAATATAACACACCTGCACACCTGCAGAAAAATGCAAATATTTTAAATGTTCAGTTTCATGCAAGGCATTTGAATACACCCATGTAACTGGCCTCAGTCCAAAGACCAGGACATCACCTGTGCCCAGAAGCCCTCTTTGTTCCTTCTAGTAACTGCCCTATGGTGTGTAGCCACTATACTGACTTCTAACACCACAGATTAACTATTGCCAGTTTTTAAGTGCTGTAAAAGTGGAATTATACTTTACCTATTTTTTTTTTAACTTTTTGCTTTGAAATAATCAGAGATTCACAGGAAGTTACAAAGATAGTACTGAGAAAACCCTAGTATCCTTCATCCAGTTTCCCCCGATGGCAATATGTTACATAATTGTAGCAAGATACTTGACGTTAGTACAATGTATGTATATAGTTCTGCATTTTGTCACACATGTAGACTTGAGTAGCCACTACCACAATCAAGATACGAACCTGTTCCATCACCTGTTCCATCAAAAGGTCTCCCTCATGCCACGCACCCATGGTAGTCTCACTCATTCTCTTCCTTTTCACCATCTCTAACCCCTGACAAACACTAATCTCTCTTCCACCTGTAAAATTTTGTCATTTTGAGAATGTTACATAAATGGAATCATAGAGAATATGATCTTTTGAGATTGGCTTTTTTTTTTTTTAAATCAGCATAATGTCCTGAGATCCATCTGAGTTGCTGCGTGTTTCAGGAGAGCTCCTTTGTATAGCTTAGTAGTACTCCATATATGTTTAAGTATCCACTTACTGAGAGTCTTTGGTTGTATCCAGTTTTGGGCCATTACAAATAAAGTTGGTATGACACATCATGAGCAAGTTTTCATGTGCATGTAAGTTTCCTCTCTCTAGACTAAATGTTCAGGAGTTCAATTGCTGGTTCATAAGTGTATTTCTAGTTTTTTTAAAGAAACTGACAAACTAGTTTCCAGCGTGATTGTACCATGTTACATTCTCAGTGGCAACACATTAGAGATACCCCTTCTCTGCATCCCAATCTGAATTTGGTACTGTCACTATTTTTTATTTTTGCTGTTCATAAAGCTGTGCAATGACATCTTATCATTGCTCTAATTTTCATTTTCCTAATGGCTAACGATGTTGAACATCTTTTCATGTGCTTATTTGCCATCTGTGTATCTTCCTCAGTGAAATGTCTCTTCACATATCTCATACATTTTCTATTTGGATTGTTTGCTTTTTCATGTTGAGTTCTGAGAGTTCTTTATATATTCTAGCTATGAGTCCTTTGTCAGATAAGTGATTTGTAAATACCTCTCTCAGTCTGTAGCTTTTTTTAGAATCACTGTCTTAGGTATTTCTCAGAGAAAAGTTTTTAATCTTGGTGAGGTCCAGTTTACCAATTTTTCTTTCATAAATCATTTCTTTTATGGATTTTCTGTATAGATTGTCATGTGATCCACACATAGAGACAGTTTAATTTATTTCTTTCATATCTGTGTGCCTTTTATTTCATTTCCTTGCCTTCTTGCATTGGCTAGAATTGCCAGCAATATATTAAATACATTGAATAGTATTTTTTAAATACAATGATATTATAGTTGCTCTTGAATAGAACTTGCAGTATTATATTGAGAATGGACATTCTTGCCTTGTTCCTGATCTCAGGGGAAAACAGTCTTCAACATCAAGAATGATGTTAGTTGTAGGTTTTTGTCAATATTCTTTACCCAATTGAGGAAGTTCCCTCCTATTCTTAATTTTCTAAGAGTTTTTGAAAAACATGGTATTGAATTTTGTCAATTTTTTTCTGTATCAATTGATATGATAAGGTAACTTTTCTTTTTTAGTTTATTAATAAGGAGGATTACATTGATTGATGATTGAAACTGAAGCAACTTTGCATCTCTGGAATAAATTCCACTTGGTCATGGCTTATAATTCCTTTTACATATAGCAGAATTGTACTTGCTAATATTTTGTGAAGAATTTTTGCATCCACATTCATAATGGGCATTGGTCCGTACTTTTCTTTTTTTAACACTGTCTTTGGTTTTGGTGTCAGGGTAATACAGCCTTCATAAAAGTGTTAAAAAATGTTCCCTTTTCTATTTTCTAGAAGGGACTATGTAGCATTGGTATTAATTCTTTAAATGTTAGGTAGAATTATCCAGTGAAGCCATCTGAACCTGTAAATTTATTTTTTGGGGAAGTTTAAAATTATGAATTGAATTTTCTTAATAGTTAAAAGGCTATTCAAATTATGCATTTCCTATTAAGTTGAGGTAATTTCTACTTTTCAAGGATTTGTCCCTTTCATCTAAGTTGTCCAATGTATGTGTTTAGAGCTGTTCATAATGTCCCCTTATTATCTTTTTGATATCTGCAGGATCTGTAGTGATGTTCTGTGTTTCCCTTCTGACGTTGGTGATTTTTGTCTTTTGGATTTTTTTTCCCCTAAAGGCAATGTTTCCCTTTGACTACTTCCAAGGTTTTATTTTGTTTTGTCTTTAGTTTTAATAAGCTTGACTATGATGAGCTTGGAATGGATTTCTCTGGGCATATCCTGTTTGTTTTCAACTTCTTGAATCTGAACATTTATGTCTTCTGCCAGTTTGAGAAGCTTTCAGCCATTGTTTCTTTGAGTTCTCCTTCAGTCTTGCCTTCTGTCTAGTCTCCCGGGATTCTGATGACATGACTGTTGGATCTTCTGTTAAAATCCTCACATGTCCATGAGGCTCTGTTCTTTTGTTCAGTCTATTTTCTTTTGCTTTGGCTTTTGTTCCAGAGTGGGTAATTTCTACTGTTCTGTATTCTCCCTGATTCTTTCCCCTGTCCTCTCTTCTCCATTCTACAGTTGAGCCCATTCATTGAGTTTTTTTTTAATTTTAAAATTTCAGGTATTGTACTTTTAAGTTCTAAAATTTTCATTTGGCTCTCCTCATGTCTTTTATTTCTTTGCCGAAACTTTCTATTACTCCATTTGTTTCAAGTGTATTTATAATTGCTCACAGAAGCATTTTTATGATGACTGCCTTCAAATCCTTGTTAGATGATTCTAACATTGGAGTCATCCTAGTGTTGGCATCTCTTGGTTGTCTTGTCTCAGTGAGTTTGCGATCTTTCTGGTCTTGGTAATTACGAGTAATTTTTTATTGTGGCCTGGATATTTGGGTCTTTATGTTTTAAGACTCTGGATCTTACTTCAATCTTGTGTGTTGGCAGGTCTCCTCTGACGCCACTCTGGTGGGTAAACAGGGATGCCCCTTCATTGCTGCCTGGTGGGGTGGAAATCTGGGGGCTGTACTTAGAATCAGTTGACACCCAGTAAGCAGGGGCTCCTTGCTATTGCTGGGCAGCGTTGGGACTTCAGGTTCTCCTCTAGGCCTGCTTCAATTCTGCCCTAGTTAGATGGGGAATGCATGTCTCATTACTGCCAGGCTGGGTGGTGACAGAAGTCCAGGCTCCCCACATGCTGTCCACTGATGGTGATGGGGGATGTTGTCACCACCTGGTGGGGATTAGCACCCCAGCTCCTCACAGCCTTCTCTGACACCGTGGGGTGGGGATGATTGGGGTGCCTGTTACAGCCTGGCAAGGGTGGAAATCTAAGCTCTCCACCTGGCCCTTGCTGGTGAGGGGTGGGGCTGGGCTGCAAGTATATTTCTTCAGTGTTTTGCCGAAGAGGGTTGTTGACTGCCTGTAAGTTTCCTGCCTGGCTTTGCTGTTCCTTTCCTGGTGCTTTGGTTGGAGAGAGCAGGCTTTCCTTGGAATTTTTTTTTTTTTTCTCTGTGCCAGTTTGTGTTTCTGGATTGCCAACTTCCTCAGTATCTGGTTTGGGATGTATGAGATACAAATAAAACCCAAAAACGTACTATTGTGATTTCCTTGAGTACTGAGGCCACCAGCTACTCTGCCTTCTTTTCTCTACCTTTTAGAATCCTACGTTTGTTTTACATGTAACGTCTAGAGCTTCAGTGCACTTAGTGAGAAGAAGAGGGCAAAGTAAACAACCTCCATATTCCCTCCATCTTCCCGGAAGCAGAAGTTCTGCACTTATTACATTAAGTTACACTGGAGTTCTTTCCAAAACAGCTGCTAGAGATTATCTTGTCCTTTTGGAGTGCTGTGTGGTATTCTAGGACCAGGACAGACTGAGATTTCTGTAGCAGCCTTCTCCTGTGGATGGAACAGTTAGGCAGTTTTCAAGGTTGTTCTATCTTAAACACAACTTGAATGAACATCCTTACACATACAAATTGGTAATTTTTTTTCAAGTAAATCTGTAGGGGTAAGTTCCTAGCAGTAGTTTTGCTGGGTCAAAGATAATGAAATTTGAAAATTTGACAAGCATTTTCAGATGGCCTTCCAAAGAGGCTGCACACATTCCTAGTACCTTCCTAGTAGCATTGAATAAAGGTGTGTAAGTTCCCATAGCCTTCCTTCTGATTTTTATCAAACTTTAAGGTGTCAATCTGATTAGCTTAAAAAGGCTGCTTCATTTTTGTTTTATTTGCCTTTCTATACGCATTAACGAAGTTGAATAACTTTACATATGTGTACCATCTATCTGAATATCTTTCAGATGTGTGTGTGTCTATTTGCCTATTCATATCCTTAGTCATTTTCATTCCAGGTACTGTTCTCACCTACTCTTGGTATTGAGGTTGTGTTAGCTTCATTAAAGGAACAGGTGAGTGCACCCTCTTTTTCTATTTTCTGGACAAGTGATTATATTATTGGTAGAACACACCAGTAAAACCATGTAGACCTAGAATTTGCTTTGTCAGAAGGTTTTACATGATTGATTTATTTCCTTCATGGTTGAAAGACTATTCATGCTTTCTGTTTCTTTTTAAAGTTAAATTTTTCTTTTTATTTGTTCATTTCATCTAAATTTTTGAGTGTTTTAACATAAACTTGTTCATAATACATTCTCTTATTATGTTTTTAATGCTTGTATAAACTGTCATGAAGTTCTCTTTTATATTCCTGATTTATCTATTTCTTCTTTTTTATCTTTTACTCTCACCAGAGATTTTCTATTTTATTAATCTCTTCAAAGAACCAATTTTTGATTTAGTGGTCATTTCTACTTCTTTCTACTTTGCTTTCTATTTCAAAACTTTCAAATTATTTTTACAGTTTCATGGCTTCTACTTTCTTTACCTTTATTTTGCTGTTTCCATGTCCTGCTGCCCTTTTGAAAATTATGTTATTATTTCATATTGATTTGTAAAAGCTCTTTGTCAATGAAGGGTATTAGCCATATACTTTCTCCTTTTGCATCAACCGTTGACTCTTATTTATGGTATTTTTTGGAACTATAATTTTACATTTTTATGAAAACACAGATGTATCCATCCTTTTCCTCACTGTCTTCTCAAAGTCCAATCAGCTGGGATTTCATCAGTCCTGTATTCAGGGGAGAGGCAGCTTTCTAGGAACCTTCTCGATTTTGAGTTGCCACTGTCCATGATGCCACAGAGAAGAGACACACACCCTGGACTCTGTTTTCCTTTATTCAAATATGGGCCAGAGTGCTCTTTGCCAAATTATGATGCCACTGCCTTTAACAGCTTTTCCACCCTCAGGATGAAGTCACATCCCCCTTGGCTCTCAGGTCTCTCCATGATCATCTTCCCCCGTCAGCATCTCCTGCTGCTGCCACATCCCTGAATCTGCACAGCTCTGGAATGAGCCACTATCTCTGGCTGCTTGGCCACTTGGCAGGGATGCCAGGCTGTGTTTGCTGCCCAGCTCCTCCCTGCTTGAGGCCACTGGGGTGCACCCGAGGAGCCCACAGCTCTGACCTGCTCGTGTGCACAGCGCAGCTCTCTCTGTGCAGAAGAATGATCCTTTTCCATATCCACCATGAATTCCTAATCAGAGGGATCTTAAATGCCTTCCTTCTGCTTAACAATTCCCAAGCATGCTGTACTGCCCCTCTCCCAATCTCTTACACTTCTGAGAACAGGTTGGAGTTTTAGGAATTGAATGAATTCTAACTATCAATTAAATGGAGGCATGTTAAGCCTGTCCTAATCAAAGTGATGCAAATAAAACATCCTTAAGGTATTTTCATGATAATAGCCAGTAAGAAGCCCCCACAGGGGCAAAAAATGTGGTGATGGTCCACTCCAACTTTTGCTGGGAGGGTTAATCTGTAGAAGATTTTTGGAAAACAGCTTGGCATGTATTCCAAAACTTTAAAAGTCCTCATATCCACATTCTCAATCCCTGCAGATCTATGCTAAGAAAATAACATTACCATAAGAAAAGAATGAGGCAAAAACATTCAATAGAGCATCGTTTATATTAGTAAGAGATGAGAAGCAATCCTAATATCAGCCAAGATGAATAGCCAGGTAGACACGGTCCCTCTAGATGGAGTGTCACGTAGCCATTGAAGGAGACGCCTACAAGGAATTTTTAATCATCTGGAAAATTCTTAAAATAATGTTATAAAAGTACGAGCAGCAGCTGCATCACCATATATGCAATCTGTCTGCATCTATATTAGAAACAACAACAACAACCATGTATGCTCAGATCGGCAGGCTGGAAGAAAATACAGCAAAACTGTTAAGTGGGTTTTAGGGTGTATCAGGAATTTGGTAACTTTTTTGTCCCATTTTTCCTACTTTGACATATTTTCTAAATTTTATTTTTCCAGCATGTGCTACTTTTTATAACGACAAAAACGTAAAAGAATAGAGTAGGTTAAGCCTCTGGGTGGCATTTTGTTCTTTACATTTAAGTGACCACACCCCCGTCCCTCAAAGGCCTCCCATGAAAAGGTGGCAGGGGCCTGCTTAGGTGATATCAGACTGAGAAGTCAGTTGGAAAGGAAAGGCGCCCACAAGTTTATACGCAAAGCGAGGCGTTTCCAGAACACAGTAAAAACGCCCATTACCGTTATGACAATAACGAGAAAATCATCTGAGCGGTCCCCTTCGTCCAGCCCGGGGCTGCATGGGTGGCCGCAGGGGCAGGCGCTCCCCTACCTTTTCCAGCTGGGACGCGCACTGGTCGCAGGCCTCCTCCAGCAGGTCCCGGGCGCCGCCGCGGTCTCCCCGCCTGTACGCGGCGCGGATGCCTTCCGTCCTGCGGGACCGCGCTGCAGGGTCACCGCCCCGCGTGGACGGCTTGCCGCCCGTGTCCCCGGCACCTGCGCGGGAGGAAGCACACACACACGGCGTCACCGCCCACTGCCCGCGTGCTCTTGAGAATCACCGTGGAACACAGCAGGAGGCGGCGCGGCCCGTTGCACGATCGCGGGGGCTTCAGGAAGAGAGAGGGGTGGCCCCGCGACGCTCCCTGCGCTCGCCGCCCCGCGACCCGCAACCCAACCGGGGCCGCTGCGAAGGCACCGGGCGGCGAGCGCAGCTCGGAGGATTCTGCAGCGAGACCGCCACCTGGAGCCCTTCCAGGGCACCGGGGACAGCGGCCCGCGGGGGAGCGGCCGGGCCGACCTCGCCGACAGCAGCGGAGGCGCAGGGGCTTTGGCGAGAGAGCCGCGGGTCTCAGCCACGCTGTCCCGCTGCGGTGCCCACGGGGGAAAGACAGGCCACCTCCCGGGGGTGTGGACATCCAGACGCTTTCCCGCCCTGCCCAGAAAACCCCACGAAGGGCGTGGGATTTAAATCAGCCGCCCTCACTCCAGACCTGCCCTGGCACGAACGCGCTGCGTAACGATGGGGGACGACACCGGGCCTCGGGTCGCGCTGCTTCACCAGAGCGTGGGCTGCTCCCGGTCATCCGAGCACCTGCTGCCACTCGGGAGGAGAGGCCAGCCTTGCGGGAGGCCGCGACCCAGCGCCCGGGCCGTTCAGCAAAAGCGGCGGTCACTCACGGGGCGGCCACGGCAGGCCGAGCCCTCGCTGGGTGCAGGAGGAGCCGAGGGAAAGGAAGGCGGCCTCTCGCCCTCCCCGAGCTTCCACTCTAGAAGGGGTTCACAGTGAGGGCCTGTGGACCCCGAAAGGCTGACAGGCTTCCGAAGTTCCCTGAACACCCTAAAATTGTACACAAAACTGGGTGTGTGTGTGTGTGTGTGTACAGTTTTTCGAGGACAAAATTCAAAGCTTCTACCAGATTTCCAAAGAGGTTAGGGAACAACAGTAAAAAGCTTTCTCTCCATAGGTATTACGGAAAGACTGCGATGGATGAGCAGTTGAATTCTGACTGTGTGGAGTGATAGCAGAAATAGGGAAAGAATACTGTTGTGAAAGGTGACCAAGCAAATTGGGTTATTGTTTTTACACCCAACTAAAACGGAGCTGAGAAGCCAAGAAGAAAAAGCACTCGGGGCATATAACATGACTCCAAAAACATGATTCTCTACAAGTCCGACTACTAAAAATGCCTACCACAACTAAAACCAGTTTTATCTAATAACTACTAAAACGACTTTAAAACTAGCTTTACCCACAACTGTCACTCACCCATCATAACTTGCCAACTCTCCAAAACCTTGCTAATACTAATAAGTTTTCTTGAAAAACACACATAACATTTCTCCTTTTTATTACAAAACTGCCAACCTTCTCTTTATTCTTCAAACATACCAAAACACACACACACACACACACACACACACACACACACACACTCTCTCTCTCTCTCTCTCTCTCTCTCTCATATATATATATATATATCCCAAATTACAATTCTTATATCCCAAGAAAACATTAGATTTTAAAATCCTTTTGAGGCTGGGTGTGGTGGCTTATGCCTGTAATCCCAGCACTTTGGGAGTCCGAGGCAGGCAGATTACTTGAGGTCAGGAGTTCGAGACCAGCCTGGCCAACATGGTGAAACCCCGTCTCTACTGAAGACACAAAAATTAGCCGGGTGTGGTGGCACGCGCCTGTAATCCCAGCTACTCAGGTGGCTGAGGCACGAGGATCACTTGAACCCAGGAGCCTGAGGTAGCAGTGAGCTGAGATCGCACCACTGCACTCCAGCCTGGGTGACAGAGCGAAACTCTGTCTAAAAAAAAAAAAAATTCTTTTGTCATTTGCAACAGCCAGGGATGGAACTGGAGGTCATTATCTTGAGTGAAATAAGCAGGCACAAAAAGACAAACATTCCATGTTCTCACTTATTTGTGGGAGCTAAAAATTTGATCCCATGGAGGCAAAGACTGGAAAAATGGGAAAAACAGCTAACAGAGACTGAGAAGGGTGAGTGTCGGAGCAGGGAGGACGAACAGAAGTGGGTTAAAGGGTACAAGCATACAGTAAGAAGGAATAAATTCAATGTTTGATAGCAGAGTAGGGTGACTATAGTTAACAAAAATGTACTGTATTCAGGTGATGGACACCCTAAATGCCCTGACTGGATCACCACATACTATATACACATAACAAAATGTCACATACACCCCACAAATGTGTACAAATAAAAAATAAAAATAAAAATTCACCTCTACATTTTTATTTTGACTTCAACACTATCATCCTTGGCCAAGTTCACGCAGCCAGTAGAGGCAAACTGGGACAGAAGTTTGGTCTCCCAGCTCTCAAGCTAAACCCAACCCATCTTTGTGCTGCCTCTCTGAAAGGATGAATAAGACAGGCTTTGGATTGATTTTCTTCTTCTTTTTTCTTTTTCTTTTTCTTTTCTTTTTTTTTTTTTTTGAGACACAGTTTCACTCTGCTTCCAAGGCTGGTGTGCAGTGGCGCGATCTCGGCTCACTGCAATCTCCACCTCCCGGGTTCAAGTGATTCTCATGCCTCAACCTCCTGAGTAGCTGGGATTACAGGTGCACGCCACCAAGTCCAGCTAATTTTTGTATTTTTAGTAGAGATGGGGTTTCACCATGTTGGCCAGGCTGGTCTCAAACTCTCGACCTCAAGTGATCCACCCACCTCAGCCTCACAGAGTGCTGGGATTACAGGCGTGAGCCGCTGCGCCTGGCCTTGTTTTTCTTTTTAAATGTAAATGCATAGCACGGTTGGCTCACAAACATACACCTCACAAAAATGAATCACATAATAGCAGTTAACATTGAAAAATTGAAAAAATAGTTTATGATAGTATAAAATTACATTCTTAGAAAAAAATGTAACAAAAGATGGGCAAGATCTGTACGCTGAAAACATAAAACATTGCTGAGAGAAATTGAACAAGACCTAAATAAGTGGGAAGACATCCATCTTCAAGGATTGGAAGAATCAGTACTGTTAAGATGTTAATTCTCTTTGATTTTATCTATAGATTCAATAATCCCAACTATGATTCCAATAGGGTCATTTTTGCGGGATAGAAATTGACAGTCTGATTCTTAAATTTATATGGAAATTTGAAAGACCTAGAATAGCCAAAGCAATCTTGAAAAAGAAGAGAGTTGGAGAATGTACACTACCTGATTTCAAGACTTGGAAAGGATGGAGTTGGAAGCCATTATCCTTCCAAAAAACAAACTACAAAGCTATAGTAATCAAGACAGTATGGTACTGGTATAGACAAATGGCTCCAAGGGACAGAACAGAGGGTTGAAAAATAGACCTGTGCTTGTACATTCAATTGATTTTTGACAAGGGAGCCAAAGCAGTACAATGGGAAAAGCAAAGTCTTTTCAGTAAAAAGTGCTGGAACAACTGGACACCCTCATTTAATAAAAAGCAGCCCTGACCCCTACTTCTCACCATATACAAATATCATCTTGAGATGGCACACACATGTTCATTACAGCACTATTTACAATAGCAAAGTCATGGAATCAACCCAAATGCCCATCAGTGATGGACCGGATAAAGAAAATGTGGTGGCTGGGTGCGGTGGCTCATGCGGTGGCCCATGCCTATAATCCCAGCACTTTGGGAGGCCAAGGCAGGTGGATCACCTGAGGCCAGGAGTACGAGACCAGCCAGGCCAACATGGTGAAACCCCGTCTCTACTAAAAATACAAAAAATTAGCCCAGCGTGGTGGTGGGCACCTGTAATCTCAGCTATTATGAAGGCTGAGGCAGGAGAATCGCTTGAACCTGGGAGGCAGAGGTTGCAGTGAGCTGAGGTAGCACCACTGCACTTCAGCCTAGTCAACAAGAGCAAAACTCTGTCTCAAAAAAAAAAGAAGAAAAAAGCAGAGAAAATATGATACATATATACACCATAGAATACTATGCAGCCATAAAAAGGAATAAGATTATCACTTTGCAGGGACATGGATGGAGTTGGAAGCCATTATCCTCAGCAAGCTAACACAGGAACAGAAAACCAAATACCACATGTTCTCACTTATAAGTGGGAGCTGACCAATGAGAATACATGGAAACAAGAGGGGAACAACACACACTGGGCACCTGTGGTGAGGGAGGGTGGGGAAAGAGCATAAGGAAGAATAGCTAATGGATGCTGGGCTTAATACCTGGCTGATGGGATGATCTGTGCAGTAAATCCCCATGGCACATGTTTACCTATGTAACAAACAAGCACATCCTGCTCATGTACCCCTGAACTTGAAAAAAAAACTTGAAAAAAAAGAAAAAATAACTGAGATGAATCATGGACCTAAACATAAAGGCTAAAACTATGAAGCTTCTAGGAAAACATAGCGGAGATTATCTTCATGACTTGAGAGTAAGTCTTTACTTACTTTCTTACATGGGACACAGAAAACAATAACCAGGAAAGGAAAAATTGCTAAATTAGGCTTCATCAAAATTTAAAACTTCTGCCCCTCAAAAGACCCCATTTAAAGTTAAATAGGCAAATTATAGACTACAATAACGTATTTTCAAAACATATCTGAAAATAAATGGTATCTAGAATATAAAAACTCGTATAACTCCATAATAAAAAGACAAACAATCCAATTGAAAATGAGCAGGCTGGACCTGGTGGCTCACACCTGTAATCCCAGCAATTTGGAAGGCCAAGGTGGGTGTATCCATTGAGCCTAGGAGTTTGAGACCAGTCTGGGAAACAAGTAGACCCTGTCTCTACAAAACATTTTAAAAATTAGCCGGGCATGGTGGTGCACACCTGTAGTCCCAGCTACTCAGGAAGCTGAGATGTAGGAGGATGGCTTGAGCCCAGGAGGTCAAGGCTTCAATGAGCTGTGACTACACCACTGCACTCCACTGGCCTGGGTGACAGAACAAGACCCTGTCTCAAAAAAACAAAACAGAAGGAAGGGAAGGGAAAGGAAGGGAAGGGGAAGGGGAAGGGGAAGGGGAAGGAAAGGGGAAGGAAAGGGGAAGGGAAGGAAGGAAAGAAAGAAAGGAAAAGGGAAGGGAAGGGAAGGGAGGAAGGAAGGAAGGAAGGAAGGAAGGAAAGAAAGAAAGAAAGAAAGAAAAAGAAAGAAAGAAAGAAAAAGAAAAGGAAGAAAGAAAGAGAGAGGGCAAAGATTTAAACAGCAAAAAAATATTCAAAAAGCTCAATGTCATTAGTCATCAGGGAAATGCAAATTAAAACCACAATGAGATACCACTATGCTCTCACCAGAATGGCTAAAACTGTAAGGCCAACACTACTTGGTGAGGACATGGAGCAACCAGAATGTTCATACCTTACTGGCTAGAGTGCAAAATGGTCCAATCACTTTGGAAACAGGTCTGGTGGTTTCTTATAAAACTACATGTATACCTACCCTGTGACCCATAAATTCCATTCTTATCTAACCAAGAGAAATATGTCCAGAAATGTATCCAACAATATTCACAGCAGCCTTATTCATATTTCCAAACTGTAAATAGCCCAAGTGTCCATCCACAGGAGAATGAATAAACAAACCGTGGTACAGTAACTACTCAACAATAAAAAGGAAGGACCGATTGATCTATGGAAAGACTGATAGCAATCTCAAAAAAAATAATGCTGAGTGAAAGAAACCTTGTACAAAAATGATTCCATTTATATGCTGTTCTAAGATATAGTGAAAAAAAATCAGAAGGGTGGATCGTGGCCATATGGTAGACAGTGAGTTTTCCTGTGGATGGGGCACAAGGACATCAGTTTGGTGGTTCTATATCTCACTGGAGTTTTCATTACACAGTTGCTGTATTTGTCAAAACTTATCAAGCAGTCCATTTAAGATATGTGCATCTTACTTTATATATATTTTACCTAAAAAAACTACAAACAATATTGAACCTTAGTCCATACTATGCATGCTACAGTATTTAAGAGTGAAGTGTACAGATGTTTGCAATATGCTTTGAAATGCATTAAAAATGAGTGGATGGTTGGATAGAAAGGCAAGAGAGAAATTTTGGAAAGTGTTAATGGTGTGATCTGAGTGGTAGGTATATGAATATAGATGGTTCAATTCTTTCTACTTTAGTGTATGTTTGAAATTTTTCATAACAAAATGTTGGGAGAAAATATGAGTCCTAATGTCTATACTCCAAATGCATGGCTTGCCATATGACACAAGGTATGAGCTCTTGCCACCAAAGAGCTCCCTTTGGAAAATCCTGCTCCCAGGAAAAATCCTGCTCTGCAGAAAGAAAAAAGGCAAGCTGCTTACGGAGCAAAGCCCCTAATACCAATCCAGGGTCTTTACAACTCACGCTAAGCCATGACTTGCTCCATTTCAAAGGCAATCGTCCTGAAAATCCAAGTAAATGGATGACCATCACACACAATCTGTATCATTCCTGAGATGCCAACACAGAATTGCTGTGTCTGAGTGGAGATTATTGTGTCTTGGCTGTGTGCTTTTGAAAAGAGGAATCGGGAAAAGGCTTGGTGTGTAAGCGGTTATACGTGTGAATAAGGCAGCTTCACTTCCCAACACACATTAACAGTCACCATTAATTATTTACAGGCAGAGCCCCTGGGACATGTGAGAGCAGGCCAGAGGGAGAAAGGCCATTAGCAGGGCCCAGAAGGAATAGAATCAACTGCTGTCATCCCTCAGATGGGGGCACTTAATTATGTCATTGCTTGTCTCTCAGAATTAAACAAATACCCGCTTATCCAGTAAAAGACATGTGCAGGTATGTGTATGTGTGAATGCACAAGCAGGTATGAAGTAGCCTCTTCTGTCCATGTTAGGAACATACATACAAACAGCTAAACCTTTAAGCCCAAGTTAAGGGACATTTTGAAGGTGGAACTTAGGGCATATGTAGGCCATAAGGTGCCCATGAGATTACAAGGGTGATTTAACTTGATTTTTCAATCATGCCTTGTGTGTGGAGTAAATGATGTAATAAGAATCTAGAACCTGCTCAGTTTTCTTTACATTATAAAAATGTTGTGGTGTTTATCTGTTTCGACTCTGACTTTCTTAAGTTGCAGGGTGACACCATATCCACTCTCACCGACCCTGTGGGCTGAGGGTCTGGTCCAATCAAGTTGTTGGAAGGACATTAGGAAAAGGCACCAGTTAATGCGTATGCATTTAATTTAATCTGCCAATCTCATTTAATTTCCTGAAATTATACAGAGAATGGTTAACCTTTATTTAAATTGAAAGAAAAAAGACCCAAATGCTTTGACCATAGTGAGTATTAGGCATGGGCCATGGGGGACTTCATGACAGAACTAGAAAAGATTTTTCTTCTTTATTTCCCAAGACCTGCGTGATGGGAATATATGACTGCTTCATTCAAAACTTTACAGACACTACAAAAGTAATGAAAGAACACATTCTCACTGAAAAAAAATTAAATAGTTCAGAAATAAATATAAAGGCAAAAGCCCCTCCTCACCGCCACAGAAAACAATAACCAGGAAAGGAAAAATTGTTAAATTAGGCTTCATCAAAATTTAGAACTTCTGCACCTTTTCCTAGAGATAATACTTATTTAGTCATTTTTTTCTCCAAAATACTATTGTTTTGTATTTGAGAATTGGTAACTTTTGATTTAAACTTAAAATGTAGGAAACACATTTATACTATTTGAGATTATTCAGTTACTTGTGCTTATTCATCAACTATTATCCATAATTATATTCTTTTATACAGTAAAATATCTCAGTTCTAAATATTTTCCTCATAAAGATTTCAAATTCATATTAAAAAATAAAATGGAGCAAACATTCTATTTCAATAACACATTAATGTCCCAAATAAGTAGCTAGAGCTAGTAGGAAAATAATAGTAGAACATTGCTATAATGCAGTTTCAAATTTTAGAAAATCCTTTTGGTTCTCTAAATTATAATTTATGTCATTATTTTCATATATGGTGATGAAAATTTCCAAATTTTCAGGCATCTTACTTGCTTTTAATGTAAAGCTAATACATTCCAATGAAGTATTTAACGAAGTAAAGGAGGAGAAGGATAAATGAATAGCACCAGGGAGATTTTTTTTTTCAGGTTTGGTTGGTGTTGCTAGTTTGATTTTTAAAGGCAGTGGTTAGAAGTAGGAACTGGTTAGGGAAAATGAAATTATAAATGCAGTGAATAGCTAGGGTTATGGAGTCAGCACATGTGCAGCCATTCAAGATGACAAGAAACATTTACAATAAGCTCTGAGCTTGTAAGTGAACATATTTCTGGTTGTTGATAAGTGTTAGTCTTCACTGTATGCTGGTATTTCAATGTGCCGGCCATGGATGGTAAGTTAAAGTTCCTACATAAAGAAGCATTTGGTTAGAAAAAACATAAAATATTTAAAAACCTGTAGGACCTGAACACCATTTAGTTCTTGATAATTGCTTTCAATTTAACATACTATTTTTAAAGAAATACCTTCAGTGATACTGTGTGTTTCACAGTCAGCCATTTCAAGAAGAAGTGATTTTAGCTGCCAATAACTCAGTCTTTAAACATCATTTCCATAACTCATGTTTCAGAAAAAACAAATTATTCTAATTACAGAAAAACTAACAGAAATTATTTTTCTTTTTCAGTATTCTGAAAGAGTAATAAAACAGAATTCCATGAATATGACAGAGTAATGCTGGCTGTGACAACCGTGTCTCTGACGGCAGGCAGCTCACTGTTCTGCAGGTACACCTTGAAAGACACCGCCCCAGTCTGTCCATCCCTGGTTCTGTCTGTCCTTATGTTCCAAGGAGACAGTCTTACATTTTGTTCCAGAGCAATAATTGTTAAGTCATCACTCCTGTCCCAATCATTGGAATAAAATTCTCTTTGTACTGTTTTTTTTCCCTACAAATCTAGGAAAATAGAGAAAATGAAATGAAAAAAATGGCTTTAATTATGTAAGTTCTAAATGTTGGCCTCATGTGTGTGTGCGCGCATGCGTGTGCACGTGTGTGTGTGTGTATTTCTCTTCTCCCCACCAAGGAAAACACTTAGAATAAAAGGCAAATGTTTTTGGTCAATCTGAAGTGTGTGACATCCTCTGTAAATCTTAGAAAAGACACTGCCGTTTGATTTGCATATCCATGACTTTATTTTATTGCATTTGCCTCCGTCAATAGAGCAGCAAAAAGTGAAAATGATCTACCAGCCCACAGCTCATTGCAGAACAAACAAAAGTAAACTTCAGGATGCTACTGACCTGGTCATAGTTGTTTAACGACCTTCCTGTGCCACTGAGTCCCCATGTGGCCAAAGCACCAGGGAAACGGGGCTGGCCTTCCCGGGAGGTGACACCCTCCTGGCACTTTGGGGGCTCGCCCTCTGTTGCCCTAGCTTTGCCAGCCTTCCACTGGAAGGATGCTTCTTTTTTCACCAGATATCACTCTAGCGTTTCAGCATCAGCAGCCGTTTACATCTCTGGGTCATATTACGGTGAAATCCAACCCTTGACGTCTTTGGGAAAGATGTGGAGGTTGGGGGTGTGCAGAGGAGGGAGGGTCACCCAGCCCCGGGGTGATCTGCGGTGATAATTCCTCTCCAGATGGTGGGTGCTCAGGGCCATTGCACCCATCACCCAGGCCCTCCACCCGCATCAGACAGGAAAGCAAAAGCCAGGGCCGGGCTCTGCGGGCTCTCACTAACAGTTCTGGCCCAGAGGCTAGCATTTCTCACTGCAGAAATGCTTCACGGCATAGATTACCATTTTGTGGATATACTCACCAAATCACTAGGAATTTTTGTTAATAAGAGGGAGATGGATGGTTATACATATAGACAGGTTGGTCTCCTGGGGGAAAATTGCATGGAAAAGTGCTATTTGCTTTAGTAATAAAAATATAATTAATCACAAGATGCTATGTTATGTCCACCTGACACAGTAAAACATTGAAAGGCTTATAACATTCCTTGCTGTCATGAGTGTGGGGAAATGGGTGCATCCTCTGGTCCATTGGCCATCGTGGGAGGCCTTGCCAACCGGATGGTCATTTCAGAAAGCGGGAGGGCAGTACTACATAACAAAAGCGGGAAGTCGGCCTGTTCTCCCACGGTTTTCTCTTCTAGGCATTTCCCTACAGAAATGACACGGTGCACACTAAAAGACTACTCCCGAGCCAGGACTTCTGCAGAGGTCCCTGCCACAGCCGAGGTAAGAGCAACTCTGCAGACAAGCGGCCCAGGCCAAGGATTAGGGAGTGGTGTAGAGCAGGGTGGTGCCCAAGGGCCAGCACAGGCCTGGGGACTGGACTCACGTCACTTAACGTCTACAGCAGCGCTAGGAAGGAGGTGACTCTGCTGCCATTTTACAGAGGAACAAGGCCAAGACAGTGACACAGGTTCACAGAACAACAGCGCTGGCAACGAGCAGCCGGAGGGGAAGCATCCTGACGCTGGGGCCCACAGAGTCGCTGCTACTCGGCTTTCTAAGTTAATACCTGCTGGTGCTTCAGAATAAGGGGCTCGGATGCGGCCATCAGAACCTATGACAATGAAGACTAAGGAGAAGGGTGAAAAAATGCTTACCAGCTATCAAGCTAAAAGTAGAACATAGGACAGAGGCCGTGACAAACCACAGGAAAAACACAGAACACAGATGGACACCATTTAAAAGTACGCAAAATGGGCTGGGCGTGGTGGCTCATGCCTGTAATCCCAGCACTTTGGGAGGCCGAGGCCGGCAGATTACCTGAGGTCGGGAGTTCAAGACCAGCCTGGCTAACATGGCGAAACCCCATCTCTACTAAAAATACAAAATTAGCCAGGCATGGTGGTGCATGCCTGTAATCGCAGTTACTCAGGAGGCTGAGGCAGGAGAATTGCTTGAACTCGGGAGGTAGAGGTTGTGGTGAGCCGAGATTGCGCCATTGCACCCCAGCCTGGGCAATAAGAGTGAAACTCCATCTCAAAAAAAAAAAAAAAAATATATATATATATATATATATATATATATGCAAAATGAAATAATTTATTCTAGGTTCTCTGATTATTTGTGATTAAAATCCTTTGAGAAAAGGTCCCTAATGAGTCTATGAATATAGATAATACATACAGTCTATTATTTTTGTTTGTAAAACCTGAACCTGACACTCTTTTCTCCTCCCTCTCCCTGTCTCTGTTTAGAAAGAAAATCTAAAGGACACACAAAAATTACAGTAGCCGTCCCCTTCAGCAGATGAAATGACTGGAGTTTTAAAATTTTATTTATTTATTTATTTAAGACAAGGTCTCACTCTGTCACCCAGGCTGGAGTGCAGTGCTGTGATCTCAGCTCACTACAACCTCTGCCTCCCAGGTTCAAGAAATTATTATGCTTCAGTCTCCCGAGTAACTGGGATTACAGGTGTTTGCCACCACGCCCAGCCGATTTTTGTATTTTTAATGGAGACAGGGTTTCGCCACATTGGCCAGGCTGGTCTCGAACTCCTGACCTCAAGTGATCCACCCGCCTTGGCCTCCCAAAGTGCTGGGATTACAGACATAAGCCACCATGCCCAGCCTGGAGTTTTAAAAATATTTCTATTTTTCTGTGTTTTTCAATATATTTTTTGCAGTAACTTGTATTGCTGCTGAAATTAAGAAAAAAAAATTAAAAGATGAAGTATGTCCAGCAAAATGTTAACTGTGTTTCACCCTGGCTTAGTGAACCAGTTCTTCAGTGGTATTATCTATATTGAAGCAACTGTTTGCTCTCAATCTACCGAATCTTGACTCAGTTGCTCTAGAAAAAAGGATGGAGAGCAAGGAAGTCTCATGGAACAAAAATTGGCACAGGTGTCCCAGATTTTGAAAGATAAAATAAAATGGTTTATAATAATGTTTCATGTATTGGTCATTGGTGCCATTTATTGAGTCCTGCCGGATGCTGTAGAAAGTGTCCTGCGTGCATTTGACTTCCTCCCAACACCCATACAAGGCTAGGCTTCTCATCATCACTCACCACAAGGTGACCAGTGCCCTGAGTGGTTAGAGAAACTTCCCCCACCCAGCTCCCAACAACAGAGCTGAGATTTGGACCCCCAGCACCTGCCATCAAAGCTCATCCTCTGCTTCCTAGGTTGTGTGTTCCCAACTGCTATGGTTTTTTTTTTTTTTTTTGACGGAGTCTCACTCTGTTGCTAGGCTGGAGTGCGGTGGCGCGATCTCGGCTAACTGCAACCTCTGCCTCCCAGATTCAAGTGATTCTCCTGCCTCAGCCTCCCGAGTAGCTGGGATTACAGGCACGCACCACCATGCCCGGCTAATTTTTGTATTTTTAGTAGAGACAGGGTTTCACCATGTTGGCCAGTATGGTCTTGATCGCTTGACCTCGTGATCTGCCCGCCTTGGCCTCCCAAAGTGCTGGGATTACAGGCGTGAGCCACCGCGCCCAGCCACCAACTGCTATGGTTTTAATGTCCCCTCCAAAATTCATGTTGAAACTTAATCCCCATTGTAATGGTATTAGGAGTTGCAGCCTTTGGGACATAATCAAGATTGGATAAGGTCACTATGGTGGGGACCCTGTAATAAGACTGGTGGCTTTATAAGAATAGGAAAAGAGACCTGAGCCAGCACACTCAGGCCCTTTGCCATGTGATGCCCGGCACCACCTCAGGACTCTGCAGCCAGTCCCCACCAGCAAGAAGCCCTGACCAGATGCAGCCCCTCAGCCATAGACCTCCCAGCTTTCAGAACTGTAAGAAACAAATTCATTTTCTTTATAAATTACCCAGTCTCTGGCATCCAGTTATAGCAACAGAAAACGAACTAAGACAACAGCCAAACATGAGACTCTTATTCAGCACCTAACATGCATGGCAGAAATGTGGGAACGAAAACATGAGATGACCCTGTCTCATTAGATGGAAAAAACGGAGAGGAAATGGAAACCAATCCCTCCATTAATTTTCTGCTGTAGAAGAAGAGAAACACAGAAATACAAAGCTATGAAGATGAATTCTTTCCTAGATTTTGTTCCTCTTCCAAAAATTCATTTATTTATTGCTCATTCGTTCTACAAATATTTAGTACCTCCTATGTGCTGAGCTGGACCCTGGGGACACAGCTTGCTGAGACACACAGAAAGAGCTCAAGTGCGCTGCTACAGTATTTCCAGAGTTTACTTTCAAACACCCACAACAGAAACCATGCCCTTTACCCAAAAGGGGATGCTTGAGGGACTTGGGAGAGCCAACAGACAAAAACTGACCTGGTAAAAAAAGGAGAACCATCTTTTTGGAAAATTAAAAATCACATAAATAGGACAGTTCATTTATTTAATACTCAGTAATACTATAGAAAATGGTACAATTCGAAGATAAACACACACACACAGTCAGTCCTACTCCGATTTTGGGGAAGATGATTGTGATTATAAATACTGGAGGATTAGGACACCCTTTGACATTGCCACGTTGCTTCTGGGAAACTGATTCCAAAAGAATAGTTCTACACATTTAAAAAGCACTATGCAAAAAAAAAAAAAAAAGCAATATGAACGTAGATGCTGATTGCAGCACTGTTCAGTAGAGCAAAGAACGGTGATTTTGACAATTATAATGCACAGACCCTGGAACTACACAAACAGGAAAACTGTCAAGGAGGAAGCCCCCAAAACGATAACTCTGGTTTTTCTTACGTGGCGGAATTCAAGGTGAACTTCTCGAGACCCTTTTCTCTATTTTCCAGTTATTTCTCTATTACTACTATAACAACATTGTTATATTAAAAAAAATGCTTTTCAGGTTGACAAAGTACATTTGCTAACTGGATTTAACTTCCTCCCAACAAAAATGAGTGCAAGGAAAGGAAGAAAATGTCTCAATCTGAAAGGAACATTTAGGATGAGGCACCGAGAGTTTTCCAATCATGCCATCTACTGAGAACTGTGTGAAAACCCGCAGTTACAGGAAGAACTGAACTCTGTACATTGGAAGACTTGGTTTCAAGCCCCAGCTGTGCTATTTGACATAGCATGGTGTTTGGCAAGTATTTAAGATGTCTGAATATTATCATCTTCTTGTAAAAGAAAATGGCACATATAAAAGATATTGCACAATGCATATGAATAAAAAAATACATACACAAAGAGAAGCGGTGAGCACACAAATGGGGGTGATTTCCAGGAGGCCTGGCCCCTTCCTCCCTACTCCAGGTGCCTGTGAGGCTGCCAGACTGCACTCTCATTTCCTCTATGGACCAAGCTTCCCTTAGCTTTTGTTCCTGTGTCTGCCTTATCTGGAAGGAGCCCTTACGCTTTCCATGCTTCTCGAAATTCTCCTCCTTCTAGCCTAGCGCAGGGGTGCACCCCAGAAAGGACTTGCAGAATTTCCCAGCGGGCTGCCTCTCCTTTCTCCGCCTGCACGTGGTCTGACCTGGGTCCTGGACTGTCCCCTGCAGAGTAGGTCTGCCAGCCTCCTGCTCTGCCCAGGGCTGCCCGCAGGCTGGGTTCTGCTTACTCACTGCCGTGGGTGCCTATCTAGACTGTATCACTGAAAGCCTCTCCACTTCAATTTGTTGACCGTCCAGAGCTCTCTGCATATTAGTAAGGGGGTCGTCTATAATTTTGCCCATCTACAGTTACGGCCACAGGGGTACAGAATTCTCCCAGCAAAAGAGGAGGAGAATGATGCCTTCAGGCACTTCTAAATTTTCCTTTCCAAGAATGATTTTCTTTTGGCCACTCAGCCACACATCCCCCTCCAACCCTTCCCTAAGGTCTGGTCACTTCAGCACAACAGTGGTAGGGTTCATATCAGGTCAAAATGTAAACTCTTTCAAGATAATATGTGGGGGCTTTCCAAGTCATAAAAGTATCTGAGACCTTAGTCATACACACTGCCCAGAAATACATGACTGCAAAACGTTGGCAGGGAAGGAAGTCCCAGAGCACAGAGAGCCCGGGAGAGAAACGGAGAAGTGTGACCACCATGCTGACCCCGCGCTGCTTCCTGGGCCCACCTCCAGGCCCTGCACATTTCCGTCCTCTCCACTTCGGATGGTGGCACCTACTTCAGAGGGGTTATTGTGAGGGTCAAGTGGATGGAAGCACGAGAAGTGCTTAGAACACTGCCTGACCCCGAGAGGCTCTAGATAAATGCTAGCTACTATTATTGTTATTTGAAGTTAAGTTAGAAATTTGGCCCCTCTCTGAAAACTGTGAAGTCTGGGGTTTCTATCTTATTCCTTAGCCATCTGGGATGAATCATGCCTATTCAAATGAATAAGTCAGTGGGTATTGGAATCTTATTTACTTAGCTATGGGTCAAATGTTAGTGAGGCCAAGAAGTGGAAGACAAAAGCCTTGCTTTAGCACCCTTGCTGGGCTTGCTGGGGAGCAGAGGTACAGACGTATCCAAAACACCCAAACATCAACTCCAGACAGGACAGTATATACCAGTGGAAACAGCCATATTCCTGCATGCTGCCCAGCATACAGCTGAAGCTCAATAAATATTCAGTATACATGTTTGTGCCAAAATGAAGGGCCCCAATTGTTTACTCTGATAGTTCCCTTATTTAAAAATGCTGCTTAACCTACTACAGAAAAACAACAAATTAAAAAGGAAGATACAAAGAGAGAAAGAAAAGAACAAAAGAACTACAGAACAGGCTGGGTGTGGGGGTTCATGCCTGTAATCCCAGAACTTTGGGAGGCTAAGGCGGGCAGATCACTTGCGGTCAGGAGTTTGAGACCAGCCTGGCCAACATGGTGAAACCCTGTCACACAAAAATTAGTTGGGTGTGGTGGTGGCTGCCTGTAATCCCAGCTACTCAGGAGGCTGAGGCAGGAGAATCACTTGAACCTGGGAGGCGGAGGTTGCAGTGAGCAGAGATCACGCCACTGCACTCCAGCCAGGGTGACAGAGTGAGACTCCGTCTCAGCAACAACAACAACAGCCAACTACAGAACAATCCGAAAATAATTAAAAAATTGGCAAAAGTATGTCCTTACTTGTCAGTAACTACTTTAAATATAAATGGATTGACTTTTCCAATCAAAAGACACACAGTAGCTGAATAGATTAAAAAATCCAAGAACCAGCAATATGCTACCTATAAGAGATCCACTTTTGCTTTAAACATACACATAGATGGAAAGTGAAGGAATGACAAAAGATATTTCATGCAAATGAAACCAAAAGAGCTAAAGAATGGCGATACTTATACCAGACTGAATAGACTTTCAGTCAAAATCTGTCAGAAGTGACAAAGAAGGTCACTATATAATGATAAAGGGGTCAATTCATTAAAAGAGTGTACTAATTTTAAATATGTATGTACCTAACATTGGAGCACATAAATAAGTAAAGCAAATATTAACAGAACTGAAGGGAGAAATATATAGCAATATAATAATAGTAGGGGACTTCAATACCCTACTTTCAATAATAGATAGATCATCCAGACAGAAAATTAATAAGAAAACAGTGAATTTGAATAATACTATAGACCAAATAGACCTAACAGACATATGCAGAACAATGCCTTCAACAGCGAGAGAATATAATTTTTTCTCAAGCACACGTGGGACATTCCCCAAGAAATGTCATATGTTGGGCCATAAAACAAGTCTTAACATATTTAAGATGATGGAAATATTATCAAGTTTCTTTTCTTATCATAATGGTGTAAAACTAGAAGTCAATAACAAGAAGAAAATGGAAAAATCCACATATATGTGGAAATTAAACCACATACTCCTGAACAACCAATGGGTCATAGAAGAAATCAAAAAGGAAATCAGAAAGTATCTTCAGACAAGTCGAAAAGGAAACACAACATACCAAAACTTACGGGATACAGCAAAAGCAGTTCTAAGATGAAAGTTGACAGCCAGAAATGCCTACATTAAGCAAAAAGAAATATCTTAATTAGACAAACTAACTTTACACTTTAAGGAACTAGAAAAAGAGCAAACTGAGCCCAAAGTTAGAAGAAAGAAAATAAGTATTAGAGCAGAAATAAACGAAATAGAGACTAAATAGATAATAGAAAAGATCAGGCTGGTCATGGTGGCTCACGCCTGCAATCCCAGCACTTTGGGAGGCCAAGGAGTGCAGATCATGGGGTCAGGAGTTCAAGACCAGCCTGGTCAAGATGGTGAAACCCTGTCTCTACTAAAAACACAAAAATTAGCCAGGCGTGGTTGTGGGCGCCTGTAATCCCAGCTACTCAGGAGGCTGAGGCAGAGAGTTGCTTGAACCCGGGAGGTGGAGGCTGCAGTGAGCCAAGATCGTGCCACTGCACTCCAGCCCTCCAGCCTGGGGGTGACAGAGTGAGATTCTGTCTCAAAAAAAAAAAAAAAAAAGAAAAAAAAAAGGAAAGAAAAGCGAAAGTAAGAGTTTTTTTTTTTAATTGACAAATCGTTAGCTAGACTAAGAAAAAAAAGAAAGAGAACTCAAATAAATACAATTATAAATGAAATAGGGGGCATTACAATTGGTATAATAGAAGTACAAAGTATTATGAGACTACTATAACAATTATACACAAACAAATTAGATAACCTGGAAGAAATGGATAAATTCTTAGAAACATACTACCTATCAAAAATAAGTCATACAGAAATAGAAAATCTGAACAGGCCAATAATGAGTAAAGAGACTGAGGAAGTAATCAAAAACCTCCTAACAATAAAAAGCCCAGAATCAGATAGATGGCTTCACAGGTGAATTCTACCAAACGTTTAAAGAAGAGTGAATGCCAGTCCTTCCTAAACTCTTCCAAATATTGAAGACAATAAAGACTTTCGAACTTGTTTTACAAGATTAGCAATACCTCCTACCACAGCCAGATAAAAACACCATAAGAAAAGAAAATTACAGACCAATATCCCTGCTGAACTTAGGTGCAAAAATCCTCAAGAGGATACAGGCAAACTCATTTCAACAGCACATTAAAAAAATCATACACCATTATGAAGTTCAGTTTAAGCCTGGGAAGCAAGGATGGTTCAGCATATGCAAATCAACAGACACGATACACCACATTAACAGAATAAAGGATAAAAATCATATAATGAACTCAATAAATGCAGAAAAAAACATTAGTAAAAATTCAACATCCTTTCAAAATAAAAATTCTCAACAAGTTGGTTATAGCAGGAATGTACTTTAATATCATAAAGGCCATATAAAACAAGCCTACAGCTATGATCATACTTAATGGTGAAAAGCTGAAAGCATTTTCTCCAAGATCAGGAACAAGACAAGTATGCCCACTCTTGCCACTTCTACTAGAAGTCCTAGCCAGAGAAATTAGGTAAGAAAAAGAAATAAAAGACATCCAAATAAGAAAAGAAGAAGTCAATTGGTCTCTGTTTGCAGATGACATGATCTTATATGCAGAAAACCTAAAGACTCCACCAGAAAACTCCTAGAACTAATAAATAAATTCAGTAAAGTTGCAGGACACAAAATCAACATACAAAAAATCATTTGCAGTTCTATACACCAACAATAAGCTTTTAGAAAAAGAAATTAAGAAAACAATCCCTTTTACAATAGCTACAGAAAATACTTAGGAGTAAATTTAACCAAGAAGCAGAAAGATCTATACACTAAAAACTATAAGACATTGATGAAAGAAATTGAAAAAGACACAAATAAATGGAAAGATATCCTGTCTCCATGGATTGGAAGCATTAATACTGTTAAAATGTCCATACTACTCAAAGTGATCCACAGACTCAATGCAATTCCTGTCAAAATTCCAATGGCATTTTTCACAAAAATAGAAAAAAAAATCCTAAAATTTGTATGGAACCACAGACGACCCCCAATTAGCCAAAGCAATCTTGAGAAAGAACATAGCTAGAAGCATCACACTTCCTGATTTAAAACTGTGTTACAAATTATAAGCAAAACAGTATGGTTCTAATTGTATGCATTGGTCTATGTGTTAAAATAGACACATAGGCCAGTGAAACAGAATGGAGAGTCCAGAAATAAATGTATGCATATACAAATAACTAATCTTTGAGAAAGGTGCCTAAAATGCACAATGGAGAAGAATGGCCTTTTCAATAAATAGTGTCGAAAAAAACTGGACATCTACATGCAAGACAATGAAATTGGACCCATATCTTATGCCATGCACAGAAATTAACTAGAAATAAATTAAAGACTTAAAACATATGAAACAGTAAAACTCCTAGGAGAAAACATAGGAAAAAATCTCCTTGACATTATTCTTGGCAATGATCTTTCCTATATGACACTGAAAGTACAGGCAACCAAAGCACAAATAAACAAATGGGATTACATCAAACTAAAAACCACAGCAAAGGAAACAATCAACAAAATGAAAAGGCAACCTATGGAATGAGAGAAAATATTGCAAACCATATATCTGATAAGGGGTTAATATTCAAAATGTGTAAAGAACCCATATGATTTAATAGCAAAAAAAGCTAAATAACTTGATTTTTAAAATGGGCAAAGGACCTGAATAAAAATTTTCCGAAGAAGACATACAAATGACCAAAGGTATAGGAAAAGGTTGTCGGCACGTCTAATCATCAGGGAAATGGAAATTAAAAACATGAGTTAGGCCGGGCACGGTGACTCACACCTGTAATCCCAGCACTTTGGGAGGCCGAGGCGGGCAGATCACGAGGTCAGGAGTTCGAGACCAGCCTGGCCAATATGATGAAACCTCATTTCTACTAAAAATACAAAAATTAGCCAGGCGTGGTGGTGTGTGCCTGTAGACCCAGGTACTGGTGAGGCTGAGGCAGAAGAATTGCTTGAACCTGGGAGACAGAGGTTGCAGTGAGCCGAGATTGTGCCACTGCCCTCCAGCCTGGGGGACACAGTGAGACTGTGTCTCAAACAACAACAACAACAAAACAAACAAACAAACAAAAAAACCTATGTGTTATTACCTCACACCTGTTAGGGTGATTATTATAAAAAAGACAAGGATAACACATGTTGACAAGGAGAAGGGAACACTCATACAGTGTTGCTGGGAATGTAAGGTAGCAGCCATTATGGGAAAAAGTATGAAGGCTCCTCAAAAAATTAAAAATAGAACTACCCTATGATTCAGAAATCCCACTGCTGGGTATTTACCCAAAGGAAAGGAAATCAGTATCTCGAAGAGATATCTGTAACCCCATATTAACGGTATGTAGCATTATTCACAAGAGCCAAGATATGGAAACAACCTGTGTCCTTTGACAGATGGAGAGAGAAAATATGGCTTATATACATATACATATGTGTGTATATATATATATATATATATATATAGACACACACATACACACACACAATGGAATACTATACAACCTTTAAAAGGAAGTAAATTCTGTCATTTGCAACATGGGTGAACCTGGAGAACATTATGCTAAGTGAAATAGGCCAGACACAGAAGACAAATACTCTATGATCTCACTTATATGTGGAATCTTAAAAAGTCCAAATTAAAGAAGCCGAGAGTGAATGGTGGTTGCCAAGAGCTGGGGCATGGGAGAAATAGGGAGGTGTTGGTTGAAGGGTACAAACTTTTAGTTATAAGATGAGTAAGTTCGGGGATCTAATGTACAGCCTGTTGAGTATATAGTTAATAATACTGAATTGTATACTTGAAATTTACTAAAAGAGTAGATCTTAAGTGTTGTTAATACACACGGGCACACAAAGGTAATTATGTGAAATGGTAGATGTGTTCATTAACTTGATTATGCTCATCATTTTGCAACATTTATGTATATCAAATAATCACATTATATACATGAAATATATAATTTTTATTTGGCAATTATACCTCAATAAAACTGTAAAGTAAGTGAATAAAAATGCTGCTTAATGAGATTAGCCAACATTCAAATGAGTGGCCCTAGAGTTAATTTTGGTCAATAGATTCTGTTAAAAGATCTTGCTTAAAGCATAAGGAATGCCCAGTAATATTCCCAAGTAAGATGTAAGCTTTATGACGCAGACTTAAAACCTGGAGGCAGCCGAGTTAATTGTCTGGTTAATCACCATAAAAATCACTGATGGGAATGATTACTGTGATAAAACGTGGATGTACCTGAAAGCCTGACAAGCATTTGATACCATTTCCAGGGAAAGGTATGCTGGGATTGAATGCTGTCTCCATCAGAGGAAAGAGTGGGCCAGGGCAGGAGTCAGGTCCTGTGAGAAGGGCCCCACAAAGAAGAGTGGGCTAATCAATGGTGTTTGTCCAACTGGATAGCCACATGGAAAAATATATGATCAGATCCGTTACTCCCGTGAAACACCAAGATAATTCCAAATGAATTAGAGATATAATGTAAAAAAATAAAACGATGTAGGCATTAGAAGAAAACACAGGCAAATTCCTTTTTAGCCTGGGAGTGTATAACCCCTTTAACTGTGGCTCACAACCCAGAAGTAATAAAAGATGGATACATCGGTCACATTTAAAAGATCACAGCTTTATTGAGAGATAATTCACGTATCATAAAATTCACCATTTAAAAGTGTACAATTCAGTGGGTTTGAATATATTCACAGAGTTGTGTAACTATCACCGCTTTCTAATTTTAAAACATTTGTACCACCCTGCAAATATACGCTTATACCAGTCAGTTCCCACTTCCTCCTCCAGGTCCCTGCCAACCACTAATCTACTTTCTATCTCTACAGTTTGCCTCTTCTGAACATGTCATATACGTGGAATAATACAATATGGTTTTTGTGACTTAGTTCTTTCACTCAGCATGTTTTCAAGACTTATTCATGTTGTAGCATATATTAGTACTTACTCTTAATAATACTATTATTTTATTATTATTATTATTATTATTTTTTTTTTTCTGAGATGGAGTTTCGCTCTTGTTGCCCAAGTGGGAGTGCAATGGTGCGATCTCAGCTCACTTGCAACCTCTGCCTCCCGCGTTCAAGCCATTCTCCTGCCTCAGCCTCCTAAGTAGCTGGGATTACAGACGCATGCCACCATGCCTGGCTAATATTTGTATTTTTAGTAGAAACAGGATTTCACCATGTTGGCCAGGCTGGTCTCAAACTCCTGACCTGAGATGATCCACCTGTCTCGGCCTCCCAAAGTGCTGGGATTACAGGTGTGAGCCACTATGCCCGGCCTTATTATTTAATTATTAAGTATTAATTCATACTTGCTAGTAATGCTATTATTTCCTTGCTATTGCTGCGTAATATTCCACTGTATGAATAGACCACATTTGTTTATTTATTCATCAGCTGATGGGAGCTTGGGTTTTTCCACTTTTTGGTTATTAGGAATAATGCTACCGTGATCACTTATGTGCAAGTTTTTCTGTGAATATCTGCCCTCAGTTCTCTTGTGTATATACTCAGGAGTGGAATTGCTGGGTCATATGGTAATTGCATGTTCAAAATGTTGAGAAACTGCCAAACCATTTTCCAAACTGCCTGCAGCATGTTCCAGTCCCACCTTCAATGAATGAACGCTCCAATTTCTCCATATCCTGACTACCGCTTGCCATTTTCCATCTGTCTTTCTGTTGTCCTTTCTGTTGGGTGTGAAGTGGTATCTCATGGTGGTTTTGCTTCGCATTTCCATAATGATTAATGATGTTGAGCATCTTTTCATGTGCTGATTGGCCATTTTCACATCTTCTTTGGATAAATGTCTATTTAGTCTGTTTAGACCCTTTGCTCTTTTTTTCTGAGACGGAGTCTCACTCTGTAGCCCAGGCTGGAGTGCGGTGGCGCAACCTCTGCTCCCTGCAAGCTCCGCCTCCCGGGTTCACGCCATTCTCCTGCCTCAGCCTCCCAAATAGCTGGGACTACAGGCGCCCGCCACCACGCCCGGCTAATTTTTTGTATTTTTAGTAGAGATGGCGTTTCACCGTGTTAGCCAGGATGGTCTCGATCTCCTGACCTCGTGATCTGCCCGCCTTGGCCTCCCAAAGTGCTGGGATGACAGGCGCGAGCCACCGCGCCCGGCCTGCTCTTTTTTAAATTGGGTTGTTTTTTTGTTGCTGAATTGTGAGAGTTCTTTATATAATCAGATACAAGTCCTTTAAAGATAAATAATTTGGAAATATTTTCTCCCATTTCACAGGTTCTTTTCACTTTCTTGATTATGTCTATTGAAGAACAAAAATTTTTAACTGATGAAGTCCAACTTACTACCTATTTTTCCTTTTGTCGCTTGTGTTTTTGGTGTAGTATCTGAGAAACTATTGCCTAATCCAAGGTCATAAAGATTTAATCCTGTTTTCTTTTAAGAGTTTTATAGGTTTAGCCATTCTCTTGTATTTTATTTGAATATTAGAATCATCTTGCCATTTTTGTAAGAATTTCAGCTAGGATTTTAAAGAGACTGCATTGAATGCATAAGTCAATTTGGGGAGTATTGCCATCTTACCATTATTAAGTCTTCCAATCCATGAATACAGAATGTTTTTTCATTTATTCAGGTTCTTTTTAACTTCTTTCCACAATGTTTTGCAGTTTTTGGTGTATAAATCTTACGCTTCTTTTGTTACATTTATTCCCAAATTTTTTATTCTTTTGGATACTATTGTAAATGTGTTTTCTTAATTAAATTTTCAGATTGTTAAGTGATAATTCATACAACCACAATTGATTTTTACATTTTGATCTTGCATCCTGCAAATTTGCTGAACTATTAGTTCTAATTGTCTTTTGTGTGTTGTTTAGAATATTCTACGTACAGTATGATGTCACCGGAAAATATAGTTTTACCTCTCCAATTTGGATTTCATTTCTTTTTCTTGTCTTTGCCCTGGCAAGAACCTCCAGTGTAATGTTGAATAGAAGTAGTGAGAGTGGACATCCTTGTTTTGTTCCTGATGTTAGGGAGAAAGCAGTCAGTCTTTCACTATTAAGTATGATGTTAGTTATGGGTTTTTTTTTTGTTAACAGATGCAGTTTATCAGATTGAGGAAGTTTCCTTCTATTACTAGTTTACTGAGTGTTTCTCATCAAAGGGTAGTGAATTTTGTTAAATGCTTTTCTGTGTCTATTGAGATGATCATATATTTTTTCTCCTTTATTCTATTAATATGGATTATTATATTGATTGATGTTAAACCAAGCTTGGAATCCTAAGATAAATTCCACTTGGTCATGGCGTATAATCCTTTTTATGTGTTACTAAATTCGGTTTGCTAGTGTCTTGTTGAGATTTTGCATCTATATTTGAAAGAGGTAGTGGTCTGTAGTTTTCCTGTGAGATCTTTTTCTGGTTTTGGCTTCAGGGTAATACTGGTTTCATAGACTGAATTGGGAAGTATTCTTCCATATTTTATTGTTTGGAAGAGTTTGTGAAGTTGATGTTAACTCTTCTTTAAATGTTTGGTAGAATTCACCAGTGAAACTATCTGGGCCTGGCTTTTCTTTGTGGGGAATTACTTATTTATTTATTACTAATTCAGTCTCTCTACTTGTTTTAAGTGTAATTAGATTTTCTACTTCTTCTTGAGTCAGTTTGGATAGTTTGTGTCTTTCTAGGACTTTATTTCATCTAGGTTATTGAATTTGTTGGTGCAAATTGTTCACAGTATTTTCCTATAATCTTTTTTTATTTCTATAAGGTTGCCAGCGATGTTCCTCTTTCATTCCTGATCTTGGTAATTTGAGCCTTCTCCTTTTTATTTTTAAGGTCATTCTAACTAAAGGTTTGTCAACAAAAATCGTTGGTTTTTTCAAAGAACTAACTTTTGATTTCACTGATTTTCCCTACTGCTTTTATATTCTCTATTTTATTTTTTTCTGCTCTAATTTTTGTTATTTCCTTCCTTCTACTTGCTTTCGGTTTAGTCTATTCTTTTTCTAGTTTCTTAAGGTGGAAGTTTAGGTTATTGATTTGAGATCTTTCTTCTTTTTTACATATAGGTAGCTGCTGCTATAAATTTTACTCTGAGCACTGCTTTAGCTGTATCCCTTAAGTGTTAGCGTGATGTGTTTTTGTTTTAATTCATCGCAAAGTATATTCTGTTTTTTTGTGATTTCTTCTTTAACACATTCGTTCTTTAATAGTGTGTTGTTTAATTTCTACATATTTGTGAATTTCCCAAATTTCTTTCTGTTATTGATTTCTAACTTCTTTCTATTGTGGTCACCGAATATATTTTGTATGATTTCCATTCTTTTACATTTATGGAGGCTTGTTTTATGGCCAAACATAACATTTAAACATATAAGGATAAAAACTCCAACTCCACATCTCAAAACACAGAAACAAGGTAAAAAGACAAATGGCGACTTAGAAAAAAAAATTTGCAACGTATAGACAAAGGGTTAATATGAGGAAACAAACATGCTCTTTAATTGGTGGAGAGAATGCAAAATGGTACAACCCACAGGGAGGGGAATTTACCAATACTTAGCAAAACTACATCCCTTTCATGACCTCCGTGCATTCATAAGTCACATTCAAACGGCGGGGACGAAACCCATGAGGAGGTGTCCCATCTGGCCGCCTCTGCCTCCTCCTTTACCCTAAGGAAGTCCAAGTGCACCTTCCTGGTGCTGGGCAGGCAGGGAAGGGGTGCCGAGGGGCTGAGGTGTCTGCATTGGAAAGGGCAGATGTGGAGGAAGACAGACTCAGAAACAGAAACCTACATGCATAACAAGACAAGCTGGCTTTGGGGGTAGCACCTGGGAGCTTTCTTGAGAGAACGAGGTTTAAGATTGATGACAGAGACTGTATTTTGTGAGCTTTTTGGGAAGAGCTGGGCAAAGGAGTTCAGCAGTGTGTCTGTGTGCTTTCAGTGGAATTCCCCGTGGATGCCTTGTCAAGCAACTGTCTTAAAGACTTCAGCTGCTTGTTGATTTTAAGATTCCAGGCTGGAGTTTCCTTTGAATACATCACTGTGCAGACAAAGGTCATGGAGCAGCTCACGTTTCCCTGGATCTCACATAAATATTCATTTCTCCTCCTCTACTTTTTTAACAAATGGATTATACGATAATCATGTTCTGCATCTTGTTTTTCCTGCTTGAAAGTTCTTCTGCATAGGCACATGGAGATCTAGCACACTCTTCTTCATGATAGCTTCCTGTCTTCATGGATGAACATTTAGGGCATTTCCAGTTTTTCCTTAGTCTCTGCAATGCTGACATAAACATCCTGGGAAATGCATATGCGTTTCTGCCCACGTAGCAACTATAAAATCTCCAGCAGCGGAAGGAGCAGAGGATATACTCAGTCCTAATTTTAATAAATATTGCCAATTTCTGCTCAATAAGTTCTTTTCAAGATAGCCTCAATTATTAACTCCAATATTGAGTTAAAATATTGAGAATAAAAAATATATATAAAGTAGAACAAAACGATAGTCTTACTACATTAAATAATACCAAACTTTCTGATTTTTCCAATCTGTAAAACAGAATAAGATATCTCATAATTGGTTTTCATTTGCATTTCTTTCCATAGGAATGGGCACAGTGTATTTTCTATGTTTATCAATTGTTTCTATTTTTTTCTATTAACTAAATTAAACTGCCTAATCCTGTGTTTTGTTTGATTTGAAAACTGGAGCCTGGGCATGGTGGCTCACACCTGTAATCCCAGCACTTTGGGAGGCCGAGGCGGGCGGATCACGAGGTCAGGAGATGGAGACCATCTTGGCCAACATGGTGAAACCCCGCCTCTACTAAAATACAAAAAAATTAGCCAGTTATGGTGGTGCGGGCCTGTAATCCCAGCTGAGGCAGAGGAATCGCTTGAAGCTGGGAGGCGGAGGTTGCAGTGAGCTGAGATCGTGACACTGCACTCCAGCCTGGTGACAGAGCAGGACTCCGTCTCAAAAAAAAAGAAAAAGAAAAAAGAAAGAAAGAAAATTGGAATGTTCTTTTTGTTAATGCTCTTTGCAAATGAAGGAAAAGAGCTCTTTGGAATCTGTGTTGAAAATAGTTTTCTACCTATTCGTTGACTGGCACTTAAGAAGGGCTTTGCTACTGAATAGTTCTAATTGGTATGTTGTTCAACATTCATTCAAGTTCTCCTAAATTTATGATGTCTAGGTTTGGTGCTGTGCTTAGAAAAATATCCTTTACTCCAAAACTGTTTAGTTTCATCATTTTCCTAGACTTTTAGTGGTGTTGATTTTTATGCTTAAGACATCTAGCGTTATTTGTTACAGCACATATTAGGAATCGCCCAAATGCCCGTGAAGAGGAGACTGCCTGTATAGCTGAGTTGCATCCATGCTATAGATTTGATCCATCTGAAAATGATGTTGGAGTGGGAGTGAGAAAGCAATATGTTACCCCTATGCTATTCCCAAATAAACCTTTCCTGGACTAATTATAATTCTAACTAGCAAGGCAAAATCAATGTGCATTTTGGCCTATTTTCAGATTGCCACACTGTTCCATTGCTTTCTCTGTGCATTGTCTCGCTAGTCTCCAACCCCAGTCATTATGGTGGCATTGGAATAAATTTTAGCATACGCTGCAACTAATCTCCTCCCCTCCTCTCACCCCATCCCCTCCCCACCTGAACTTTCCTGTATTCTCATAGGTTTATTTCTCTAGGTAAAATTTATTATACTTTTTCCATGTTCCAAAAAGAAATCCTGTTTGTATTCTAATTGAGAATGCATTAAATGATAGGATCAATTTGTGGAGAATTGATATATTTACAATATTAAGTCCTCCTACACAAGAAGATGATATGTTATTTTTCTTACTCAAATATCCTTTATGTCAAGAGTTTAAGGTGTTCTTAGGTAGGCCTGATATATTTACCGCTATTTCCCCTAAGTATTTTATATTTAACATATTCATTTAATAATTAAGAGAAAAAAGCAGCGTATTTCCTCTATAGCCTCTTTGAATATTCAAAGTTTTCATTTCAGTTTTCTGTGTTCTTAGATAGATCTTGATAGAGCATCTAATTATAGGTTAACAACGAATAGATACCGTGCCGACACTAACAGCGCCTAGAAATTGATAAGGAAAATCAGAGTTCCTCAAAAATTGATTAATAAAGAATATGAAGGCTGGGCACTGTGGCTCATGCCTGTAATCCCAGCACTTTGGGAAGCCGAGGCAGGTGGATCACCTGAGATTAGGAGTTTGAGACCAGCCTGGCCAACATGGTGAAACCCCTTCTTTTCTAAAAATACAAAAATTAGCCAGTGTGTTGGTGGGCGCCTGTGATCCCAGCTACTCGGGAGGCTGAGGCAGGATAATCATTTGAACCCAGGAGGCGGAGGTTGCAGTGAGCCGAGGTTGTGCCATTGCACTCCAGCCTGAGTGACAGAGCAAGACTCTGTCAAAAAAAAAAAAAAAAAAAAAAAAAAAAAAAGAGGCTCTGCAGAGATAGTTTTTAAAAAAGTAAATATAGCTACTTCTTACGCATGCTAAAACATGCTTGGTCACACTCATCGTAAGAGAAGTGCATATTCTAACTAGGCTGAGGTACCATTTTTCACATATCACATTAGGAAAAAGCAAACATTTGGTAATAAATACTTGTCAGCCACTGGGAAACAGACACGCACACATGTTTTCAGGGATTGGGGCATAAACAGGAAAAACTCTCCTGAAGGGCTGCTTAGCAACATCTGTCAGATTTTTCGAAGCATATATGCCCCGTGACCCATCACTTTGGGAATGTGTTGTATAGATGAGCTTCTATACATGGGAACAGACATCTGGCATTATTTGTTACAGCACATGTTAGGAATCGCCCAAATGCCCGTGAAGAGGAGACCGCCTGTATAACTGAGTTGCATCCATGTCACAGAACACTATGCAGTTGACTAAAAGGAGGCCAATGACACCCTTAATGTGTGAAAGAAACAGGCAAGGCACAGAACAGCATCTGCGATCAGCTACATTTTGTGTAAAAGAGGGGAAAAATCAGACTCTATCTTTGTTTTGCTTCTTTACTTATAAAAAAGATTCTGGAAGGATGTAAGAATCTCAGGATTGTAGATCGATACTTATGATTTTTGAACCATAAGACCGTATGACATTTTCAAACAACTAAAGTTTTAACATATTGGCAAGGGAACAAATATGAGGTCATGTTTTCTTCCTTTTCCTCTGCATGTCTTCCAGGCTGAGATATATACCCTCAAGTTCAAACAACAGAAATTGACTCCAGCTGATTTGTCTCAATACTAGGACTGCCATCTGCCTTCCAAACACAAAAGCAAGCACACAAAATAGAAGCAAAAAAGCCAAGATCAGGAGTCCTCCGTAGCTGGTAGAATTGTAGGCTGGTGTCTATCATGTGAGGATTTGAGGTGAACCCAGTGAGTGATTACAGTGTAGCCTCCGAAAGGTTAAAGCAAATGCCACAAACCCATCCTTGTAAAAGATAATGCTGAACAGAAGTGAAAGCTTGCCTACCCCACCCCTTCGACCTAAGATACAAACTCTGAGAAGATCCTCAGTCTGCAGCGAGAGTTAACATTTCCTGGGTGCTGCACTGCTCTGCAGCTGGGTTTTTGGTGCATAGCTGAGTTAGATCAATGCTGCGCTGTGGTTGTTGCAGTCACAGATCTTTTTCCTGGATGGAGAAGCCTGCTTGTGTATGGTGCAAACTACTTCCATTTAGTACAAGCTCTGGCTGAACAACAATAGGTCTCCTCCTTTTTTTCATGAGCAATATCCTGATATTAAAGCAAGAAGCTCCATGATTCCTCAGCAACTGAAACACTCTGAGAATGTCTGGGCCCCACTGTGAGGCCCCATGCCCACCCAAACCTCACTAACAGCCCCGCTTCATGATTTTTCTCTGACCTGTGTTCAAGGCATTCATTATGAATGGCTGGAGGCTGAACATTTAAGATAAGGGATCACGACCGGGTGTGGTGGCTCACACCTGTAATCCCAGCACTTTGGGAGGCCGAGGTGGGCAGGTCACCTGAGGTCAGGAGTTCGAGACCAGCCTGACTAACATGGTGAAACCCTGTCTCTACCAAAAATACAAAAATTAGCTGGGCATACTGGTGGGCGCCTGTAATCCCAGCTGCTTGGGAGGCTGAGGCAGGAGAATCGCTTGAACCCAGGAGGCGGATGTTGCAGTGAGCCGAGATCACACCATCGCACTCCTGCCTGAGTGACAAAAAAAAAAAAAAGATACGATCACTTGCAAACAAATGATCACAAAAATGCCAAGAACTGAGGAGGAACTAAACTTATTTTTAGCTTAAAAAAAAAAAAAGAACCAAGTAAAAAGGGACATTATCTAAGATCCAATTCAGTAAGTTTCTGATAGTTTATCTTTGTAACTTCCTAAAGCTACTGCTTGTTTATTTAAATTTTTAGAAATCATATGGCAATAACAACAAAGATAGAAATTTGTTGTTTTGTAGAAATTTGGGGGAGAAAGTGAGAATAGAAACATTATTTTGTAAAGGCAGTGAGTAAATATTCAAAGGAAACACTTAGGTTAATTCATTTAACCCCATCAGATGCTAGTATTAGCTCTGCTTACAGATAAAGAAAGAGGTCCCCAGAGAGTCAGTGACTTGCCCAAGGGAGGGGGCAGAATTTCCACTCTAAATCACTGAATTAATTTTTATTAAAAAGGCAGAAAACAATGACTCAGCAAGCTGTTACACCCCCTTGGAGTAAAACAGAAAGATTAAAATTACACTTGAAGGAAAGGCAGGCCATCTTGTCCCTATTTTAAGAAAGTGAAATAATTCACTTTACATAGACTGTTGCCTTAGGCCCAGGAGTCTTTATATAAGATCCCAATTTGGAACATACCAAGACAGTTTGTGCATATTTTTATTAAGTCACTTCTGAGTTACTCTGTGAAAACCGGGAAAAAAGCACCTTCCAAACTTGTTGAAAAGGGATGGCCAGCACTACGGGTTGATCAGTAAGCACTGGCGGATGGAGAACCCTGGGAGTTGTTCAGCATGGACATGGAGGCCGTCTCCGGGTGAGTGCACACCCCACCCGCCCACTGTGAGCAGAGAGGCCTCATGAGGACCCAAGGCTGCTACCAACAGAACCAGAGGGGGACTCCGGGCACCCATCGTCAGCCTTGCTTACTCCGTGAATTGTCGAACTTCACACTGTACCAGTTTTCTTCAGTGAGACATACAGGTTTTGTAATTTGGAAAAAAAAGAAAAGAAAAAGCATTCTGAAGATAAGGCAAGGAAAGATTTGGACTTTAATTGAAACATTTTAATTTAAAATGTTAATTAAACAGCTTTAATTTTGATGATTAGATTTGAGGGTCATCACACTTTCGTGTACACACATTTGGAAATGAAGACTGGCCACATTTTAAATCCATGTCTTCCATAACTGTGAGCCATGCCTTCTCTAGCTTAGAGCCAAATAAAATCGGACTCACCATTTTGTAAGGACCCTACTTTTTAATCATTGTAATATTATTATCATTTTCCCTAATAGAAATAGAGTCCAGTTGAGGCTACATAATTTGCCCAACAGAGAAAGAGAAAAAGAACAGGCCATTTTTTTTGAGGGTCTGCCTAGCATGTGCACTTAGTATGGTGCTAACCATTCCGCAAACAGATTCTAACCCTGCCCCTGTCACAGATAGGACTAGCTGTGGAAGCATCAGGATTTGAACCCGGTTCCTTCCGACTGTAGAGCCGGTTCTTGACATTCTCACTCAGTATTTCCTGCAAGTGCACACCTTGGAGATGCCCAGGAGACGCTGGAAGATGAGATCAAGACAGTAGGCTGAGCCCGGCTGCAGCCACCACCTCCTGCTCCAAATCCTTAGAAATTATTACAAATATCAACAAGCCTTATTAGCATGGGAAAAGAAGTGACCTGAGAAGACCGGAATCCACTGTGCGTGAGGTGGAGAAGGCTTGGGAGAGCTCCGAGGCTGCTGGGGGACATGGGAAGCAAGAGGGTCCCCAGGTCACCAGCAGGGCGACTGGGAGGAGTGGGGAGCCATAGTGGGCAGACTCCTGTGGATCTGGCCCCTCTCCAGCTTGTGCCAGGCAGCCTGGGACTGATGGGTCTACACTCGATGTGGGCTAAAGAGAAAGTGTGCTGGGCAACTCCCAGGAGGCACACGGAGCCCACCACCCGGAAGCCATGCTCTGGATGTCCCCAAGGCAGCCTGCTACAGTCCCCTGGCCCTCCTCTTCGCAGGCTATTGTGACAAATGCTGTGTTCACAGACAGCTACGGGGAATCCCGAGCAGAACAGTCAGCATCCACCCAGGCACCCGCAAGCATCTGAGGAAGAGCAGCGCCATAAAGAGAAGCACGAAACTCCTCTAACCAAGCCAGCACACAGGCAGGCCACCGATCAGCAGGAAGAGACATCCCACCTTACACACACACACACACACACACACACACACACACACACAGAGACATAGACACACACAGACACACACACACACACAGACACACACACACACAGAGACACACACAGACACACACAGAGACACAGACACACACATACAGGCACACACACACACACACAAAGACACACACAGAGACACAGACACACACACACAGACACACACACATAGACACACACAGACACACACACGGACACACACAGAGACACAGACACACACACAGACAGACACACACAGACACACACACAGACACATACAGACACACACAGAAACACACATGCACAAAGACACACAGACACACACATAGATATGCAGACACACAGACACACATACAAAGAGACACACACAGACACACACACACAGAAAATATTTATGTTTCCTCTTTATGTAGCCAAGGGCACAGGCTCATTGGAAGCAGTCTGATCACCTAGGGGAGAAGCTGTGTCATATTTCACCACTGTCCCCCTTGGGCCTCAGAGTCCCCAGGAGGAAGTGAGCAGCTGACAGTGACAATGTCTCTGCAAGGCAGGGTCTAGCCAGGTCAGAGGGCCTGCACATCTTGCTGCATCCTCACATTACTGTTCGGGGCAAACCTACACAAATCACACAGTCACTGAGATAAGACAGCTTTGGGCTTTCCTGATTCACAACACAGCTTGGTATTGTCAACTGTTCATCCTTATCTTGGAGGAAAAGACTGAGTTAGCATGGGAGCTTCCCTAAGCAGAATCTCAGGCTCCAGCTTTCCAGCACCTCCAGGGCCCCTCTCTACACAGAATTAATGTTAGCAGAGCGAGAATGAATTCAGAATAAATATTACTGATGTCTTGGAGAGAAACAGGAGGATGCAGCATCCACAAACAAGAATCAACTAAAACTCTTGGGAATTAAAACGAGAAGAGTTGCACTGTGAAGCACAGTGGGTGAGCTGCAGAGCAGAGACACCGTTGAAGGACAAATCAGGAATCTGGAAGACCAAGAGGAGGATGCAGCACCAAAAGACAAGGAGGCCGGGAGCAGAGATAAAAGAGTGAGAGACATTGAAGATATTTTTTGAAGTTTTTCAAAATGTGTCTAATGAGAGTTTCAGAAACATATACTTAAATAAATAAGAATAATTTTCAAGTTGCAAAAATATGAGTCCTCAGAAGTGACAGGATACTAGTCAAGAAGAGTAAATTTAGAAAAAAGAAGAATGAAGGACTAGTGAAATAAACAATCTTATGGAAAGACTGATCAACAACAAAATGAGAGAGAGAGAGAGAGCAGGACATGTGAGAACACAAAAGCATTATCTGAAACAAAGAGATAAAACTATATTAGAGAACTTAAAATCATGGCATCATCAGCAAAGGACACAGGGATTCTTGGAGAAACAGTGCATCGTGCATCCGGGGCAGGATATGGACAATCTGGCCCTGGATGTCTTGTCACATCAGAAAGCAAGGAAGTTATCAAAGACTTCTGGGGTCATGCCAAAAGATAGAGGAACCTACTCAGGGGGCCTACTGGCAAAAGAGGAACAGCGTTAGCATCAAGAATCAAATAAATTAAAATTCATGAGTTCATAATGATACTAAGGAAAAAAAACCCCACCTTCATTGGCCGCCTTCAAAAGGTGCTAGGGAATTGACTTATTTTCAGTAGAATGAATAAGAAAACTAAGAGAAAAAAACCCAACTATTTACCCCGACTTTGCTGTACAAACTGTAACTCAGGGTACCACAGAGTTAATGGAAGAAATTTCTTCTTTAGAGATCACTTTCAGCTGATAAATGAAGAAGGTAAGATAGACTTAAAATAACACCACTTTGCAACCTCAAATTAAATAATTGATCTAAGCAACCATCAATGACTGATAAAACCATTGTGTGAAAAGTCGAAAAACCATTAGGACGTTTATAAAGAGTGATTGCGCTGACACCACTGAAAATCATTAAAAAACTCTAAACATCAGAGAGAGACAATTAGACATTCTGTGACTAGGTGATGCAGGAGGAAGAACCCACCATCTATTGGGCATTTTTGCCAAAACATCTTACTAAATCTAATCAGGCCTCTGGATCTACAAAAACATAGGGAAGGTGGGAACATGTCAGGCCACACATAGAAATGCAATTGCCAAAAATCCAGACTGTGGAAAATTGCAAAGGACAAACAATATGGCTTTATCAACAAAAGAAACTGCAATGAAAAAGAAATTGAGGGAGAAAGATAGAAATTAAGAGACTTAGGAACTGTACTGTCCCATGTCCCAGCATGCAAGGGCACTGACTCAACAAACCTGCCCCAAACAAACCAGTGATAAAAACAGAGACAATGCAGGACATTTGAACACTGACTAGATATTTGATATTTTGACTTTTTTATTTATTTTGAGATGGAGTTTCACTCTTGTTGCCCAGGCTGGAGTGCAATGGCATGATCTGGGCTCACTGTAACGTCCATCTCCTGGGTTCAAGCGATTCTCCTGTCTCAGTCTCCCGAGTAGCTGGGATTACAGGTGCCCGCCACCATGCCTCGCTAGTTTTTTGTATTTTTAGTAGAGATGGGGTTTCTCCATGTTAGTCAGGTTGGTCCCAAACTCCTGACCTCAGGTGATCCACCCACCTCAGCCTCCTAAAGTCCTAGGATTACAGGCATGAGCCACCACACCCGGCCCTCTCCAGCCAAGGGTCCAGCCTGGGTCTCCCCTCTCAGAAGCCTAGCCTGTCAACAGCATGCTATTGTGGGCATACATTAACATACACTTTTAAACATACATTTAAACGTATGTTAAATGTATTTTGTTTTTTCTTTTCTAGACTTCTTAAGCTATAAGTATGGAATTGGGTTCTAAATCATCTGGAAAGAGAGAGAAGGGGGTTTACATGGATGCAGATTGGCCATGTGGGGGAAGGAGGGAGGATGGCAGAAGGTGGGTTACCTGCATGGGAGGAGTAAGTTCCAGTGCACCAGAGCACTGGAGGGGGAATCGAGTTAACAATAGTTTGTGGTCTGTTTTCAAAAAGCTAGAAGAGTGGCTTTTGCATGTTCCCAACACCAAGAAATGAAAAATGTTTGCGGTGATAGATATGCTAATTATCCTTATTTGATCATTACACATTGTATACATGTATCCAAGTATCACTCTGTATCCCATAGACAAGCACAATTATTACATGTCAACTAAAAACAAGAGGGTTAAAAAAAAGATTGCCCATGTGTGATAATTACTGAAATTGGGTAATGGGTACAAAGGGGTGCATTTTAATATTCTCTCTACTTGTGTACTGTGTTCAAAAGTTTCTGTAATAAAAAATTTTAAAAAGTGGCCGGGTGTGGTGGCTCACATCTGTAATCCCAGCACCTTGGGAGGCTGAGGCAAGTGGATTGCTTGAGCTCAGGAGTTCGAGACCAACCTGGGCAACATGGTGAACCCCCATCTCTACAAAAAAAAAAAAAATACAAAAATTAGCCAAGCATGGTGGTGTGCGCCTGTAGTCCCAGCTACTTAGGAGGATGAGGTAGGAGGATCGCTAAAGCCCAGGCTGTCAAGGCTGTAGTGAGCCGAGAGGTCGCCACTGCACTCCTGCTTGGGTGACAGAGTGAGACCCTGTCTCTAAGTAAGTAAGTAAATAAATAAAGAAATAAATAGGCTGGGCGCAGTGGCTCACGCCGGTAATCCCAGCACTTTGGGAGGCCGAGACGGGCGGATCACGAGGTCAGGAGATCGAGACCATCCTGGCTAACACGGTGAAACCCCGTCTCTACTAAAAATACAAAAAAATTAGCCGGGCGTGGTGGCGGGCGCCTGTAGTCCCAGCTGCTTGGGAGGTGGAGGCAGGAGAATGGCATCAACCTGGGAGGCAGAGCTTGCAGTGAGCTGAGATCGCGCCACTGCACTCCAGCCTGGGGGACAGAGTGAGACTCCGCCTCAAAATAAATAAATAAAATAAAATAATAAATAAATAAATAAACATTTTAAAAAAAGAAATCTAAGACAAAAATATAACATTTTAAAGTTCCACGTAGCTAAAGACTTATGAAAAGAGAAAAATGTGCCATTTTGAGTCCAGGCCTAAAAACTGTGGTTTCTGAGGCCAATAAAAAAGGGGAACTAAATAGTAGCCCTGATTCTTTGGAAGAGACGGCAATTGGTAGTAAGTTTGGGTAGGGGGCGGGAATGGGTACTTTTTATTGTATTCCCTTTTGTACTTCTTTTAAATTGTGTGTAAGTATATGATTCATCTATTAAAAATGAATAAGATAGTTTAAAAATATATTTTAAAATCCTGAACCATTATCAACTTCATGCTAAAATATTCGAAAATCTAGATTAAATGGATAACTATCTAAAAATTGTATTGCATAAAATAACTCAAGAAGAAATAGAACATTTACATAAACCTATAACCTTTAAAGACAGAGAATCAATAGTGAGACATCTACCCATTAAAAAGCACCAGGCCTGTATGGTTTTATAGGCAAAGTGATGTATTCTGCTTCTTGGAAAATATAGGACATACTTATATTATCAAACTTATGTTGGTTGAAGAAGCAAGATGCAAAAAGACTGGCATAGTATGAAAATATTTAATCCAACATTTTTAGTATGGAAACTGTTCTGAAAGGAGCAGGATTGACAAAACAGGACTCTGGTTACCCCATCCCTACCACAGCTGGACAATGAGCCAGCTGAGATGCCTCCTTCTCCCAGCTGAAGTGATAGCACCCAAGCTCAGTTTCCCATGGGTCTAGTGGCTCATCATAGAGGACTGCACATCCCACAGACCCCAAGTTGCCCCATAGAAGCAGCCAGCACCCACAGCTAGCATGCTATTGACAGGCTGGGCTCTGAGAGGGAAGACCCAGGCTGGACCCTTGGCTGGAGTAGAACCCAGCCCCATCCAGCCCTATCCAGTAGATGCCCTGGCATAGCTTCTTGTTAAAGGAGAGGCTGGGGGCCACATGCCATGCCATCTTGCAGATTCAGGCTTTGTGATTTTCTTTCTCTTAATAAAGCCTATTCCCTAATCTCAGTGGATGACATTGTGGAGTTCATGCCAACCCCTGCGCAATAGATGGTAGCCCAGGGGGAATCCACCTGGCAAGGCAGAAATGATACCATGTATTTACAGACACACACACACATACAGCCATAAAGGGTTCAGACTAACTTCAGAATAATGGCTACCCCTGGAGTTGAAGGAGAGCAGTGATCAGGGAGAGATCCAAAGGCGTTCTGGCTGTACCTGTAAGGTTTGACTTCTTAAAATATTTTCTTTGTAGCAAAAATGACAAAATAACGAATGTTGGTTAAATCTGAGTGATGGGTACATCTTTGATCCCTCCTTCCTTTACTCGTCACTCACCTAACCCGTATCAAAGCCTGCTCCTCTCACCAGGAGGTAGAGTCTATTTCCTGTGCCGGCCTAAATCTGGACTGGCCTTTGACTTGTTTTGACCCACAGGTAGTGGCCGAAGTGATGCTGTACCAGGTCTAGGCCTATGCCTTGGGAGGCCTAGAGGCTTCTGCTGCTAAACTCCAAGAATTCGGCAGTAGGCTGTAAAGAAGCTTGGGCTAGACATGCGGTGGATGAGAAGGTGTGTGGAAGAGAGAGAAGTCATGTGGAGGAGCACGGAGGGGCCAGACATGGGAGTGAAGCAAGAAGAACCACCAGCTGGGCCCTGCCTAGATTCCTGACCCACAGAAACCTGGGAAATGATCATTCGTTGTTCTTTTAAGCCAGCAAGTGATAGGGTGGTTTGTTACATACTTGTGTGTGGATACCCACACAAGTCCTGATAGCTTTATTTTGAGACCTATTCCCAGTGCATTCTCTTCCTCCCACTGCTACCCCACCATCCTGGCCCTCCTGGTGCCTTCTCTCCAGGGCTCTGGCAATAGCCTTCTAATTCCCTAAATAAAACCATGCAGCTCCTCAGATGTGTCCATCAGCCTTGGAACAAAATCTACACTCCTGCTGTGAAGGCTTTACCTCTCCAGCCCCATTTGGTGCTTCTCTCACTCTGCCCCAACTGCACAGGCCATCTTGCGGTCAGTCAAACCTACCGAGCTCATTCCCGCTGCCCAGCCTTTGCACTCACTGATGCCTTGCCAGGAGCACCATTTCCCCAGCTCCTTTACAGGACTGACCTGATTCCATTCACTTCATTCTGTGTAAATGCCACCTCCCCCCAGACACCTTCCCTGATCTCTGACCAGCAGTAGTGCCCTATGCCTGTCACTCTCCATCCCTGCAACCTGGTTGATTTCTGTCATGGCCCTGTTCACTCCTGACAGTAGAGTGCAGGTTTATTTACTGTGTTTCCCCTGCTGGAATAGAAACATCATGAGGACATTTTCCTGGCTTCCCAGAGCCCTGACCATAGCAGGCTCTGACATAGCCTGGAGTGTAGGACTAAGACCAGGCACAAGAGGGAGGGCTGAGCAGATCATTCTCTGTTATTTTCAGTATGTTCAATAAACCCTCTTCTTCCCAGCCTTCCTGTGGCTGCCTCCTTCTGGTCAACTGAGCAGACCTGAGATTCAACATCAATGTCTTACCTAATAATAAATCAAAATGGCCACACTGTGCCTCTTTTGTACATGATCTTACTCTAATGCTTCATTGAGCATCACTCTCTGGTTTTCTTCTTCCTTCCTTTTTTTTTTTTTTTTTTTTGAGACAGTTTCTTGCTGTGTCACCCAGGCTGAAATGCAGTGGTGTGATCTCTGCTCACTGCAGTCTCTGCCTCCTAGGCTCAAACAATCCTCCCACCTCAGCACCCCCAAGTAGCTGGGACCACAGGTGTGTGCCTCCACGACCGGCTAATTTTTTTTTTTTTTTTTTTTTTTTTTGTAGAGATGGGGTTTTGCCATGTTGGCCAGGCTGGTCTCAAACTCCTGAAGTCAAGTGATCCACTTGCTTGGCCTCCCAGAGTGCTGGGATTACAGGCATGAGCTACCTTGCTCAGCTCTCTTGTTCTTTGCTGTCTACTTTTCCTGCTACAACTGGAAGCCCTGTAAGGGCAGAGGCCACACTCCTGCTGTGTCCCCAGCATCTGGAACAGTGTCCTCCACAAGTGGATGCCTAAGAATGGTTGAAATAATCATGCTGAATTAATAAAGACAAACACAAAGCTGGGGCTTAGAAGAAATGTAGAGAATGCAGAGGTCATTAAAAAGAACTTCAAAAATAAGTGCCAGTGAAAAATATTTTTCTGCCAGCATTTTCACTGACTTAGTATCCTAGGAAGTTGCTTTCTATGTAATTTATAGACATTCTTTGCCTATAAAGTCAGCTGACTGCAAATTTCCCTAATAATGCTTTGAATCATATAATTATTGATTTGTCTGGAATTCACTGTAAAATATTGGTTTCAATACATGATTTTGACATCTTAAATAAATAAATAAAAATTAACTGAGAAGATAAGACTGACACCAAAATAAAATAAAATAAATGGCAATTAGGATCCTCTGGGAAATTCAAGAAAATACTGTGTACAAAACACAGGAGCACAACGCTATGAAAATAAACAACCAAGAACAGGAAAGAGTTTTGGAAATTAAGACTGAGTTCCAAAATGAAATGTTCAATAGACAGGTTAGAAGATGAAGTCAAGCAAATCTTTTTTTTTTTTTTTTTTTTTTTTTTTTTTTTGAGATGGAGTCTGGCACTGTGGCCCAGGCTGGAGTGGAGTGGTGTGATCTCAGCTCACTGCAACCTCTGCTTCCCAGGTTCAAGCGATTCTCATGCCTCAGCCTCCTGAGTAGCTGGGACTACAGGTGTGTGCCACCATACCCGGCTAATTTTTGTATTTTTAGTAAAGACGGGGTTTCGCCACGTTGGCCAGGCTGGTCTGGAACTCCTGACTTCAAGTGATCTGCCCACCTCAGCCTCTCAAAGAGCTGTGATTACCAGTGTGTTACTGGACCTGGTCAAAAGTTTATAAACATTAAGAAAAAGAACAACAGTTGGAAAATGTGAGCGAAAAGATAAGCAACCTGTATCTTAATTAATAGGAGTTCCAGAAAAACAAACAAAACAAAACTATAGCGAAAGCAGAAGAGAAAAATATTATCAAAGAAAATACAAGAAATGTCCCATGCATGAAAGGGATACATGCTTGGCCCACCCAGTGCCAAGCAGCAGGAATGGAAGAGGACCCTCACCCAGGTCTTTCGTTGGAAAATTTTGGAAGACCAAGCACACAGGGAAGATTCTGAAAGCTTCTGAAAGGGAAAACCAGGTCACCACAGGGCAGTGAGAATCACACCACATCAGAGGACAAGGGAGAAGGTTCCAAAGGCAGAGGATTCCAATTGAGATCGCAGGAGAGGGCAAAATAAAGATGCCCTCAGGAACACAGAGTCTCCTGCAGGAGCCTCCCAGGAGGCCTTTCTTAGGCATTTTCTTGCTGATGCATTCCAATTAAATAAAGGTGCAAAGTAAGAGTCCTGGGTGGGAGGCGGGAGGCCGATGGAGGTAGCAGGGAAGGGGGTGATTCTCATCTCCAGGGCTCCACAGAACACTGGGTCTCCAGGCACTCGTCATCACGAAGGGAACATGTCATTTAAAGTCACAAATGTAACCTAGGGATGAGTCAGCCCCAAAAGAATGAAATGCAGAGGGAGCAGCAGATAGATGGGGTGCAAAAGGGAAGGAAATATTCATTTATTATGGCAGGAAGTCAACAGGCACTGTTTCAACGGATCAGCAATAGAGAGGTGCAGGCATCTTCTTTACATTGAGAAATGATAATTACCTGAAGAACTAAAACCAGAAACAGGAAATAACAACTCTTTTGGGAAGTTGACACTGGGGCAGGGCCTTGTTGCTTTTCCTATATTATAGTCCCTTCTGTCTGACAGCCTTCATTAACCAGGGGTATGCCTTCCTTTGATAATTTTTAATGTGCTTGTTCTGTGATCCCGCCATTCTGCTGGGGCATATGCAGTAATATTCAACTCTTAGAAGCAAAAGGTAGAAAGAATCTAAAGACCCTTTAATAAGACATTGATGAAAGATGGTTGGATTCACACCAGATGTGGTGCATATAGAGGGAACTCTGAGACATCCTCAAGGGAAAAAAGTTGTACAATAGTATGTACAACTGAATATGCATGTAAAACCAGAAATATATACAAAGATAACCATACATGTGCTTTGGAAGAGGTTAGGAAGAAAACACACTCAGGCCAGGTGCTGTGGCTCACGCCTGTAATCTCAGCACTTTGGGAGGCCGAGACGAGTGGATCACTTGAGGTCAGGAGTTCCAGACCAGCCCGGCCAACATGGTGAAACACCATCTCTACTAAAAATACAAAAATTTGCTGGGCGTGGTGGCGAGTGCCTGTAATCCCAGCTACTCAGGAGGCTGAGGCAGGAGAATCGCTTGAACCCTGGAGGTGGAGGTTGCAGTGAGCCGAGGTTGCGCCATTGCACTCCAGCCTGAATGACAAGAATGAAACTCCGTCTCAAAACAAACAAACAAACAAAAAGAAAACACACTCAGCTAACAGTGATTACCCATGGGCATGATGGAAAGGGGGCCAAGAATAACTGTGGCTTTCTCTTATCATGTCAATCCACTGTGTGAATTGTGGAATTCCATATAAATAACTTTTTTCTTAACCTTCAGGGAGGAGTCAGGCACCAGGAGAATGCTCATAGTGCACTGTCAGGCAGCGGTTCTTCGCTTGCTTCTTATTTTTGAACCCGTGGGTGCTGGTGAAGGTTGCACAGAGACTGGAGTGACGGCCCACTGGAGCCATTTTTGCCTGGAAGCTGGGGTGGGGGCAGAATGACTGGAGGAGCCCTGCCCTGGCCTCCCGCGCCAGCCCCACCAGCAGATCGAGGCCCTGAACCTTCCATCTCTAACCCTGCAGGTGTGGGCCACCTGTGACCACCCACTTGCCTCTCTGAGTTCACACGGCTGTGTCAAGTCCAAACTAAGCTGCTAACAGGAACTTCAGAGAGCCATTCCTGTCCACTTACATTCAATTTCTAACCTCAAATTTGCATCGTAACATGGCTTCATATTTAAAATAATCGATTAAGATGTTCTCTGCCTTTAAATATCTCTGAGTCACTGAAAAGTTCAAAGTGTCACGTAAGTTATTTTTGTTCTCGGTTCTCCTGAAACGACCAGGTAGGTGATTTTAAGCCAACATTTGGCAATGTGCCACGGCCCCTGGGTGCTGGATGTTGAATGGAGGATGAGAGGATGTCGCCAGGCACAACCCCAGCAGCATTAGCAAAAGGAACTGCAATCCTCAAAAGTTCTTTACAGTTGAAAATACAAGTTCTGATTAATGTGTGCTTCTTTGTGCAGCATGGGGGTGATGAGCTCAGGAAGGACTCTATTGCTTGAGATATGTGTTTCTGTTCGGTTTTCTCGTTTCTTTTTTATGACAAATGTCACCCAATAAGTAGCAAGATGGCTAAGTGGAATCTGGACAAACTGAACCCAAGGGTGGCCTGAATAGTGAAGGGACTCAGAATTGGGACTTCCAAAGAATAATAGCAGCTTCTTATTTTCATTCATCAAACTTTCCAAAAATGTGCGTGCAATTCACACACTCAAGTTTAGACTTACATGGCATTGGGAGTGGTGGGAGGGCTCCATTCCCAGAGAACTAAAGAATTTCATAAAAATCCCTAGTGATGGCTCCTTCAAAGTCTGACTCAGGCAAACCAGGAGGGGTGAAAATCCTTGTCGCTCTGCACAGGGGCCTGGGGAGGCCCACATGGACATCTCCCTGCTCTCAGGCTACTGATCTCTTCATGGGGGCCAGGGCAGATGGCTGGTAAGAAAATCTTCTCTCTTGGTGGCTGAATGCATGCCAAGTGAGCCTGGGCTGCTCCCTAGCAAGCACAGAGGCCACCAGATAGGGCTGCCCTGCACACCCCACATAAAGGAGGCCAAGTCAGGAGCAAGTGTGGGGTGGGGGAGGCCAGGGAGGGGGTGAGGACTGGGGCTCTGGTGAGCTACCACATTCAGGCTTGGGCCACCTAGGATGGGGTGGATCAGTGGGGGTGCTCCTGAAAGCCGGTCCACGGCAGGGTGGGGAAGCAGGTAGGGGCAGCTCTCCCTGTGGACCCAGGTGTGTATGGCCTAATAATTAGCCCACAGACAGACTGAGAAGTCAAAAAACTCTTGGATATCCAAGCGGAACGTGTAAAGTTGCCGGCGGCCTGTCCGTGGGATGGCTTACTCAGCCTAAAAAGGAATCTGCAGGGAGGGCAACACATCTGCTTTTAGTGACTCCAAGAAATGGGTTAAGGGATTCCGATCTGTCTAAATGAATAAAGCCTGGTGCAAAGAGAGCCCCACAGCATCCACTTCCTACCAGAGCTGCCCACAGAAAGGCTGGCGTTGTTTGCTAGGGAGTCAGCTCCCCATTGCTAGAAGTAAGCAAGCACATTCCAGACAAGTAACCAGGAGAAGATCTAAGCCTCAGGTTAAAACGAATGTTCAAAGGCTCATCAAGGGCCTGGAGCATCTGTAGCTGGCCTCTGCTTTGTAAGCATGAAGCACAGCTGTGCTAACTGCCACCTGCATGGATGGACGCACACAGCCACCTCGCCTGCCACCTGGGCCACCAATCAGCTTCCCTGTCCTTCTCCTCACTCATTAAAAGATTCCTGACCAGACGTGGCTGTGCTCCCTGGAGGGGCTGGTGAACTCCTGCAGCCAGGCTGGAATCTCCTTCCCTGCAAGGCCCTGCCTGCCCTGTTTCCTGTGGCTCTCACGGTGTGAACACAGCCCAGCACGTTCAGGCAGGAATCCAACAGGAGGAACAGGTCAGAGATGTGGGCTGGCTCATCACTGGGGATCTGTCCCTCGTAGACTTTCCTGCTGTGGCCTGACAAGAAGGCTGGCTGCCACCCTAGAGGCTCTTCCTAATTTGATCTATTTCCTAGTTCTATTTCTGGAAGGCAGGAAGAGACCCTACTTGAGCAAACCTCTTAGCTCCTATATTAAGGAGTTGTATTTCAAATACAGATTCGCAAAAGCCAAAGGAGAAAAAAACAAGACATTGGAAGTAGCCATGAAACAACCTGGGATTTGAAGAACTTCTGGAATGTTCCTTCTCCTCCTTTGGTCCATGCTGGGTCCGGTGGTGGGCAGTGCTCTGAGAGGTGTGTGACTGTGGCAGGGCTTTCAGGACCGAAGCGACGGCCACTCACAGAGAGCTGGGGGGGCGAGCCACTGCCTGGGTGATGTCTGCTCAAGTTCCACCCACCCTCCGCAATCCAGAAGTCTTCCCAAGTATTCTCCACCTGAATTATGTGGAAGTTTCCTGACTTCTCTACTTTCCAGGACAGCTCTCCTTGGCTGGCGGGACTGGTTTTTCCACTCTGGCTGGTGTCAGACATACTCAGAAGAATGAACATCTAATGACATGTTTGTCAAAGTAATGCGCGTCCTGCAGCCCATGCCCAGCATCTCATTGACAGCTGCTCTGTCAGCTGGCAAACTCTACGCCCATCAAAGCTTTCCAACCATTCCTCTTGCACCGCAGGCGAGCTGACTGCTGCTGGTGCTAATGAGGTTGAGATTGTCACACACCTTCCTGGGACACAATTGTGTTGCACAAACACACAGCGGGCCGCACGGCAGGGCAGACACACACAGACCCCAGCCTCACACCAGCTGGGCAAAGCCCCCCACATCCAGGGGCTTTGAAAGGATTAACCATTGTAAACAAACATGAGCTGAGGTCACGCAAGTCACAACAGGTAGGGGGTGTGAAAAGGCGTGCCTAGTACACAAATAAAAAATTAAAAATACCATTACCCCAACACCCAAGAGTAGACACTCTTTTTTAAAGTGTGGGTCTTTTTCTAACGCACACGTGGAAGTATAATAAGAACGTCGTCGTTTTCAATCACGTTATCTTCCAAGGATTTTTAAAGCATGAGAAAGCTGTCCCTACATAATTTTGAGTGTCGTTAGTTTTCCTTCTGGCGGCCAACTTTTCTCAGCCGGAGCTGGAAATTAGGCCTGAACAGTGTTCCCTGAGTGAGGCTGGTGGATTTGGGGGGTGGGAGAGGGGAAACAGGGCTCCCTATCATCCCAGGAAGTCTAGGAGAAGGTGGGATGGGACAAATCCAGCTTAGGCTCTGGGGACATGTGCAGAGGGTGAGTCCTGCGGGGGGATCAGCTGCAGTCATAGTAAGTCAAGTATTCCGCATTTATTCCAGAAAGACTTCAAGGCAAAGAGGCCAGTGGAGGCAGATCTAACTTTGGATGTAAGCACAGGAGGTTTACCGTTTAGATTCTAAACACAAATCATCAGTACTTAAATAAACAATAATTTAAAAATAACTTGCAATATTATTCGTCTGGATGCAAAAGAAGGCAAAACAAAACAAAAAGCAATGTGTAGATATTGCAGGAAACATAAACAGCACCGATGAGCAAAGCACAGTGACTGCAATCCCAGCACACAGACGTGGCCACACGCCACCCTTTGAGCATTACCTGCTCCTTGGCTGTAGTCTTAGTGTACACATTTATTAATATATTCTGCGAAAATGAAATCCAACATGCAATGCGTTAAAATTGGGCTTTACAGAGGGAGCACTGTAGGCTTTAGTCCCTGGAATTAATAACTTCTGTTAGTGAGCTCCAGGGCTGGGGCTCACAGGCTCAGTTCTGCTGGTACCACCTGTGGGACCTTAAAACTCTGAGTATGGGTATAAATTAGTAGCTTCTCACCAGATTCCTTATGAGGATTTGGTTATTATTGTAATTCATTAACATGTAACATAATTTTCTTAATGCTAAACAGGGGACAGAACTTTCTGGGGTGTTTCAGGCTATCTTCCTCTCCTCTTCAACTCTGTGTTCTCTGTATTAGGTCACTGCACAAACACCTCCCTCATTCTCAGGGGTTCCCAGGGTGTCACTTCCCTGTCCTGTCCCTACTTCAAGCTCCTTGAACAGTACACAGTGAAGGCTGCTGAGGTCACGTCAGGGTCCTTGGCCCTTGTGTGTGTCCCTTGGGTTATACAGAACAGGGATAGCAGGGATTCCTGAGATCCCACTGGGGAAAGAGGCCATCAGAGCAGAGTCAGGAGAGGACACCTCCTAAGGAGCAGTGCCAAGCTCAGATGCAGGCCTTTAGGGAGAATCATGGGGGCTGGGGAGTGCCACACTTTGGCCTTTCGGAACACCTTAACATTTTCTGGTTATCTGTCCTGCCACGAGCTTGGAGGTGGGGATGGGTTTGTCCAAAGCCCATTGCGCCCCGGTCCCTGGGACCTGTAAGAATCAACGGGGGATCCCTGGGGACCTAGAAACGCAGGCTGTCTGTGCCCCAGGCCTCCTGAATGAGATTCTGCATTTCATCAGGATCCCCAGGGGACATGTGCACCTGATAATTTGAGAAGTGCTGCTCTATGGGACTCAAACCATTTAGATGGCCTGATTCTCAACTTTAGCTACACGTTAGAATCACTAGGGAACTTTGAAAAATTAGCCATGCTGGCCGGGCGCCGTGGCTCACACCTGTAATCCCACCCCTTTGGGAGGCTGAGGTGGGTGGATCACTTGAGGTCAGGAATTCTAGACCAGCCTGGCCAACATGGTGAAACTTCGTCTCTACTAAAAATACAAAAATTAGCTGGGCGTGGTGGCGCACGCCTGTAGTACCAGCTACTCAGGAGGCTGAGGCAGGAGAATCACTTGAACCTGGGAGGTGGAAGTTGCAGTGAGCTGAGGTCATGCTACTGCACTCCAGCCTGGGTGACAGAGCAAGACACTGTCTCAAAAAAAAAAAAAAAAAAAAAAGAAAAAAAGAAAAGAAAAAGAAAAGAAAGAAAGAAAATGAAAAAGAAAAAATTACCCATGCTTGTTCACTCCCCGCCCCCCTGCCCCAAGATGCTGCTCCAGTGGGTCCAGGTGGTGCCAGGGCCCTGCCGGTTTGAGCCACTACCCAGTGACTGTGTGGGCCGTGGTTGAGAAGCACTCCTTTAGATCACCAACTGTTGACCAGGAGGGGAGGGAGCAGCGCCTCCTGTGGGCTTTTTCAGATGACACAGTCACCTACCCTACAGGCCCCAAACAGACCCAAGGTCCCTGTCCCCACCCTCGTCCCTCAGGGCTGCGAAGAGGAGCAGCAGGAGGATAAGGGAGCCTCACGTGCACTGGAAAGGTGGAGGTGCTACCCCCAAATCGGGGACTGCGTTCTATCACCCACGCCACCTCGATCTCACACCAACAGAGCAAGGTCTTCCTACCACACAACTGAAAAAAGACACACGTCTAATACAAAGAAAAAGAAAATTTACAAAGATGCAAGTTGAACACTCTGGAAAGATTTAGTGCTGGGCAATGTCAAGAAGCAAATTCGTTTCCCATTTCATAATGTGATGGATGTGAAACGACACCTTCCAGAAACATCACCCTGGTCAGCTGCTGGACATTTCAGATGGAGTGAAAACACTCAAACAACTGAACAAAGTGTCTGCCAAGCCAGGTACAGTGGCCGATCGTTAGTTAACACGGTTAAGGGTACAAACGTGGGCCTCTCAGACCCAACCTGTTGACCCTTTCACCTCCCATAGTGTGGCCTAGCATTTAAGAATGAGTGTTGCAGCATTAAGACAGGGTTCAGATGGCAATTCTGTGATTTCTGAGTTGTTGACCTTGAACACGTTTCCAGGCTTCTCTTACCCTCATGTTCCTCAGCTATAAAACGGAAATAAAAGTACCATGTGCCAGGTTGTCGTGAGGATTTTATGACATTATTTCGTAAAGTTCTGAACTTTGTACATGTAGTGCCTGGTACATACTAAGGGATTGACAAATATTTGTAAACGATGATATCCTATTGGTCTTAAAGGTGGTGCAAGTGTAGCGGAAAATCTGGCAAAATACGTGCCAAGAGCTTAACGATGTTCAAGACCAATCATTCAACTTCTGTAAACCTGCATTACAGAAATAACCTTGAAACCAGGTATGAAGAGATGGGAAGGAAATGCTCTCAGTAGGAGTAAACAACTAGAAGCAACCCAAATGTCCCACAGGAGAATAAGGATTAGGTCAATAACTGCACATAGCACTCCCGCAGATAATGATGTTTGTTTTGGTTCGGAGTACTGCCCAATTTATGAATCATTTTTTGATCCAATTATTAAATCGTAAAAAAATAAAATAAAATAAATGAAATGATGTTTCACTTGATTGCGGGAGCCAGGTGGTGCCCTAAGCAAATGTCACTGATGGACGGTGAAGAGAAAAAAGCAACATGCAACATTACATACACCTTGTAAGTACAATAAGGTTAAAACAAAGTCCCCTAAACACAGAGAAGCAGAGACTAGGAGAGAACATGCCAAGATGCTCATTGTACTTGTGTTTGAGATAGCGGGATTCTGGATGATTCCTTTCCCTTCTTCCTTTTTTTTAAATTATTTTTTTCAATTTTTCCTTAATAAACATGTATTATTTTTATAATGAAAAAACAAAACTACATCCTTTTTCTTAAAAGTTCTTTAACCCAGCATGAAGTGATGTCCCAATTGTTAAGATCTGTGAGTCCACAATAAATTTTGTACACTGTTCCTCAATTTTTAGAATTTAAGAGTCCCAAGATATATTATATGATGAAAGAGCACCAAATGATGGACATTTGATTTCCACTGGTTGAGAACTCCTTGTTCTTACATAGCCTAGACACCCTGCAGGATGAGCATGGCAGGTCACACCCAGGCAGGCATAAGCACAGCCCTGTCCTTACCGTTAAGCGTCTCCATGGCACGTTCTGGACACACAGCTGACTCCTCCGGCCCCACACACCAGTACATGCTGGGGGGTCTTTGCGACATGCCAGCCATCAACCCTTGCAGCAGCCGATCTTCAAAGGCAGGTCCCGCTGTTGTCACTGCCACTGCCGCTGGCTGTGGGGTGCATTAAGGCGTGGACTCGTAGCCATGGCTGAGCAGAAAGCTTTCTTGCTCTGGTGGCGAAAAACAATCAAAACAGAAAGCCTTTATAATTCCTGTCCTCCTCCCCTGCAAATATTTGCATGGGTTCATTTAGTTTTCCCTCTGCAACATTCCTTTTTGTAGTCCATCTATCCAGCCAAACCCATCAGGTGTGGTCAGTGGGAAGGCACAGCTCCCCCCATCCCATCTTGATGCGGGGCTCAGGTATTGTCTACCTGAGAAGAGTCTCAAACAAACCCCAGACAATTGGAAAACACATACTGGTAACAGCTTCAATCATTGTTCAGTCAACGCACACCTACTGTCACATGCAAGGTAGCCAGGCTCTGTGTGAGGCTCAGTGGCACCAAGATGGCTCAAGGAGGCTCTTGCCCTCAGGGGCACACTCCAGTGGGGGTAGGGCAGACATAGTTAAGGTTAGTCACGATACAAGGCTCTCCTTTTGCCCGGGGCCAGTTCTTCTGGAAGCCAGAGGTGAGCACGTCATCCCAAGGGGGTGGTCAGGCAACAGTTCCAAAGACATGGAATTATTACTGGTTATGAAGTCAAGTTAGCATGAGCTTTAGCAGAAAGCTAAATGACGGAGGTTAGCAGACATGAGCCTCAAAAATTCTGCCCCTTTCCCAGGGGACATTTGGCAATGTCTGGAGACATTTTTGGTTGCCACAACTTGGCTGGGGGAGAGTGCTACAGGCCTCTAATGGGTAGAGGTCAATGATGCTGCTAAACATCCTACAATGTACAGGACTGCTATTTGCAACAAAGAATTATCTGGCCCCAAAAGTTCCAGGGTGGAGTTAGACTAATCTCTGAAACTAATGACTATGATAAACTGAGACCAAGTGCTGCTCTTCTATGCTGGGCCCCCACTGAGCTTAGAGTCCCCCCATGGGCATAAGTGCCCATCCTGGTATGGTGATTGAAGGACCAGAGGGAGGGTAAGACCCATGCCTAGCTCAGGCCTGACATGAGGTACTACCATAAGTAATGCATGTGCGCCTATCCTTGTTCTTATAGCATATCCTACATGTGATGAAGTACGAGGTAATTAGCACCTCTTGTCTGTGTTCTCTCAGATAGACAACTCTGAAATGGGGAGTGATAGTGCAGCCAAAAATATATTTTTTAAATCAAGGTTATATAAAAATAATGCCTAAGAGAATCTGTACAGGCAAAAGCATAGCGTGGACGTTAAAGGTGTGGACTGCCTGTGTCACATGTTCGCAGTGTGACTCCCAGCTGAAAGGTATGTGTGTCTCAGTTTTCACCTGTTAAAAATAGACATCCACCCTTATGCCCGGGCCTGCTAGTGGGGTTACTGTGTGAATTCAACCAAAGTGAAGTTTCTGCAGCCTCTCTCTACGACAGGGCTGGGGTGGTCATTACCTGTAGTACCAGCGCACAGACTTGGAGGCCAGCGGGTCTCCCACTTCCCTGCTAATTAATAAGATCAGAATATCAATGCTGGAGGGCAGATGCCAGCCTCACCAGCGGGTAGGTTCTAGAAGATGCCGTGAGCAGTAGGGGCACGAAGTAAGGTACAGGACAAGGCTGTGGGAATTTCTCACCTAAAAGCCTAGAACTCAGGCACCTGGCCCAGGTGGACTGGACTCGTCAAGGCAGGGAAAGGTGGAGCTAGAAAAGCCAGGCTCCAGCAGCCTTGTGCAAGCTGCACATGTTTCAGAGGCAAAAGGGATGGTCGACACAAACCACGTGTGGGAAACACCTGTGTTTGAAGTTGGGAAGCCTGAAAAGTCGAAGGAGGAAAGGAAAAACGATCAATCTGGGCAAAATTTAGGGGATGATGAAAGCCTTATAAATAGCAAAACCTGATTTGGAAAATCAACTTGTGACAGAGAGAGGAAGAGCCAGCAAGACAGAATCTGTTTTAAAATAAACGTTCCGATCACACATTCACATCCAGAAACTGAGAAGCACAGTTGCCATCTGCTTTCAGACACCTCTCCAAAACAGCTACCGCACATAACCAACAGCATTTCAAAAATCCAAACGCTAGACATTCTTCCTGAAAACAGAAGTGTCTTACCATACAATGTTTTTAAGTTCTAAAAAAAAAAAAATCTTAAAATTATTTCAGGCTAACCCTCACCCAGCACATTTTGTTCCCCTTTTCATTTTCAGTTTCCTTTTGAAAATCACTTTACCAGTGGAAGACTCTGCCCCTGGAGCAGTTTTAAAATTCTAGTTACTATTTTGGCTTATATTCTAAGGTAGAAGTTTTAAGATGAGGTAATTCAAATTTTGCTCAATCTTTGCCCTCAAACGGATCTTTGCTTCCTCCTGCTTCTTTTGGGTCCAGAGAGGTGCCAACAAGTGATGATTACAAGTTACATGTCTTCATTATACACCCTAAAGAGGGCATCAAGAGGTTTTCAGCAGTAATGATGGTTTAAATGATTTTTCAAAACCTCATCAATTTCCTTTTGCCAACTATTTATACCTGCATTAATGAATAAACCTAAACATTTAATGGAAAAGAAAATAGATGGGTGCGGTGGTTCACGCTTGTAATCCCAGCTCTTTGGGAGGCCGAGGAGAGTGGATCACTTGAGGTCAGGAGTTCGAGATCACCCTGGCCAATATGGTAAAAACCCATCTCTACTAAAATTACAAAAATTAGCTGGGCATGCTGGTGGGCGCCTGTAATCCCAGCTACTTGGGAGGCCGAGGCATGAGAATCACTTAAACTGGGGGAGGTGGAGGTTGCAGTGAGCCAAGATTGCACCACTGCACTCCAACCTGGGTGACAGAGCAAGACTCTAGAGAAAAGAAAAGAGAAGAACCTGTCATTCATTCTACAAATGTCTTATTGAGTTCTTTCTATGAAGAGGGAACTTCATGAGTTTGTGAAGCTGGTGGGGGAGCAGACAGCTAAGTAATTGCTATAAAGCTTCTGACAGCAGAGAAGCCCAGATATTTTAGGAGGCTTGGGAAGGACTGTCGATATCAGTTAGAAGTTAGAAGTCCCTTGCAAGCAAAGCATGCTAGACATGCTCATTCATATCACCTAGTTCCTTTTTGAAACAAAATCCTGGTCAAAATGGTTAGCCCATGATTCTAGAAATCTCTTGAGTGCTATTTGCATCCCTTACTAGCATTGGCTTTTGCCTATAAAATGTGTTTAATGGGTTTGGGGGCATCCAAATATCTTGGAGCTGCAGGCCAGAGAAATATGTTGTTCTCAATCCCAGATGAGCCCAAAAAGGGTGGAGGAGAGAAATGCTCCATGAGTCTGAAACCACAGGTAAGTTAGGGTTGTCCATTCCCCATCCAGTCACTCTACCACCATGCACGGGGTATCTCCCTGTACAGTTATGGGAATGAGGGCACAGCAATAAGCAAGACAGATCAGTCTCTGACCCCAAGAGCTCCAGTGGAGACCACAAGATAATTAAGGAGAAATTAAACAGATAAAGAAGGAGTACAGAATGGGGACTGCAGGGAGGCTGCAGAGTGAGGGATGTGAGAGGGAGCGTGGGTTTTCAGAGGGTGACCAGGGAAGACTTTCTGAGGCTGTGTGAAGAGTCAGGAGGCAGCAGTGCAGGGGACCAGTGCTGGACAGCAAGCTCAGCCAGTGTGGCCTGGGGCAATGGCCTGGTGGTCCGAGACAGCAGAGGCTGGATCAGCTGGGGGTGTGAGGAGAAGGAGGTCTCCTGGATTGCGTGCCAGTTGCAAGGAGAAGCTACTGAAGGACTCCATAAAGAGGACTGATATGGTCTGATTTACCCATTTAAACACACAGACACACACAGACGCACGCTGCTATATAGAGAATGGAGGAAGGGGGAACTGAAATCCTACAGTAAAGAGATGCTGGTACCCTGGACAAGGGGCAGGGTGGGGGGTGGGGGCATAAGAAAAAGGGGACAGATCAGGACACATTTTAGACATAGATTCAACAGACTGAATGTTTTTTATCTGAGGATCCGAGTTGACTGCGAGGTCACTGCCAGAGACATCGACTTTTGGGAGAGGGAAAGGTTTGGCTGACCGCAAAACCTCCTTTAGGAACAAATTAGGTGTGAGGTTAGTTTGTTATATTATTTTCTCTTTCAGGACATAGGCAAAGATGAAGAGAATCAAATCATAAAAGGCGTTTAATGTTAACATTTTCCAAAATTGTGCATGTTCTAGCTATCCCTTTAATGTCTGGGCATTTTGATACCCTGTGAGTGGCTGGCAAACTCTATCATTAGTGTACACGGTGAGAGGTTTGCTGAAAGCTATATGCCCCCGTTTCTCTACCTGTTGCAGGGGAAGTGTTCGTGGGAGAAAAACTTCGCGGCCTCATACTGTGAAGGGGTAGGTTGAGATGGCCACGGGGGTTCTCAGATTCTCCACCAGCGTCTCCTCGCTGACCCCGGCCTTCCTAGGCTTCCTTCCCGCGTCCCTGCCTGCCAGGAAGGTCCCCTGTAGCTTGCAGAGACCATGGTAGACAGAGCAGTTGTATCTGCGCCAGCCAGAGACCACCTGGGCAAGAAGCGTGACCCAGACATCGAGGAGGGTGAAGCCTCGCTGGGCCGCCCCGCAACCCCAGGAAGCCCCGGACCAGCGAGAGGCTCCCGGGCGGTCTCTTGCCGACACCCCGGCACGGGCTCACCCGCGCGCTCACACTCCGCCCGCTCCCCGCTAAGGGACTGGGTTCGCTCCAAAGGCAGAGGAAACCTATGGGCTCCCCGGCTCGTGTCTCCCGACTCGTGTCTCTTGCCTCCGCTTCCCAGCTTTCCCGACCCTGCCCGGACGGGGTTTCGGGGTTCCCTGCTCGGGCCCCGCGCGCTCCCCTCCCACAGGCTGGCTGGGCTCCGGGCGCGGCGGGAGGCAGCGGGGACGTGAGACCGGGGTCGCCCCACACGCCCTCCGCGCCCCTCGGGCCGCGGCCCCTGCGCAACGGCCCCCCGTGCCCGACCACGCGGCCGCCCGGAGCGCAGGGGCCCGCGGGCAGGCAGAGGCCGAGGCTCCCCGCGGGCGCCGGGCGCGGGCTCTGGGTTCCCCGGGCGGGGCCGGGAGGCAGCCAGGCCGCCGGGGGGCGCCGGCAGGAGCGGCGCTTACCTGAGGCGGCGGCGGGGCCGGGTGCGGGCGCTCCGGGACGCGGGGCCGGGCGGACACACTGGCGGGGCCGGGGCCTGGCCGTCCCACCGCCGTCTGCCCCCCGCGCCGGGGCCGGGCCCAGACGCACTTCCTCAATCCTGAGGCGGGCGGGCGGGGAGGGCGGCGCGAAGAGCGCGCAGAGCAAGGCCGCCGCCAGCTCTCCCAGGAACCGTCGCGAGGCGTCCCCTCGGCGGCCGCCTCAGTTTCCCTGGCCGTAAAACGCGGGCGATGGCGCTCGATGCCCCGGGAGACGCCGGGGTCCGCGGGCCCTTCCGGCACCGGGTCCTCCTTCAGGTTCGGGCACCCGGCTGCCTCCACGCGGGGCGAGCGCGGCGATGGGATCGGTCCGTGCTGCGCTCAGCCCCGCTTTCGCTATCCCTCTGCTCCAGGGGCAGCAAAATCAGCAGATGAGCCCCCAGCGCGCCTGCGGCCCACACACTGCGGCCGTAACAGTTAAACAGACGGGGAACATTCATGTGCGTAGAGCTCTTCACGGGGCGATACAGAAATGTGTCGTTCTAAAGCGTTAACGACCTGCAATTTGCATATCCTCCAACACATGGATTTTACTGATTCAATTATGGATGTGTGCAAAGAATCTGCTGCTCGGTGAGTCATTGTTAATTGTCGGCTTTGGGGGGAATACATAAAACGTGGAATATTGGCAATTTATCGTGTTTCGACCTTTTATAAAGGCGTCACCAGGCTGCTGAGGCTAATACAGAAACGCAGACCATAAAAAAGATCTGCGTCCACGCTGCAGGCGGGCCTCACGCTGAGCTCCCCGTGTCGACCCGGGGACAAAGCCTGCTCAGGAAGAGCAGAGGGTTCCACGCCCTGCAGGACCAGCGCCCTGGGCCCCTCTCCTGGAAAGTTATGACTCGCACGTTCCCAGGATTTAGCGCACATCTCCCCCACCCTCACTGCCATTTCACAGAACCGGGGCAGCCGCAGGGCTCCTGCAGGACCTCCCGGACGCCGCGGGGCCGTGTTCCCTTGAGCGGCTTCTTGGGTCCCTGGTTGGAGAGGGGACCACCGAGCAGCTTCGCTCTGCTCCTGGGAGGCTACTTCTGCCACTGGACGACTTTCCAAAAGGGTGAGCGCAGTTCTGCAATCCTGTTCTCACCCCTGAGGGCCTCACACCAGTTTGCAGGAGCCAGCAGTGTGATTGCCACCGACAAGTTCCCAACAATTTGCAGGGCGTGGTGTCCTCAGTGCTGAGAGAGCCCCGCGACGGCGGTGCAGCTCCTCCAGGGCGCGCAGCCCCGCCACCTGGCGCCACCGCGAGGGAGCGCAGGCCCAGGGCCCGGGCAGACGCTGGAGGGGACGCGGCAGGTGAAGATGGGGCACCTCCACTTCCCTTCTAAAGGAGCCTGGGAATAGGCTAGGAAATGTCCCCACTGTAGAAGACAGCAGGAACATCTGACACGCGGATAACCTGTGCTGAGCTCGTTATATTCCCAGCATTTAATTCTAGCCATTAGGCATGCGTTAGCCACAACTTCGCATAGGAAGGTTATTGCAGGTAAGTTAAGACTCCTTTCCACTTCTTCCTAAGGGTCGCTGACCCATGGTTCTCTAGCTTTTGCTGGTAATCCCACCCAGATTCTCAGCACCCTAGGTTGGAATGACCCCTCCTGAGGTGGGTGGGGTAGCTGGGAGGCACCTCCCTGAACTGACTTTTCTGCCTTTTTGAAGGTGCAGTGGCTGAGCGCTCCTTCAGTGTTTTCCGGTTGTCTTTCTTCAGCCCAGTACGCAGTTTCCTCAGACAGTCTTCCTTGAGCAACTTCCTAAACGCCCTTCATTATCCCCCTTCAAGCTCATGCCTAGGAGCAAGGAGCAAAGCCATTAGAAAGGCTTCATCCACCAGCAGGAGAAGCTAGGACATCCCAAAGGGTCCACTTCTAGAGAGGTGCCAACCCCCACACGCACACCAGGCACACAAATGCATGTGTGCACACGCATACCACACCCTCCAATTGTCCCCAGAATGGCTCCCTTCAGGGAGTCATGTTCCGGGACACCAAATGAGGGAAAATATCCTTCTCCTACAGTTTCCTGCTCACATTTGGATTGAGAAATGGGATGTCTCTAAATAATGTGTCTAAATTCTCTTAACATAAGTGCATATGTTACGAGAGATCTGATCCCAGCCTCCCTTTTTTGTTAAAGTGGTGGTGCTTTGCCACCCATGTCAAAATGATCTGGGCTTTCCACATCAAATGCAAGGGATGAGCTTGGAGGACATACCCCAGTACCAGCAATGATCTTGAGCCAATGGCAGCGTCAGCTCACAACGGGGTGATTGAGGCTTCTTGGTTAGAAGCTTTAGAAACTTGAGGTCAGTAAAACCCAAATTGATCCTTTCTCTAGATCCTCTAGATTTCTCTAGAGGAAAAGGTGACAAAAACAGACACTTGTGCTCACCGTCAGGGGCACAATGCTGTCCGTCAATCCTCATGCAGTCCTCCCCACCATTTCGCACACTGACACCATCACTACTTTATGATAAAAGGAGACTCAGGCAGCTTAGATAACAGCTGAAACTCAGCCAGCTATGACATGGAACCTCTGAGGCCCAGCTCCTTGCCTGGTCAACCCCCAAGCCCACAGAAATGGGTTTCACACTCAGGCAAAGCACTGGGCCCGACTGACTGAGCAAATGTAATTTTATGCTTACATTATTGATCCTGCTTTAATATCAGCCATTTCGTACAGGTCTCAGAAAGAGAAAGGCCTGCCATCGAATTCAAATGACTTTGGTCTTTAAATGAAAAAGCACAATGTTTCTCAAATATCCAATTTTATTTTATCATTCTCGCATTGTGGGATGCGATCTGCAGCTAGGATCGGAATTCCCAGGCCTATAGATTTTTAAACCACACCACAGGGGTAAACCTTAAAAGAAGTGAAACCTAACACTATATATATTTCCATTTCTAAATACAGTATATTACAGAAGTTTAAATATACCACCTCTGTGTACTTACAACTATAAAAAGATACAATAACTCTACCAATTATAAATAATGTAGCATTTCATATTAAAGACATTATCGTACAATGGAAGAATAGGAACCCTCTAACGTATCACTATCAAGGTTAGTGTCTATATCTACTTGAGATAAAATACTGAAAATTCAGTGTATGAAGCCAAATCCTGATTTAACAAGTTATTGGTAGTATAAGTGATAAGTGTTAGCTGATGAAGGGAAGGCAAATGTGGTAATTTATATCTCTGACAAGGGTGATAGGCCCATTTTATACATGGTTTTCGTTATACACACACTGGTTCTGTTACGGGCCCTCATTTTATTATTGCCCTCCCCAACTTAATTTGCAAACTTAAGCACTACTTTCCCAATTAGGAAAGTACTAGTTAGTAACCATAAAAGTATCCGTCGGATAACACATTTGTTTTTGTTTTTGAAGCTATATGGGAACACTTTCAGTTTCCCAAGTTAAAACATGAAATTGCACATCATCATTTGGATCCCCAAAGAGGAAAAGAAAAATTCACAACCTGCCAGTGAAATACTCAGGCCACTTGGATGAAGACCGAGGTCCTCCATAGAATCCAGGTGTTATTTACTAACTAATCAGAAATTAATATCAAAATAGGACTTAAAAATAACAAGGCTGTGTTATTACAGCAGTCTTTCCAGTTGTGTACGCTTTACTAATCTAAATTGGGTAACAGAACTGGAGAAAAGGAAGACTACACAGACTTATCATAAGCTGTTAGTGAACGTGATAGAAATGCGTAATTTGTTAAAGCGAATTACAGCTCTGATTTGTCAAATGAGGAGGTGAATTATCCTAGGATTTGCTATGCTGTTGTGGCGTTAGAAGATTGGATCTTTAGCAGCAAAGGTAACCTCAACAATATTTTCTGCTTAAGAAAGTGCCTTGGTTAAGGTAGACCGTGATATCGTCTTTGACTAAGCTCTCTGGGCTATTGATTCTGTCATATTCCAAAGGCAGTATTGGTTTGAAGCCGAATCTCACGGTCAATGTCAACATGCAATCCACAAAGACCCTGGCGCCCTTCCACGGTATGCACTAACCAAAACTTTCTCACTGTGAAATCCTTTTTTTAAAAACAAGAAAACAAAAAACAAAAACCAAAAAACCTTACTGTGAATCCTTTCCCAAGGAATGGTCCCACCTTCACCTCGGAAAGAGGCGTGGCTTGCTCTGTAAGCAGGTCCACCCTGAGGAGACCGCTGGTGCAAGAGCCCTGCTTGCAGAACACACAGGGGGTTTTCCCACATTCTTACTGGAGTCAGATTCGGCAAAGCATTTCAAGCAACTGCTGGACACTTCAAATACCACTCCCTGTTAACAACGCCCTGAGTATCTCACTGTCTCCAGGATCTGGTTTAAAGGGAAACACAGAAATGGCCAACAGCTCCCTCCCCAGGCAGGACTGCGATTTCACAGACAACCTATAGGCATCCCCAGTCTGGTGAATAAACAGGAGAGTGAGAGGAAAACAGCAATCATTCAACTCCAGTAGATGTAAAGCCTCCAGAAGAATGTGTCCCGGGAAGGTCAGAAATGTCATTTTTTTCCTCCAGCACATTTCATCTGCCACATTCCGCCGTCCGATGTTTGAGGAAGGAGCCCCGCCTTTCCTTCAGGGGTTCTTGTCGCCAAGTTTGATGGTGACAGTTTTCACTTCTGTGTATTCGGCCAAAGCGTATTCACCTCTGTGATCACAGAAAAGAGGAAAATTCAAAATGGGTACATCCCTTAGCCATTGTGTAGAAACTGTTCTGAGGCTTCATCATTCCATCAGGCCGTTGGAGGCTTATGCAAAAGGTTAAAATGTGACGACCTCATGGAATAATAGCCAGGACTATAACAGCACTAGTAAGTGTCAGTAGCTGCATATGTGACTTAAATGTAAATATCAAGGTCTTCTTCTGTGTGATGCTTTTGAAATGGCCAGGACTAAGGGTTTCCCTTTAGAGAATGAAGGGGATTTTAAAAAAAGTAAAGAGGTGAATTCCCTGGGGTGGCAATAGAGAGCAAAACGAGAGAGCCTGGTGGACGGTGGGGTGTCTGTGAACGAGGGAGGGGCAGAAATTACACTGGGTTGATAACTTTTAGATGGCAATTGGGAGCTGCTTGAAGAGGAGACAGAAGAGGCAGAGGCCCAAAGCTATTGGCTGGGGATGTGGCCAGAGGACCAGTGGGAAGAACACCAAGGGCCTGAAGCTGGCCTCAGAGTGCACAGCTGGGGACCAGCTGTCAGGCAGTGAGGCCAGCCTAGGGGGCATGAGAGAAGCAGACGTTAGCACAGAGTGGACATGGGGAGGCCACAGCTTTTGGGTTCACATCCTTGGTATAGTTCCTTTCTTTAAATCTTGCAGGGCTCAGGTGATCCTTCCCTGGCACCATGGGCCGTCTTCAGGGTAGCTTCCCTTCCAAGACCCAAGAGGCAGCTTTGGAGAGATTTAAATCCTTCTAAGCGCTTGATCTGCTGTCAGGTGAAGAAAAATGTGTGCTTGTTTAGGAAGAGATGAAGGTAGAGGTGGCCACTGGAGTCTCTGTAGTTAAAAAGACCTGTGACAGAATCCCATCTCCTCCCTTAGATCAATGGTTCTCAAAGTGTGGTCCCCAGACCAGCAGCATCAGCCTCACCTCTGAACTTGCTAGAAATGTAGATTCTCAGGCCTCCCCCAGCCCTACTATCGTAGGCAGAATAAGGATCTCCCCAGGTATCCAAAATTGGATCCCCCAAACCTGTGAATATGTTGGGCTACAGAGTGAAGAATTAATGTTGCAGATGGAATTCAAGTTACTAATCAATTGACTTTAAAAGAGGGAGACTCTCCTGGATCATCCAGGCAGACCCAGTGTAATCACAAGGGTCCCCAAAACTGGCAGAAGAAGAGAGGCAGAGCAAAATGAGATTATAGAAACAGGTTCAGAGAGCAGCAGTGCTGGCTTTGAAGATGGAGGATGGGGCCACCAGCCTAGGAATGCGAGCAGCCTCTAGAGGATGGAAAAGGCAAGGAAGTAGATTCTCTCCTGAGAACCTCCAAAAAGGAATGAAGCCCTTGATTTTAGCTCAGGGAGACCTGTGTCAGATTTTTATCCTACAGAACTATAAGATAATAGATTTATGTTATTTAAGCCACTGATGTTATGGTAACTTCTTGCAGGAGCAATAAAAGACTAATAAACTTACTGAATCAGAAACTCTATGGTGGGGCCCAGACATCTGTATTTTTTTTTTTTTTTTTTGAGACGGAGTCTCGCTCTGTCGCCCAGGCTGGAGTGCAGTGGCGCGATCTCGGCTCACTGCAAGCTCCGCCTCCCGGGTTCACGCCATTCTCCTGCCTCAGCCTCCCGAGTAGCTGGGACTACAGGCGCCCGCTGCCACGCCCGGCTAATTTTTTGTATTTTTAGTAGAGACGGGGTTTCACCTTGTTAGCCAGGATGGTCTCGATCTCCTGACCTCGTGATCCGCCCGCCTCGGCCTCCCAAAGTGCTGGGATTACAGGCGTGAGCCACCGCGCCCGGCCGACATCTGTATTTTAACAAGTCCTCCAAGTGATTCTGATGCATACTCAAGTTGGAGAACCACTGGCTTAGAACTATGTTGCTTAGGTAAGTTCTTTGCCTTCCCTGAGCCTCAACTTCATCAACTATCAAATAGGAAAACCATCACCTCCTTGTAATTATAACAATTACAGATAATCATGTAGAGCCCCTACTATGTGTTAGGCAGAAAATGAATGGTAGGTGCCATTGAGATTTTTAGGTCATTTCCTAAAACAAATAGTTCCAGAACCCATGAAAATAAGTGAATTATTTTATAATCTTTCCTAAATAAAACACAAAACATAAAAGCCATAAACAGAATGCTAAATTCTATTTTTGTAGAGCAGAGACTCCATTAAAAACTCCCAAATGACAAACTAGAAAAAAAATTTACAACACTGTGTGAAAATCAGAGTGTGATTTTCCTTAATATACAAAGAGCTCTTGCAAACCAACAAGAAAAACACAAATACCCAAATGGAAAAATCAACAAAGGACAGGAATAGTTAGTTTTCAGAAAAAGAAATATGAATTACCAATAAGTGTGAAAATGGTGCTCAATGCCATCATGATTAAAGAAATGTAACCAAAACAGTGGTGAGCCCATTTTTCATGTGGCAGATTACTCAATTTTAGTAATTTATTCTGAAAACAATCTCCCACAAGTGTATACTTCCACTTGTATGCACAAGGAAGTACATCAGCATGGTTTGTAATAGCAGAACCCCTTGGAAATACACAAAAGTTCCTCATGGGAGATCATCAATAAAAAGAACGGAAGGATATCCAAAACCCAGTCTCAATAACGAAATGTAGCTTGCTCCCATTTCATTTGAAAACAGAAAAGAACACACATATATAAATCCATTGTATGCAAATAAAATGCACAATACACTCTAAAAGTGAGAATACAATGTTGCATTGTAAAAATTCAAAGCCAATAATTATTTATCAAGTTAGTAAAGAAAAGAAACGCAAACAAAGTGATGAAATCAGATTGAATTAACACATAACTAACACATGCAGTAGGATTACAGCATTCCTTTAAGAATCAATACAGAGCTCCTCTCATTCTTTCATTTCTGAAGTTGCTGTCCTGGTTCAAATTCTTGCTGCTCTTATTCAACCCAGTGGGACATCTCCTCAATGGATTCTCAGCCAGTCTCAACCACTTTGCAGTTCAAAGCTATCCAGGAGCCCAGCCTTACTCCTGTTAAACCTCACCAGAATGTCAGGAGGCACAGGGACTGGTGGCTGTGTTGTTCACTGCAGTATGCTCAGAGCCTAGCATCATGCCTGGTGAATCAAAGATGCTCAAGAAGTATTTGCCAAGTGAACAAAAGAATGAATGAGCAAATGAATGATGGAACAACGTTTACCTCTAACAAATGGGACTGAAGGTCAGGGAGGGAAGCCTTGACTTTCCATATCTCTATTGCGTAGATTTTTTGGTTACTATATCATTTTTATTCAGAAGAAAGGCTCCCAGGAGGAAGAGGAATTTCAGGCTCCATCCTGAGACCCGCACAGAAACAGCTCCCGGAGGGGCCCGTGGGTGGGCGGCCAGAAGCCAGCCCAGTCCAGGTGGCCGGGGACGGGGAAAACCATGGAATCCCCCGCACGATGCTCCAGCATTAAAAAAGGGGAACTTCTTGCAACATGAAGACATTAATTAGAGACAACTGAAGACAGAAATTGGTTTTCCAGGCAGTTTCTAGGCTCCTTGTGAATTATTTTTAAATATTTTATCAAAAGCCTTGAGAAAATATAGGCCAAGGGCCTAAAAAACAGACATTCAAAAAAGTCCCGATGGAGGCTAACTGGCAGGAGGACACATGGGCTGTGTCCAGTGAGTCCTCACCAAGCCCTGCTCTGTGCCAGGCGAGGGGGTGTTAAGGAGCCAAAAGCACTGTTAGGGTGGCAAGAGGGAAGGTTGCAATGAGGGTGAATCACCAGTGCAAAGCAGTACACACCAGGGATTGGGGGCCCTGCAGCTTCTACGCCCAGGGACATTTGCTTCGGGGACTGGAGTCCTTGCTGTGGCGTGAGGCTGTGTCTGGCGTCTGGGAGGAGGACTGTGTGGGGTCTGGGTTCCCCAGCCCTAATGACCCAGCTGGTTGAAGGCAGCAGATGAAAGGAGACAAATGACCACGCAAACCCTGGGTGGCCTCATGAACAGGTGGCGGACAAGGGTGATCCCTGTTGAGCAAGGTCCTGCACTGCGGTGGGTCCAAGGACTAAGCTGCCAGCATTCATTTCTGACTGTCACTTACCAGCTTCCTGTGCCATTTTCTCATCTGAAAACAGCTGGACCCATCTCATGGATGGGCGTGAGGATGGTATGAAGGAACAGGCATAGAGAGCTCAACCGAGCCTGCTGCAGAGTCTGTGCTCAGCAAATCCCAGCTGTTGCCAGTACTGTTGCTGTTGGAGGGCCCAAGAGGGGACCCTGGTGACCCCAGCCCTGGCTGCCTGTCCCTGGAGGGGCAGGTGTAAGAAGTGATGAAGCAGGGGCTCACAGAACTCAAATGCAAACAGGCCACTAGAGGGAGGAAATGCAATTTCTGCAAAGGGGTTTCATGGCCAACAATTACTGATGTCCGCTGAAGGCGAAGCCAGCCACAGGGATAAGGGGGAAGGCTAATGGACAGGCTTCACTCACAAGTGCAGACGCCTTGGAGTATTTGCTGAGAGTCAGGGATGGACTACAAAGCAGGACTGAGGTGGGAGGGGGACAGGACCCCAATTCCACATAGACTGGTCAAGAACATCTGTTTGGGGATGGAAGCCAGGCCCATCCCTTCACAGCATCTTTAAGAATCTCAAAAGAGAGCCACACAAAGGCCCCAACCAAGGCCCAAGGTGAGGGGAAGCGTTTGAGTCTGTTCCCGCTGGAAGAAGTGCAAACAAGGGACTACATTTGTATATAAATAGGACAGACTAGTGAAATAAAAGGAAGAGTTTGGGTCCCTAGAGATGTCCCAGGAACCTGGGGTGTTGTCACAGATGGTTCCTTGGGAACACTGATCCTACAAAATGTTTGTCCACACAGGCTAATAAAATCCTGAGCTGGGGAGAGAAGACAGTGTCCGGCTGGAAACCACACATCTCCACTCCCGGGTTGCTCTAGCCAGCTCTGGGTGTGGGCCAGACGCAAGAAGTTCCACCCATTAATCTAAACCTAGGGAACTCATTTTCCCAGCAGGCAGGACAAAAAAGGAAGTGTGGAGGGGTTTGCACACACAGTGGAGGGGTTTGCAGTGGGTTTGCACACACACGAAGGGGTTTGCAGTGGGTTTACACACACGGAGGAGTTTGCACACACATGTGGAGGGGTTTGCAGTGGGTTTGCACACACTGGGGTTTGCAGTGGGTTCACACACTGAGGAGTTTGCACACACATGTGGAGGGGTTTGCAGTGGGTTTGCACACACAGTGGAGGGGTTTCCAGTGGGTTTGCACACACACAAAGGGGTTTGCAGTGGGTTTACATGCACACGTGGAGGGTTTGCAGTGGGTTTACACACACGGAGGAGTTTGCAGTGGGTTCACACACTGAGGAGTTTGCACACACATGTGGAGGGGTTTGCAGTGGGTTTGCACACACACGGAGGGGTTTGCAGTGGGTTTACATGCACACGTGGAGGGTTTGCAGTGGGTTTACACACACGGAGGAGTTTGCAGTGGGTTCACACACTGAGGAGTTTGCACACACATGTGGAGGGGTTTGCAGTGGGTTTGCACACGCACGGAGGGGTTTGCAGTGGGTTTACATGCACGCGTGGAGGGTTTGCAGTGGGTTTGCACGCGCATGGAGGGGTTTGCAGTGGGTTTGCACACGCATGTGGAGGGATTTGCAGTAGGCTTGCATATACTGAGAGGGCCGCAGAGGCCCAGCAGGAGGTGTTGTCATATGCCTCCTGGGAGGAGGTCCCCTACTAGGCTCAGAAAAAAGGACCCAGCAGGTAGGAGCCTTACCTGGGTCAGCCTTACCTGTCTTCACTGCTGTGAGTGGGGAGTTGTGTGAATAATGACACCCCACATCTGGCAAAAGTACACTTTTTCAGTTCTGCCTGTGTCCCCGTCCAGGGAGCTTTTGTCAAATATCCACTGAATGTCCCCAGCATGATGGCTGCTGGGCAGACACAAAAGCCGAGGCCTGGAGGGGGGCAGGCTGAGGATGTAAGTGGGAAGGGTGGGCTGGAGAGAGGAAGGGATGGGTCCCCACCAACCCTAGAGGGACACAGCTGGCCCAGACAGAGCGGCGGTGTGGGGGGGACGGGGTGTCAGCAGATTGGAGCCTGTGTCACTGCCTGCAAATCTAGTGGATCTAGTGTTCAGCCCACGGCAGGCTCAGAATGATGGAAACACTTACAGTTCTCTGCCATTTCCTGACATTTTAAAGCCACCAAATGGAGCCTGTGCATAGAGGGCGTTGTAGCAGTTGATCCTAGAAAAGAATGGAAGAAAGCTCAGAGTCATCTGGAGAAGACCCCCTGGCTCCTGGCACTGCAGCCACTTAGCCCCCAGTGCAGGGCATTGTCTAATAAACAGTCTTTTGCCAAAGCTTCCTTGATGAAAACACAGGGTGCTCTCAACTTTTGTCTTCTCATTCTTCTCATCAGCAACTAAAATTTGGAAATCCTCAAGTACAGAGTGTGTTTCATTGGGATAGGAATGAAATGATAAGGGGAGAAAAAAGAAGAGAGGGCCAGGCATGATGACTTATGCCTGTAATCCCAGCACTTCGGGAGGCTGAGATGGATGGATCACCTGAGGTCAGGAGTTCAAGACTAGCCTGACCAACATGGTGAAACCCCATCTCTACTAAAAATACAAAAATTAGCTGGGCGTGGTGGCGTGCACCTGTAGTCCCAGCTACTGGGGAGGCTGAGGCAGGAGAATTGCTTGAACCTGGGAGGTGGAGGTTGCAGTGAGCCGAGAGTGTGCCACTGCACTCCTGCCTGGGGGAAAGAGCAAGACTCCATCTCAAAAAAAAAAAAAAAAAAAAAAGAAAGAAAGAAAGAAAAAGAAAAATCAGGGTGTAGAGGAATAAGAATTAGCTTTGAAATGAGACAGAACTGACCCCAAAGTTCTCCTGCTTCCTGGTTATATGATTCTGGGCTTATTGCTCAACCTCTCTGAGCCTCAATTCATTAATCTTTAATATGGGGATCACAAAACATAATCTGCAGAATTACTGATGAGGCAGAGACTAGTATCCACATTTTGCAGATGGGCATGAACTGCTTTTAGAATCAGAATGGAAAATAAAGTTGGAGGGGCAGTACAGCACAGGGGCCACAGGCACAGGTACTGGAGCCCTCTCGGCCATCTGCTAGCTGTGTGACCCTGGGCAAGTCACTTCATCTCTCTGTGCCTCAATTTTCTCATCTCTGAAATGGAGACATAATGGCAGCTACCTCAGAAGATGGTCATGAGGATGGAAGGAAGCACTGAGACAGGGCTTGGTATATAATATACAATGTAAACAATGAGAAACTCTCAGTTAATAGAAGAATAATGAACTTAGCAAGAAGCAACTCAGGAGAGCTGAAATACACACACAGTCAACTCACCAGACCGTTCCAGACTCTAAGGCAGAAGCCAACTTCAGGGCTTTGTCGAGATTTTTTGTGAACACGGCTGCTGTGAGTCCATAGTCGGTGCTATTCGCTCTTTTTATCACTTCTTCGATACTTTTGAACTTCAGTATTGGTTGCACTGGCCCGAAAATCTATGATTAATTGCAAGAATGGCAATGAGAGGCATGACTGAATGGAAATGCATGCTGTGAACAAGCATTTCCTTCTCTTTACATGTTTTTCATATGCCCAGAGCACACACATGCCTGAAAAACGATGATTAGAGAAGAAAGAACGTCCAAACATTGCTTCAGCTGCATTGCCATTGGAGACTGAAGGGAAGGATTAACATGAAACAAAAATAAAAAATAATAACAAAAAATATATGTTGTGTTTAAGATGTCTTGTTGTCATCAGGGTTTCCGAGAAACCCAGCCAGAGAGCCTTGGAGTAACCCATAGATGCACAGAACACAAAACCTTTAGGTAACTTTTTTCGGAGTTGTCCTGAAGGATATCTGCAGGCACTTTGTAAGACTGTGCTCCTACCTCTTGGAGCTGTGTTTTCTACCAAGGAAGACACCCTAGAACGTTTCCATAATAACTACCAGGGGAAGGAATGACACAATATTCACCACAGTTTGTGACACAGCAAAGAAAAGGAAATGGAAGAACTAAGGCTTGAACATTTAAAGGTGATTTTGAAGGGAGCTTGTAATTGATTCAATATTAGACATAATTATAAGCCGGCAGGATGGTGCCTGGCCTGCCAAAATACCTTCCGGGTTCCCCAGGACCTCTCGTCACAGGGATGTTTAAGGAGCTGAGCTTCATGCCATCACGGCACATAACAATCTCAAGGAAGACGCCTCTGAAATACCTGCCCCAGAAAGCCCTTGGCAGGGACTCATCCTTTTATGTGCCCCAAAATACCACCTCCAGGGTCTAACCTCCTGGGATCCAGCTCTCCTCTTACAAATGCTGTGTGGGAACCAGTTCCCGTCTAGTGTAACAGTGGAGTTGAAAGAGAAAGATTTACACTCTTATGGGAGTGGGGGAGTCTCCTTAATTTCCCTCATTTTCAAGACGTCCGTGGTGGAAAATGTCAATAAAAATTCCAGCTGTGACATGTTCCTTGAGTGAACACTTGAAATTCAGTCTAGGGGCACTGAAGGCGGCTTTGGGCCCTGAATCCACAGGTTCTTGAACTGATTCCTGGCAAAACCCACAGGTGGCAACAGTTCTCCACCTGCGGCTGCATGACTGACTCGGGGACCGGTTGTGTTAGAAAATCAGAGAGGGCTTGCTGCTCCCAGAGAGGGTGAGCCATGAGTGAAAACTAGCTAGAACAAACAAGGTACCTGCTGTATCATGCTTGGAGTTCGCCAGAGGCAGGACAAAACGGCTTCCCTAGGGACCCCAAAGGAGAGGGGAAAGACCACACAGAAAAAACAACAACGACAACAACAGCAACAAAAACAAAAAAACACTCAGATCACAAGGATTTCTGGGATCCCTGGGCCCTAGGGAAGGACTCGTGTTTGAAAGGCCCCGCAAGTCGTAGCCTTGCCACAGCCCCCTTGTACCTCCTCTTTGGCAATCCGCATGTTGTCTGTGACTTCTGAGAAGACAGTGGGTTTGATGAAGAGCCCCTTGTCTTCCATGGCTGAGCCCCCGCATTCCAGCTTGGCCCCTTCCTTCTTCCCACTCTCGATCAGCTCTAAGATTTTGTCGAACTGCTTTTGATCAATCTGCAAGACACAAACAAGAAGTACAGCCTGGCTTCCTTCTGGGCAGTGGCTGCCATCTCATGTTTTCAGTGGCCTTCAACATGATCAGCCATCCTCCCTCTGCATGTTCTTGTCAAGCCATGATCCATGTAACTAATGAGCCTTGCAGGCAAATATTCCTCTGATGCACAGAGCTGGGCTCTTTGGAGCAGGGGAGAGATGGGGAGATAGACTAGTCTCATCCTCTGGAGGTTTGGGACATATTTACACTTCTATCTCCCTTTTCCATGCAGCAAAGTTAGTCCATGAGTGACACAGGTCTGAAGTGGTCACAGTCTTTCTTCTCCCAACTCTTTACATTCTACTCAGGTTGCCAAATTTAGCAAATAAAAATACGGGATGCCCAGTGAATCTGAATTTCAGAAAAATGACACATAATTTTTTTTAGTATGTCCCAAAACAATATTTGGGATATACTTAAGCTAAAAGTGCATTTACTGTTTATCTGAAATTCATGTTTACCTGGGTGCCATGTATCACCTGGCAACCCTGTGCCCTGCTCAGTTGGCACCGTGAATCAGGGTAATAGTTACTGGAATTCTCCTGTCATGGTGCAGAGAAGCGAGAAGAAAAGCTAACCACCTTACTCAACACCCCTGGGGACAAAGCAGAATGAGCCTCCAGGTGGGGTGGCAGGGCTGCTCCTTGGTTGGTGGTGGGAACAGCTCATGAGAAAGACTCTCCCTTTTGCTATCTTGTCTAGACGTCTCCTTGGCTGGAGTTTGCCCTGTGCCACCAGCCTGACCCACAGCTTGTGAACACGCTACTGAGCAGTTGTCAAAAGCGCACCCTTTTGGGAGACTGCTCAAGAGGGAAAATGCTCTTTCTGCCCCCTCCACTGGTCCTTCTTCCTGAAATCTATGGGAATCTTGTCCTTTATCATGATCTGTGGCTGGTCTCCCTCCTCTTTGGCTGGGAGAGACAAAGCTTTACTAGGTTTACTTTAGCTGGGATTTTTAGATGGGAAAACTGGTTTCATTCCAATGATCATAAACAGAAAAAGAAGCAAACCCAGTGGTGCAATTGGATGACGGTCTGTCCTGGAGGAGCAGGAGAGAGGGCATAAACCGTGCATGCCACTTGACCAATCATCTCATGAAATATGGACCCAGTTTAAAAATACTAACTCAGATCCATACCTCACACTTTATACCAGGCCAAACTCCAAACCCAGTTTAAAAATACTGACTCAGATCCATACCTCACACCTTATACCAGGCCAAACTCCAAACCCAGTTTAAAAATACTAACTCAGATCCATACCTCACACCTTATACCAGGCCAAACTCCAAACCCAGTTTAAAAATACTAACTCAGATCCATACCTCACACTTTATACCAGGCCAAACTCCAAATAGATCAAAGATATAACCAGGAAAAACAAAACCATAAAAGTTTTATATGTGGGAGACTTATCCTGCAAACTTGGAGTGCCTTCTAATGACTCAAAATGCAGAAGCCAAAAAAGAAAAGATGTATAATTTTGAGTATGTAAAAAAAATGGGGTGGGGGCAAAATTATCATAACAAAGAGCAAAACAACAAACTTGGAAAAAATATTAACAAGTCATATTCATAGAAAGCTAATCTCTCTACTATGTATGTAAAGAGGTCTTAGAAGTGATAAGAAAAATGCCTAACAGCTTGCAAGAAAAATACGCAAAGCACATTTGATAATAAAGGAAATACAAACGGTTTTTAAATATATAATAAGATGTTCTACCTTGCTTATTATAAGCGGTAGATGCATATTAAAATGAAACAAGATAGCATTTTTAACTCTCCTATGGGCAAAAATCCATATTCTGTTGGAAAGGGTAAAGAAACAGACAAACTTCTAGAATGTTAGTAGGAATACACGTTGGTTCAGCCTCTATGGAAGGTAATTCAGCAACACTTAAGGAAATTAGAAATGTGTTCCCACTTAGCAACCCACTTTGGGAAAGCTGTCCCAGGGATTTCCTTGTGTGTGTGTGAAATCACATACTCTGAGGCCTTGTGTGTGACTGCACATACCTGCATGCTAATCAGAAGATGTTACTGAAATTCTGGTGGCTTCATCCAGCAGAATTCCATACACATGTGAAAAAGAATCAGGCAGGTTCCCATGGACTGGTATAAAGAGCTCTTCCAGTTTTTTTAGGGAACAATAAACAAAGTGCAAGATGATATACTATCATGGAAACTTCCGTGTAAAAATAACAAAGGCAATCAGGACTTGCATTCATCTGCTTGCATGCACACGAAAACATTCTAGAGGGAAACATGAGGAACTAAGAACTGGGGATACCGTGGGGAGAAGGGTAAGAACCAGGTGTACAAAGGTGGGGGCGGGAGGGGCGGGAATCCTTTCACTATAGACGTTTTTAGGCGTTTTGGGGTTTGACCCGTGTATGTGTACTCCACTCAAAAAAAGTAACAAAAACAGCTTTGCAACAGATCCCGGAAGAGCTCAAGGTTCTCTCAACTTCTCTCTGGGTGAACCAAGTCTCAGGTTAACAGTTCCAGATGCTGCTGAGCTGCTCTTCCCCTCCCTGAGGGGCCAAAAGGGACACAGGGGCTTCGCCCAACCGCAGGTCCTCCCTGGCTGCTGGGCATATGCCATCTGGCAGACCCTGTTTGTCCTGCAGGCAGTGCTGGGTCCCCGTGGAAAACCTACACATCCAAACTCCACACTCCCTGGAGAGCCCGTAGGAACACATTGTTTAAATCTAATAATCCTCCATGAAATGTCAGCTGGTGCCTTACAGTACAGGAAGAGAGACCTGCCAGGAAGTGAGATGACGCAGCAGGGCACAACACCAGAAACAGGGAAATACGGCCCCCACAGGACTGGCTCAAGGCTGTGCTCGGCTCTCTGCCCGGAGGACGCTGCCGGATCCTGCCCGGCCAGGTGGCCTGCATAATGTTTATGTGCCTCGTTGCTCAGTTGCCAAATAAACCTGAATGATTTTGGAGCATTCCTGTGAGCGCTAGCCCGGCCGTGGACCCGGATCTAGGTCAGCTAGCTGTTTTACAGGCATGAGACAGACAGGACTATTTAGACAGCTGTAAGTCCTCTCAGAGTAAAATCTTATTACCGTAGATGAAAAAGCACTTTGGAAGAAAAAGAAACCCCAACAGCATTCTAAAATAATATGCTGAGGTTAGACGGCTTTAGTGAGCTTTCAGAAGGACTTTGAGCGGTGGCATAAATGCACTGATGAAATCAGCACCCATTCTGCCTCTATCTGTTCTCTTGGAAGAAATCGGTGTATCTGGCCTCAAAAGTCAAGACTCAGACATCAGGCATAAGCCAAGAAAAGAGCCACAGAAAGAGACTTACAAATAACGACGGGGTAAAAAAGTTTCTTCTGTATGGGGATCAGTTCACATATTTCCCACTGATTGTGGATTAGCTTTAAAACTCACGGCGGATTCAATAATGACTTGTGGTCATGTTTGCGTTCAGATCTGAAATCCAGCCGAGGCCATTAGACAACCTTGTGTCACTGACCGCTGGGTTTGGGGCACAGGCTGGGCAGGCAATGACTGAGGAGAAGGAATGTTAGCCACAAGAAGTGCTTTCTGCCAGGGTCACGTGGCGTCGGAGTGTGTGGACTGGGGCCAGTGGAGGGTGGGCACTGATGGCCAGAAATGCATCCTTCCTCCATGAGGCCCTCCCTTCTTCCCCAGCCAGGGCATCCCCACAGGACAGCCTGATGTCATGCACAGACACTCACTGCCACCTAGACTGGAGAACCTGTCATTTAAAGCTTCCTCCTGTTTAAAAATAAAACCTGCCCATAATTGAATACTTCCTAGGTGCCATGAAATTCTCATAATATTCATTGATTACTCCCACTCTCCAGATGAGGAAACTGAGGCATGGAAGGGTTTTTGTGACTTTCATAAAACCCAGGGCCAAATCTGAGCTCAGATCCACAGCAGCCTCCCCTGTAAACATGCAGTGCTGTCACAGTAGGGGAAGTGGCAGCCTCCCGGGATAGACACAAGTGGGTAAGTCACGGACATGTGACTTGAAATTTCATGGCTGGGGCAGGACTTTGGCTAAAAGCAAAGTGAGTGACTGCTGAGCTCCATTTCAATAATGCATGGGATGGTCAGGCTGCCCTCTTTTAAATATTTATCCATCTGCTTCACTTCATAATTAGTAAGAAAGTGATACAGGATGTGCCGTTTTAAAGAGGATATTAAATCTCGTGGTTATGATCATTTTCATCCTGTCCTTGGCTTCCCAAACTCATCCTCCAGAGACATGTTCCTACTGCCTGGAGATACATTCTCCTGCCCCAGGCTCTCTCCGTCTGGGATTGTTTGATTTCTGATGGTTCACCTTGTCCTGTAACCCACGTGGGCTTGAGGGCCTCGGGCTGCGACTGAGACTCCAGGCCACACGCTGCCTGCACTCTGCTGCCTTCAGCCAGCCTACAGCCCCTTTTCTGTAGGGAGGTCATCCTGGAGAGTGGAGGGTTCAGGCAGATGGCCTTCTGCCCTGGGAATAGCGCCCTCCTCCCATGCCTCAGTGTGTCCTGCCCCCTTTCGTGAGCCCCCGGGACCTGACAGGATTGTGTTTCTGATCAGTTTCTAAAGAAAAGAAAGCCTCCTGGGCAGGACAGGTCAGCATTCCTTTCACGGAGAGGGACCCTGTAGGCGGTTGCCATGGGACTGCCTGCTTCAGCCCCTAGACAAGCACCATGGTTTCACACACACCAGGGGGATTACCTGAGGCCCCTGTTCTGTTTTGACATCGAAGGGGTCTCCCACGGGCCGTTTCTTGGCATACTCCACGCTCCGCCTGACAAACTCAGAGTAGACCTGCTCCTCCACGAACACCCTGGAGGCTGCCGTGCAACACTGGCCTTGGTTGAAGAACACTCCCTGATGGGCACACTCCACTGCCAAGTCCACTGGAGGGGGAGGGGCGAGGGAGGCGGGCAGAGCGAGAGGAAGCGATTAAGTTGTTAAAGCAGGACTGGTGACAGCTGCAATTCTAATTGCCCACACAAGAAAACAGGCCCCAGGATGGCTGCATTTCAGAAATTAATTTTGTTTGCAGACTTTCCCAAATAGAGAGGAAGGGAGAAAGGATTTTGGGGTCCACCAAGTTTGGGGTTAAATCAATTCCCTGACTGCAGGACTTCTCAGTACCTTTAATATGCTAATAAGTCCAGAGAGTCATAGCACCCTCCATTTCACTTGCCTTTTTCTAGAGGACTCCCCTCCCCTCCCCTTTTTCTAGAGGACTAATGTTTTATAGAATAAACTTCGGTAATTATTGATGTAGGCCCCCTGGCGAGAACTTCTAAAGAAGCCAAAATGTTCCACCTTGAGTAAAAGAAGGGTCTTATTAAGTAAGATAATATCATGTGTGTGACTTAGAAGGGCTGACTAAGTTGCAGAGCTGACATTGAACTAAAACCAGTTATTCAAACCAAGCCAGAGGGTATTTAGAGAATAAGATCTTGGGGGACACGCTTAGTGGATAAGAATGGTATTGGGATGTCATTTACATCTACAGAGGGGTTTCTAGTGTTCAACCGTTGGCTGGTTTCATCACCACCAACCCCCGCACTATTGCTTTCTTAAGAAATGCAGCTTTCCTTTGCATAGAGGCTGGCAGTGGCTCTGGGCATTGGAAGGTGATCCGTTCCAATTCCACAGGGGCTGCTCCAAGGGACTGTGCCCTTGGCTTTGAGAAGGAGGCTGCTCCTATCTAGCTGAGTCATTTGTGGAAGTTTCAGTGGCAGCAGGACAGCACCATAAGGTTTGGGGGTACCTCTCTGCACCCTTGACCCCTGCAGCTGGCTGGGCCAGGTCCCAACTTGGAACTGCCCCTCCTCCGAGATAACAGACTCATTTCCTGCTCCTGACGGAGCTAGGGGTGAGGCGAAGGGGCAGGGGAATGGTGGCTTGTTACCCTTGATGTCTTGCCTGGGATGCTGGTTATGTCAGGATGTAATTTGTGGACTGGCACCGCCCTGATGAGGAGAAGGAGGTGGCTACACAGCATGTTTTTATGACCCTCGTAAGTAAAACCAAGCCCCAAACACAATTAGTCCTGTGCTTTAGCTGCAGTTTTCCTCCCCAAGAGGAGGAAGATGAACTTCAGTGCAGGTGGCGTATCCAGATACGGTGGCACAGGAAAGCAAAACAGGAGTCCTGGCTGTTTGGGACTCCAAATGTGAGTCACAGTGCCAGAAATGCTCCGTGTGGCTCCAAAAACCACTTGCTATTCATAGCACTAATGGTGCTTCCACAAGGGAACACTGACCCAGGCAAGAAATGGAAAGTCCATCTTCACACCCAGCTCCCCTTTCCTTCCTGAGAGCCTGTATCCTCCTCCTGTCCTTTCTCCCATTGTGAAAGCCAGCTGCCAGAAAGGAACTGATATCAGTCATTTACACCTTAGTAAGAAATTGTGCCAGGGTCATTTTTCTTGGGGATATTTGCAATTCCAACCTTATCTGAGTGTGAAGTGAAAGGCTTTGTTCTCCACGACAGGAATTTCTGGCACCCGTGGACAGGTCTGGGAGGCTATTCTTTAAGGCAAAGGTGTTTCAAGGCACTTGGGAAGTCACACCTTTTGATAGCTGACCCTGTCAGCAGGTGAATGAATGCCCGGCCAGCCCTTCCTTCCCTCTTGTGGACATGGCAGCCAACAATAGCATATATTTTAACGCTGTGTCGTTTGGCTGTCAAGACGCAAGCTATCCCCAAACTGCTGGGCAGGTTGCTTTCCCAGGGCAGGGGTGCAGGCCTAGAACCAGGCAAAGCGGGTAATTTGAAGGATCAGTTGCTACTGCCCTCCTCTGATTTATCAGGTCTGAGACACAAGGAAAGAGCACCTCCACTCTTCAGGGATCTTAAAACATATGATAGGAAATGTGACTTGGAGGGGAGAATGAATGACTGGGAGTGGGCAGCACCTGCCCTCCCCACTCCTCCCAGGGGGCTCTGGAGGAGAAGCCAGACCTGCTCCTCGTGACCCCAGCTCTGCAGGAACAGGCAGGTAAACTTAACGCTAAGGCGCAGAAACAGGCAGCCTCTCAGGTGCCACTCAAGCCATATCGTTTTGGCAGTAGAAGGCAGCTTTCTGCTAGAAGTAAAGCTGGCATTTTGATGTCCACCTGCCTGTCTGCGGCTGGCTGACTGTGGGCAGGATGCCCACGGTGGAAGCGTCCCCACTGTGTGTGCACACATCTTACTCTCAGTTGGTTTTGAATTCAGGCCAGGAAGTAGGGGGAGACAGATGGATGCCCTGAAGCCCCAGCAAAGCCCAGGAGGGCAGAGACTCACAGTCAGCGTCCGCACACACGATGCAGGGGTTCTTCCCCCCCAGCTCCAGCGTCACCCGCTTCAGATTGCTCCGGGACGCAGCTTCTTTAACCAGTTTTCCAACCTCCAGGACAGAACACAGATCACAATTTACCTTGGATGTTGCTGAACTTGGCCCAGGCGTAAACATCAGTGAACATTCTGATCAAGCCCGGGTGGCAGTGCCACCACCTGGCTCTCGGCCCAGGCGCTCCAGGCCCCGATGCCGTCCCTTCACTGTCCTGGCCTCTGCCAGCATCTCCTCCCATGCCAGACCATGACATCCTGGGATCCTTGGTCTAAGCCGCTCCACTTACAGGTGTGAGTTAGAGCCTCTGGAAGCCCACACAGCTGGCTGGGAACAGGGCTGCCACCCGCTAACCTGTCCTGGTGCCTGTCCTTCTGAGCCCAGCAGGCTGGTCCAGCCAGTCTGGTAAAGGGCTTCAGGGACCGCAGGGTGACTCTTCTACCTCTCACTAGAAACAGCTGAAATTCCAACAGCCCAGTAGGGGGGTGGTTCTGTGTGGCTCTTTGGTGTGATCTGAGGGAACCTCCAAGTGTTAGAGAAGTAGCGAGGGCAGCCAGCCTTCCGGATGAGAAGGAGCCGATTCTCTGGAAACACACTCTAAGACTGAGGCTGCCGCAGACAGGCAGGGAGTGAAGGGGTGCGCTATGAGCAGAAAAGCCACTCACCAGTCATGCTCAAGGCCCCCACGGGGTCTCTCCCATTGCCCACTGTACCCCTGGAGGGGAGGGCTGGCCCAGCATGACTCGGTGACTTATCTAGGGCAACAAGTAAAGCCCAGCACCACGAACTTCAGAGCTGGGAAGATCCTCAGAGACCAGTGCAGACACGGAGGCCTAGAGCCAGAAGCTAGCAAGGCGCGGCCCAGGCTCTTCCGGGTCTGAGACTGTTTTCTCCAATGCTAAGGTGTGAGCGCATTTTAAACATCAGCAAGCTCATGGGTGATGGCTGAATGAGGTCTGGAATCCATCCACAGGGCAGTGTCTGTCTCCAAGGAGAGTAACAGCATCCACCAGGGCTTGGACTAACTAAGGAGGGGGATGGGGACACTGATTGCAGCGGGTGTTTTTTTCTTTTTTAAGTACAGAAGAAATACTTTCTCATTAAAAGTAATTCCACATAGAGATGTATGTGAATTACAGGGAGAAAGCCTTCAGCTTCCCTCCGGCTCTGCCCCGAGCCCACCCCATAGGTGGCCATCAGTAAGGATTTCTTGGGAATCCTTCCAGATAATTTCTACTTCTACAAGCACACACCTCTACGAATGGGAAAATATTGTGGGTAATTTTCTACCGTTTGCTGTTTTGTGCTTCAACAATAGATCATGGACAGCTTTCCTTGTTGTAACGGCTGTAAAACATTCCAGAGAATGAATATAATATCCTTGAAAATATGTCCCTGAAGCCTCATGAGAAAATTTCTCTAAGTAGTTTTTTCTTTTTTTGAAATGGAGCTTCTGAATCGAAAAGTTTTTCACTTTAAATGTTGGATGAGTGCTACCAAAACACTGTGCATCTTAGGGCAAGTGTCGCTGAGCACCTGCTTCCCCATATTCTCAGCAGTATCATTTCAGTTCTTAGCAATCTGGCAGGCAAAAGGAAAGTCTGATTTTGTTTGAATTTGCATTTTCCTGATTACCAGCAAACTAGTTTAAGCTTAATGGGCACGTCGTATTTCTATTCTCTGAACTGCCCATTTTTCTACCATTCAGTTTGGTTTTTTTTTTTCATTGACTTGTAGGAGCACTTTGCATATGACGGATATAAATTCTTGGAGCACTGCATGCATCACGACTATTTTTCTCTGAGCTTGTTATTTATCTCTTAATCTTAATTATGGTGTTTGACAGATGAATATTTTACATTTCTACTTTATCTTATCTCTCAATCTTTTCTTCTAAGGCTTCTGAGTTCTATTAGATATTTATTTAGTTTGGAAACTAGACCAGTGACTTTTTTTAACTGGTTGTTATGTACTAAAACATGGTCAAATTTAGAAGAAAAACAAATCATATTAAAGCCTGTCAAAGGAAAAGCTCACGGGTGTCAAATAACACGCCCCTTTCACTTTCCCCAGCACCCTGTGAGGAGGGTTACCTCTGTGGAGCCGGTGAAGGCGATCTTGTTGATCTGAGGGTGAGAAGAAATTGCTGCTCCCACTGTGGGCCCGAATCCTGGCACAATGTTCACCACTCCTGGAGGGAACCCGGCCTGGGAAGAAATCAAGATAGCACTTGAAGAAGAACGGACTTCATCCACCACGGATCCACATTTGGGCCGAGAGAGCCGTGGCTGCCTCACATCCCCACAGGGAACCCGGGCCGGGCTGGATTTACCCAGGACCCAGAAGCAGTTGACCGTGGGCACCCTGGGAGCTGACCTGGGCTTCTCATCCCCTGCTGCCAGCCCAGTGTGCAGGCTGGGCAAGGGGAGATGCCCACTTCTCCTTCTGGGGGGGGACCCCATCCCAAAGTGATATGCAGTGCAAATGTGTGGTTATGCTTCAAGGTGGCCATGGCCCGCCTGTAGCACAGCACCTTTCCATGTGGGGTGTGTGTGTGTGTGAGGGAGAGTGTGTGTATGCGTTAAGGGGAGAGGGGTACCTTGATCAGAATGCCCTGCCCAGGATCAGAGGCACCTGCAAAATATCTGCCAAGAGCTTCAGTTTTGTTTTTTCTTCTTTTTTTTTTTTTTGAGATGGAGTCTTGCTCTGTCGCCCTGGCTAGAGTGTAGTGGCGCGATCTTGGCTCACTGTAAGCTCCGCCTCCCAGGTTCACGCCATTCTCCTGTCTCAGCCTCCTGAGTAGCTGGGACTACAGGTGCCCGCCACCACGCCTGGCTAATTTTTTTTTTTTTAAGTAGAGATGGGGTTTCACTGTGTTAGCCAGGATGGTCTCGATCTCCTGACCTCGTGATCCACCCACCTCGGCTTCCCAAAGTCCTGGGATTACAGGCGTGAGCCCAGTTTTCATTTTTTAATCAGACCCGTTATTATTCCAAATGGTGACAGGGTATCACTCCCTTAAAGTTCTTTGCTTGTTCAACCTGGGTCTCACCTGGAGCAAGCCCTTCTGGAAGGCAGGGACTGCCACCTCGTTCACGTTCATGCCTCGTGTTTTTCATATACTAAGCCTCTTTATCAGGCGAGAACACAAAACAAACGAGGTGGAGGATGCTCTTCCCCACCTGTGCTGAGTCTTACTTAGAACACATTATTTCAGAAAATCAAGATTTTAGGCACGCTGCTTGAGTCTTTAGATTTTTAGGCACTGTTTCTTAACAGTTGGGATTTTCACATTCCTAAGTCTCACCAGTGTGACTTAATTATGCCCCACATCACCAAAGGAAAGTGGAAAATTGGCTCATCACCAGCTGTTCCCACCTTGCTTCTAAGCAACTGTGGACCTGCCTGCCGGTCATATCAGCCCGACTAAGAAGAGAAAGGAATGGATCTTTTCTTCTGTCCCTCTTTGCTTCCTGTTGCTTTCTCTAAATCTTTGCTCCATACAACCTGGGGATGGAATGACTAAAGGTATGTCTGGAAGGAGGTGTCCCATTGAGCCTCTGTTTCCCTAAGTTCTGGCTGCCTGAGGGAGAAGAGATTGCATTCAGAGCAGAGGGCACTGATTAGCAGGGACCCGGCACACGGACTGCTGCAGCCGCCCAGCTAGAGCTGACGAGGCCACCTCTCCAGAGAAAAATGGACCATTTCATAAACTGAGAATGCAAATCCCAGAGAACCTCCCAAATATTTGGCTCCCTCTTGGTTGACCCCCCCTGAAAATTCTCTAGACAAACCACTGGGTCCTCAACCATAGGTTTGAGCCCATAATAAGAGTTAAGCATTCTCATTAGGACCACTGGGAGGAATGGAGTTTCTCCAGCTCAGTGGCCACAAGCAGGAGAAAGAACGTGCAGTCGCCAAACAAAACACTGGAAGTCATTCCCTTCCCACTCGATTGCCAGCAGTCTGCCACTGTCCCATCTCGTGACGGTGGCCTGGTTCCTAGGAGTGGGAATGTTACCAAGAACATGTGATATTTTCTTTTTGGATGTCTCACCTCTTTGATCAGAGAGCCGAGATAAAGGGCGGTGAGAGGTGTCTGCTCCGCAGGCTTCAGGACCATGGTGTTCCCACAGCAGAGGGCGGGTGCCAGCTTCCACACCAGCATCAGCAGGGGGAAGTTCCACTGCGACAGAGCACAGGGGCTTTGGAGGCCCAGATCCACCCTCTTACCCTGTCCCATGTGCTCAACGATGCCTTTGTGGAGGACACTTGCTTTTCATGGTCTGGATTTGGGGTATGTGGGGTAACATAGGAGTGTGCAATGATCAGAACTGCAATCCTGCACAGCACTTCCTAAACTGCATTCTGGGTGGTACTAATAGGCAGCCTTTGCAAAGAGGATGCTGTTGCATGTGTTCTACCTCTCCCTCTAAAACATCTGCTGAAGACGTGTCCTCCTCCCTGCCTCCATGGGCACTTTTTGAACCCTCACTTCATGTTGCCACCTGGCTCTTCAGCTTCCTGCCTGGCTGTTGTTGCAATGGCCAGAGGCTTCCCAAACAGACAGGCAGCATTGTTGCACTTCTTGGGCACCTATAAGCATCCCCACCGCCCAATGAATAAAGTCCCGGCCCCTTAGCAGCCAAAGCTGCTGGAAGCTGGCCCACACCACCTGCCACGTGTGCTCACCCTTTTCCTCACTTTTGCTCCTGCCTGAGCTCTAGCCCCACCAGCTTTCCTGCTGTTCCCTTCCAAGTAGCCCAGCCACCTCTGCACTTTTGCCTAGGCCATTCCCACTCCTTGGAAAATCCTTTTCCTTGTTGAACAAGTCTTTCTTATCTTTAAGGCCCAGCTAAGAGACCACCTTCCTGGGAATGCTGGCCATTCCTGACCACTCTGGCTGGGAACCACAGTGCTTTCTGTGGCATGCCTAAAGCCGGTCTTAGGAGAGCAGAAATGGGGTCTAATCCATCTCAAGAGCCCCCAAGCATGGAGTTCCATGCCACGAAGAAAATGCTTGTTCAACGCTGGTGCAATCAGATAAAAACACACCAGAAATTGATTCCAAAGGACACAGGGCAGTGGGGCAGGATCTACATAGAATCTACTGAGAAAGGCTGCCATACTTACTGGAGTGATGGCCCCACAGACACCAATGGGCTCATGCCTGGTGAAGCACACGACGTTGTCATCTGGAAGAGGGTTACATGGTGGGGAAGGACACACTCACTTAGTCCAGGTTAGGAACTTCAAGTAGTAAAAAGACAAGAAAGAAACCAACAAGGGTGCCAGATTCAAGTCTTGTCTATTATACAGAGAAGTGATTTGACCTCAACTTTAAAAGTGAAGTTCTTAGAAGAAGAATTGGCAGTACCATTTGGAGAGGGAGTGGGGTTGGGAATGGTGCCTTAGGGAAACAGTCAGGGGGGGCTCTGGATTAATGAAAAGATATAGCCCCAAAGGGATCCCAAATGAAGCTATAATCCACCTTGCTCACCTGTGGGGATGGTCTTGCCCTGGATTTTGTCTGCCCACCCTGCAAAGTATCTGAGGGTTCTAATACAGCCCTCCAGGTCGATGAAAAAAGCATGAAGAAATGGCTTCCCTGTATCCATCGTCTCCAGGGCCTGCAATAACAAGATGATGTCTGTTTCGGACATAGCTTGCTTTTCTTTTGCACTGTCAGGTTGTTAAAGATGGAAGTTGGGGAGAGAACACAGTCCTAGGACATTGCTCTGTAGACCTCACAGTCAGATGCACCTCTTCAGAAAGCATGACACCAAATGTAAAGCGAGGCCTGTCTCTGAGTGTGAGGATTGCTTTTATTTCAAAACACCTAAAGTGGGCTGCAGGGTGGTGGGCTAAAACATAGACATGCACCCTCTTTGAAGGGCCCCTTGGAGGCCAGGCGGATTTAAAGCTGTGCTGGGAAGGAACGCACACTGGCATCTGATCTTCCATCTGTAGCACAGTGGCCTCTGCTGTGTGGCCAGTCGTGTGTGCTTGTGTGTTCCCAGGAAGCTCTCTGAAGGTTAGCTGGCTCTGGGGTGGCTGCAGTGGGAGCTGCCCTCCTCGAACAAAAGAGAAAGAGAAGATGTAGGCTCTTCCTTCTCGGCCAGGCTGGCCAGTGTGGCTGTGGAAAGTGACTGAGCCGAGAAGGGTCGCGCCCCCAGCACAAAGATGCAATCCTTCCCTCCTGCACTGCAGAGCCCGGCCGGCCGGATGCAGAGTCGGAAGGGAGCAGACTGCCCTGCTGGTGAGGGAGGTGATTACCCAGGGCGAGTGTGCAGCCACTCAATGGCAGGGATTCTTTTCTATTTCCAGCCGGGGTGGAAGAGAACCCCTTTGTCCCTCAGACAAGTGGCCCCAGTTGAGCCCAGCGCTGAAACCGCCAGTCATCCGCCTCTGCAGGAAGTGGCCGCCCTGACACATAGCCCAGGGCTGGATTCTTGTGGAAGAGTCAGTGGAGTGAGATGGTGATTGAAAAAGGAAGAAGGCCCCTCCTCAGATCCAGGGCTTTAACCCCAGCGCACTCCCCGATGTCTCACCCTTTGAGCTCCATGACTGCATTCCCACTTCAAGGTGCAGGCACGGACGCTAACGGCCCAGTGACTTGGCCAAGGCCACCCAGTAATGCAGCAGCTGAATTGGGGGCATCTACTTCTGGCCAGCACAGCGACTGGCCTTTACAGGCTGCTCCTGGACAGGTGTGTCTGGAAAGACTGCAGGGCAGCCACTCCGGATGCTCGGGCTACCCCAGCTCCCCTTTGCTTCAGGAATGAGCCAAGCCCCCTTTAAATAGGAGGCAACTACATCTGCTGAACCCTAGTTAAGTAAGTGGGCCTTGGGTAAGTCCCTGAATCACTCCTTGCCTCAGTTTCCTCATCTGTAAAATAAGAATAATAACGGTTCCTACCTCACAGGGCCAGCGTTAGAGTGAAAGGAGTCAGTGTCCACAGAGCAGCAACCACAGTGCCCGCCCATGGTGAGTGCTGGATTGGTGTTCACATGAGAACACTGATGATTACACTGACTATCATCAACTTCCCTTTAGGCACCAGAGAAGGGCTTGGCGATCCTCACCTGGGGACCCAGACAGCGCACTGGGTTGCTAAAGACCACAGGACTGGTCTAGCTTGGGGTGTGTGTTCTGCCCCCAGCAGCTGCCACTCAGGGACTGAGTCAGGCCAGTGTGACATCAAGTATACTCTAGTGTTGGTTCCTATAGATTTTCACTCAAGCGTGAACTTTCATTTTTCCAGGGGAAGCCTAGCAATTGCAAATAGTGCAAAAAGGCCTCTAAGACTGACCTATTCCAGACAGTATCTGCATATCTGTCAGTGGAATTGCAAGTTTATTCTTTGCTCTTTTCTGGGATGGAACAAGAGAGAGGACTTCAACATCCAGCACTGAGGGTAAGCGCGAGACATGGAGCCAAGATTCTGCCTCCAGTCCTGGATTACCACCTCTGGCTGGGTGACCTAGGACAGGTTACTTAACCTCTCTGGGCCTCAGTTTCTCATCTCTGAAATGAGATAATAAATCCTACAGGTCAACAAGCCAGGTACATGGCGAACATTCAGCCAGCATTGCTATTTGTTTTTATTGTCAACTTCAGCAAGTTTGCTTACTGGAGTGACAACATGAATTTACCAGGTTAGTTTTATGGAATTTCTCTGAGCAAAACCCAGGTCATGATAGGTTTAGACGGGAAATTATTAAAAAAAATTATGCAGGTGAGTGAGTCCAAGTGCTCGCTACAGATTGAAACAGTCATCCTTTAAACAACTTGTTACTGTGGCTCAATCATGAGTAAACCATAGCCACTCCTAAGTTTATTTCCTTTAACATTTTAAGAGGAAAATGTGCCTCCTGAGAAATTAACACATCAGAACCCTCAGATACTAAAGAATGACGGGAAGTGCCAGGAAAACAGCACGGCAGGGCTTACAACGAGAGGACCCAGAAATGGCACTTGGGGTGAAAAGGAGAGTGGATAGGGAGGGCTTCCGTTTGGGAGCTCCCAAAATGAGCGCCCAAAGAGCAGAGTTGGGGCCTGGGTGCCCCAGCAAAGGAAAGCCATCCAGGGGCCGCTGGATCCCCCACATCTGTTTCCAGACACTGAGCACAGAAATAAACACCCAGCTCTGTCAAACCACTGAGCCGGCAAGAGAACACGCTCCATGAACATGCACGGAAACCATATCGAGGTGGAGAGCAAGGGGCGCTCTCCTGTGATGTGGTTGGAGTTTTAAAAACCGTGTTTGCCAGTAATTCTCTTGTCCCTTTCATGTTGTGGCAAAGAGCTGGATCTTATTTCTCGTGGGCTGCGAGGTGCCAGTGGCAGAAGTGATTTGCTGGGTTTGCATTCTGAGATCCTCCAAAGCTGTCTGCTATCAAAACACAGTCGTGCCAGGACAATGGGGCAGCCTGAAGATGAAGGTGGCTTTGTAGCCTCTGCTCCTAAGATGATACTGACACTTAAGGACAGGGTTCAGGGCGGGGGGTGCCCAGGGCACATCCTCTCTAGCCTGCTATTAGTCCACACGGACATTGCCGACCGATGAGCTCATGCCGGGTGAAAACAGAAATGTTTTTGAAAAAGCCAGTTTGGCAGCTTGAGGGTTGACGCTGGCTTACGTTGCAGGAAGAAACCAGAGGCTCCTCAGAGAGAAGCGCTTACCCTGGGAGGGAGCTACTCTCACCCGGGGAACATGTGGACTGGCCGGGCTGACTGGGAAGGAAGGAAGGGGAGCTCGAGTTTCTGTGTGGATGCACCCTTAGGGAAATGCACCCAAGAGTACGGCCTGAGAGTTCCTCCACCCTGAGAAACACATTCAGGGGCAACAGCAATTTCCGTGTCCTGGCTGACACCCTCCTTTAAACAGTGGCTACCCTACTGCTTGTTCCCGACATCAGAAAAACCATTTTTCCAAATCAAAGGCCAGAAAGGAGATCTCCTCCCCTACAACCGGGCCTCAAGGTTTGGAACAACTTTTAAAAACAAGAGGCTGAGATGGGCAAGGACAGGATGCAAAGGACCTCATGGCCCAACGTGGCCCTGAGATGTCCTCTGATCACTCCCTCATGACCAGAGGAGGGTCTGAGGATCCTGCTAAAAAATGGACTTACAACTGATGAATGCCTTGGCAGCTCAGCCTCATGGGGTATGCTCCATCAATATCCCCACCTAGGGTATCTAGAAATTACTGGCCAGCAGTGCATGTAGGTGAGGTTAGAAAATGGGTCTTCACATGACCTCATTATGATAACTGCTATTATTAATGATAGCTGTCATCTATTTAGTGCTTACTGCCTGCCAGGGACTCTGCCTAGAATCTTAAATAGATCATTCTTACACCACTGAGTTATCATTATCGGTGACATTTTACATGAAGAAATAAATCTCAGAGAGGTTTCACAACTTGTCCAAAGTCACACAGCTAGTAAGTGGCAGAGTGGGGATTTGAACCCAGGTCTTTCCTATTCTGAGGTTTCCTATAACCAGGCTATCCTGCCCTCACCACCGCTCCACATATGCTCGCTACTAGCCAGTTCAGGGGTGACTGAGGAATGATTTTAGGTCACATGGGAACAATTTTTTCTATGTTAAGTGGTGGCATTTATTTTGGTAAGTATTAGAAAAATAAAATTAGCACATCAAACCTGTGATTTCATGAATATTGTTTCTTAGGATGAGATTAAACTTAAGTTTAAAAGGGAGTTAAGGCTGGGTGCAGTGGCTCACATCTGTAATCCCAGCACTTTGGGAGGCCAAGGCCGGTAGATCACCTGAGGCCAGGAGTTCGAGACCAGGAGTTCAAGACCTGGCCAACATGATGAAACCCTGTCTCTGTTACAAATATAAAAATTAGCCGGGCATGGTGGCAGGCACCTGTAGTCCCAGCTACTCAGGAGGCTGAGGCAAGAGAATCATTTTAACCTGGGAGGCAGAGGCTGCAGTGAGCCGAGATCGCGCCACTGCACTCCAGCCTGGGTGACAGAGGGAGACTCTGTCTCAAAAAAATAAATAAAATAAAATAAATAAAAGGAAGTTTATACAAAAAAGAAAAAAGTTAAGTACATAAACACACAGGTGGTACCAGGATATGGCCCAGCTCATGGTCACCAATCTGTGAGTGCCCCAAGTCTGAGACCACTGATGTAGCTCAACTGCCTATAGACAACAACTTGGTCAAGAAGCTGAGCTGCAGAGGACAAAAGTCTGACTTCAAAATGAAAGGGATTCAGTCTAGAGGCATTAACACCTGCAAGTATTGCCAGAGAGCCGTGTCTCAGAGGATGGAACAGACCCACGACCACACAAAACCAGGACCGTGATCTTTTTTCCCATACCCCATGGTGGACAGGACCCTCAGTGAGGCTGGCTCATCCCCCACCGGCCCCCAAGTGCATGTACTCACGGCCAAGGTGGCGCGGTCCCTCTCCACCAGGTCAGCCAGCTGGTGCAGCAGCCGCCCACGACTCAGGGCATCCAGCCGGCGCCATGGCGAGCCCCTCTGGAAGGCAACCTGTGCAGCCTCCACAGCCTTGTCCACGTCGGGCTGAGCGACCAGAACAACAGAGAGAGACTGTCATCTTTTGACGTGACTGCAGTTTGGGTGTCATCTTTTGACGTGACTGAAGTTTGGGTGTCATCTTTTGAGGTGACTGCAGTTTGGGTGTCATCTTTTGACGTGACTGCAGTTTGGGTGTCATCTTTTGAAGTGACTGCAGTTTCGGTGTCATCTTTTGAGGTGACTGCAGTTTGGGTGTCATCTTTTGAGGTGACTGCAGTTTGGGTGTCATCTTTTGACGTGACTGCAGTTTGGGTGTCATCTTTTGAGGTGACTGCAGTTTGGGTGTCATCTTTTGACGTGACTGCAGTTTGGGACCACGGCCATCAGTTATAGAGAACAGCAGATTGTCCCGCTGGCAGACAGGCTGCAAGCAGCAGCATGTTTTTCAATCACTTGAATGGCTGGGAGCGTTCAAGTGATTTTTTTTCTTCTTTACATCTTAATATTTCTACAGTGGCCAAATACCAATGTTTGTTTCTGATTATAAAAAGCATTTAAAAATATTTCCTAAAGAGTATTTTTCTCAGGGACCCAAGTACGGAAGGACTTTCCACTGGCTGCCTCAGTGTGAACGCACACGAGCCTGCTGTTCACAGATCAGGTGGGAAGTGTCTGCCTGGCATTTGATCCCAGCTGGGAACTTGTGGTCCAAGAGTGAGAATGGGGAAATTCCTTCCTTTCTGGATTGCAGAACTGACCATCGTGGAACAGTTCGCAGACAGGGAGGAGCATGAAGGCCGTTTTTCTCCCTTCAGCCTCACCCACCCCATGGGAGCAGAACTGGATCTTTTGTGCACTGATAGAATAATCACAACGGAACCTTCTTTCTAAAAGGAAAGAAGTGAGGGCCATTTAGAGTAGTGTCACTGTCTCTTTTTCTCAGGAAAATGGGCCACATTCATCTCGAAGGCCCCTCCATGCCTCTCTCTTTCTAGGAAGGTACAGCAGGGAGTGGATGTGGGACACCAGTCAGGAGTGACTCTACCGAGTCTCTGTGTGTCCAGAGCTGGCTTGGGGGTGAGCAGAAGCTTGGCAGGGGAGATGTGGGACACTGAATTTCTTCTCCCAGGCTCTGGGGTGGAGGCCAGGACCTTTCCAGCTGCAGAGGGTGTGGTGGCCTCTGGCTCAGAACAGTCACTCAGACCAAGGGAGAAATCAAGGCCCAGGGCAAGGGTCTCGTTCTCCTCCTAGCACCTGTACGGGGCACTTGGGAGTCTCCTAGTGGAAACCCCATTCCATGTCATGGCTTCCCCCCAATGCCCTCACATTTTTCTATGAGCTCCTCTGTGCCACTTTCTTTGTTAGCAGAGCCTAACTGTCATGAGGTGCCACACAGAGGGGGGTCTGTATAGGTGGGGCCAGTGTGCATTTGCACGTCTGTCACAAAAACTCATGGGCAAGATAAAATCCAAGCCTACTCTGCACACGCCCTTCACTGCATCCACTTCCAACGTCATCAGTTTGCTGACCAAGAACATCAGTCCAGCACTCCAGCAGCTAAGGAAACATTTACATCTCCCTGCCCTCAGTGGAAGGGCTTTACCTCTGCACTGACATTCAGAATAGATTTGATGGCCTTGCAATGTATAAAGGACACATTCGGAAGTCCCTTAGCTTCTGTATTACTATATAGACCTTGCACTTGCAAATAGAGTGATAAAGGTTACCGCTTTCCATGCTCATGTAAATTTCTAGGAGAAAAGAAATCTGGTGGTTACATTGTTAACTATCCCCGCATCACCCGGGTAGCAACTATTTTTTTTCCTTCAAAGTGTCTATTTTTTTCTAAAGTGTCTTCTGCCAGAAAGCTTCATTTCGTGAAACACACCAGCGGGAAATGCTTTCTGGAAAGATTCTTTAATGCCTCCAGGTCCAAATAATTGATAAAAAAAAAAAAAAAAGAAAAAAGAAAACCTTTCCTTTAGCCATATGATGAGGATAGCTGAGGTCATCCTCATAGTAGGAGAAACATCTATCAAGGGAGAATGATTCTCTGCAGAGGATCATCGGTAATTGATGCCATTCTGTGCCACACGTCTGAGAACCACATGCCAATTCACGCAGCTAGCCCAGGCCCTGCCCCCAGGATAGGCCAGTTCTGTCTTATAGCTAAGCCGAACCGTTTCCTTATCCTTTGGTCATCCATAATTGAATTACTTAGAGCAAATTTATTTTAAGTATTTACCTTATCTCCTTCTTCCACTTCACATATTTGCTCCCGAGTTGAAGGGTTACATGTAGCAAACTTTTTCCCACTCTTGGATTCGTGCCATTCATTGTTGATAAATATCTAACCAGGAAAGGAAGTGTAACCAATTAGGTTTAGATCAAAATCATATAATTTCAACATGCTAAGGACCTTAGGTGACGTCTTATCCATCTTGTCCACCTTCCTCTCTGCTGCTTCCCTCTCCCCTTCGACATCTTATAGATGAGACCCGGAGGGGAACAGAGTCCCAGGACTGCATGACCAACAGATCAACTAGGACAGACTCGAAATTCAAGTTTTGGTCAAATAAAACTATAGTCACTTAGAGATTTTTTTCTAAATTATTATTATTATCTTCAGCAATAACATGGATTCACAGAGGAATGGCTAAGTTAAATGGTTAAATAGAGGCTGTGAATGGAATCTCATACCCCAATAGACTTTGGGGGAAGAGTCAATAGGTTTATATACATAAAAGTCCCAAGCAGTCCGCCTGCCCCTGAAGGGTAAGGACGCACCGAGCACTCCCTTTCTCCTTTCAGTGGCAACACTCAGCAAGATTGATTGCCAAGGAGCTCACTTTGAGGAGGATCTCACCATCGCCCTTCAGTTTTCACCAATGCACATCAGCATGTCCCTCCCCAGCACATTCCCCTTAAAATGTGTATTTTCATAGCAAACCACCATGGCGCATGTTTACCTATGTCACAGACCTGCACATCCTGCACATGTACCCTAGAACTTAAAATAAAAGTTGATAAAATGTCAAAAAAAAAAAAAAACCCAGAAAAACCTCCGAAGCTTGATAATAAACCAGCGTTGAAGTACAAAGTTAAATGTCTGGGTTAGAAACTTTCCAGGTTACATTAAGAGATGTCGCAAATAACTGTTTATATAACCCGCAGAAATCACTTTTCTGGGAACCTCAATGATCCAGAATGCAGATGAGAATGAAAGTTTTTTTGACAAAAGACATCATGAGCAGACTAAGAAGAACATACGAAGTCCATGCACTGAAACATATGTACTATTTACTGTTAGTTTACACTAAGTTCTAATTGTCTTATTAATGTCATATTAAAAGAGAGGGCTTTTGGAAAAAACTAGGAAGAGACATGACAGACAATATACAAAACACATTCCGACAGCACGGAGGTCCCCGGCTGCCCAGCCAGAAGACACACAAACTCCTGCTACACCAACTTGGAATGGCTTCCTCATCACAGCCTATCACAGCATCAGAAGAACCCCCGTGGCAGAAATGGCTGACACGCATGTCTCTCAAGTAAAATGCCGTCAGTAATTTCTGAGTACAGAATTAGTTCATCAGGTTCCGTTTTTACATCTATCTGCATGTGGTATACATAGCTTTACTTTGCTTCTTTTTGAATTGTTTAAAGGAAGAATTGCGTCCCTCAAGGGCTAATTTCAATTATTGTGAAATTGATTCATTTGAAACATTTGACTCCCCAGTGATGACAGATGAGAGAGGGCAGCCATCTCCTAAGCATGAGTCTTGGTTACATTCTCTGTATTGGGCTTCCTGTATAAACTCCACAGCTCCGGCTTAATACCTGGGTGATGGGTTGATCCATGCAGCAAACCACCATGGCACATGTTTACCTATGTAACAAACCTGCACATCCTGCACATGTACCCCAGAACTTAAAAGTTGATAGAATGTTAAAAAAAAAAAAAACCCACAAAAACCTCTGAAGCTCATAGTGAGGAAGCCTGGTCTGAGTCGGTTGGGGACCAAGCACAGGAGGCAGACTCTGGCTGGGCAGGTGAGCAGAGACCAGCTGCCCCCCAGTTTGGAATCCAGAACTGAGAGCATCGGTCACCATTGGGATTTGCCTGTCTGGCTTCTGGAAGCTTAGCGTCTCCAATGTGAGGCCAGGCCCCCAGGGAAGCGCACCAGGAAAAGGCCAGGCTACAATTACAGGTTTATTCTTCCAGCTGAAACTAAATCCAAGAGTTCACTTTTGCCATCCAGCAAGTCATCACTTGGTAACAGCGAGAAATTAATAACTGAGGAAGAAGAGTTAAGTTAGTGCGGGGAGGAAAGTGCAGCCAGGAAGAGGGGCCCATTTGTAGAAAGATGAAATTTCGTGGGTTAGATAATAGAGACTGTCAGTGAAAATTGCTGATTCTAGGTCCTTCCTGGTATCAACTCCAAGGGGGAGGGAAAATGAGAAGGTGGCAGAAGAGAATATAAATAAGGGGGCTGAAAACAGATTACAATGATCGGATGTCTGCTATACTGCTATACTTCATCTCCAAGCATGCTCCTCCAAAAAAAATTACTGTTTGTTCATGACATTGATCTGTAACCAGCAACCTTAAAAAAAAATCAGACTGTTTGACTCTAACCATATTTTCCCATCACTATGTTTTTAATTTTGTAAAATCTTTTACTTTATACCACACTACAGTAGTAAGTAATCTTGTAAGTGGTTTCTACTGTTGATTTTTCTCTCCATTAAAACAAAACAAAAGCACAAATATAAGGAAAGGGTATATAAATATGGTCTACTGATTATGCTGGCTGTATTGTTTTGAACTCCAAATCAGGGTAAAGGGTCTAGAAGGAATTGTTGTCTTTGATTTGTGGATTAGCATACAACAAACCTTATAGAGGTATAGCATTAAGCTACATTGAGCTGTAGACCTGGTTCACATTTTACAAAAGGAACAGAATGACATGGAAGCAGGACGGAGCTGTAAGGTGTCTCAGGCAGAGGTGAAGATGACAGTCATACAAGTGAATCCTATTGATGCCGATTTCCCGTAACTTCCATCTGACAACAGGCCACTCAGCTAAACTCAAAAAGAATATGTTTTCAGAAAAGGAGATTTGGGGGAATTTTATTTTTCATAAGAGAGATAATAAAAACCGGTGTTTTAAAAATCAGAAAACTTTGAAGAGAATCCCTGCTACTGGAAGAAATTTTATAAGGAAAGAAAGAGGCCCTCTAAATTAGAAGGGACTTCTATCCTCTGAGATCTGTGTGGGGACCCTGGAGGGGCTCTCAGCTCTCCAGAATCACACAGCATGACCCTAGAGAATGAAATGTTAACATGTGAGGACAAATGAAGGGGCTTTGACAAAGTCATCCTGAAAGTTGGACCACCCTGGGAAATGGCACTGCCGGGGCTAGGGCTCAGATGGACCAACTCTGGTGTGTGCCCCATTATCGAGAAGCACCATGAGTCAATTTTGGAAAATAGCAGACCACTGCTGGCTCCCATGCTCCACCGTCTGCTCTCCTGCCAGGCCACCCACCTGCCGGGCCACTCGCCCACTCTGGGCCTCAGTCCTGCACTTCAGTTTATCCCGCTCCTTCCCTCGGCAGGCACTCTTGGTGGCCTCACTCTCGGCCGCCTCTCCAGTCCAGTCTCCCTGAGGACTGTGCCAGGGCACTGGTTGGCCACCCTCAGCCACACAAGCTGCCTGGGTCCACAACTGCTATGGGGAGGTCTCTGCAGAGATGGGCCAGGAGCCAGGACAGAGCAGGCAGCAGCACAGTCCCCCAACGGGTGAGGAGCCAGCAGCCGGTGTCAGGCAGTTGGGGCCTTTATCGCCTGGGAGACCACTCAAGATCCCAGCACTCCAGGCCGATCCACCAGCTTCCCTCAGCCTCATTCCTGCACTGGTTCCCTTTAACTGGCAAAGGTTGCGCACCCACCAAGACAACAGGCAACCATTGCTCTGTGAATTGTCTAAGGTCTCCATAAGGGCTACATCTACACTTTAAAAGTGTCCTAAAAATCATAGAGAAAGAGGTAAACTTTTTGTATGTGGTCAGATTGCTGATAGGACTCAAAAACATAAAAAGTAAAAGGACCATAATACATTTACTGTCTGGTTTCTATATACAGTATTTTGAAATCCTGTACAACCAAAAGAAAACAAACAACCTCCCCACTTAACCATCAGTAGCAGCAGCCAAGCACCTGGGGTTAGGGTCTTACAAAATTCGGGTACCATTTTCACTCTTCCCAGAATTCGTGTTGGAATTTTCACTCTGAAGCTGATATTACAAATAAAACTACATTAAGAATAATTTCCAGCGTTTAGTTTACAGCGACGTGTCTTTGTTGATTACAGAGCCTTCTGAAAACAGTTAATTTAAATGTCTTGTGATCAGAGGCTCAGCCGACATTGGGAATTAAGTGCCAAGAGACCCAAATCTGAAGGCCACACATAGTGCCCTGCAACTTTCTCCGCTTGATTAAAATTCTTTGAGAAAGATAATTGCTACTTCTTAAAGTAAAACGGATGAGGAAATTCTCTAAGTGCGGTGTCAGCTGGAGTTGGGGGCTATGGGTAAAAGCAAAAATCAAGAGAAGCCAAAGGTGGGGAAAGTTAAGGCAATGGCTCTCGGCCTGGCCTGTGCCTCTAAAGTGCCCCAGCACCGGCCCACGACAGACGCGCACGCCAGACAGCCTGGGGGTGTCCTCCATCGGGTCGCGCTCCCGGACCCGGGTCTCTCGGCCCTCCTCAGCCCCAGCTCAGAGGCCTCGGAGGCCTCACCATCTTCTTTTATTCCTTTCTGCCCCGGGCAGGTAATCTCGCCGTTCTGCCAACGCTGTAGCCTCCCAGCCCACAGAGCGAGGAGGCAGAGAACCGTGCGCTTCTGCGGCCTCGCGACCCACCGCTTCCCAAAGGCCCAGGTCTGCGACCTTCCGGAGCGCGCGCCTTGTGTGTAAACACCGGGACCTCTGGGCTCCGGGGAGGTTTCGTCAGTAAGCGAGCACCTTCCTACTCCTCCTCGTTCTGCTGCTGAGCCGGGTATAAACTAAGCACGGAAGGCGCCCGCTGCGCTTTGCTCGGAGGACCCGCTTCCCCAGTCTTCCAACTGCAGCTCCGCCATCTGCCTCCCGGACTCTCTCTTGGCGCTCTCGGACCCTCCGACCCTCTCAAAGCCAGACTCGTCCACCCTGGAAATCATCGCAGGGGTTTTTGGGGAGGGAGCTCCCCAAAACCAGCGCGCTCCGAGTCAACGCGGCGCGCACCTCCACTCGCGATCAAAGCGGGCAGCGCAGGGACACGTCGGGGCCTCGCAGGGATGCGGGCGGCCCGGCCCCGCGCGGGCGCTGGACGGCCTCGGTTTCCCGGCTTCGAGGCTCACAGCGCCGAGCCCCGCCGCCTGCGATCCCGCCCGAGACGTCCCGCGAAAGGTGCGGTTTCTGGAGAGCCGCGCCCGGGCAGGGAGGCTCGGGTCTCGGCGGCGCCCGGCGGACCCCCGGCCCGCTGCTCCCTCGCCCCCGCCGCCCCGAGTCTGGCTGCCCAGCGCAGGGGCCCGCGGCCGTCGGGTGGGAGGGGCGCCCGCCTCACCTTGGTGAACTTGACCTCCAGGTTGCGGATGGGGCGCGGCAGGGCCGGCGGCTTCCTGTCCGGCTGCCCGTTTTCCACGGCCCCGTTAGCGGTGGCCATGGCTCCTCCGCGCTCCCTGGCCCGAGGCGCCCTAGTCTGCGGCGCACCGGCTCGGCCCGGACACTGCGCAGCCCGCTCCCGGGGTGGCAGCTCCCCGCCGCTTTATGCAGCGCCCCACGCCTCCCGCCCGAGGGGGCCGCCTAATTGGCTGCGGGACCGGAGGAAGGGAGGGCGGGCTGCGGGAGGGAGGAGAGGGGAGGGCGGCCGGCCCGCCTCACCCCGCCCCGCCCGCCGCCCCTGCGGGAGCCCGAGCGCCGGCGGCTCCACCCGCGTGCCGCGGACCGTCCCGGCGCCCGCGCCGCGCGCTCTCTCGCCCCGGAGGCTGCCTGTGGACGAGCTCCCCGAGGAGCCGCCGGGCCCCGGAAGTCGCAGGGCTGGGACACCCGACCCGGCAGGGAGCTGAGCCGCGGGGCCACGGCGCCCCGCTGCCTCCCCGAAGTCGGGCGGGCTCCCCGCGCGGCACATGCAGCCCACTCCCAGCCGCCGCACGGCGCGCTCGCCCGACTTCGGCCGGCTCGCGGCGCTCGGGAATGCGCGCTCTCCGCCGGGCCCTGCGCCGCGCCCGGGTCGGGGCTCCTGGCGGGGCCGCCCCGCGTCGCTGCGCACGTGCCCTGCTCTTGGGTCCAGCCGCCCGATCCCCGCTAGCAGGACAGACGCCCGCTGCGCCCCACCCTGCCCGAGCGCGGACAGCCGGCGGGCGCACCCCGGCCCAGCCGGCCTGGAGTCTCCCCGGGGCCCTGGGGCTTCGCCCGCGGTGGGGCAGAAGGCGAAAGCAAAGCGCCGGACCCGGGCGGCTCTCCGCCGAGGAGCCCTGGCGCCGCTGGGCCTCTGACCTTCGCAGGCGCACACCGCCTTCCATCCCAGAGCCCGGGGGGCAATTGATCTGATTTTTTAAATGCATAAATTATACCTCGATTAAAAAATGATAATTAAAAAAAAGCACATGAGACCTTTGCTGCTAATCGTTTTAAGAGTTTAAATTCTTGTCGCGCATTACTTCCCAGGAGGGGGAGGTAAGTCTAGCTCCTCTCCTTTTGCGATTTGGGAAACGCTCCATCAACTCCCAGGACTTGACCCAGGCCCCATCTGAGACACGGAAGCGGCTTCTGATGCATGCCATTCCTCAGGTCGCTGGAACAAAGACCGGAGGCACGGACTCCTGACAAAAGCTGTGCTTTAATCCTCAGATAGGCTCAGCCCCTTCAGTTCATCTCTTTCTGTAGGTAACCCCAAGTAATCAACAATGGGGAGGGGTCTCCTTATTTTCCTGTTTTGAGGCCTCCGTGTCCATCTCTCTGTCCCCTGGTGTCCTTCTGGATAGAGCTGGATAGAGGGGTAAGTTTTGAAGCTTTTGGAAACCCCACATCTGACCCTTACCCTGGGGTTGTGGAAAGGTCTTGTGCTGTTATGGCCTGGAGTGCACAGCTGAGGCCGGGGAAAGGGGATAATGGACCCTCGAGCGGGGCAGCCTTGACCGATATCGGCTGGCTAACACTGGCGAGTCTGAGCAATGCCAGCTCTTTCCTCAGCTGCTTCTGCAAATCCGGGGCTCCCTGCCCTCTTGGCTGGCCCCATGGCTCCCACTCAGATCTCCTGAAAACATCTGGGCAGATGTGCTATGCCACGGCCCCCGGCTGGGTGCTGAGCCCTAGCGTTTGGGTGCCTGAGCCCAAGAGGACCGTCAGGGAGTAGTGACAAACCCCTCCTGCATGGATGGAGGCCAGGGGCCCAAGGCCAGTGTGTGCAGCAGGCCCCAGGAAGCTGCAACTAGAGATGCTTTACAAACTGAACTCCCATCCTGAGACTTTATCGGGGGTCCTTGATGGTTGAAATTATGTCACTGCCAGGATTTTAAAAAAAAATCTGAAATAAAATTTATAGAGGAAACTGTGTTAATTAAATAATTGCTGGATTGATGGGGGAGGCAAATGGGGTTGAGCTTAGAACTCTGCTCCTTTAGGGAAGATAGTCGAGCCTGTTTGGTCAAAGATAGACAGTCACCACTTTGTTGGCTATGAAGTCAGGAATGAAAGCCACCTCACCTCACACTCAGACATCCTTGTGACCCGAGGCGTCTGGTCTCAGGAGCCAGTTGCAAAGATGCCGACTGGCTCACCTGCAGCTCCTCCGTTTGATACCCACGTGATCCTGGGAGCCTGAGATCAGACTGGAGCACTCAGCCATAGACTTTGTCACAGTAGGTGGCTCCCAGAGAGCAGGTCAGGAGGATGGGCCTAGCTCTGGGCTTGTCCAGACAAGCAGGCTCTACCTCTGCTCCCATCGGCAGGAGGGGTGGAGGCAAATGCGCTTCTCCCCATTTTACGGGTGAGTAAACAGAGGCGTGCAGACACTTGCCCCAGACATCACCATCGGTCGAGAAACTAAGGCCAGACTGTGTGAGAGTGGGTGGTGCAGTGCAGGGAGGAGGGGCTTCTCTGACATTCCTCTGACCTATTCTTTCAAGCAGGTGAGCACCTATGACCCAGGGTGGTCCCATGTCACTGGGGCTGCATAGGGCATAGTGAAGACACGAAGGGCTTTGAAGGTCAAAAATGGCGGGAGTATCCCTTTTCGTTGTGCCTTTCCTAGGAACCATATCTCCTAGCTGTGGCCTCAGAGGCAGGGACCACAGGGGCCGGGAAGGAGGAAGATTTATTTTTGCTCACAGTGGGTTGCTGGGTGTTTGGTTCAGTGATGAGGTGCCTGAGCATCGGAGATGGCAGAGGCCCAGCCCCTTCTGCTCACATCCCTGAACTGAGTCCCAGCTATGCACCCTTGGATGGGATATTGATCTCTCTGAACTTCAGTGTTCTTTTCCATAATCTCCTTCCCACTTACTTTACAGTGTTTGGGGAGGCTTAAGCAAGATAAGGCTCTCAAGAAGTGCTACCTACATACCAGCTCTTCATTTTCATATTCTTCCTGGAGACTGGTTCCTCTTTGCTGGCTTTTCTTCTTGGAAGTCAGCAAGTTCCCCCCACTTGTCTCTGGCTTGCGGGAGCCCCCCAAGTCAACAGTCCCTCTGCTCATTTCATTGTGAAAAAGTATTTATTCATTTTGTTTCCAGCTCTGTGGTGCTGCCGTTGTCTGCTGTTTGTCTTGTTGGTGCATCAAATGAGCTGAGTCCAAGACATGTCATGTTGCAGGCTTGTTTGCGGATGACCACTCAGTAAAAAGAAGCATGAATAAAAGACAAAGATAAAACAGAAGTCAGGTGGTCACCCCCTAAGTTCAACCTCATTCCATTTCTAAACCCATAATCATCTGTGGGTGATGTTGAGGTCTGAAGCAAACGTAGTGAATAATGATGATGACGTTGATGAACCCCCTACTGTGTTTCATGTTATTTCAGATCTGGTACCTGAGCCTTGTGGAGAGACGCCCAGGTCTGCTGAGTACCCCTTGTGTCCCCGCAGCCTCTGGCCAGCTGCAGAGCTGCCCCTCCCACCCAGTCTACTCACCTCCCTCAGTGTTGTGGAGTTGAGGCAGGGGCCTGAGTCTTGGGTGTGCCTTCTGAACCCTTCCTAGACAGCCAGGCCCCTGGGCTGAGGGTAGTTCTTTGATGTAGGGAAGCCCGGTCACCCCACTGTGCAGCACTCAGGCCAGTGCTTGGGTGACTCAGGGAGGCGACCTAACTTCAGGTTTTTTGGCTACAAAATGGGGGTGGCATGTGCCCCTGTGGTGAGGGAGGGCTGACTTCACTGTGAGCACCTCCTTGCTGGTATCAATGAAGTCAATTCCATGTTTCATGTGAGTCATTCGGTATCGCCTCAACCTGACTAGAATAGGCAACTACTTACCTTTGAAGCTCACCGTATATTAAGACCCATCAAATACTACAACATTGTTCTGTCCTCAAGGAACACACAAACAAATCTTTTCCCTGCGAGTTTCCATCAGTGATTGATGATATCGAGGCAGGAGCACCCCAGGTTGGAGAAAGAGGAGCTGATAACACCCAAACAAGGTGAAGAGAAAGGAGCTGCCAGCCCACCACACAGCTCCACCAGCTGCTTTCTCTCCAGCCCTGCCAGTCCTTTCTGGCCCTGGGAAAGGCCTTCACTACACAATGTTAGGCTGAGGCAAATCAGTCTTGGACCAGGCAGAAGCCAACGGAGAACTCATTACATAAAAGCAAAGAGACATCATGGTATTTGTGGGTCAGGCCCCAGTGAAGCCACACACACATGCACACACACATACACACATACACATGCATGCACACATGCACACACACACATGCACACACACACAGCCTGCCAGTTCACAGCTGCCAGAGATTTCCCCTTGGTCTGTCTTCCAGTGGATGAGAGTTGTGGCCCAGCCAGGAGAGAACATGGAGGGTAAGGTCGAGAGAGTTGGTTGAGTACCCAATAGTTCTCTCCTTTCTTGCCAGTGGAATCCCATGTTATCGAGGGTGGTAGTGGGCTTTGATAAACATATTTCCCAGCCTCTCTTGCAGAAGTATAAGCTGAAGTTTTTGGTTTGGGCTTCCAAAGAAGCTCTTAGGCATGGTGGCTTATGCCTGTAATCCCAGCACTTTGGGAGGTCGAAGTGGGAGGATCACTTGAGGCCAGGAGTTCAGGACCAAAGAAACTCTTTACATGGGACTGAGTCAGCTGAAAGGCTCTTCTTCCTTTCTGCTGCCTGGAACACAGACATGAGAGCTGGGTCTCCAGCAGCCATCATGTAACCATAATGCAATTCTGAAATGCAAGTTCCATGGTAAGGAAGTTGGAAGAGACACTTAGGAAGAACGTGGGTCCCTGATGGCCCTGGAACCAGCCCTTCATCCCTGGATATTTTTTCTTGGATTTTTTTTTCATGTGAGAAAAAGGAAAATCCCTATATTATTAAAGCCCACCATTTGGGTTTTCTGTTATATGTGGCCAACTTAATCCTAAGCAGCATAGCTGGCTGTTGGCCATCGCTATGACAAGAAGAGCAAAATTTTAACTCAAGTGGAATAATGATCTCATTTTTGTATAAACGGAGCAGCACAGACATAAAACTCTTATCACCATCTCTGTTATTTTGACCTTAATCAAATAACCTTGATGCGCTGTGCTCAGGTTTATAGTATGTTAAAAAACAAAGACAAAAACTAGCTCTGGGATGGAATAAATGGAGTAAGCTCACTGATTCATTGGATGATGAGGTCCTACTAGGGAAGAGAATCTCTTTGGTACAAAAGCCCCGTGGAGCTGCCATCCTCTGGTGCTCATAGGTGTTAGTTGTGTCCTCACATCTACTGAGGAAGGCACCAACACTCAGAAAGATTGAGTGACTGAAAAAGTCCCTGGGTCACCCAGACCTGGAAGATACTTGGTCAGGCCAGCACTCAAATCAGGCAGCAAGAAGTCAGACTTTGTTTTAAAGTAAACAAAATGTCACTCCATATAATCAGTGAATTTTGCTCATAATACTTCACACCCCTCAATACCACCACCGGCAAGTCTCAGTGATGTGAGAAGTTGTTTGCAGACTTTCCAATCTCCTTCAAAATTCAAGAATTCTGAATTTTGAACCACACTTCTTGGGGTTTCAGTTCAATTTACTCCAGACAAAACATACTTCCTGGTTAAAAGGAAAATTGTTTAAGGGGTCTTACAAAAGAAAGGGTTCAGGAAGATTCTTGGACACAAAGTGGTTCTTGCTAAATAATTGTCCTGAGATAAGCCTAAGAGAATCAGAAACACACACATTGAATTTCCCTTGAAATTCACATGGGTATACCACTGTCGGGAAAGGGGGCTTAGCAACATGCATTTTGCCAAACCCAAAATGTTTGAAAAATGATTTGAGTATGTGCACGTTTGGCAAATCACTCTTGGGTTCATCTATCCTAGCCCCACAGTGACAAGACTTTCCCCCTGCCCTTCATCCGGGACCCCCTGTAAAGGAGCATTAGTTACCCAAGAATCTTCCCTTGGATTTTTGCCATGCTGTGAGTCCTGGGGTGGAGACCAAGGTGGGGGATGGAGGGGTTGTCAGAATCTGTGTTCTCATGGGAATGCCTGGGGATCCTCTTGCAGTTGTGTCTTTGTGTAATGAGAGTTACTCAGGCAGCACTCTTGAGGTTCCCCTGTAATCAGAAAGCGTCTATAAAGCACATCATGTCTTATAACATGTTTAGGCAGACAGGAAGCCTGTTATGTATGTAGCAGAGAGGAAACCTATTTATGTATATTTTCATCTAGTTTCATATGGCATTATGGTGATTCTAAAACACTCCACCCCCAGGGGAATAGATTAATTAGTGACCTATAGTATTTTCATACCTATAATGTCCTTTATTATTGAGCATATCTGCAAGCACTGAGTTTGCATCACATTACACTCTATTATACATTACATTGTATTATATATTATATTATTTGCAAAGATAGTTCATCAATTAAGAGACAATGAATTGGATATGGTGTATTTTCCACCAGTGAGAGTAAATAAACATGAATATTAGGAACAAAACATGGGATTATAGACTTTATAAGGTGCATGTCAATGTGCATCTTCTATATTCCATGGATACTTCAGCTATCATGAATTTCAGCGCATTTTTTTTTTAATCCCAGGAAGTCCTAAGCTTTTCCACCTGCTTACAATGTCCAGAGATTTCACTGCACTTCTCCTGTTGGCCACTAGATGTCACAGGACCAAGTTGAGTAGGAAGTTGCCACTGAAGTTCCTTCTATGAGAGAAGCAGGTATTTCCCAACTTAGCAATAAATGGCATTGCAAGAGCTTGTTCACAGTACAGTGCCCAAAACTTCAGTTGCACCACAGACATGATGCTAGAACTGGTGATTAGTGCCCAGGCTAGCCCACAAAAGCCTACTCGCTTCTCCATAAGCCTAAAATGGGTTCCTAGCTTTGAGATCAAACAGATGTGGGTGCTGTTCTCAGCTCAGGGAGAAATTGGGCCTAATCTTTTTCAACCACTGTTTCCTTTTCTGAAGATGGGAGTAGTAATTCCTGCTCAGCAAGGGAGTCATGGGGGTAGGTGAGGTGGAGGTGCGACAAGTACATTTGCAAGAAGATAGACAAGACGTCACTGCTGCCTGACCCTTGATGAAGCTCACAGAAAGCACCACCCAGAACCTTGTCCTACTGGCTGTGAGGCATCACCCCTGAGCTGGCTGCTCTGTTGGGCCCTGGGTGCCCACCTCATCCCCATCCCTACCTGTCCCTCTCACAGACAAGACAACCCAGACCCCCCAATAGAAATTTGCAAAGGAATTGCAAAAGGATAAATAATGGCAAAGGATAAGTGTGTATGAGCCTAGGAGTTTAGCCTTGCAGGCGGGTAGACTGGGAAGGATTCCCACGGGGCATTTGCCAGCCTCATTGTTTCATCTCCCTTGGTCACAGATTCCTCGTCTGTAGAAGATGATGGTTCCTCCTTCATGGGATGAGAAATGCAACTGAGATCGCTGATGTGACAGGGCCAGCCCCTGCCTGGCGTATGGTGGATGCTCGGTTTATGTCACTTGAGAGACTTTCTTGCTAGGGAGATGGACTTCAGTCTCTTCCTTCAGCCCTGGCCAAGAAGCCTCCAGCTGGGCGGGCAGCTTCTCAACCCTTCTAGAACTTTCTTCCCGGTCTTCTCTCTGATCTGTGCTACAGGCGGCTTTCAGCAGCTCCAGACTCTTCTCTGGCTCATGCCAGGCTCCATTCCCCCAACACCCATCCCTTCACTTGTATTTATGCTTCACTGCAACACAGCAGACACTTTTGGGGCTTCTTCTAGGAATCTATCTGGCTTTGGGTTTCTGAACACCCAACTCTGCCCCGACTCGCTTCTCTCTCTCCTGTTTCATTAGCCATGTATCAGGGCTGATTCTTCTCAGTCTTTTTAGTTTCTTCCCCATGCTGCCTCTCAGGCATTGGTGGGGCACTGGCAGCACTGTGTAGACAAGGATCTTGACTCTCATCAGAATGTCCTGATTGATTAGTGATGTCTTTCGTGGGCACAGGATGCAGGCAAGCCCTAGAAACTGGCCTTCTAACGTGGTGACATGCACAGGGGTCACCAGGGATCTTGTTGACAGGCAGGTTGCATTCATAGGTCTGATGTGGGGCTCAGGGTTCTGCCCTTCTAACAAGCTATTAACAAGTATCTAACAAGCTACTAACAAGTATCTAACAACAAGCTACCAGCAAGTATCCTCCCTAGACTGGCAGCATGAGCATTTACTGGGAGCTTGATAGAAATGCAGACTCCCAGGCCCTGCCCTAGACTTATTGAGCCGGAATCTGCAGGTTGACAAAAGCCCCACCCAGGAGCTTCAAATACACATCATGGTATGAGAAGGGCCACCAGGCTCTGGTCTGGCTAATACCTGGCCTCTTAGGAAAAGCAATCCCTGCCCCACCAAGAGCCCACCTTGTCAGAATGGCTGAAACGAGCTCCTCTTTTTCTTGTTCTCTGTTTATTTTCAGGGTGGAGATGACATCACCTTCTACTGTGAGACCAAGGATAGCCCAATACTGGTCCCAGTCAAGATCCCAACTGCCCCCACTGTTTAGAGGCTCCTTACAGCTATACCCAAGGGAGTGTTTTTGAAGGATTTTAATCAACACACTTTTATAAGATGAGAGCCTAGAAGTACCAGGGCAAGACTATTAACAAGAGGTTCTATCTTCATTATATTGCATGCAAATTGCTCTTTATACTGCTCTTGAATTCTGGGGCTTGAGGAAGGCAGGCTTACTGAGAAGGGATGTATACTCTGGGGAAGAAGGAGGGACCCTCTGTGTACAGTGGAAGTTAGGCCCTGTGCCCATCGGAGAGGCTGCAATGAATCTTACCAGGCTAAGAGCCCCACTTTGGGATGTGAGGCCCCAGGGGCAACAGGGCACGACAAAGTGTTTCCCCAGAATGGCTGAAGGGGGACATCAAAGGGACAAGTGTGGACAGTGGACAGTTGAAGCAGGCAATGGGAAGGCAGAACTGAGAGACGGCCCCAAGCCTCAGGTTGCAGAGGTGAGGCAAGGACAGAGTGGGGCCGTCCACGTGGGCTCAGAGCAGCCGCCCTGACTCAGGCTGAGTGGCTTGAGATGAAGGCTACAGGCAGGCTGTCTCAGGCACTCAGCCCCGTCCGGTAGTGGCCCAGGCTCCTCCGTGAGAGCATTGACTTTAGGAGTTGTGCATATTCCAACTCAGGAGGTGGCCACATTATTATATACATATGATTTTGTAGACACAGAATTATAATGATGTATTTATTTATGTAGTTCTTCTTTGCCATCGGTCTTCTTTACTAGACAGAGCTCCCATTTATGGTATGAACTGAGAGAGATTCAGTAGCTAGTTCCAGGCTCCCCGGCTCCGGCACTTGCATCTCTAACCCCTGGGGTACCTGGTGGAGGTCTCTAACCCTCAGCTTCCTTCTCTGCAAAAGTGGGTGGCTTGGTAGTGCACAGCTATGGGGACAGCATGGTGTCCCTGTGCTGGGATGTTAAGGAAATGGACCTCTCCAGGTGGGGGTGCTGGTGCTGGTGCTGGCTGGGTGTGTGGTCACCCTTCAGCTGCTCAAGGAGGGGTCTCCAAGGCTACGGCGCATTTATTGGCCAAGGTTAGCCTTGTGATTGGTCCCAATGGAATGGAATGGAAAATTGACTGAGGGAAGAGAAATTTTTCTGTGATACCCGAACAAAGGCCTTCTGAAGTGGAACTAACTAAAGCATGAGGAATGACCCGGAGAATGAAGGAATAAAGCCTAGTGCTACACTACTCTCCTGCCCAATTCCCAATCCCTTTCCACTCAGAATCAGCTGCCCCCCGCCCAGCAAGGACTCCCACGATCTCCCTCTACACTGCCTCGGTGCTGGCTGGCCAGGGTGCCCTCTGTTGCTAAAACAGAATCACTCACTTCAACTCATGGCCTTTGCGATCACCACTGCTCCTGCCTGGAGTGCTCTTTTCCTCAGATCTTTGCATGACTGATCTCTCCTCAGGAAAGTCTCAGCTTAAATGCCGCCCCCTCAGAGAGGCCTCCCCTGACCAGTCTGTCTGAAACCCCACGACCTCACCCTTCCCTCCCACATCCCTTTCTGTCATCTTTATGGCCCTGATTATACATTTCCTCTTTGTTTGCTGACGGACTCCTGATTCTAGAACTGAAGCGCAAAAATGCAGGGGACTCGCCCACCCCGACACCAGCCACCAGGTGGCGTCATTAACCCAGGACAGCTTGGTACCTACTATTGCAAGGGGTCCCCAAATACTCAAAATTGGCACCTTCACCAACTAGGAGTTGGATAGTTTATTAGCAGATTTGCAGTCAATGCATCAGGACTAATAGTCTTTCCAGAACAAATTAAAATGAGGCCTTAGGTTGGTGTCATAAAAAACAAGTTCTGCTTGTTTTCCCACTCGTGCCTGGGACGTTTATAGATGAAGTAACCCTGTCAGTGCTTAGCATAGTGTCGTATCCCTGGCGGAGACCAGAGAGATCTCCAAAACCTAAGTCTTTAGAAAGTCTGCACCTGTGGCACAAGCGTGTGTCCATGGCCATGGAGTTAGCTGTTAGCGAGGGTGGAGGAGCCCAGGCCACCTGACTCCCAGCCTGGGATGCCTTCTTCCATGCCATGTGGAAACCCATGACCCCAGGCCTGTGCCAAAGCACCCTCTTGGTTTGTATTTTGTAAGAGGTAGAATGGTTAATCCTGAACAGAGTGGACTTCTGGTAAGCCAAAGGGTTTTTTGCTCAGTTACAAAGCATTTTAGGAGCTAGGCACCATAACTGCAGAAAAATAAGACATCCCTCAAAGAGTCTGTAATGTAATGGAGAGAATAACTATGTCTGGTAGAATAATGAGTGATGAATTCAAGATGCTAATGACATCCTGGAGAGGAAAGAGTAGAGGTAAGGGATGGTCCTCTTGGGTATAGGGAAGGTTTTTAAAAAGAGGGAAATGTCTAAGATTGTGTGGTTGGGCCTCTGTGTTGTCACTCTATTTTGGCAAAATAAAAGCCGGCAGCATTGTTGTAGCCATATTGAAAGCTCCAGGGAGTTCCAGCTTTGCATCTGGGCGAGAATATGCCAACTGTGCTGGGGCCCTGGGGCTGGGAGCTTGGTGGCCCGTCATCCTGCTGGCCTGCCGTTTCTGCCCAGTCCTAGCATCTCTGGCAGAAGGTATTTTTAGAGTGTGCTTTAAAGACGGACAACTCCTCAGAGAGTCACCAAATGGCTTCAAACTCTGAAAATGCTGAAAGTAGGCTTGACTTTGCTGTGGCTAGGTAGTATCCTGCCTCTATGTTGGGACACAAAATAAAGGCCACCAATCTTTTAGAGGTAGTAGAATTCCTCCCGAGGTGGGTTGGAGAGCATTCACACCCCCACCTGTCTCCCTCCATCTTACACTGGTGCTCAGGAAGCTGCACTGTCAGGCTGTGTGGCACAACCACCTGGGCATGTTGTATTTGGGGTGTTGGTCTCAAGAAGGAAAACACTCTTGGTTATGCTTTTCTTTTTTCTTTCTTTCTTTCTTTTTTTTTTTTTTTTGAGGCAGAGTCTTGCTCTGTTGCCCAGGCTGGAGTGCAGTGACACAATCTTGGCTTGCTGCAACCTCTGCCTCCTGGATTCAAGTGATTCTCCTGTCTCAGCCTCCCGGGTAGCTGGGACTACCAGCAAGTGCCACCACACCCGGCTAATTTTTGTATTTTTAGTAGAGACAGGGTTTCTCCATGTTGGTCAGACTGGTCTCAAACTCCTGACCCCAGGTGATCCGCCTGCCTTGGCCTCCCAAAGTGCTGGGATTACAGGCATGAACCACTGCGCCCGGCCTGGTTATGCTTTTCTTAAAATGTAGTTTGCAGCCATAAGCTAGTCCATAGAACAATCTCTATTTTACCTTGTATATAGGGACTCATAAGCAAACTTATTTTTTAGCCTTAAGTTGTGTAGGATTTGGTACCTATTACATGGATTAAATAGGAAAAAAGTTTGAGGTAGATGGCCTGGCACACATTGTCTATAACAGATACTGCTTACCTATAGGCCCCTCTCATCTAGCAACTTCCTAGCAATCTAGCAACAATCCAGCAACTTCCTTTCTGCTAACCTTTGTGATTGAAGAAACTTATTTTTGGTAACTTTCCCAATCCACAAAACCAATCCCATTTTAAGGTGGGAGAGTGTAGTGTAACAATGGGATCACTGTTTTTTTGTTGGTGAGATGAAAATGTTTAAGCTTGGCCCTAACACCAGTTGCTATTGAAAGGTACTGCCTTGTACAAAATAACAAACCAAATCCCAGACTGTCTGTTTATGGTTATTACGGTTCACTTCATTAAGCCATAACTCTGATTACATTCTTTCTCCTGCCCTACCCTGAAGGCTGAGCTCTGAGGCCAGGGGGCCGAGCCTGCTCTTATCTGGGAACTGCCGTGTCCAAAAACATATCTGGGCAAAATAGATGAGTTGTGGACAAAGGGAACTCTCAGGCTTTGAGGGGACCTTACCTGAGGGGCTCCTTCCGAGCCCTGGAGTCATGCTGCCCCTCCTGAGCACCTCGGCTCTTGAGGCTCCAGGTTCCTGTTGCACCTGCAGAGATTCAAGTGAGAAATCTCTGGTTGGAGAAGGTGCAGGTGTGAGTTTGCTTTAATCTGAGATAATAAGGCAGACTCTCAAAGAATGAGATGGAGTGAACAGAGAGAAGCCCACCGTTGTGGGCACGGAGTGTGGATGTCCCTGAGCCTCCGTGTGTCAGCCCATCTGTTAAGTCAGCTTTCATCTTCGTGACATTTTCCCAGGGCTCTCTCCTGCTATAAATGACTCATGAAACACATGAATTAGAGACCATCCTCAACCCCATGCAGGCAGCCCTTGACAGTGTGCTCTTGGGGCAGAGTTCTGGCCTCAAATGCACCTTCAGGAGCATTCCTTTGCTCAAGAGGCTGAGTATGGAGGAGGAGACAAGGCAGGCAAGGGAGGTGGGTCGCTCTGGGTTCCATTCTCCCCCTCAGTGGTGTGGGACCTTCAAGCTCTTTTGCCTCTCTCTCAGCCTCCTCACCTATAAAATTCAGTCACACCTACTCATGGGGCAGCAGCTAGTCCCTGGCGATGGGCTCCACGAATGGAGCCTCCTGGTGTTCATGTCTCTGTACGGTCCCTGGCTATGCTAACTCTGGATTGGTCCTGCCACTGCGTCAACTACAGAGTGCTGAGTCATGGCAGGCCAGTTCCAGGCCTGATCCTTGGGAAACTGGGCAACTTCTGCCTCTGTACTTTTGGGGGCCTGAGCATCCATGTAGGAAGTCCAGGTAGCCTTCACGAGAGACGACATGGAAAATCCATGTGCAGAGGGAGAGGCCCTAGCACCCCAAGGAGAGACAGACAGGCCCAGGTGTCCCAATGTCCTAGCTGAGCCCAGCCTCCCAGGCACTCCTGCCAAAGCTCCAGGGAGGTGAATGCAGTCACCTTGGAGGTCCAGCCACTGCCGCCACCTGACTGCAGCTGGATGAGACCCCAAACAAGACCAGCAGAGGGACCCTCTAGTTGAGCCCCAGTGAACCCTTAGAATCATGAGAAATTCAAAAAATGCCTGTTGTTTTAAGCTCTGAGCTCAGGGGCAGTTTGCTATGCAGGGACAGATCACACGACATGGGTATACCCTAAAGTCAGGAATGCCAGCTGCCTGCATCACCCCCACGGTGAGGATCGGAAAGATTTTCTGTTAAGTCTCAATGCAGCTCCTGGCACATGCTCAAAAATAGCCGGTTTTCTTATAAATAAATGCAAATAGGTGGTTTTCCCTCTCCTGTGCCCTAATTAGTCTAAACACTGACCTCTCATGGGCCCTGGCTCCTGATATCCTTAAATCTTTTTTTTTTTTTTTTTTTTTTTGAGATGGAGTCTAACTCTGTTGCCCAGGCTGGAGTGCAGTGGCCCAATCTTGGCTCACTGCAACCTCCACCTCCTGAGCTCAAGAGATTCTCCTGCCTCAGCCTCCTGAGTAGCTGGGATTACAGGCACACGCCACCATGCCTAGCTAATTTTTGTAAAGACGGAGTTTCACCATGTTGACCAGGATGGTCTTGAACTCCTGACCTCAAGTGATCTGCCCGCCTTGGCCTCCCAAAGGGCTGGGATTATAGGCATGAGCTACTGCACCCAGCCCCCGATATCCTTAAATCTTGTTTAACGCCATGGAAGGAGGGTTCAGGTGTGCCAGCCCATTGGCAGAGCCATGTTGCAGGGGCATCTCGTTCAGCAAACATTTACAGGCCTGTTCTTATGTGCCAGATGCCACACCAGGCACTGAGGCTCCTGCAGACGGCACTGCAGACAAACCACTGATCTCATAGCTGGTACATGGCGGGGAGAAGACAGACATGGAATGAGAGGCTGCAAGTGTGAGTAGTTGTATGGAGAAGTGCAGAAAGGGGAGGGCTTACTTTGGTTTAGTTCAGCTGCAAGTGATGAAGACTAGAAACAACATCAGTTAAAGAGGATACAGGTTTATTTTCACCTGAGAGAAATACGGCCTTGGGCAGTCTAGGACTGGCAAGGCAGCTCCACAGTCACTCATCAGAGTCTGATGTCTTCTTTCTTTCTGCTCAGCCCTCTTAGCTTGTAATGTCCATCCTCACATTGGTCCCAAGATGGCTGCTGGAGCTCCAACCATCATGGCCACATTCCATGGGGGAAGGGCAAAGAAGAAAGTTCACCTCCTGTTTTAATTATCCCCCTTTTGAATAACTTTCTCTGAGGCATCCTCTACCCCTAAAGTCTTCTGCTTACACCCGCTTGGCCACAGATGTCTGTAAACTTGGGAAATGTAGTGCTTTAGCTGCCCCAATAATATAAGTGTCTGTCAGTCAAGAAGAAAGGGGGATAGGTTTTGCTTGGCAACTGGCATCCTCTACCCCAGGGACCACTCCCAAGCACAGAAGTGACATTATTCAGCAGAAAGAAAGTGTGAGCCAATTAGACAAAGAGCATTACAGATGGAGAGACTCAACCCCCACAGAAAACCCAGAGGTGAGAAATCTCATGAATCCTTCAAGGAATTCACAGGAGTCCAGGGTGAACCTCTTCCCCCTCAGCATAATTCCCTCATCTGTTTAGCAGGAGCTTACTTTAGCTTAGGATCTGGGAAAACACCGGCCTCCCCTCCCACCCTGAGAAGAAGCTGAGGTTACCATTCACCTTTGGGACTGAGTGAGTTTCCGCTTTTCCCTGAGAGCAGACTTGACAGATGAGGGACACGGAGGAGCTAGGGCTCTGAGACATAAAGCGGGGAAAAGAGGAACTCTTAAAACGAGGAGAGATGGATCCTTGCCTTCCTCTTCTGGGTTGAGGGGTCTAGGGGACCCCCTGAAGCAGCAGCCAGGGAGGCTACAGCCATGAGACTTCTGGCAACTTCCAGGAGGACCTGGCACGCTGCTCTCTGTTTGCTGATTTAGTCTAATAAGTGCATGAAACAGTATTTTCAAATTGCAATCTCCTTAGCTCTGGGGCCTATACCAATGATTCCTCGAAATTCCTTTTGTTCTGATCTCACACATCAATTCAGCACGTGAGGGGTCTGAAGGGAACTCCATTAGAAATGCAGGCTAGATAAATGTAAAACATGCTGTTTTCTTTTTCTTTTTCTTTCTTTCTTTTTTTTCTTTTGCCTTTCAACACCTGGGGCCTGCCAAGCCCACTTCAAGGAAAGGGGCTGCATTTTAAGTTAGCCCTGTTTTCTGGAACTGGTGGGAACGTCTTCATTTTTCAGATTTCCGCCTGTGGTTACCTCGCGAGGCTTCTCAGCCAGGCCCTGCGTGTCCCCTCTCCCACTGCATCCCAGCTCCCCCTGGCTGGATTCCTCAGCGCATCTGCTGTGGGCTGGGTGCCCAATCATTTTCCATTAATGCCTCTGGACAGAGAGGCCTACACAGCTGCACAGCTTGTGACGCAACGTACCCGACACATATACTCCCTGCTTGTCCCCGGCCAACCCTGGCCAGAGAGCCATCGGAAACTGGTGTTTACTGGGAAGTGATTTGACTCTGTAACACGGTGACCACAAGCCCCATTCCACTGGCCGACACGGTCCCAAATATTTCCTTCTCTCATGAGCTTCCCATCCCCCTGCCCCGACAGTTGCTGTTTAGAAAAGTGCGGCTCAGGAAGGGGAGGAGAAAGTGGCAGCCTCATAATCTGGGAACGAAAGAGTCTTTGCACACTGTCATTAGAGGTCTGTACATATTGGGCAAAATGTTTATAGTTGCTCTCTTGAAAAGTGAGTTATAACTCCTTACATTTACCCAAGTCATCGCTTTCAGGATCTGACTCTCGTTTCTTAGAAGGCATTACATCGCTTTAATATGCAACAGTCTAACATAACATTAAATCATTTTTAAAAGTTTCATCTAGTTGAGCCTGAGCCAAGGTATTCTTGGGTTGGGTTTGCACATCCACCCTTTTGTTTTTTATATAGTTAAAAAGAAACACACGGCAAAATACCTATCAAGTGATCTCACCCTTGCTGGTGTCCAAGAGTGATATCTTGGCTAAGTGGGTCTCTTTGATTTCTAGGGGCCCCAAAAGATGGCTTCATTTTCAAGACCAGCAAGTGTTCTATGTGTGCCCACCACACACACCAGACTGCAGTGTGCGGGGGTGGGAGGAGGTGCCTGGGCTGGCTGCAGAATGGAAAAATCATGGTTTTCCAGGGATGCCAGGGACTTGAAGAGAGAGAGGCTGAGCCAGAGCTGGGAGGAGAGCAAGTGCTTTTGCCCCTTTTATAAGAGATGCTTCAGCAAAGCCTTCACCACACATGTCCTCCATTTCCCTTCTGCAAAAGGCCCCCATTCATTCACTATGGCCCCAAGTGAGGGCTGCTGTCCCAGGAGTCTTTGTCCTAACTCCTGCACCAAATCTCCTCCTTTGTTTGTCCTCCAGACCATCCTTGGAACCTTTCTTTATTTGTTTATTTTCGAGACGGAGTCTCGCTCTGTCACCTAGGCTGGAGTACTGTGGTGTGATCGTGGCTCACTGCAACCTTTGCCTCCTGGGTTCCAGCGATTCTCCTGCCTCAGCCTCCTGAGTAGCTGGGACTACTGGTGTGCACCACCATGCCTGGCTAATTTTTGTATTTTTAGTAGAGACGGGGTTTCACCATGTTGGCCAGGCTGGTCTCGAGCTCCTGACCTCAAGTGATCCACCTGCCTTGGCCTCCCAAAGTGCTGGGATTACAGGCATGAGCCACTGCTCTCAGCCTCTGTGGAATCTTTAAATGGCCCTCAGTCAACTCAGCTTGGGTTAGACTTGGGTGTTCACATGCCTGTCTCCCCACAGGCAGTAAGAGGGGAGCCATGTCTTGGTCACCCAAAAATCCTGATGGCCTTCCAGTGTCCTTTGGTGACTCAGTGAATGCAGCAGAATCCCTCACGTATGCAGCCGGGGAAGATGGGGAGCTGTCGCTTCCATTGCCATCTCCTGCCTCCTGCCCAGTGTGCAGCACAGCCCAGCCCCACAGCCCGCCCACCCCCAAGATCCCCACTTCTCACTTCCTCACTCCATTCCTGCCCAGGCCTTGCCCTGCTGGCCTGGGGATTCCCCCAGCTCACCTTGGTTCTTCAGAATATGTAGTGGGGGTGGTAGAGATACACGTAGGGATATCTGGTAGGTGTGACAACATTCTTCCAGTCTCAGCCACTTCCAGAAGCTGCCCAAGTCCTTGAGACTAGGTGATGGTCGGGTGGAGGAGGAAGTGGTTAGGGAAGCAGAGACCCAGATGGCTGCCTCAGTCCTAGGTAGGATGAGGGCCTAGGGGTAGAGTCTCCCTGGAGCAATCTGAGGACTCACTGGATAATCCACCCTCTGTCTTCCTCCAGGGACCTGGGCCCTCTGGAGCCTCTTCCTGGAGCCTCGTTGTGGATGAGAGCCACCCTGGCCTCTGCCCCGACCCTGGACATGTCTAGCAGGGCTGGCACCAGCTGCCCCCCAGCAACCCATGAGCCGACTCCAGCCGCCGGGGGCCTGTGTTGCAAGCTGGGCCTCTTACTGCTCTCCCTGGGCTTGGCCTCTCCTCCCCAGTTGGCTCGGCTGGTCTGGAAACAATGACTGTGGACAGAAACGACTTCTCGCGGGAGTTTTGGAAGCCGCGGCTGGGCATCAGCAAACAGCTCTTGCACAGGGCAGTGGCTCCCGAGGAGACGCAGAAATGCTGGGAGGCTGGAGGGGAAGTGGCAGAGACAATAGGAGGCATTGTGTCTTCTCCCAGGAAGCTGTGCTTTGCGTTGCTTCCAAGAAAATCGACTCTGGGGCAGCTCCATCTATTCCAAAGCAACAACTTTATGTGATTATGTTAGTCCCAGGCTCAGACAAACGCGCCCTTCCTACCTCATTAACAATGCCAGCAGGGCCCAGCTGTGCCATGGGGGGGCTCCGTGCCCTAATTCGTCAGACAAGGGCGGAGTGTAGGAAGTCATAGGAACAATGCATCTCAGAGCAGAAGCTGTCTGTGGAGGGAGTGCAGCTTTGATGTAGGGCATGGCCCTGATTAGGGTTGACGGCTAGGGACGGTCCATGCTCGGGAAGGTGGCATAAGCCCGGATGGCATTTGGGATGTGGGGTTTTGCACCTGGGTCTGTTGAAGTTTGATGAAGTTTAACACGTGCAAACAGTGGCTTTTGTTCTGCAGGACAAAGGCCTTCCTCGACCTGGGCCCAGGCTGAGACCTTGGTGGTGGCACCGTTTCCTCCCCGTCGCCTCTTGTCACTCTCCTTGTGGAAGTTTAATTAGGACAACGAGTTTCACAGGCTCATTTCTCACTCCAGCAACTTTCTAACACTTCCTAACGAGAAAGCTGGAGCCTGAGGACTGTGGGGCAGAGAGGGGGCTATGGGCCTGGCCAGAAGGACCGTTGAGGGGACTGGGAGGGGCTGGGGTGCATGGAGAGGAGCAGAACAGGCACAGAGGAAGCACAAAACCACAATGGGTCCCTGGAGAACTGTGGATTGATCTGGGAAGAAGAGAAAATAAAACAAATCCTAACTGGTCTTTGTTTTCTGGGTGGCCAGACAGTATTTTCCCCAAATTCTCTATGGTTCTGGAAAAGAAAGCAAAGGATCAATCACTGTTGACTTTGTGGTTTTCAGAACTGGATCACACGGGCCGTTACTTAACACCTTCAACTCCTCTTACTGCCATGTAAGCCTTTCCCATCCACAGGGTTCTAAACAGAGAGGTCGTGATGACCAGGCCAGGCCCCCAGCCCACTCCTGAACCAAGCTCCTCACTTTTTATCCAGGTGTGGACACGGTGGAGGTCCCCTGGGCAGGGGACAGGGAACCCACATCAAGGGCATGATCCTGCTGACCTCAATGGAGATACTGGCTTTCCTGGGCCCAAAGAGCATGAAGAGCTGGGGGTGGAGGGACAGAGGATCCCTGTGTATCCTCACCTGCATCAGTCAGTATAGTTCAGGTTGTGCTGCAGTAACACCAAAAATGTGGGTGCTTCAACAGCACACGGCTTGCTTCTTCCGCTGCTACACATCCATGGTGGGTCAGCTAACAGCTCTGCTCCACATCACCCCAACCCCTGGCCCCAAGCTGATAGAGCATGGTCTCATTATTTATAACACTGGCAACTGGTTTGATAGAGGGAGAGAAAGAGGTTGTGATGGCACACTGGCTCTTGAAGTGCCCTCTTGGGGATGACACATCCCAGTCTTACTCAATTTCAAAGTTGCGTGGATATACGTAACTTCCAAGCAGGGGAGAGAGGTCATCCTACCGTGATTCTGGAAGCTAGAACCAGAAATATTTGGTGAGTAGTACTAATAACCTCCTGTTTTAGTTATCTGTTGCTGTGTAACAAATGACTCCAAAACCTAGCGGTTTAAAATCATAACCATTCATTTTTCTCACCTGGCAACCCGGGAGCAGCTTAGCTGGGTGATTCTGGCTCAGAATCTCTCATGAAGTTGTGGTTAAAATGTCAGCCAGGGCTGCAGGCATCCGAAGGCTTGACTGGGGCTGGAGGGTCTGGCTCCAAGATGCCACTCACATGGCTGCTGGCAGGAGGCCTCATTGCTTTACCATGCAGATCTCTCCAATGAGCTGCCTGAGTGTGCTCATGACATAGAAGCTGGTTTGTCCCAGAGCTAACGATATGAGAGAGAGAGAAGGAGAACAAGCAGGAAACTGCAGTACTGTTTAGGACCTCACACACATGACCTCTGCTTTATTTTATGCATGAGAAGCAAGGCACTAAATCCAGCCTACATTTAAGCAGAGGGAAATTAAGCTCCACCTCTTGAAGAAAGGAGAGTCAAAGAATCTGGGGTCATATCTTAAAACCACCACACCTACAATAGTTCCCCAGGTGACCATCACAGGGCTGCAGACCCATCTGGCCCTGGTTCAGCCCAGGCTCTTCATTTGTATCCGGGGGCCTCTGCATCTGTCCCTGTCCCTCTCCAATTGAGACAGGAGGAGAAGCCCCAGGAGGGTAAGAGGAGGAGAGTGCACACCTTTCAAAACAGTCTCATGGTAAACAGAGACAAAGAGAGAGAAGGAAGGGAAGCACATGAGCCTTTGGCGTCTTTAAACCTTAATATTCTGTGGCCCCCTCTCCAAACTGAGGATGCCCTCTGACAGCTGTGTGGGCTGTCAAGGAAGATTTGAAACTCTTCCTACCCATAAGAACTTCCTCCCTGGCTGAGCACACTTCACCACTGGTGGGTGTGGCCTGTTGGAGTCAGGGGTCTCTGCCCGGGCAGACAGAAATGCTCCTTGTGCAGAAAGTGAGTGAGCAGGTGGGCTCCTCACTACCTAAGTACACACTAAACACACAAGCTTCCCAGGGGATGGGAATCGATTTTGCGCTACAACAAAATATACCTATCCCTTTGAGTTATGAGTGAAACTTCAGGACTAAGGCTCTGCTATCCATCCTGGTATATGTGAGACTCCCGGCAGCAATTTGAAACGATCAGAGCCAGAGACAGAGAGGACAGAGTAAAGGCCCTAAGAGAAAGCCCAACAGGAAGTCGGCAAATTGAGTGAGGGAGTCAGGAGATGGGCAAGGCTCGCCTGGCCACGGGCTTGACCCAGAGGCTCTAGCTTGCGATGGGCAGGAAAGTTTTCACACACACCCTTTGATGGCCCACACAGACGTCAGTGGGGCATCCTCAATTTGGAGAGGGAGCCGTGAGAATACCACATGTAGAAAATGACCCTGCCCTGGTTGTTTAGAAAAGCTGTCAGGAAGGTCAGTGGTCTTCTATTAACCTCCATCTCCTGTATTTCTAGAACAGCTGGGGTAGACAGGGGAGGTGTTTTGGGTTCTCACCTTTCCTGGAATTCTGGCCTAGTGAGAGCTCAGTGACTGAAGGCTCCCTTCTGGGACCCTCAGGGGGCTGCATGTAAGTGGGGAGGGCCGGGGCAGTGCTGGCCCAGAGGACAGGCACACAGAGTGCAGTGGGGCCACTGTGGGCTGGGGAGGGTTGCTGGCCACAAGGCAGCAGATTTCCTGACATAGCCTTACTATTTACTTTTTGGTCAATAATTGGAAAAAGTATTGGAAAGAGAGAACATATGGAATTTGGCCTAAAGAAAAGTTCAGGGGACTTACTGGAGCCAGTAGTCTCGTCCTACAAGTGATGCTCTATGTGGCTGAGAACTGGGCTGGAGGGTGCTGGAGGTGGCCTGACCCCAGGAAAGCCTTGTCTGTCCATGTGCATGAGGTGGAAAGCCCCAAGGGACTGAGCTTCCCCTCCAGAGCCACTGCCCCTCCTCCTGGGCAGCAAGGGTGGGAAACGGTTACCACAGCAATGCCCCAGGGCTGCCAGAGCTTGTTCAGCCTGGGCCAGGTCCTTTCTTGGGGGTAGCTTTTTCCCTTTTAATTATTTTTTTTCTATCTCTCCTGCTACTAAGTCTTCGTGTCCCCCTTTTGCGAACAGTTGAGACTTTGCTTTCAATGATGAGATTGACCCCTGGTTGCCCATCAAAAAGTGGTGAATGAACTCCTGGTGGGACTGATGATTGGTACAACTCATGGGAAATGGTTTGGGAGAATCTACCAAAGCTGCACATCCTCTGTGGCCCGGGAAGTTCACTCCTAGGTTCACCAAGGAAGAAAGTGCTTTCACCCAGAGATGTAGATGAGAATGTTCATGGTAGCTTTATTCCTAAGAGCCATAACTGGGAAAGACCCCAATGTCCGTAAAAGGCAGAACAGATACATAAATATTCACACACAGGAACACTAACTGCAGTGAAAATGTAAGAGCACAACTCTACAGAGCAACACAGATGGACCTCAGGCATGCACCCTTGAGAAAAAGCGCCTGCCAGCCAGAGTGTATGTAACATTCATAGTTCCAGTTATGGAAAATCCAAGGACAGGCAAAACCATTCTGGGGGATAGAAATTAGCACGGTGGCTCCCTCAGGTGGGGTCTTGACAGGGAGGGGTCTGAGAGCCTTCAGGGGCAAGAAATGTTCTATTTCTTGATATTGGTGGTGGTTACACAGATATACACACAGGTGAAACATTCATCAAGATATGCCTTTCAGATGTATGCACTTTAATGTACGTGTGTGATATTTAGACAGTAAAAGAAAGGTAAAAGAAGGGGCAAACAGGTTTTCTATATGTTCTGGGCTTTTTGGAGTTTTTAAGCGATGCTTCCTTAACAATGAAGAATTGGCCATTCCATAAAAAAAAAAAAAAAAAAAACCAGTGCACATGTCACTTTGCCTTCTGGACTTTGGAGTCTTTCCAGGAAGAAATAAGTTTAGGGGAAAGTGACACTCTAGTCGTAGAACTTCCTCCCACCGAGGAGGCGATGCTTACCCCCTCCCCTCCCTGTTGAGGTTTGAGCAGCCAAATAGTTTCAACTTTCAGATGTCATCTTCCAAGCAAAGAGTTCTCATTATGGTCTAATTACCTTGGCTATTAGAAACAGGAAACGAATAGCTAAGCTATTGAACTTGGGGAAAAGAAGAGAACAGCGTCCTACCAATACTTTAAAAGCTGCAGAAAGATCACTGCCCAGTCTCCTCAGGGCTATTTGCCTAATTATATATTTTGCAAATAAACTAAAGAAAGAACGAATTCAAGACAGTGTCGTTTAAATCTTTCAGATAAATAAAAATAAATGTGTGGTTGGAAGCTATAAATAAATACATTTTATATTTTAAAATGCCTAATTACATATTTGCCTAAGGAATTTCTGCACATTGTGGTAAAATTAATATACATAGTGCATTTTCCCCCGAAAGATATAAATATAAAAACAAATATAAAATGCTCAATCTTTCTGATTGTGTAATGAGTTCTGGTCAATACAAGTTCTTTTTCTTCACTAATATTTACGGTTTGGGGGAACATTCTAGGGAAAGGAACTTTGTCAAAGGGACTGTAGTGGGAGAAAATCCCAAGAAATAGGGGGTGCCTTTTTTCCTGTCAAGCGCTTTATATAACAGTCATCTGCCCTCCACCCCCTCTTCCAACCCAGAGAGCATTTCTCCTAAGAGAATGGTGAAAAGTGGATCCCTAAATGATTTCCCATTGTTCTTGTAAAATATATGTTACACCTCCAAGCCCAGAGAATGGGCCCCCATGAGAAGCGTGTCCATGCGGTTCTGCTGCCAGCCTCTGTGATATCGGATACCACATGAAAACTAAGAAAGCAAAGAAGATAGACGTGGAAACACTGGGAAACAAAATCTGAATATTTTATTTCAAAGGGAAACTCTTCATGAATGTCTCTCCCTGACTTTGTGAGACGTGCTGAGCATAGGCATACTTTTAATCAAGTAAATTAAAGTTGCTTTAAAGCAGGACGAAGCAGCCAGATTGCATCCTGCTAGAGAGACCAGCTTCGATGAGTAGAAACGCACCAGGTTCCTTGAAATAGGACGCTGGACAGGAAATAATTTCTGTTGCCCCACTTTTAAGGAAAAATTCTACAAACAAATAGAGCTCTTTATCAACAGTTCAGAAGTAAAGGAAGGCATTTTAAAAGGGTCAATCAGATGTAGACTTTCAATCGTGTTTGTGCCAAGGACAGAGCCTCAAGCGTGGCTTTAAATGGTTTTCCGTCACTGTCAAAGCACAACTGTGTATTTAGCAAAAGTTACTGGCTTTATTAAAATTTATTTCCAATTATTAAAATAACAATAGCTCGACAGGAATGTGCTTCCTCCTTTGAGTCAAAAGTGTGTATTTGGCTTTATTTTTCCAAATAGTCATCTAAGATGCTACACGAGCTACATGGCTGATGAGTTGCTGAGACTTGCAGGTAATATTCACACGCAGGTAAGGGTGGAAGGAATGATACAAGAATTATCACACAGACACAACTGTATTTTGTTGTTATTTGGTGGGTTGGGGGGAAGCTATATTTTTATAACTGTCTTAGATACCCAGAGTCAAACAAGGGCATTTTGGCCAGGCGTGGTGGGTCACGCCTGTAATCTCAGCACTTTGGGAGGCCGAGGTGGGTGGATCACCTGAGGTCAGGAGTTGGAGACCATCCTGGCCAACATGGTGAAACCCTGTCTCTACTAAAAATACGAAACAATTAGCTGGGCGTGGTGGCAGATACCTGTAATCCCAGCTACTCAGGAGGCTGAGGCAGGAGAATCACTTGAACCTGGGAGGCAGAGGTTGTAGTGAGCCGAGATCGCGCCACTGCACTCCAGCCTGGGCGACAGAGCAAGACTCTGTCTCAAAGAAGAAGAAGAAGAAAAAAAGGCATTTTATTGGATGTTGGAAATTGCCTATTGTGTAGACAAATAACTGTCATTGGACCACCCCTTTTCAACTGAGCCTAGGTGCTACAGCCCTAGCATCTCCCTGGAGCTCCTGGGAAAGTGCTATCTTTGACCTTACCTCATGCCCAGCTTAGAATCTGCCTCTCCTAGGCCCCAGGGCACTGCCACACCCATGAGTGTTGGTGGAGAGGGTTGGAGGGTTGAAGACTACACATTACATTCAGGTGTCGAACAACGAGGGGCCCAGAGATGAGTGACAGCTGTTCCCTTCCAGCAAGGACTTTGTATTTCATTAAGACTAAGAGACGTGAGTAAAAATGGGAGTTATCTTCAAAAAGTTACACCGGTGTTTGGGTCTGCATTTGTCATAGATGCCCCCTGGTTCTCCACACCTGGGAATGGTCCTACTCTCCTTTTATCAATGAGTGCTGAGGTCACGGTCGGATGGACATCCTGAGCCCTACGGCAGCCGGCCTTGACTCCTGCCTCTAGCCTGGCCTGCGTTGGGTTCTTACAGCCATCCCTTTCTGTGACTGCTGTATTAGCCATGGCGTAAGGATGAAAGAGCAGCATTAAGTTTTCTTCTGGAAAGTCAGTGATCTGAAGGAAAGGTGGGATCACAGGGTTTCACTGGTTTCCAAGGGCAGTCATCCACAGACATGTCCCCTGATTGAGCCCATGCCACAACACCTGCTCTCCTGCACACACAGCCAGCATTCTTATCTGTGATGGCTTCAGGAGGGCACCAGTGTCTGGGGGCAGGGAGGGTAGATTTTAGGCCTCCCATCTCTCTGCATCCTTAGCCCTTCCTCTTCTCATCTTATCAAAGGTTGCCTGGGAGTTCTGTGGTCCTTGCCAATGTAGTCCTTCTGTATCGATGCGGGGCGCCCTCTGCCATTTGCCTATGGCTGACTGCAAGAGCCAGGGTCTGCTGAAACCAGGCTAAACAGAGCCAGCGAGAGGCAGCTTTGGGCTAGCCAGTCCTCCACAGACAGGGGTGTGATTGGGTCCTAGAAGCCCCCTCTCCACTGTGGGCCCGGGGAGGCCGCCCCGGATAACATGTTCCAGGTGTTCAGCCCCAAAACAAAGAGGCTTTTCTCTGCTGCCTGAGAATGAAGAGTCCTCGCTAGTTGCATAAGGTTTTTCCGAGATGGTAATATTTGGTTACAGTAAGATCTGTTATTTCACAGGAAACCCAACAGGGGTGCCTGTAATTGGATTCATGTAGTAACTGGGAAAGCTCATAGCAGGGAGCTGGGGGCAGGGAGGGGGGGACCCTAGCTCCTTAACACAGCGTTCAGTGGGGTCAGTGTTCAGCTCTCTGAGCAGAGCCTTGCATGAGAGACTGCCAGGTCCCTGGCCACCTCCCGAGGTCAAGGTCAGCCATGGAAGCTCTGTGCGTTCCTCTAAGTCTAACACCCCACACAGTTTCCAGGATCCACATAGTCCACCCGATTTAATCTTAACTCTAAAGCCCGAACAAGCAACACTACCCAACAGGGCGGAATCCAACATTTCAGTGTCAAAAGCCAATTGCTGCAGATTTGCTGGGGACACTACAGTATTTGGTACCCGAAGTACCTACTTTTATAAAGTATCTGTGATGACTTGAAAGAATATAGGTTTCTCTACACAGCTTATATGAATTCATCTCCTTCCAGGAATTCTTATGTATATATCACTACTACATCAGTTAAATAAATCTATAATTCACCATAAATTAATATTTATATCAATTAACATGAATGAAATTAATATAACTGGATATTCAACTTAGGATGTGTATCCATGGCTTAAAATCTAATGCACTAGGATATATTTTATCCAAGATCAAGTACATTAAGAAACACATACATGTGAGTGCAACGAAATAAGGTTTTGATCAGCTCCCAGATCTGATGATGTATTTACTTAAGTCCTCTCAAAGGGTTGGTTTTTGCTGTCCAGGGCCAGGCAGCGACATGCTAAAGGAGTGAGAACCTCTTCCGAGGAGCACAACAAGCCCCCAGAGTCACTCTTGCTTCCCCTTTCAGGAGGTGCCCATGGCCAGTTTCTCAGACACATGATGGGGACAACATCGGAGAACTTTAATCCCAATGACAGGAATTGTGGGAAACTAAGAGTTCTAATGACCGAGTCATTGTTTCTTGTTCTTGTGAGTCCATCTGTTGGGGAACCAGGGCTGTTGAGTGATGGGTCTAATTGGTGACTGGCAGTCATGGACTTGAAAGATGGGGGAGAGGGTTGGGGATGGCATACGTGGGGGCTCAGGGGGAGGGTGGAAACCATGAACGTGGGTACTTTGAGTTATTGTTAGCTCCCAGATCCCTGCTCCTGGCCTCCCACCTTTACCCTGGTCCTCCAGGTGGGCACACTCCCTGCTGGACTCTGATACGTACTGCACTAGTCTAGTGAGGAGCACACTGCTTGGGTCATAAAGCTGTCATCTGGAGATGCCTGGTTTATAACTGTCAATACGGGCTTTGGCCCACTTGCACTGGACCTGGCTTCCCAGAGGTGTTTACCACAGCTTGGAGTAGTTGATATAAATAGAGTAGAAGTACTTGATAAAACCATCACATACCATCCTCTCTCACCCATTTTCCAAGGTTTGTTTGTTTTTGTTTTTTGGTTTTTTTTTGGTGGAGTCCCCCTCTGTCACCCAGGCTGAAGTGCAATGGCGTGATCTCGGCTCACTGCAACTTCTGCCTGCCGGGTTCAAGCGATTCTCCTGTCTTAGCCTACCGAGTAGCTGGGATTACAGCCACCACACCTGGCTAATTTTTGTACTTTTAGTAGAGGCAGGGTTTCGCCATGTTGGCCAGGCTGGTCTGGAACTTCTGACCTTTGGTGATCTGCCCGCCTTGGCCTCCCAAAGTGCTGGGATTACAGGTGTGAGCCACCGTGCCCTGACTGTTTTCCTAGGTTTTAATATATATTGCCTTTCTGCCACTACAGACGTGTAGAACCGGGCCTCCGCAGGTGCCAAATGCTGCCTGTCCCAAGTCTCAGAATCTGCCTGTTCTTTACTTTCATCTGTAATATGGGTTGGACACTCAAATTATTTATATGTATTATGCATGATTGTTTTATATTTTTGACTCATTAAAATCACTCAACAATTAAAAAATAATTACAAGTATTAAAATATTTAGATACTTTGTTTCAGTTGTTTCAACTTTGTCAAAATCATGAAAATCACTAAAAGATAAACTTTCTCCTGTCTAACTGAACTTTTGTACCCTCTGACCAACATCACCCCAACCCCCCACACTCTAGCCCCTGGTAACCTCCATTCTACTCTGTTTCTGTGAGTTCAATGTTTTAAGATTCCACCTGTGGGTGAGATCATGCAGTATTTGTCTTTCTGTGCCTGGGATAAATAAACTGTTAGTTTATAACACTTATTTTAAAGAGTTTTTTTTTTGTTTGTTTTGTTTTGTTTTTTTGCGACGGAGTCTCGCTCGGTCACCAGGCTGGAATGCAGTGGTGTGATCTCAGCTCACTGCAACCTCCGTCTTCCGGGTTCAAGTGATTCTCCTGCCTCAGCCTCCGGAGTAGCTGGGATTACAGGTATCTGCCACCATGCCCGGCTAATTGTTTCGTATTTTTATTAGAGATGGGGTTTCGCCATGTTGGCCAGGCTGGTCTCAAACTCCTGACCTCAGTGATCCACCTGCCTCGGCCTTCCAAAGTGCTGGGATTACAGGTGTGAGCCACTGCACCCGGCCTAAATAGTTTTTAACTATTCAATATAGAGCTGGAGGCCATTGTCCTCAGCAAACTAACACAGGAACAGAAAACCAAATACCACATGTTCTCACTTATAAGTGGGAGCTGACCGATGAGAACTTACGGGCACAAAAGGGAACAATACACACTGGGGTCTATTGGAGGGTGAAGGTGGGATGAGGGAGAGGATCAGGAAAAACAACTATTGGGTACTAGGCTTAATATCTGGGTGACGAACTAATGTGTATAACAAACTCCCATGACACAAGTTTACCTGTGTAACAAACCTGCACATGGACCGCTGAACTTAAAGTTAAACCAAAAACATTTAAAAAGTAAAGAGAAAAAGAAAATAAGATAAAATCAATATGCCCACTTTCCTCATCTTTAAAATGAGAGTTGAGCTCTAGAAGGTCTCCGGTTCCTTCAGTCTCTAAAATTTTATGTTCTAAGTTAAGTTTTTATTTGTTAGTTCCCTTTTAGCCGGCACATTCCCAAATAAGTATAGCCAGATCAGCTTTTTTTCCCCCCGAATGACATTATGAAAGATTTTAAACATATAGGAAAGGTGAAAAGACAATACAACAAATACGTGTGTACTCAGCACATAGATTCAGCAATTGATAACATCTACCATATTTGCTTTGTCCCTATGTGTATGCCTGTCCTTGTCAAATCATTTTAAATTAAGTTCCAGACATCCTGGCCCTTTACTCCCCGAGATCTCAGCATGCGATTCCTAGAAATAAGGACATTTTTCTGCATGACACGACACAGTCATCACACCTGAGAAAACAGACAATACTGGACTCAGTCACCTAACTGTAGTGTCTGTGGTACTGTAATATCACCTAAGAAGACGCACAATGTCTCTTTCATTTCTTTTCATTGAAAACAGCACCTCCCACTCCCCACCCCTTGCACTTTCCCAGATAACACTGGCTTTTGAAAAGAGGTGCGACCAGGCGCAGTGGCTCACGCTTGTAATCCCAGCACTGTAGGAGGCCGAGGCGGGCGGATCACGAGGTCAGGAGATCGACACCATCCTGGCTAACTTGGTGAAACCCCGTCTCTACTAAAAATACAAAAAATTAGCCGGGCGCGGTGGCGGGCACCTGTAGTCCCAGCTACTCGGGAGGCTGAGGCAGGAGAATGGCGTGAACCCGGGAGGCGGAGCTTGCAGTGAGCCGAGATCGCGCCACCGCACTCCAGCCTGGGCGACAGAGCGAGACTCCACCTAAAAAAAAAAAAAAAGAGAGAGAGATGCGACATAATACCTTGTCGAATGTTCCATTTCCTCACGGCGTTGCTTAATGGTACTTTGAAAGTTCAGTCTAAGGCTGGCTTGGGTTCAGGTTCAATGTCATTGGCTCCCTCCTGAGTGGGGCTGTGCGTCCCCTCGCTGTTTGGAGGGGACGTTCGGAGCAGCCCGAGAGGCCACCATGCCCCCCGCCCCCCGCTCCCGGGTCCCCGGGAAGAGGCAGCCCGACGGCCCGGCTGCAGACCTCGGCTCTCCCGCAGGCTGCGGGTGGGTTACCTGGCTCCGGGAGACCAGGTTTCCTCGTCTGGGGAGCGCAGCAGTCTCATAGCTGCCGTGAGAGGGTTCGCGACAGAATCACCGCGAAGGGCGGGAGGACCCGGATCGTCGGGAGAGGTGGGCTGCGTGCAGCCACTGCGCGGGGACCCGGATGCACGCACAGGGCGTGGCAGGGGGCGGGGCAGGGCCGTTCGGTGGCCTGTGTGGAGCGATGCCACCTGCTGGTTCTGTACGTCCAGGGGGGCAGCGTGTGCACAGCTCTGGGACCCCGAGGTCCTCGGGGGGACACACTGCTCTCTCCAGCGCACACAGACTCCACACACACACGCCCGCATCACAACGGCAAACACGCGCCACCCCCCAGTTACCCGGAGACACATGCGGGTAAATATGACCCCAGGAACTTGCTGAATACGAGTAACTGTGTTTCATTCCTCCTACCCGTCCGCTGTGGGTTTACTAGAGTTTGTCTTAGATGGCAAATAAGAAAGCTTTTTATTTTAAATGACAGTCAGGGCAAGAATCAGGTTGCTAATTTCCCTGAGACGCATGAGGGTGTAATGACACATCCAGGCTGGAAACCAAGAGTCATTTTCCTTGAAAGACTTAACTTGAAAGTCGGTCTGTACTAGCGAGTTCCAAGGCCCTGATGAAAAACAGAAAGCGGCAGGGAAAGGAGGAAGGAGGAGAGTGAGAGCTAAGTGGATGGCGTTCGGGACACGGCTCTCGTTGGAAGGCACAGACTCTCTGCAGCTCTGTGCGAAACGCTCCTTGCTGGTTGGAGTCCTGGCACCACCGGAATCACTGTGCTCAGATGTCCTTTCAGGGGCAGTGGGTGGCAGCGGCGGCCTTACTCAGGGGCTTCTGCCTGAGAAGGAAAAAGGTTGAGCCGCCTCCCCATCGATTTGTCCACCCCGTTTTCTTTTTTTCTTTTTCTTTTTTTCTTGAGACCGAGTCTCGCTCTGTCCCCCAGGCTGGAGCGCAGTGGTGCGATCTCGGCTCACTGCAAGCTCCGCCTCCCGGGTTCACGCCCTTCTCCTGCCTCAGCCTCCCGAGCAGCTGGGACTACAGGCGCCCGCCGCCACGCCCGGCTAATTTTTTGTATTTTTAGTGGAGACGGGGTTTCACCGTGTTAGCCAGGATGGTCTCGATCTCCTGACCTCGTGATCCGCCCGCCTCGGCCTCCCAAAGTGCTGGGAGTACAGGCGTGAGCCACCGCGCCCGGCCCACCACGTTTTCTTAATGACCTGATTTGGGACTGCAGACAAATGAGTCTGTGATTTTTCATGTGTTTGCGTAAAGGCTGAGTTTGAAGAGATTCCTTCATTTTTCCCCCTCCTTAGGTCTTTTTTTTTTCTTTTTTTTTTTTTGATATGGAGCTTCGTTCTTGTTGCCCAGGCTGGAGTGCAGTGGCTCGATCTCGGCTCACCGTAACCTCCACCTCCTGGGTTCAAGCCATTCTCCTGCCTCTGCCTCCTGAGTAGCTGGAATTACAGGCATGGGTCACCATGCCTGGCTAATTTTGTATTTTTAGTAGAGACAGGGTTTCTCCATGTTGGTCAGGCTGGTCTCGAACTCCCGACCTCAGGTGATCTGCCTGCCTCGGCCTCCCAAAGTACTGGGATTACAAGTGTGAGCCACCACGGCCAGCCTCCCCCTCCTTAGGTCTTTACGAGCACTAAAATTCTATAACTAGAATCCCATCTGAATTCAGTTTTCTATTTCTTCTGATGTTTTATTGTTTGCCACAGTAACTGTAAGGAAATACATAACATTTTGAATAGTTAATCATCAGGCAAATTAGTGTTGTTTGGAAGATTTGCCCACTTGGGCTGGCAAGGTTGCAGTAAAACTGGCACTGGTGGCCCTGCAAATCGGGTCTATCACTTTGGGAGAGTAATAACTTAGTGATATGTATAAAAATATTCCATACTATTTCACTAATATGGCCCCTTGGGAACTAATCCCAAGATAACTGAAGAAAGATACAGTATGTGTGAAAGTGTTCGTTACAGTGGATCATACAACGGAAAAGCTGGAAAGCACGTGTGTGTCAATAGGTGAACTGTATAGTATGACATCCAGCAATTAGTAATTATGTAAATGCTAGAAATGAGGGAGTTATCCACCAAACCACATTTTTGAAAGGTTAAACAACAAAATTATATCTACATTGTAATTATAATTATGTACGTATATGTCAGGTAGTATATGAAAATAGGGTGGAGTAGTGAAATTATGGGTACAATTGTTTTTATTTGTTGTTCTTTACACTTTTTTGCTTTAAAATATTTAAAAAATTACCAGCTTTGTGTCAGGGTTGGTTCAGGATTCTGTGCTGTTTAAGGCATGCATGAGAAGAGTTATTCTTTTTTAAGATACCCAGCAACAAGGTACATAAAAACAAAAACAAGCGAAGTAAGTCAGACTGTGTCACTGACTATAAACAAGTCAACCTGTTTTTCCAATACATGATTCACTGGAAGTGAACACGTCAAAGTGGCACATAGGGCAGCTTTGGGTCAGCTGGAGCTGAGCGCCAACCCAGCACGGACCTTCCTCAGCTGTGTGGCTATTTGACACGAGCTTCAGTTTCCTCATCTGTGCAATGAGAAGATAGCATTCACCTGTGTAGGGCAGAGGTGGGATTGGAGATCCTGGGCCTGGTGAGTGTGGACTCTTAAGAAGAATAGCCTTTCTCTGAGAGGGATTGAAGATGTTTATTTTTCCCCCTTTATTATCTTTTGGAAAACATATTGATATGTGCACCAGACGGTATGAAACATGGGTTGCTATGAAGCTTCCTATCGGTGTCCCCTCATGAAGCAGGACCAGCAGTGACTTGACCTGTCCCTGTCCTGCTCGCCCCCAGGGACCAGCTCTCTCTTCAGTTTTAAAATAAGTTTAAAACCCCGAATGCCTGCATGTCTGAAACATATCAGAAGGCATGGCTAAGCAACTGAAATGTCAGTTCCTGGAACTGGAATGATTTGGAGACAACGAGAATGAAGAAACTATTTCTAAATGAGGCGAATTCATGAAAGGAAAGGGAATGATTTCTAAATGGAAAAAGATAGGTTTATGCACTGGGTTCAGAGTTATCTTAATAGGTAGCCCAGTGGCCAGTTTCATCGGGAGCGACAGCAAAACATCATCCTGATTTGATCTTTTGCTGCAAGCAGGCTGGTGGTTGCCATCAGAAGACTGTGTCAAAAATAGAAATGGCTCCCCAAAGATTGTCAATTTGGGGAGCTCTAAGACAGACGTCTTCCATGAATGCAAAAAATACAGCTTCAAGAAGAGGTAATTGGGTGGGGCTGAGTGGCTCATGCCTGTAATCCTAGCACTTTGGGAGGCCAAGGCAGGCGAATCACCTGAGATCAGGAGTTCCAGACCAGCCTGGCCAACATGTCGAAACCCCATCTCTACTAAAAATACAAAAATTAGCCGGGTGTGGTGGCACATGCCTATAATCTCAGCTACTCAGGAGGCTGAGGCATGAGAATCATTTGAACCTGGGAGGCAGAGGCTTCAATGAGCTGAGATTGTGCCACTGCACTCCAGCCCAAGTGGCAAAGCGAGACTCTGTCTCAAAAAAAAAAAAAAAAAAAAAAGATGATTGGTGGGTGTCCCCTTCCTCTTCCACATCAAGCTGCTGCAGCTGCCAGAAAATAAGCCTTCTGCCACCAGCAGAAAGGGAGCAGAGCCCAGGGCATCACCAGGAGCGCCTGGTAATATACCAGCACCTTGCCACCCCTCCTCTCCCTTCACCCAGACACATGAGAGAAATGGAAAAGGATTCTTCACAGAGCACTCGGGCACACTGTATCAGAGAAAAACTGATAGATTCGTTCATGGTTTTTCTCGAATTCCAGAAGCAAAGCTCTGTTCTCCATATTGATATGTTCTCCCTAAACTTAGGTCTTCTAAAAAGAAATAATATTTCAGTCTGCTGCTTGAGGAGTTGACAGTGAAGCTAACCCAGTGAAAAACGTGTTCTTGCAGCAACTCTGGTGGCAGTTGTCCTTGAGGGGGCTTTGGTGTGTGGAAGCTATCAAAACAAGAAATGTGCACATTTAGTCTTGTAACACTTACCTGGCGGTGCTGGTTTCGTGTTATTTTCCTTTAAAAAAATTGGGGACCCCGCACGGTGGCTCAAGCCTGTAATCCCAGCATTTTGGGAGTCTGAGACGGGTGGATCACTTGAGATCAGGAGTTCGAGACCAGCCTGGCCAACATGGTGAAACCCCGTCTCTACTACAAATACAAAAATTAGCCGGGTGTGGTCTTGCGCATCTGTAGTCCCAGCTACTCGGGTGGCTGAGGCATGAGAATCTCTTGAACCCAGGAGGCAGAGGTTGCACTGAGCGAAGATCGCACCACTGCACTCCAGCCTGGGCAACAGAGCAAGACTCTGTCTCAAAACAAACAAAAAATGCTATCACATTAATAAAGTTGGTGTTTATTTTATTTTATTTTTATTTTTATTTTAAAAAAAGAGTTCTCTTAGGTAAATACACAGCTACTCTGATTCGAGTCTCAAATGGGACCTAACCATGAGCCAAAAAGCAGAGTGGTCAGATGATTTCTGATGCACCCCCTGCTGTCTTTCTGAAAGGCACAGTGGCAGGATGCCTGAGTGTCCGGGCCTCTGCTCCTGGAGGGGTCAAGAAGCAGCCCACGCTCAGATACTTTCTGGCCCCTCCCTAGGGCCACTTGCACACCTCTCTCTCCAGTGACATGAAAGAACCTCCCTGAGAGGCCAGAATCAGACATCTGTGACCTGGGCCCTTCAGGGGTAAGTCTTGGTCAGCAGATGCAACCCTCTAAAGTGACCGACTTTATCTGACCTTGGGACAATGGGTCTAAATGACCCTGGGATAACAGCTAAGGGTGGCTCCGCCTAGGCAAGGTGTTGTCCCCATGTATCTTTCCCAGATTCGAAGGCCTCTTAGCCCTTCACTTGATCAGGTGGCAGAGACCTCACACCAGGCAAACAAGCTGTTCACACTGTGGACCACATACCCTCCAGGTGTCATCTGAGGTCATGTGGTCATGCTTAGAAAACATCGCTCTCACCGGAGCACCCGACGTTGTCGCGTTAGGAGTGGGCCCACATTTCACTCCAGCAATCCAGCCCTGTCTAAAACATACCCGGACAGCTCAGGGCTTGGGGAGCATGATTTTGATTTTCCTTGTAAGTGACAAATCCTTGTTCTTTGAGGGCGGGCTTCATTTTGAAAACAGTTCTAAGTCACTCAGATCTGGTGTAGAAATAATCATAGTAGGTAACACCATTTTTGTTTTCTTTAAAAAAAATCTTTTGAACGTAAGCAAGGTAATGAGATCACTTTTTTTTATGAGACTTATTAACCTTTTTTGGTGAGGTTTATTGGCAAGGTGAGTCCACATTCTGCAATTCCAAGCATGTTCCAAAGCTGCATCGTGGGAGCGGGAGTCCAGCCACCCAAAGGGGCTGCTTTGAAAGGCAGCACCCGGAGGAATGTGCGGATTTGGATCCAGCTGTTCGGGACTCAAGTCTATTCCATGCTTTTCCAACACAGCTGCGCTCTGACAGAGGCACCCACTAACTGGGTCCATCCTACGTCCTGGCACTTCCCCACACAGTGACCTGCATGCTTGTTAGTTGCATCCAGGTTCAAGAAGCATTTATCTAAACAGTACATTCTGTAACTTATTACATGTCATCAGTCAATCAGCCAGAGATCATAGTACGGAAACTATTTGAATTATTTTCTGCTTTCCTTCAAAATACTGTCCCAGGGCTGTTGTGGGTCACTGACATTTACAAATTATCCTCACATCAAGAATTAGAGAATACTTTGGACTCAACCAAAAACAAAACCAACAACAACAACAACAAAAACCACCAAACGAATCCTCACTGCAAACTCTATTTCAGAGGGTCTCCGTAGTACCAGCGTCTTCTGGTACTAGGTCTGTATCACTAACTTCTTTCTTGCTAGTTTCCCATTATCTACGTTAAAAAAAAAAAAGAGCATGTCCCAGTTAAGTGACTTGTGCTTATTTTTGTGAACATAACTCTTGTTGCTAAAATAGGACAGGGTAAAGCTGATGGTCCCGCTGTAAAATATGAAAAGTTTCCAATTTCTTCTATTACCTGGTAAAATGTTTCCCTTCCAGAGAGACAGCTAGAATTTAGCTGTCCAGCAAGAGGACTAAGCAACTTCTCTGCCAGAGGGTGGTTGAGCCCTCAAACCCGTGCTGCCGACTTTAGGTTGTACATGTATGTATTCTGGGGAATGTGTGCAGGATTCTGGTTTGGCTGTATTTCTGGACGTTATTTATGTCAGTTGAGTCACGTGGCAAGTTTGCTATAGCCGGTCTTCAAAAACGTGGACAAGACTCTGGTTGCCTGGAAAGTACAATGATGATGAAAGAAAGGGAAATAGGCTCACACCATAAACAAAGCTAGAAACAAGGAATTTAGTGAAAACATAGAAAATATGTTGTGCATGTGAACTGACTCAGGCCAAAATTAAACAAACCAGGCAGGAAGAGAGAGACTTTCCAGCTCGCTGAGGGTTTAAGGCGGCCTTCTCTGATTGTTATCTGCTGCTGATTACCTGGTTTTGAAGGTAAAAGCAAAATGTGCTCACACCTCCGAGGATAACAATCCCCTCAGCAGAAACTCTAGCACCAAATCCAACCCTGGCGCTGTGGCTGCAGAATTTCACTTTTCGCTTTATCTCTGCTGTCCATCTGGGCTGTCAGGCCTGTCACATACCTGCAGCCTACAGCCTGGAAACCAGGGACTTTGATGTTCTAAAGGACGCTTTATCTGGGGTAATTTTGGCCAATTCTTACGTTATTGTGTAGGATATTCAGAGATGCAGAGAATGAGCGATGGCTTTGTCTGCTAAGATCAGAGCAATTTGCAAGCTTTACTGAGGGACAAGGTCTCATAAAGGAACTTTTGAGCTGGAGTCTGTCAACACCACTGAGAACTGGCATGACATCAAGCTCCATGATTATGGATAGCTTCAGCATCAGTGGGCAGAGAGAAAGGCTGTGGGCATGTGGAATTCCTCCTAGCCAGAGCAGGAAGCCTTGCAGCTTATGACTGGCTTCATATTAGATTAATTTTTTTAATTAAAAAGGTAATCATATACATGGGAACAAAGTCAAATTGTACAATGGAAAACAAGTCTGTCTCCCATCCTAAATTCCTTGTTGAGTTCTCCTCTCAGGAGCAGTCATTGTTGCCCAATTTATGTGGGCGTAAATAATCTAGGAGTTCATCAAGCATGGTCCTACTCCAGCTTCTACACAGAAGGGAGTGGCACCACCATACCCTCTGTCTCCTGCTCTGTTCACGTAGTATCTTGTAGGTCATTCTTTAACTGTGATAATGGCTATGTCTTTTGTGTTCTCACTATGTCCAGAACACCAGGCTTGGTATTTGTACCTATATTTGTAATCCTCTCAACAGTTTATGAGGTGGGTACAATTATGAAGCTCGTTTTACAGATGCACAAATAAAGGCATGGAGGGATACATGACCTGCCCAAGGTCTCCAGTCTAGAGAGGCCAACCCAGGATTTTAACCCCAGAACCTGTTCAAGACAACTACCAGTGTTATCACCCTAGAGGCACCTCATTCTTAAAAACCAATACTATTATATCATACTTCATAGATACAATAGAAAGTATAAGGAGTATGTAGTATTTTTTTTGAGATGGAGTCTTGCTCTGTCACCCAGGCTGGAGTGAAATGGTGTGATCTCCGCTCACTGCAACCTCTGCCTCCCAGGTTCAAGTGATTCTCCTGCCTCGGCCTCCCAAGTAGCTGGGATTACATGTGCCCGCCACCAAGCCCAGCTAATTTTTTTGTGTTTTTAGTAGAGACGGAGTTTCACCATGTTGGCCAGGCTGGTCTCGAACTCCTGACATTAGGTGATCCGCCCACCTCGGCCTCCCAAAGTGCTGGGATTACAGGAGTGAGCCACCGCACCCGGCCCAGGAGTATGTAGTATGAAGCACAGTAGTAAAATAAAAAATTGCAGGGGTTCCATATACTCTCTTGCTGTATAAAAATCATTTTACTCCGCATGTAATAATATCTAAATAATATCTCATTTTGTTTCTCTTCTCTTCTTTTTGAAGTAAAAATTATGTCATAGTTCCTCGTTCATTTTCACCACTCTGTTGTACTCCTTTGGGTGGATGTATCATAACTTACTTAACCAGTCTAACCGATGGGCATTCAGAATGTTTGAATCATTTGGCTGTTATTTGTAACAACCATGACCCTGCTTCTATATATGTCTTTGCATACCTCTCTGAGTATCCTCAAGGATAAAAGCCCAGGTCAAAAGCCCCAGTCAACTGGGTCAAGGGCTAGATAGGGCTAAGTTTGCCATACAAGGAGTTACACCAATGATCTCTTTCACAGTTGTTGAATGAGAGTCCTGCTTCATCACAATAGTTGGTAAAGTTAATTTTTTTTTTGTCCTGGCCAGTTTGAAAAGTAAAAGCTTTCTACTTTTAAATTAAATAACATTTATTTAATTATGATTGAGGTCAAGTAGCCATTTGTATTCCATTTGTACATGAAAATAGCCTCACTTATTTATCTGTTACTTGTCTTTTCTTATTGAATCTCAACCGATCATTACAAATTGTGGAAATTAGCACTTTCTCTATATTATCTGTGACAAATGCTTTCCCGCAGATTGTCATTTATTTTTTAACTCTGTTTATGGTAATTTTTCCTAAACAGAATTATGTGGTCAGATTCATAACTTTTATCATGTTGGAATATTATGTTTTATGTAGAAAGCCCTTCCAAAAACACTCAAGGGTCTTTTTTTTTTAATGTTCTCAAGTTTTACTCTAATAATTTGGCAGTTTTATCTTTCGTATGTGTTTAAATATTCATCCATCTACTAGAAGTTTTTGATTGAATGAAATGAGATAAAAATTTTTATATTACTTTTTACAGATTGCTACCCTGGTACCCCAACTCCACTTTTGAATTATCTACCCTTTTACCCACTGATTTGAAATACAGTTTTTAAAAATATTATTTCATTTTTTTTAAGACAGGATCTCGCTCTGTCACCCAGGCTGGAGTGCAGTGACACGATCACAGCTCACTGCAGCCTTGACCTCCTGGGCTCAAGTGATCCTCCGATCTCAGCCTCCCGAGTAGCTGGGACCACAGGCACGTGTGCCACTACAACCAGCTAATTTTTAAAAATTATTTATAGAGATGGTATCTACCTATGTTACCCAGGCTTGTCTCAAACTCCTAGGCTCAAGCAATCCTCCTGCCTCAGCTTCCCAAAGTGTTGAGATTACAGGCATGAGCCACTGCACCCAGCCTGAAATACAGTTGGATCATACATCAAATTGTTATATGCATTTGGCCTGTTTCTTTACTCACTGCATGATTCCATTGATCTTTTTGACTGTTCACACATGAAAACCAAACTACAGCTCTACAATATTTTTAAATTATTGCTCTCTTTAAATTATTGCTCTTTTGAGTTTTCACAGTTTTTCTGGAAATGATCAAATGTTTATTTTTTTCTGCGTGAATTTTTCTTTAGCTTGTGTAGTTAAAAAAGGAGGAGATCCTATTGATATTTTTATTGAGATCACATTAGTTTAGGCAGAATTATTTTCAGCATTTACAACACTGATGTTTTCTACCCAATAATAAAGTAGTTCCCCCATATTTTAGTCTTCTCTTGTCTTTTGGTATCATTTATAAAGTATATTTATATAGGACATGTGTATTTCTTAAAAATTATAGTCCCAGATATTCTTTTTTTTTTACTCTTTTCTTCCATTATATTTTCTAGTGAGTTGCTGCTTGCACATGAGAAGCTACTAATTTTTGTTTAATTTTGTCACCAGGGATCTTACTAAGTCTCTTAATTGTTTACAACAGTTTTTCAGTTGATTCTCCTGTGTGAGTGTGTATTTGAGGCATACTATTGTATGATCTGCAAATAATAAAACATTTACTTCCTTCTCAATTTTTTTTGCATTTTTTTCTCTTGTCTAATTATATTAATGAGTAATTCAAATACAATTTAGAATTGTTGTGGTAATTGTGAGCATCTTGATCTCTTTCTTGACTTCAGTAGAAATATTTTGTCATTAAACACAATTCCGGCACCTGCACATGTGTGTAAAATCATGATAAATGAGTACGTTCCTATTTTATTAAGACATTAAATGTGAATTGTGTTGAACTTAATGCTTTTTCTTTTGTTTTCTTTTCTTTTTTTTTTTTTTTTTTTTTTTTGAGATGGTTCTCGCTCTGTCACCCAGGCTAGAGTGCAGTGGTAAGATCTTGGCTCACTGCAACCTCCACCTCCTGGGTTCAAGCAATTCTCCTGCCTTGGCCTCCCTAGTAGCTGGGATAACAGGCGCCCACCACCATGCCTGGCTAATTTTTTTGTATTATTAGTAGAGAGGGGTTTCACCATGTTTGCCAGCCTGGTCTCGAACTCCTGACCTCAGGTGATCTGCCCGCCTCTGCCTCCCAAAGTGCTGGGATTACAGGCATGAGCCACCACATCCAGCCGAACTTAATGCCTTTTCTAAATCTATGGACAAACTAATGTAGTTTTTCTCTTTTCACCTACTCCATGTTATATTAGTAGATTTCCTACTTTGGGGCATTTTCCCATCTTAGATTGAACTCCATGTTGGCTATGGTGGATTTTTCTTTTAAAGCATGGTTGGATTAGAGTTTTTTTTAACTATGTTCATGGGTGAGATTGGTTTATATTTTTCTTTTGGGAGGCATTCTCAAATGTTGTTATCTCTCTCTGTGTGTGTGTATATATATATACATATATATATATATACACACACATTTTTATTCATAAAAATAATTGGTTAAATGGAGCACAATATCTTGGATTGAATCTGGGAACAGAAAAGGATCATCAGTGGAAAAAGAATGGGTGAAATCCAAATAAAATCTGTAGGTTAGTTAATAGTTCTGTACCATTAATAGTTTCTTAGTTTTGACAAATGTACTCTGGTTATAGAATACATTACCAGTACGGAAAGCTGGGAGAAGGCTGTATGGAAACTCCCTGTATTATCTTTGCAAGTCTTCTGTAAATCTAAAAGTATTCAAAAATAAAAGTTCTGAAATAAAACATACTTCGTAAGATTTCCTTCTTCATTATTCATAGCAGTTTCAATAACATTGGCGGTATCAGCATTTTGGATGGTTGATGAAATCCGTTTACAAAATCAACTGCGCTGAGTGCTCCCTTGAAGTCTCTGCTATGTGAACTACTCTGTTTCTATTTCTCTCTTTTCATTTCTGTATTTAGTAACTTATATCTTATTAGAAAACCATGAGGTTTTCATATTTATTTCTGCAAAATTGAGCAGGGTAATCATTTATTATTTTAAAATTTTCCTTGCAGCTGAGAATTTTCCGATTTCATACCTATTTTTTTTTCTTTTTGTGGTTTTCTGCCATTTTCCTTGATTTGGTTAATTTTTCTCCTTTTATATTTATTATCTCTCCCTGCAATTTTCTCAAATTTATTTTATTTGTCTTGCCTTAATTTTTTTTTTTTTTTTTTTTTTTTTTGAGACCGGGTCTCACTCTGTTGCCCAGGTTGGAGCGCAGTGGCGTGATCTTGGCTCACTGCAACTTCCGCCTCCCAGGTTCAAGAGACTCTCCTGCCTCAGCCTCCCTTGTAGCTGGGATTACTGGCATGTGCCACGATGCCAAGCTAATTTTTGTATTTTTAGTAGAGATGGGGTTTCACCACGTTGGCCAGGCTGGTCTCGAACGCCTGACCTCAGGTAATCCACCCACCTCAGCCTCCCAAAGTGCTGGGATTACAGGTGTGAGCCACCACTCCCAGTACTTTTTTTTAGTTGAGTGTATATACTGTTAATTTAAGTACTTAAAGCTATGAAATTCCCTCAACATATTGCTTTAGCTATATCATATAGCTTCTGATAAATGTTTTTGTATTATTTTTATTTCATAATATTCTGCAGTTCTGTTTTCTATTTTATTTTGGACCTGAGTTCTGTATAAGAGAAAATTTAAAAGTTTTTAGGGATCTGTTGCTTTTAAAAGTAACACTCGCTAGATTGGTTATTTTTATTTTTGAACAAGTCCTTACAGTGAGTAACCACTGTCATTTTTTTCTCTATGAATATTTTTATTTGATCATGAATACTTGCAAAACAAAAGCAGACATACAGTAAAATTCTTTATCTTCATTTCTGCCATATCTTCCCACACTTTAAAAAGTTCAGACTTCTTTTCCTAGCTTATTTGATTTTACTTTCATAATTTATCAGAGGTTGCATTGGACTTTCAGTTAAGTGAAAGGAGCTATACAATTAGATCATGTCTCTTTGGGAGGTTGTATAGTTAGAAGTTGTTTAGGTTCAATGAAAATTTAGAATAAAGAAGTATAATGATAGAGACATATAGGACATAAAGGGGAGAAAGGAATGATGATGAAATATGCTCCTAAATCTGTGAATGTCACATCTTAGGAAGCCAAGAATCCCCAGTCCCACTACTAACCTAAGATGCTGATGAAGTCCCCATCAGAAATAATAGGGACCCTTTAGTTCAATGCAGGAGGGTATCACTTACATGATTAAGGGAGGGGGTGTGTGTCAGCATTTGCAGCCCCATTTTTAGCTGATTGAAAATCTAGCCAACAACTTCCGGGCAGATAAGGTTGCCCCCCGACCAATTCCTGAGTGGTATCACCTCTGCTAGACACGAAATACTTCCACACCCTTGGCCTTCGGAGTGGCCATGCTCCATCCCTCGTCTTTCTGTGTGGCCTCTGTAGAGGCCAAGATCCTCTCCAAAAGTTCTGCAAGCTGGGATGCTGCCCTGCTCTGCCAAGTGTCTCAAAGGTAAGGCGTTGCTTCAAATTATTCAGAAATAATAAAGCATACAAAACCCAACGTGGATTTTAAGAATATTCACACATAACCTATAAAACTGACTTTAGCCTTGAATGCTTCCTGAAGTAATGGATTTTGACTTGTTCCCCCAAATCTTCCCACATGACTCAATCTGATGAAAATGATATGATTCTCAAGGGATTCATGTGGTTCCATTGCCCATACCATTTGCCATTTTCCACCCTGTCCAATGTGGTGGGTCTTTTCTAGTTGTTTCGCTTGGCTGATAGCTGTCCACATCTTCCGTGCCAGCCCTTGGGTGTGCATTCTTTCTTGAGACACGTCTCCAAATCAGATTACTGTAGTGAGCTTCCTCTTCCCCTGGGTATTTATTTATTTAGATATAAAGAAAGTTGACAAATGTGTTTTGTATTACATGCTATCAACTACAGCGGCTGCAGCTCCACAGGGCTGAGGGATGTTTTTCATCAACGCCTGAGAGTTGCCCCTTGTGAGCCCAGTGTTCCTTCCATTTCTAGGTAGAGGGAATGGCCTGGATCCCCTTAACTGGTCAGCAAAAAGTATAGGAGGGGGTACATCAGCTTCTATGTGCTTCTTCCTGTTTCTTTTTTCATTGTCTTCTTGTTGCTCTTTCCACAGCTCGTTTTCTTTAGAGCACACACAGCTGTATATGGGTTTCGGGGCAGCATGCTCATGTTTATTATAAATTCCATCTTTACCTGACTTCAGTGTCATATAGTAATAATGATTATTATTTTATAGTAATTACTTTTATTTTATTTTATAGTAATTTACTCTTATTTTATGAGCCAAAAAGAAATCAGGTGTTCTCATACTTCCTAGCTTATCATTAAATTCAGTTCGCCATGTTGTATGTGTGCATTTGTGTGTGTGCATGAGAAAGACAGAGGGAGGGATAGAGAAAGGGTTGGCACTGATTAGGTGCCACAAAACAATAAAACATTGCCTAATTTGAATAGCTTCAAGGTATCACCAAATACTCACCATGGTAATAATAATAATACCTGAGAAATTGTGTTGAATCTTCACACTATCCAATGCCACTCTTTGTTAGGCGCCTTGCCTGTATTACATCTGTTAGTCCTCACGACGACTCTACAAGATAGGAATGCTATCCCCATTGGACACATGACGTGACTGAGGCTCAGAGAGTGACTAATTCGTCTACAGTGGGAATGGGATCAAAACTCAGATTGTATAACCAATGATGGTCAGGATGCTCTGTGGAAGATGTAGCCTTCTTTACTAAAGGCTTTTCTACAGCTTCCTAAGAGTGTTTTCTCCCAAAAAGAATGCTTACACACTGTTGGTGGGACTGTAAATTAGTTTAGCCATGTGGCAGACAGTGTGGCAATTCCTCGAAGACCTGAAGACAGAGTACCATCCGACCCAGCAATCCCATTACTGAGTATATACCTGAAGGAATATAAATCATTCTATTACAAAGACACATGCACATGAATGTCCATTGCAGCGCTATTCACAATAGCAAATACATGGAATCAACCTAAATGTCCATCAATGATAGACTAGATAAAGAAAATATGGTACATATAATCGGTATGGAATACTATGCAGTCATAAAAAAGAACAAGATCACGTCCTTTGCAGGGACACGGATGGAGCTGGAGGCCTTTATCCTTAGCAAACTAACACAGGAACAGAAAACCAAATACTAAATGTTCTCTCATAAGTGGGAGCTAAATTATGAGAACACATGGACACATAGAGGGGAACAACAGACGCTCGGGCCTCCTTGAGGGTGGAGGTTGGGAGGAGGGAGAGGATCCAGAAAAACAACTAACGGGTATTAGGCTTAATACCTGGGGTGAGGAAATAATCAGTACAACAACCTCACCGCCATGTCACAAGTTTACCTATGTAACAAACCTGCGCTTGTACTCTGAACTTAACATAAAAGTTAAAAAAAGAGTGTTTTCTCCCAATGTTGCAAGGAACCTCCTTTTAGAGTTGGGTAAACGTTTGAAGATTCAAAATAGAATTGAGTAATATCTGGAGCAGAAAATACAGCACCATTCCTGTCTGCTTTCCCTTCCTCTTTCTCAAGAGGCCTCTCCTTCCCACCTCATCTGCTTCTAGCAAATCAAATTGATACAATTATAAAATGTTAAGCTGTTTTTTAATTGTTATGGATGCTAATTTTTGTAACCTGTCATTCCCTATTTGTCTCATTAAAACATTTTATTTCCCATATTTATAGAGTGGCATCTAAGTTTTAGAAAGTGACAGTATTTTTTAAAGTGAGATTTCATTTCTTAGATAATTTATGCTTTCAGTTGTTTAGTTTACTCTTAGGTCATTACTTACTGCATAAATTAGTAGATCAAAGCGAAGAAATGGTTCTTAGAGTTTCAGCTGTAAGGCACCTGGCTGTCTTGGATGTAGGCCCTTGAATTTGGGCTCTAGGCATGAGTATTTTACCTTTTTACCTTACGATTAACCTTGTGATTAATGCCAGGGTTGTAAAAATCTCTTAAACCCATCTGACAAATTTTTCTTATGCACTAAATATGCCTAGCGGCAGCTCCCTGGATTTACACAGCAAGTTTTGTGTTTAGGAGCAAGTTCAGGGTCTTCTGTTTGTGAAATCCTTACCATAACTACTTCCCTCCAAAGGGTCATTATGGAAACTGATCTTTCATAACAGAGGCATTGCAGAGCACACAATCAAGAAACACTGACTCTGCTTCTTGAGTAATATCAACAAGAAAGACATTTTTAGTCTTCACATGTGCAGTTATATGTTCAGAATAGCATTTCCTGTGGCTGAAAAATCTCAGGAGACTGTGATCTGGAGCAACAAGGTGGTACAAACAGTTATTTTAATGAGAGCAGAGGCATGTGGCTCGCAGGAAGGGAGGAGAGTCCGCCTCTGCTGCTTCCACTCGAGTATGGGAGGGCAGCTCTGGGGAGAGGTACAGCCTGAAACCCTGCAGTGTTATTGTCTGGGTTGCCCTATAATTTAGGGTGCTGAGTGTGATATAAGAGGGCCATTAAATCAGGACATTAACCATGTCAGAAAGTAAATGAGCTCCTTTGTTGGATGGAGTTCTGTGGTCTTGAAGTCACCAGGGTAAATCATTCACATAAATACCGCTCCCATGAGGGGTCTGCATGGGCAGAGACCAGTAGATGTGGGTTTCATATACACCCCGAGTGTGCACACAGGTCCACACCCACTCGCACGCAAGCTATACTCCTCAAGGTAGGAGGACAGCATTCACCTTCAGCTGAGATCCAACCATTTTACCAGCAAGCTCATCCGACCACTAACAGGATAAGGGACTGGCCTTGTTTTCACAGAAAGGCAGAGACACTTCCCCTTCGGCAGGCTGCCTGTGAGCCAGAGACCTTAAGTGGTTTTAAGTCAGCATTGCAAACTTTACCTTGTGATTCCAGAATTTATTTCTGGGTGACGAATCTTCATCTTTGAATCTTCATTTTGCAATGTCTTACTACGAGTGTGTGTATGTGTTTTAAACTAATATTTATTTATCTACTTTTCTACAAATCACTTGCAAAGCACTTTTCACATATGTCTTCTCATTGCAAGTTTTTTTAAAAAGATCCTCAATTTACAGAGACAAAAGTTAATATAAAGAGGAGGGTGAAAAAGATTCATGTTAAAATTTGCCAACAGAACAACTGGACATCCATAAGCAAAAAAATTTTTTAAGTCTCTGATCTAAGTCTCTTACCTTATAAAAGAATTAAGTCAAAATGTACCATGTAAAACTATAAAGCTCTTAGAAGAAAACAGGAGAACAGCTTCATGACCTTGGGTTGCATGAGAAGTTCTTACACTTAACATCTAGTACATGACTGAGAAAAGAAAAACTTCGTGAATTGGATTTCAGCAAATTAAAATATTTTGCTCCACAAAAGGCACCATTAAGTGGGTGAAAACACAAGTCGTAAATGGGGAGGAAACACTTGCAAATCACGTATGAGATTAAGGACTTATATCCAGAGTATATAAAGAACCCTCAAAACTCAACAGTAAGAAAACAAACAACTGAATTTTTTCAATGGGCAAAATATTCGAAGAGACACTTCACCAAAGAAGATATAAGCAAATGGGCACAACGAGAAGTCTTCAACACCATTAGCCTCTAGGAAAATGCAAATTAGAACAGCCATGAGAGTCCGTTTCCCACCTAGTAGAATGGCTAAAATGAAAACACTGACAATACCAAGTGGCGGCAAGAATGAGACAACTGGCACTTTCACACATGCTGGTGGGAATGCAAAGTGACGTGGCCACTCTGAAAAACAGTTTGTCAGTTTAAGTTTAATGACACGCTTACCATACGACTCAAGAATCCCACGCCTAGATACTTGCTCTACAGAAATGAAAGCATGTTTACACAGAACCTGTGCATGACTGTTTATAGAAAGAGTATTTATCATCACTAAAACTGAAACACTCTTATTGATGGGTGAATTGAGAAACACACTGTGGTATATGAAATACTACCTCACAATAAAAAGGAATAAACTATTGAGACAGATGACAACATGGAGAAACTTCAAAGGCATTACACTGAGTGAAAGAAAACTAATTGCAAAAGGTTACCTACTGCGTGAGTTTATAAAGCAAAACCATAGGGATGGAAAACAGACCAGCAGTTGTCAGGGGTTGGGGGTGGAGAAGAGTTTGGCTATGAAAGGCAGCTTGAGGCCAGAGTCTGGGGGATGGAAGTCTTCCATAACCTAATTGTGGAGGTGGTTACACAAATCTACATGTCTTAAAACTCATAGAACTGTACACTACATGGAAGTCCATTTCACTGTCTATAAATTTAAACATTAATAATAAAAGCAAATAAGCAAAAATGGTAGCTGGCATCGATCAAGTGCTTACCATGTGCTTGGCCTATTGTGGCATTCTGTCCAAGGGCATTCATTTCCACTTTGGTCCCTCTGACTCCAGCTTCCCACCACACCTCAGCTACCTGATTTTCAGCTAGACTGGCACCAAGCCAAAAGCCCAGAACAACTTCAAGTTACTTCTGGTGATGCCTTTTTCACTTGGCTTCTTCTTTAGTTTAATAAGTTGGTGCATGGGATTTGTCTTCTACTGCAAGACCTGGCTTTTGTGTTTGGACAGGAGCTACGGGCTGGCTGGGATCTGTGACTAGCAGCGAGGTGGGACTCAGGCTTGTGACAGGAGGCTGAGCAGATGGCGGCCATCCCCAGGAGTCAGTCCTCTGGGAGCACAGAAAGTACTAAAATCCGATTGTTGGCACACGTGTGAGCAGGATGGAAAAGGACCACCCTGGCTCACTAAAGGTTGTTCCTGGAACAGGATTGCCCCAGGGTGCCCTGGAACTAGTCATCCTGCAAGTCAGGGCTCAGTGAGTTGAGCATTGCTCTGACATAGAGAAAAATTAAAAGCATTCTGCATAAAGTCTGTCATTCTTCCTGTACACAGTGCAGGAGAGGGGCTCAAACTGACCAGAGGCAGACACCGATTTCAGAGCCTTTGTGTCATTCAGGAAAGGTTCTGGAGTTGATTTGTGCCTGCAGATGACTCTGTCCTGACTTGGATGAAGCCAGAGGAGGCATGCAGGGGCTGTCTGGATTCTCCAATCCTGAGGGCAGTTGGACGTCTGTGGAGCTCATTCCTTCTTGCCCTCTGCCCTGGGCATCGCTGTGATGGCCTGACCTCATTGGCTGTAAATTAAGGCCTCTCCATTTTCTGCAAACCTCCTGATCACTGCCCAGGTAGTGGGGCTCTGACAAGGTGTGTGGGAACTTTCCCAGGTTGGCTCCCCAGGAGAGGGGCTGGGTGGAAAGACCACTCTGCATGGACTGAATGGAGTGAGATCTGAGACAGGTGGGACATGTTTTCTGCATCGAGTGGAATTTCAAAGAGATTCCAGAAATAATCATGGCAATACAGATCCATGCTTGAAGAGTCTTGAGCTGTGGGGACTGTTTCTCAAACAAAGACTGTGAAGGCAGTACAATTAAGTAGATTGGGGACTCAGAGGGCCCTGCTTTAATTTATTTTTCTGGGGGAAAGCACAGGATGGATAGGATTACCAAGATCACAGGGAGCAGAAGATGATGTCACTGGGTGAACAGAGAGCCTTCTGGTGGGGGGTGGGCTCACCCAGTTCTCGGCCACCCCACAGCTTCCCACTAGAGGTGCGGGGAGCCGATGACTTGGCAGGCAAAAGAGCAGGACTGTGTCCTCAGAGAAGCCTCGCTGTGACTCGGGGCTAGAAACTGGGGCACAGTCTGTGTGCATGTTAGCACATAGACAGCAGACACTTCTGTTCCTGCCTCGGCTTCCTTCTCGTGGTGGCTCTGCAAGGCAGCTCACTTGTTCTGGGCCAATGTGCATCTCAGCTGGAGATCGGGGAGGGTGGGCATCTATCTACTCTTCTGCCTGTCCCTGTTAGGTTCGCAGAGGAGCAGCGTTCTGCCCGGCTGCAGGGCCCTGACCGCTGCTGTGGGTCCGAGCACCTGGCTTAGATTTGGACTGGTTTTGGGGGCATCAACATCAGGGAGCACTGAGGCCTCTCTGGACCTCTGTGAGCCCCTTACGGTTGATCTTGAGTGACAGCATGCAACCCCAAAGCTCTTGTAGCCTGAAGAGGAGAATGCATTCGGCAACGCTGTTGAGCTTTACTGATGAGATTTCTCAGGTTCCAGCCCACCCAGGAGGTAATTGGGAGGAGTGAGAGTTGGCGATGATTTCCACTGATTTTCAGATGCCTGTTGAGAAGATGATATGGTTTTTCTCCTTTAATACATTAATGTGATGAAGTGTGTGCATTGACTTTCCAATAGTAAATCACTCTTGTATTCCAGGATTAAAAAAAGATAATACTTAACATGTAATGTTAACATTTTATGACTTAATCAAAACATTGAAAACAAATGGAACTATCAAGCTTATCATGAAGACATTAATCTTTACCACTCTGATTCCAAGTCAGGCACAATTCCTTCACATTTTAAAATGTCTGAAAATGGGATGCAACAATAGATGATATTTCATTCATCAGTAAGAGTTTTCCCTCTTGTGTTGCATTGTACAACCAATGTCATACAGTGCTTATAGCTCCGATTTTGGTTAAGTCAATATTCTTTATTTTGACTTTAAAAATTCAAAGCTGAGCCATATAGTAGACAGGATTACATCTCCTGTTTTGTGCAATCTTTGTTCCTTGTGTTAAGAATCATTCTGTCATATTATTTGCTTAGTTTTTTATATGCCTAAGCTAATTCCATTTTAAACATTCCAAAAAATCCATTTAACTCCATTCGGTGCAAATGTATGAGGTAAGGTGCTGTTTTCTTTATTTTTTCATCTGGACCAGTGGCAGGCTGGTACATGTTTAACAACTGCCTCTCCAAAAGAAAACACATGCATTTATATGCATATAAGTTTACTATAAGTGTTACTGACATAAAGGACAGTTAGCACACTACTTACAATTAACAATAAAAACTTTATTGTAACTTCTATACGATGAACTGTTTCTCACAGAATGCTTTCATTGATTTTTGTCAAACTCATATAACCATAACGAATGAGTGTAGTTCTTTTTAAAATTTTTTATGTTATTTTTAATTTTTAGTGACAGGGTCTCCCTCTGTTGCCCAGGCTGGAGTGCAGTGATGTGATCTCATTGTCTGGAACTCCTGGGCTCAAGCAATCTTCCTGCCTCAGTTTACTGAGTAGGTGGGACTACAGGCATGCACCACCATGGCTGGCTAATTTTTAAATTTTTCCATAGAGATGGAGTCTCACTTGCTGCCCAGGCTGGTCTCCATCTCCTGGCCTCAAGAGATTGATCCTCCTGCCTCAGCCTTCCAAGTGTAGAGATTATAGGTGTGAGCCACCATGCCCGGCCTGGAGTGCAGTTCTTATGTGTTAGTTATTTAGTATTTTCACTTTTGTTAATGTATAAGACACAAGTGCAACAACAAGAATTTTTTTGAACTTCATTTTGTTCATCAATGATGTGAGTATAATTTCTTTGCTTCATTGCATATTAGTTTTTGAGTACTGAAAGACTATTTTCGTGTCTTTTATTCCTGCTATTCACAACGTAATGACTTCAGACTTGACTCATGTAAAGTCTAATCTGCATTAACAATGTCTTCATTATTTTCTTAAGTATAGACCATCAGAACAATAAATCAAGCCCTGATTTGAAGGTTTTGCTGGTTTCTGTGGTGTAAATACTTCCACCCAGGCCAATATGAAGCTACTAATGTGACATTGCTGAACACAGAGTTGGCAAGAGGTGCGTTGTACTCTACCATGAAAACACAATAAATGCACTCCTGAACTTAAAATAAAAGTTGAAAAAAAGAAAAAACAAAAAGAAACCACACGTGTTAAAATGCCAAAAAAAATACAATAAGTGTAAATTACAAGAACACAGATACCAGTAAAATGTAGTATAATGAGATATAGATGAATTTGGAATATTTATCATCTTTATTTCTAATATGATTAAGCCTTTTATAATTTACTTTTTAAATAATGACTGTGTTTAAAAACTGGCTTACAACATTCCCAAATATTTAACAATTGGCTCCAATGGGCTGACACCAGTACCACCACATGATAGAGCCCTCCCACCTAGAGTCCCTCCTCCTCCTGTACCCATCTTCACAGATCATTCTCTAGGCCTGCTGCACAGCTGTTGACCTCAGAGTTCTCTTGGTCGTGATTCTAAAAATCCCCTTTACCTTTTGCTGCATTGGATTCCATTTTCTAGAGCCCACATCTTCCTCTTTCTCGGCTTACTCCCTCATTTTTAAGGAGCACATCCTTTAGTAGATCCCTGAGAAAAGGGAAATGGAATTTTTCTTGTCAGATCATCTAGGCACATGTCGAATGAAATCCACTGGCCTGATGTGTTTACCACTTGGTTGAGATATGCTTCATTATCATAGTTAGAAACCATCACTCACTCTTTTCTCATTTTTTTAATCATTTGTTCAATATGCATTGTGAATCTACTATGCTTCATTATTATTATCCTGTTGATTATAACAATAAAAATTCTTTTGCTACTTAAAGTCTTTCATGTGGAACATTATGCTTTTCAAGTCTTTGGCTTTGATATTTTTACCTTACAAATTCCATCATCAAACAGCTGTCATTCAAAGCTTGTTCAGCTTCATGTTCTTTCCTGCCTGGTCTCAAATGCCACACTTCACTTGCCATTAGTGTGACAGCATCTTTAAAGACAACGCTAAAGTCTGATTTTGCATGTGGCTTGTGTGGTGACTTCTAAAATGCATTTAGGTGAGACAAAGCGTTATTTATTTACCCTGTATTCCTGATTTGTGCCCTAATTTCTTCAACCCAAACAACGAAGGCATGAGATACGATGACAGTAGAGGGACTTCTCGCTGTAAAATTATAGAATTCTGTTTCATGAATAATCTTTGGGTGACTTTATCCAGGGAAATCTGTAAAAATGAAGAATGGGGGAGGAGGAGAGTGAAGGAGAAAAGAAAGAAAAAGGAAATAGTAGAGGGCAGATGAAAAAATCAGCAGCAGCCACTTGCATGATTGGAATCTGAAATAAAAAGAGTCCCTCAAACTAGCATGTTCTTAAATGAGCTGAAGGAATTCTAATAGATTTTCAACAATTATAAAAAAAATCTACATTTCAGAAAATCCAGCCTGGGCCTATGATCTGTTTATTTACTGATCTGGGATCCTTGAGAGGCCTTTAAAAATGTCAGCCTGGGCCAGGCGCAGTGGCTCATACCTGTAATCCCAGAACTTTGGGAGGCCGAGGCAGGCGGATCACGAGGTCAGCAGATCAAGACCATCCTGGCTAACACGGTGAAACCCTGTCTCTACTAAAAATACAAAAAAAATTAGCCGGTAGTGATGGTGGGTGCCTGTAGTCTCAGCTACTCGGGAGGCTGAGGCAGGAGAATGGCGTGAACCCGGGAGGCGGAGATCACGTCACTGCACTCCAGCCTGGGCTACAGAGCGAGACTCCGTCTCAAAAAAAAAAAAAAAAAAAAAAAAGTCAGCCTGTTGGAGAGCATCCTTAGGGGATATTCCAGAAGTGTTCAGACTGCCTGGGAATTTTGTACCAGTCACCTGTGCTTCTAGGGGTTGGTACTACCCCTGAGAAAGAAGCCAGGTAGGAAGGACGAATTCCTTGAGGGCATTTGGCTCTGTGTCCCATGAGGCTGGCACTCTAGCGGGGGTGGTCCAAAGAGACCTGAAAATTGGCAGTTCCCCAAGCCCCGATCCCTTACTCCCCACCAATCCCTTCCTGTTGAACCAACTATCAGGGCATGCCTGTGTGCCATGGGGCAGCCCATGGCCTGTCTGATCCTTTTCTGACCCCTTAGCCCATGGGTGCTCAGGGGTCCTCTATCCAACCCAGCATGGTGTCACCTGCGTTGTGCTTTTTCCTGCTCTCTTTCTTGACCACTGGGCTCTCCTAATTCTGCATCCATCATCCCTGCTTCTTGTACTGTTTTAAAGCACCCTGGGTCTCAGACTAGCTCCCATGGACAAAAGCTGTGACTGGATCCGTCTGGGGCTTCACACTGGCTGGGCACGTGTTGAGGGTGGTTGCATTGCCCCTGGAGGAGAAGGCCCCACACTCATCCTCTCTCTTCTCTGTTGCTGTGACTGCACTCCCAAACAGTGAGGCTCAGCTGTGGGCTGGGCTCCGTTTCTACTGCCACTTCCGAAGTCAACGACAGGAACTAGAGGGTGTGGGCTGCCACAGGGGACTCGTGCCAGAGGGACATGGGGGTTGCCCAGGGTGGTCAGAAGTGGACAATGCCAGAAGGTGAGAGCAGAAGGCTCAAAGATGAGAAACCAAGTCGTCCTTGGGCCTGCATGCTGGGCACAAACAAGGCTGGCAGAGGAACAGGGAGGGGAGAAGAAGGTGGGAACACGTGCTGTGCACATGCTGAGATAGTTGCAGTAGCCATAGTCTCTCCCAAATCCCTGGGGGAGCCACCTGGCTTTGCAGCCCAGGGTTGGGGTGAACAGATTGGCCCCTGTCCTCCAAGAGTGCCTGTGATCAGGACACCAGGGCAAGGATTTTGGGGGTCCATTACCCCCGGCTAGGACCCGTTCCTGCTGTGAACCTTTCCCTCCTATAAACACACCTCCTCCACAGGAGAAAAGCCCACTCTTCCACTCCTGGGCTCCAGGGGCAGATCCTGGGCTGTATAATTAATGTGGCAGTTTTCCTCATTCTGTGGTGCTTACAGAGGCTTTGAGCCATGACATGAACCTCTGATTTTTATCTAACTGTTCACATGTGGATGTTTCAGCTCCTTCCTCACTTCCACCACAATGCAGCACCATGCCTCCTCCAGGGGCCTCTCAACAAGTGTTCTCCTTTAGGGCTGGCATGCATGTGCCCAACTTGCTCACTGAACAGACTACCTTGGCCTGCTCAGCTACTCACCCTTGACACCTTCATCAAGCACTGGTGCTCTGCTCAGCCCAGGGTCCCACAGCTCCTGTGTCCACACGTGAGTATGCACATGTCCGTTCTCCCAGCATGTGCTGCCTGTCTGCCCAGGAGGCGGCTGACAGGGCAATCCTCCCACCAGGGTTCTGGCCAGGACAAACGAGGGGCTTCCCCATGATCCGGGTCCCTGGCAGTTAACAGGCTCCTTGTCTTGCCTCGATGGCCCCAGGAGACAATCCCAAAAAGACCACAGTTAGAAATCAGGACGTTTCCCAGGGTTTAGCTGCCAGGTTTATCCATGGCCATCTGATTACATATTTTAAATCATTGCAACGGTAAATTATCCATTTTACCAGCCTGGTGCTGGAATTCACTTTTTTATTGATGGAAACTCTGCAGTTTTACATTAGTTATAAGGGGACTTCAAGGTTGCTTATGAGAGGTTTTGCCCATACAAAAAAGTTTAGGAGTTATTTATGTCCCAAAAATGAGGGACTGGGATGGGCTGGTTGTTTCCCAAAAATCAGTGATTTGGCTTGATTTGCTATTAATCAATTTTCCTCACTTCTTTTGAATTTGATCTTATCTAATGAGAAGTAAATAAGTGGACAAAGTTAGTGAGTCGAATCAAGAAGCAACTGGAAAATTCCCACCAAAATGAGGAGATTTTCTTTTTAAAGTCCTGCCACTTCTGCTTTCTTTCATATATAAGGGGAAAATTCTAGTTATGAAAGAGAAGCTGAAGGATGGCTGGAGATTATCACAGATTTTAATGGTGATTTTTTAAAAAAGGTTACTATCTTAATTTTATTCTGCACCAAATAAGGACATATTTTCTACTGTTGTCTGCCTGTCATAACCTTTTTTTTCTCTAATTGTTTGGATGGTGTGAGATCCTCTATAGTCTCATAGAACCTAAGCCAGAAGCAGGAACCTTCTGCATAACCACGAATCCTCAGGTGATTCCTTTTGAGAATTCTGGGGGATGGACAGAGGAAACGAAAGCAAATTTCCACAACCAAAGAGGTGAGTGGATGAGGAAGGTGAGTGGGAGGAAGGGATCCCAGAGCGCCTACTCCTGAACTCACGTCATCAGAAGAGATGTATCAGCCGGAAGGCTGTAGGCATTTCCTCAGTGGAAACAGGCAGGTTCCTGATAAATCAGCCTGGAGGTCAAGAAAACTGAGCTTTTTGAATAACAGGATTTAAATTCAGCAGATTTTTGGATGTCTGATATGAAACAATTGGGGAATTAACTTCTAAATTCAACAGCTAAAACAAAAAGATGAGGTGATTAAAGATTACCTACAGCAACAGTTTCCTCTGTGAGAAAATATAATTATGAGAGTCTCAGATGATCTTTCCTTTGTAAAACAAATACTTTATTACCTAGGTGTGAGTTTTCAGCTCTGGGAGGAAGGTACAGATGGAGAAAAACTGCAGGCACCTGCGTTTGTAATGATTTGGGGAGTTTGTTTTATCAACTGCTCACAGGATTGAAATAGCACCTCTGGGACTGATTTCCTTTTCTAATTTCTGACTTTGCAGTCTCCAGATATTGCAGGAAGAATGGCAAGACAGTTCTGGGGTACAGCTGTGCAGTTTAGGGGACAGAAGTCATAGGGTAAGGACACTGCTGTTGACCTTCCACCTTGCCCCCTCCCCTTCCTGGGACAGTGTGAAGCAGGCAGGCAGAGTGCAGACAGGCTATAACATAGAATACCACCCAAGTTTTCAGATTGGCCTCAAGGTAGCACACAAATGAAGCAGACTGGACCTGCATGCTAAGCCTGCTAAAAGGAAAATTTAAATAGGACCTGTCTCATAACACAATACTCAGGATTATTTTTAAAATGATTTGTTATATAAAGGAGCAGGAAAATTACAACTTGAAAGAACAATCAACAGATGCTAACACTGAGATGAATTCAGATTTCATCTGATGATTCAGATGAAATTTTCTGACAAAGATTTTAAAGCAACCATCATAAAAATGCTCCAATAAGGAATTAGGAACGCTCTTGAAATATGTTAAAATCTTAATTTAAAAAGATACAAAATAACTAAATAGACATCACAGATAAAATGATATAACTACATGGAACTAATAGAACCAAAAAATGTAATAACCAAAATTAAAAGCTTCCTGAATGTGCTTAATAGCAAAGAAGAGATAATAGAAGAAAGAACTTCTGAATTTGAAGGCAGATGAATAGAAATGATCCAGTTTGGACAACATATACAAAAAATGCACTGAAAAAAGAAGAACAGAGCCTCAGGGAACTGTGAAATAATAACAAAAGAAATCTAGTATGTGCATCATCAGAGTCCCAGTAAGGGAGGAGAAAGGGAGTAGGGTTGAAACATATTTGAAGAAATAATGCCTAAAATCCCCCCAAATTTGGCAAAAGTCATAAGCCTACAGATTCAAGAGCACAGTGAACCCCAAATAGGATAACTCAAGAAACCCATGCCCAGACATATCACAATCAAACTTCTGAAAACTAAGGACATAGGAAAATCACCTAGAAAGAAATAATGCATTACCTAAAAAGAAACAATAATTCTAGTAACAGTGGACTTATCATCAGAAATCCTGCAGTCCAGAAGGAAGTGGTACATGTTTCAAGTGCTGAAGGGAAAACAAACCATTAACTGTCAACTCAGGATTCTATATCCAGCAAAAATATCCTTCAGGAAGGAAGAGAGGATAAGAGCATTCTCAGATAAAGGAGAATTTGTTACCAGCAGACCTACCCCAGAAAAATGACTAAAGGAAGTTCTTCAAACAGAAAGAAAATAACAGAAAAAAAACTTAGAATGTGAGGAAGGAATAAATAACAATGAAATGGGTAAAATGGAGTTAAGTAAAATAGACTATCCCTTTACTCTTTAGTTTTTTGTTTGTTTGTTTTGTTTTGTTTGTTCTTTTTAAGACAGAGTCTCACTCTGTCACCCAGGCTGGAGTGCAGTGGCGCCATCTCGGCTCACTGCAAGCTCCACCTCCCAGGTTCACACCATTCTCCTGCCTCAGCCTCCCAAGTAGCTGGGACTACAGGCACCTGCCACCAGGCCTGGCTAATTTTTTTTGTATTTTTTAGTAGAAACAGGGTTTCACCGTGTTAGCCAGGATGGTCTCCATCTCCTGTCCTCGTGATCCACCCGCCTCGGCCTCCCAAAGTGCTGGGATTACAGGTGTGAGCCACCGCGACTGGCCTAGTTTTTTAAATAAAGTTTGATGGTTGAAGCAAAATGTTTGTAAAAACCCACATCATTTAATGTAGTGCTCAGTGTATGTAGAGGAAACATTTAAGGAAATTGTATTATAAAGGAGTGGGGGGATGGTTAAAGGCACCTAAATGGAGATAACATTTCTACATTTTATTTGAAGTGGTAAGATACTGACACCAGCAGACTGCAATAAGTTACATATGCATATTTTAATACCTAGAGAAACCACTAAAAAACTATAAAAGACATATACTTACAATATTTAAGATAAATAAAATAGCATTCTAGAAAATGTTTAAGTAACTCACAAGAAAACAAAACATTAAAAACAGAAACAAACAACACAGAGAACAAACAAAAAAATAACATGGCAGACAGAAGAATAAAATGGCTAACATACTAATAATTACATTAAATGTAAATGATCTAAATGTGCCAGATATTGGCAGAGTGGATTAAAGATCATGACCCAACTACTTTCTGTCTATGAAGAACTTACTTCAAATTTAATAATATACGTAGTTTGAAAGTAAAAGAAGAGGCAGTAAGATGCCCATGGCCTGGGTGGGCAGGGGACAAGCTGAAGTTGGATGTTAAGTTCACAAATCAGAGATGTCACCAAGTTCAGAATCAATGTCAGAGAAGCAATTCTGAGCTCCCACTGTGAAGTGAGTGTTTAACAAATATGATTAATGTGGTTACTGCTGCCCCCACAAATTCATGCTATTACCACATTTGACTGATGATAAAACTATCACTCTGAGTCTTAAACCAAAACTTGCCTGAAACCAAGCTAATGAGTAAGGGACCAGGGGCATCTGCCAAGCACATCCAAATTTTTTCTATATTTCAGACTTAAAGCAGAACTGGAAGGCTTTAAGGAAGGAGAAGGGACAAAGTAAGGGGGCTTGTAGGTTGGAACAGTGAGTTCCAGCAAGATTGTAGATTTCTAGGATGGCCTCATCCTAAAACTCTGAGCCTGAGCCCTGACCCCTAACTCTCACCCCACAGTGCTCACATTCAGGAGAAACCTTGAGTATTGATGATTTTAAGGGCTTTTTGTTTGAAAATTACATGTGGTAATGATATTGTGCATATGATTTTTAAAAAACAATTCTAATTTTTTGGAGATATATATATATATATATATATTTCAGTATTTGCAGACAAAATGGTATGATGTCTGGAATCTGCTTTGAAATAAGCCAATGTGTGTGTGAGTGTGTGTGTGTGGGTGGGGAGGACGTCAGGGTGTTATTGAAATAAAATTATAAATGATTTAATACTTGTTGAAGTTGGCAATTGGTACATGTGGGTCCATTTGGTCTCTCTGCTCTTGTGTATATTTGAAAATTTTTATAATAAAATTGTTTTTTTAAAAGCCACCAAAGATAACCTGGAAAGGAAAGAGAAGCCATGTGCCTGAGGAGAGAAGGGAGGCCAGGCCAGGTTCCCTGGGTTAGGTGGGGGGATGGTGGAAGGATGCTGTTGATGAGCTGACTAGGCGTGTGAATTTTGGGTGTGGCTGGACTTGAACCAGCAGTTTTCCCATTCTCTGGTGCAGCGTTTGTCCACTTAGCCCAGAATGCCTGAGGCTCAAGCACAGCTGTGCCTGCTAGAGGGAGGCCCAGTAAAAGGACATTCCCTTTGAGGAACTGGTGATCCAAAATGCGTACCCCAAACCAAGTGGACATCAATGGGACAAGTCTGTTCAATGCTAAACTGTATCCTTTCGTCCTTCATCACCCCCATCTTGCCCGAATCCACCTGGCACCTATATTCAAGCTTTTATCTTTTCCCATTCTGTTCCTGTTCTACCCTTTTCCCAAAGCCATGTCCACTCCCAGCGGCTTTAGTAAAAGCACTATGCTTCCATGTTCTTAAAATGATTTCTGAGATACCTACCCACTAAGAAATTCCTCCTAAATATTTAGATAAGGGGTGTTGAGTTCTACCACAATTCCTTCCTCACATACATATTCTTCCACCAAATACCTTGACCCATTTGCTTTTCATTACTGTAAAAATGTAAATTCCCAGTTTATTAATTGCCTATCTGTTTCTAATATTTCAGTCTGGCGCAGTGTGGTCTGTGCTGATGTGTCAGCTGCAGGAAGCAGGCATGGTACTGGTTTTCTTAGCTTACTCTGTGTAGTTACTCAAGAAAAGGCTCACCAACAGGCACCTCTCAGATGCTTCAGGAGAGGAGGGCTGTCTTTGTGAAAGGAATAGTAAGAATGGTGAGGTGTCGTTTGTGCTCTCCCCTGTCCCTGGCTGCCTCCACTTCCCTCAGGCATCTAGGACTGAGGCAGCCTTCTCACTAGGACCTCTAAAACCCAACTGCTGTATTTTCTGATGTCAAAACTTCTCAGTCCCATCTCCCCAGGATGCTCCTCCAGGTTAGAACAGCCAATCACTTGAACCGTGCTGGCTTAATGGGTTACTCAATTCTGACTAACATTTGCATTTTAATACTTTGGTCCAAAGGGTAAATATTATAGGCATCTGGAGCACCTTTGGAAGCTGGTGAAGGAGATATACCAGAGTGTGGGTGGTTTCTAGCACCTTCATATCAGTCCATGTCGGCTGCTGCTAGAAGCTGGCACTGTGTTCAAATTATAAATCACCCAATAAACCACGACAAAGGAAAACATTGGCAAGCCACCTCCAGCTGGGTGATGAAGGCTTTATGAAGAGAAGATTCTTACCTGTGCTTAAGGAATATGGGAGCGTCTTTCAGAAAACTGGAGGGAACGCCATCCCTGGACACAACTGGATTTGTCTGCCATGTGTTGGCATGCCTGGGGGCCTTTCACCTCGGGGTTCCATGATTTGGGACAGATTTCATGGTGGGCTCTGTTGAATAGGAAATATACTGTTGGAAATAAGACAGGACAGAAGCCTTCCAGCTCCATCATTCTGAGCTTTTCCTAGGTTCACACTGGGTTTTTTGAGCTCCCAAATGCTGTATCACAGTGAACTCATATGGAAAGGCAAACCTTCTTATCCTGAACTGTATGGGTCAAATACTTCCTTCAAGGCAGACTCAAATGCTGGGAGGATCCCTCCCTCCTCTCTTCCTCTCCAATTTCGGCCTCCTGACGTCAGTGAAGCTTTTACTGGCCTAGACACTTTGGCCTTGGGCCCAGAAAGCATCATTGTGGACAGCCCAGACCTGAGGCTGATGGCCCAGATAATTGGACAATCTGGGCCCAGATACCAGTTTCCAAAACCAAAGAGATTTCTGTGTTGCGTGACCTATCATTTAAGCCAGACAGAAAAGCTTTGACATTTCTTCTCCATTCCCTCTTTTTAAACAATGTAAAATGCTGTTCCACATCTAATTGTACTGGAGAAATGTGACAACTATAATTTTAGGCCTCAAATGCCCACAAACAGTTTTGTAAATCTTACAGACTCTATTCATCAATAAATTGTGTGTGTGATTAACCATTCTAAAATGGCTTTTTTCTTTTTTCCTCATTTAAAAAAATGTATAGCCCATTGACAATAGTTTTAAAATACCGAATTTATTTTAAAGATTTGAAACATATTTGGATAGATAAATATCTATATGTCTTAATATTTTAATTTACGTATAATTAACTTTTCTCATGAACAATTCTGTGAGTTTTTACATACGCATAGATTCTTGTAACCACCACCACATATAGGATTCAAAACAAGTCCAGTATCCCAAAGGATGTGTCCTTTGGGTTTTCCCTTTGAAGTCAATCCCTCCTTCCACACTTAACCCCTGACAATCACTTAATGTGTTCTCCATCACTAAGTTTTCCTTTTCCAGAATGTCATATAAATGGAATCATGTAACAGGTAACTTTAAGCATGACTTCTAACCACAATGCCTTTGCAATTCATCCAAGTCATTGTGTGTATCAAGAGTTTGTTCTGGCCGGACATGGTGGCTCACACCTATAATACCAGCACTTTGGGAGGCTGAGGCGGGTGGATCACGTGAGGTCAGAAGTTAGAGACCAGCTGGCCAAAATGGTGAAACCCAATCTCTATAAAAAGTACAAAAATCAGCTGGGTGTAATAGCACGTGCCTGTAATCCCAGCTACTCAGGAGGCTGAGGCAGGAGAACCTATTGAATCCAAGAGGCAGAGGTTGCAGTGAGCCAAGATCACACCACTGCACTCCAGCCTGGGCAATGAAAACAAGACTCTGTCTCAAAAAAAAAAAAAAAAAAAAAAAAAGAATTAGTTCCTTTTCATTGCTGAGTAGTTTTCTGTTGTATGGATATACAAGTTTGTTTGCCTATTTACCCACTGAGACATATTGGGATCATTTCCACTTTTCTGGCAATTATAAATAATGTTGGTATAAACATTCATGAACTAATTATTGTGTGAATGTAAGTTTTCATTTCTCTATAGTAAATACCTAAGAGTGTGATTGCTGGGTCATATTGTAAGTTTATGGTTAACTTTACAACAACTGCTCAACTATTTTCCAGAGTGATTGTATCATTTTGTATTCCCATCAACAAATGTATGCATGAGAGCTCCAGTTGCTCCTCATCCTCACCAACACTTGGTATTGAGTTCTTTTTTTAAAATTTTGCCATTTTAATAGGCATGTAATGGTGTGTCATTGTAGCTTTAATATGCACTTCCTTAATAGCTAATGGTACTGAGTATCTGTTCATGAGTTTATTTGCTATCCATATATCTTTTGGTGAAGTGTCTGTTAAAATGTTTTGCTCCTTAAAAGTTTTTTTTTTTTTTAATTGAGTAGAGTACATTCTGGATACAATCCTTTGTCTCAGCAGTCCCCAACATTTTTGGCACCAGGGACCAGTTTTGTCAAAGATAATTGTTTCCATGGACTGACAGAGGAGATGGTTTCAGGATGACACTGTTCCACCTCAGATCATCAGGCATTAGATTCTTATAAGGAGCATGCAACCTAGATCCCTTGCATGTGCAGTTCACAATGGGTTCCAAGCTCCCGTGAGAATCTAATGCCACCGCTGATCTGACAGGAGCAGAGCTCAGATGGTAATGCTTGCTGGCCTGCCACTCACCTCCTGCTGTGCAGCCCAGTTCCTAACAGGCTAGTTTTATGTTTTACATGTAGGTCTACGATGCTATTTGAGTAAATTTTTAAATATTCTGTGGGGTGTAGGTTAAGGCTTATTTATTTATTTTTTACATATGGTATTCAGTTGTTCTAGGACCATTTAGAGAAAAGTTTGTTATTTCTTCACCTAACTGCCTTTGCACCTTTGTCAAAATTCAGTTGGCCGTATTTTTGTGAACCTATTTTTTGAGTTTCTGTTCTGTTTCACGTATGCACATATCTATTCATTTGCCAATACTACACTGTATTGACTACTGGAGTTTTATCGTATGTTTTAAAATTAGGTAATATGAGTCCTTGAACTTTGTTCTTCTTTTTAAAGATTTTGGCTATTCTAGTTCCTTAACCCATCCATACACATTTTAGAATAAGTTGTCTATATGTACAAAGGATCTTGCTGATATTTTAACTGGGAATGTGCTAAATCTATAAATCAATTTTGGGATTTATTGACATCTTAAGTAAGCCTTCCAATCTCTGTGAACATGGTATGTCACTCTATTTAGACTTCTTCGATCTCTTTCACTGGTGTTCTGGATTTTTCAGCATGTAAAAGCTGCACATATTTTGACAAATTTACTTATACCTAAGTACTTCATTTTGAAGGCTATTGTAAATGCTTTTAAAATATCAGTTTCCAACTGCCCAGTGTTAGTATAAAGAAATGCAATTGATTTTGTTTATTGATATTATGTTCTGTGACAGGAAAATAAAATATTGGGACCCAAAACTCCCTATGTCAAAGAGAAAAATTAAGTTTGGAAGTGAGTTACCCAAATAAAAGCTGTCTTTTCTTTTTTTACTAAAAATATAACTACAGATAGAAGGTCAAATGTCTCCACAGGTGGCCTCTCTCATCCTGACGATGTAAATTAACAGGTTATTTTTACTAGTACAGGAAAATAGGAGACTAGAAATCATCCCCCAACCCACCCTAACATGAATACATATTTGATTTTTACCTCTACTCTGTGTTTATCTTATGTTAAGTGTAGGTTTCCCAAGTGCAAGATGAATACATAATTGGCTGTTCCCTTTACGCTCCTTCCTTTCCATGCACAACATGTGGATTCAGTGAGACTAATCAAAGCCTCACAAGAATGTGGCCATACACTCCCTCTGTTTTTTTCTTTCCCCTTTCCCCTGCTGCTCACATTTTCCCTTTTAAATATTGAAGCCCTCAAAAGCTTCTTTGGAAAAAGTTTGGGCCACAGATCCTACTGTGGCTTGCATCTCCTTTTCCCAGCAAAATAAACCTCTAAATTGATTGAGGCTCACCTCAGTCATTTTCTTTGGTCTCACAGTGGTATGACCTTGTTCAACACACTAGTTCTAGAAATTTTTTAAAGTGAATTTTCTATATAGACAATCATATCATCTCTTAATAAAGGTAGTAACATTTTTCTTTCAAATCTGGATGCCTATTATTTCTTTTTCTTGCCTTATTGCATTTGCGAGCATTTTAATATGCCATCAAATAGGAGTAGTGAAGGCAGATATCCTTGCCTAGTTCCCAGACTTAGAAAGTATTCAGTCTTTGACTGTTAAGAATGATGTTAGCTGTAGGTTGTCTAGTATATGCCTTTTATCAGATTGAGGAACTTCATTACTATTCTTAGTTTGCCTAGGTTTAAAAAAATTATGCATAAATGTTGAATTCTATCCAGCAGTGTTTTTTCTCCATCTATTGATATGATCATAGCATTTTGTTACTGTTAAGTCTGTGTAGTGGTTAATTTTATTTGTCCACTTGCAGGTTATTTTGGGATGAGTTTAACATTTAAATCAGTAAATTTTGGGTAAAGAAGATTGCCCTCAATAATGTGAGTGGGCCTCATCCAATCAGTTGAAAGTTTAAATAGAACAAAAAGATCAGCCTCCCTGAACAAGAGAAAATTCTCTGGCAGATGGCCATCAGACTTCATCCGCACCAGTGGCTCTTCTGAGTCTTGCCTGCTGGCCTTCAGACTGGAACTGCACCACTGGCTCTCCTGTATCTTGAGCCTGTTACAGAACTGAACTGGGGTCCACTCTCTCAGCACAGTAAGGGCAAACACCCACACTGAGATTTGCAGCAGGAGAAAGAAGAACATTTATTTATAGGACACCAGGCAAGGAGAATTGGGCAGCTCACGCTTAAGACACAACCTATCCAGTGGCTTGCAAGCAAGAATTTTTAAAGGTGGGGATAAATTTCAGGAAAGCAGAAGTTACAGGCAAAATTGTAAAGCAATATATGGAGGTTATACAATGGTTTGGCCTACAAAGTGGGGATATCTTGAAGTGAGGGCTTCTAGGTAATAGCTTCAAAATTTTTCTGATTTGCAATTGGTTAAGGAAGAGAAGCTTTGTTTAAAAATTTGAGGGGAGTAGAAAGATATGCTAAGTCTGACTTGTGTGACTTCCTCCCAGCACTTCAGGAAGAACTTCAGAACAAAGAACAGTGGTCAGAGTTTAGTCCTCCATTCCCCCTTATCTGAGAGGTCTATGTGCCAGTGGATTCATTTAGTGGAGGTCCAGATTTCCAAAAAAGCACTTAGGGACATACGTTAAGATGTTATCTGTAGTCAAATATCCTATGACTCTAACTTCCTTGACTATTGTTTTAAGCTACTATTACCTGCTTGTTTATCAAGTTACTCATTTACTTCTCAGGGCTGGGTTGGTGCCTGAAATTTCCCTTGAAGGAACTCAAGATTTCCTTTAATTTCTATGCCTGCAGGCCCCTAAGATGGACCTCTGCTCTATCTCAAGCCTGCCAGCCCACACTGCAGATTTTGGACTTGCCAGTCTCTATAATCTCATGAGCCAATTCTTTATAATAAATCTCTTTACACATGTATGCATGTGTAAAGAGAGCACTGTTAGGTCATGGAGTGATCTGGTAACAGAGATAGGCAAAATATCATCCTTCAATACTCCTAACCAAACACTTATAAGAAGCAAGGATCTGAGTGTGTATATAATACTTTCCAACATTTTTGTCACACTAGAAGTGTAATGACATTGGCTGGTTGGAGCTAATGTTGCTAGACAAAGAAGTGGGGAAATAAAAAGTTAAGCTCAGGGATATTAGTTTCCAGCACAAATGCTGAATTAATGACCTAAGAGCTTCTATGTCTGCCCTGAAAGAGACCATTATCTCCTGTAGCCTCAGAGCTGAGATTGCTGAAAACCAAACCCAGAATCTCATCCTGCAAGAGGCTGACTTACAATGTAAATTGAATTCCAAGCCTTGCAGAGTGTCCACTGCTAAATGAGGCATCGATTGGAAAGGAACTAGATCCTAAATTTGAAATGGGATGTGTAGAAAGTTGAAATGGGACCCTGATGAAGCTGAGGACATTGAGACCCTAAATTTTGATCAGACTTCTTTGTCAGTAGAAGGAGTCTTTCTGTCCCCAGTATGAGAAGCCTCTCCACCCCAGTGAGAGGAAATTAACCCTGTCTTGTTTAAGGAAGTTGCAATGGCTGCCTCGAGGCAGTTGCCCTGCAAGACAAGGCAGATTGTCCTCAGGGTCCACCCCCAAGACACTTCTTTGTTTCTAAACCTGTAACTAGACTTAAGCCCCAATAGGATCCTAAAGGTAGGGTATGGAGTATGACTCATGAGATGTGCTACACTTTAAAGGAGCTACTTGAGTTTTCTAATTTACACAAACAGGAATCTGGGGCATATGTATGGAAACAGACATTAAGGTTGTGGGATAATGCTTGAAGGAACATAAAGTTGGATGAGGACAAATTTATTGATATGGGCCCACTAAGAAGAGATTCTGCATTTAATATTTCAGCTCAGGGAGTTAGAAAGGGCTTTAAAGTTTGGTTGGTTGGTTGGCTAAAATGAGGACTAAAAGGTGGCCCAGAGTGAGTGAGCTAGAAATACCAGAACTGTCTTGCTATACTCAAAGGCTTAGAGAGATTGGAACGTTAGAATAAATTTGTCATGTAAGGCCTGCTCACAGACCCTGAAACGGTCCAAAACATATACCTTTCACCATGACTGTGAGAAGTAAATTTATGAGGAGAGCCCAAGTGTCTTTGAAGAGCTCTGTGATCACTCTTCTTTGTAGGCCAGACCTTACAGTGGGAACTGTGGTCACTGATTGGGAAACCTACATCAAATGGAGTAACTGGATCTCAGGGTGGCAGGGGACAAGGTATATATTCAGCTGCCACAGGCAAGGAGGATGTGGTTATCATGATGAACAGCAAAGTCACAGCAGCAATCAGAATAGTCTATTTCACTTCTAGGAACACCATGGTCAGCTGCTAACCAATACCATAAGTAGATTTATGTTGTAAGTAGACTTATGTGTTGGTTAACAGTTGACCATGGCGTTCCCAGAAGTGAAATAGACAAGGAGCAAAATAAATTCTTACTTCATCTGTATAAGCATAAAAGTTCTAGGTCAAGTAACCAAAAGTCTAAGCTGAATCACAAAAACAGAGAATCTTGGCCCCTCAATCAATTCCCAGACTTGAGCCAGTTTATCGACCCTTGAACTCCTTGAGCCAATTCCCCCAAATTTATACTATTAATCTTTCTCCCAACTTTCCAAAAGAGACCTATGGCCTTTTACCAGGGTAACTGTGCATTGGGAAAAAGAAAATAATCAGACCTCTAGGGGACTACTGGACACTGGTGCTGAGCTGATATCACCAATGCCAGGAGACCCAAAACATCATTGAGGCCCACCAGTCAAAGTAGGGACTTATGGAAGTCAGGTGATCAATGGAGTTTCAGCTCAGCTGAGTTTCACAGTGGATTCAGCGAGCCTCAGAACCCATCTTGGGCTATTTCTCCAGTTCCAGAATGCATAATTGGAGTAGACATACTCGGTCACAGGCAGAATCCTTACATTGCTCACCTGACCTATGATATGAGGGCTAATATGGTGGAAAAGGCCAATTGGAAGCCATTAGAGCTTCCTCCACATAGAAAAATAGTTAATCAAAAACAATACTGTGTCTATATCCCTGGAAGGATTGCACAGATTGGTGCCACCGTCAAGGACCTGGAAGATGCAGAGATGGTGATTCCCACCATATCCCCATTCAACTTGCCTATTTGGCCTGCACAGAAGACAGATGGATCTTGGAGAATAATGGTGGATTATTATAAGCTTCATCAGGGGGTGAGTCTAATTTTAGCTGCTATATAAGATGGAGTTTCACAGCTTGAGCAAATGAACACAACCCCTGGTACCTTGTACCAGCTATTTATCTGGCAAATGCTTTCCACCAGAAGCAGTTTGCTTTCAGCTAGCAAAGCCAGCAATACATCTTCACTGTCCTACCTCAGGGCTATATCAACTCTCAAGTCCTGTGTTATAATTTAGTTCACAGGATCTTGACTGTGTTTCCCTTCCACAAGGTATCATACTGGTGCATTACCTTGATGACATTACACCGACTGGACCTAGTGAGCAAGAAGTGTAACTACTCTAGATTTATTGAAAAGACATTTACATGCCAGGAGGTAAGAAATAAATCCAATAAAAATTCAGGGGCCGGCCAGGTGCGGTGGCTTACGCCTGTAATCCCAGCACTTTGGGAGGCTGAGGCAGGCAGATCATGAGGTCAGGAGATCAAGACCATCCTGGCTAACATGGTGAAACCCCGTCTCTACTAAAAATACAAAACATTAGCTGTGCGTGGTGGCGGGCACCTGTAGTCCCAGTTACTCAGGAGGCTGAGGCAGGAGAATGGCTTGAACCCGGGAGGCGGAGCTTGCAGTGAGCCAAGATTAGGCCACTGTACTCCAGCCTGGGCGACAGAGTGAGACTCCATCTCAAAAAAAAAAAAAAAAAATTCGGGGGCCTTCTACCTCAGTGACATTTCTAGGGATCTGGTAGAGTGGGGCATTCCAATATATTAGTTCTAAAATGAAGGATAAGTTGTTGAATCTGGCCTCTCCTGCAACAATATCAACAAAAAGGCACAATGCCTAGTGCGCCTCTCTGGATTTTGGAGGCAATATATTCCTCATCTGGGTTTGCTAATCTGATCCATTCACTGAGTGACTGAATAACTCCAAAAGCTGCTTGTTTTGAGTGGGGCCCAGAATAAGAGAATGCTCTGCAACAGGTTCAGGCTGTTGTGCAAGCCGCTCTGTCACTTAGACCATATGACCCAGCAGATCCAGTGGTTCTTGAAGTATCAGTGGCAGATGGAGATGCTGTTTGGAGCATTTGGCAGGCCCCTGGAGATGAATCACAGGAATAGATGGTTAGGATTTTGGGGCAAAGCCTTGCTATCCTCTGCAAATAACTACTCCTTTGAGAAACAGCTCTTGGCCTGCTACTGGGCCTCAGTAATGACTGAATGCCTAATTATGGACCATCAAATTCCCATACAATTTGAGCTGCCCATCATGAACTAGGTGGCGTATGACCCCTAACCCATAAAGTTGGGCATACACAGCAGGACTTCATCATCAAATGAGGGTGCTATATACAAGATTGGGTTCATGTGGGCCCAGAAGGCACAAATAAGCTACACGAAGAAGTGGCCCAAATGCCCATGGTCCCCACTCCTGCCATACTGCCTTCTGTCTCCCAGTCTGCACCTATGACCTCATGGGGAGTTCCCTATGATCAATTGACAGAGGAAGAGAAAGCACTGGCCTTGTTTATGTGATATGCAGGCACCACCTAAATGTGAGCACCTGCAGCACTACAGCCCCTTTCTGGGACATCCCTAAAGGACAGTGGTGAATGGAAATCCTCCCAGTCAGCAGAAATTTGAACAATACACCTGGTTATGCACTTTGCTTGAAAGGGGAAAAGGCTAGACATGTAACTATATACTGAGTCATGGGCTGTGGCCAGTAGTTCGGCTGGATAGTCAAGGACACGTAAGAAACATGATTGGAAAATTGGTCACAAGGAAGAGGTATGTGGATAGACCTCTCTGCATGGGCAAAAAAAAGATGAAGATATTTGTATCCTATGTCAATGCCACCAAAGGGTGACCTCAGTAGAGGTGGACTTTAATAATTAAATGGATAGGATGACCTGCTCTGTGGATATCAATTAGCCTCTTTCCCCAGGGACTTCTGTTATTTCCCAGTGAACTCATAAAAAAAGTAGCCATGGTGGAGGTTATGCCTGGCCTCAGTAACATGAACTTCTACTCATCAAAGATGACCTGACTACAGACACCACTGAGCACCCAATCTGCTAACAGCAGAGACCAGCTCTGAATCTCCACCATGGCATCATTCCCTGCGGTGTTCAGTCAGCTACCAGGTGGCAGGTTGATTATACCGGACTGTTTCTCTCATGGGAGAAGCAGCATTTTATTCTTACCAGAATATATATTCTAGATACAGATTTGCCTATCATGCACGCAATGTTTCTGCCAAGACTACTACTCAGATTTATGGAATGCCTTATCCATTGTCATGGTATTCCACACAGCATTGTGTCTGGTCAAGGAATTCACTTTGCAGCAAATAAAGTGTGATAATAGACCTATGCCCCTGGACATCATTGGTCTTTCCATGTTCCACACCATCCTGAAGCACCTGGCTTGATAGAATAGTGGAATTGGCATTGGAAAACTCAGCAACAGTTTCATCTACGTGACAATACCTTCCAGGTCTGGGGAAAGTTATTTACAAGGCTGTATATGCTCTGAAGTATCCAATATATGGTGCTGTTTCTCCCATAGCCAGGATGAACTTCTACTCATCAAAGATCCAGGAATCAAAGGTCCAGGAATCAAGGGGTGAAAATAGGAGTGACACCATTCACTACCATCCCTAGTGACTCACTAGCAAAATGTTTGCTTCCTGTTCCACAACTTCATATCCCCCTGGCCTAGAGGTCTTAGTACCAAAGGAAAAAATGCTTCTGCCAAGAGACACAACACTGATTCCACTGAATTGGAAGTTAGGACTGCCAACTGAGCATTTTGGACTCCTCATGCCTCTGGATCAAGAGGAAAAAGAGTTACTGTGCTGGCTGGGGTGATTGATTCTGACTACCAAGGGAAACTGGATACTGCTCCACAATGATGGTAAAGAAGAATGTGTCTGGAGCACAGGAGATCCCCTAGGGCATCTCAGTATTACCAAGCCTTGAGATCAAAGTCAATAAAAACTAGAACAACTCAATCCAGGCAGGGCTACTAACAGTCCAGACACCTCAGGAATGAAGGTTTGGGTACCACACTCGATAAAGAACTCCTACTTGCTGAAGTACCTGCTGAAGGCAAAGGGAACATGAAGTGGGTAGTGGAAGGTAGTTTTAATTGCCAGCTATGATCACGTGACCAGTTATAGAAATGAGAACTATAATTGTGATGACTGTTTCTTCCATATTTTTGATGAACATGTTTGTGTGTGTATATATGCATGTATGTACCAAATATCTTTGTTTTCTTCCCTCTCTAATCTCATTATTATATACCATAAGATGTACTGATGTCAGATCACAGTATTTAAGTTTGTTAATGTTACAAGATCCGTGGGGTGCTGCTTTTCTGGCTGGAAATCTCTGTGGCTGGTGGCACCTTTTTGGCTGAGTTTTGTTCAGGCCCACTGGGCTCATTCAGCCCACTCAGCCTGGCAGGCTGTGCTTGGCTCACACTACCAGCCTGGATCCCATACCTGCCAAGGGTGAGCCAGGTGTCAAGTGGTGAGGGGTGTATGAGCAAATAAGCATGGGATCCAGTCACTGCACACAATCAGTCATGCTGGCCACTGCAGCAGGGCAGGCAGCTCCAGGGGTCAGCACAGGCCCTTGCTCTCTGTGAGGCTGCAGTTGGACCAGGTGCACTGCAAGCAGCTTACATGGCTGCCACCGGGGAATGTGGTGGCACCTGGTAGCTTGGAGACTCCAGGAGCTGCTAGGCCACAGAGAGGGAGTCACAGCCCTGGCCTGGGGAGCTTCTAAGTCTGGGCTCCCTGAAGGGCCACAGTTCTTCTCTCCTTCTCTTCACCCACAATGTGGCAAGCAATGGGTGTGTTTCAGCCCTGTTTGTGTCACAGCTTTTTCAGTCCTGCCATGTGGCAGGTCCTGAGTTCTTGCCCTGTGTCCAGGAAGAATGAGGTATGCAGACAAGTGGAGGGTGAGCAAGGTGAAGAAGAGCTTTACTGAGTGACAAAATAGCTCAGAGGAGGCCCTGCAGTGGGTAGCTCCTCTCTGCAGCCAGTTGTCCTGATGTCTGCTCAGCTGTGGCTGAGCCCAGGGCATTTATGGGCCTCAGAGGGGAGGAAGTGCACACCAATTGGTCCACAGGCAGCCATGGGCTGGCCTGGAAAACACACCACAAGTTTCCATTCTGGTCTGTGGGACTCGAAGCCCAGCCTGCAGCCTTCAGGCCCTCCCTGGGCAGAAGGTGAGTCCTTACTGGGCACCTACCCCCTTCCACTCAGGAACCTGTGTGTCTCCTGCTACATTCATGGTGCCCGTGCTGTAGGTGCCAATGGGCACCTGCAGGCCAGCATCAAGCTGCCCTCAGTGCCCCCTTGGCTTCCCTCCTATGCTCAACAGTGCCCAAAGTCTGGAGGGGGCCTAGGCAGCAGGTGGCTGGTGTGTCAGCACTGCCCTGAGTGTGTGCACACCTGGCTGGGCTGTGATAGTGTCCGGGCTTGGCCCTGACTTTTCTCTGAGATCAGTGCAGGCACTGGCAACAGGGAGAAGCCAGGCAGCAGGATAAGGTACTTCCAAGCCTGCAAGGGCAGGGGGAGACTTCTGGAGTCCCCAAGAGTGCAGGGATGCCTGGGTCCACAACTGTGGTTTGGGTTGCTGCAGCTCTGCCTGGTGGGGTGGGGATTCTGCCTGCTCCATGAAGCAGGAGGCCCTGGTCAGCAGCCATGACTTGGGTGGCTGCGGCTGCACCTGGGGAGCTCCCTTTCCATCAACTCAGAAGGGGCAGGGTTCCCATTTGTCCCTGGCTCCTGCCAGCTCCACGGAGTGTGCAGCCCTGGCCACGCCTCCCTGTTGCAGCCAGAGTGATGGCAGCAGCTGCTCCAGATGGGCCTCTGCTGCCATCATTAACTTTATATCATAGCATTTAAATTACTGGATATCAGGGAAAGGAGTAAACATCCAATGACTTTGCTTTCTTTTCTGGGGAAGAAGTTAGTGCATTTTCAGTTGTGTGCAAGACAATTGTATCCTAAGAAGATGCATTCAGATGCCAGGTTGACAAGAAGTAAACTTGTGACGGTTCATTTTATGTGTCAACTTTGAGGATGTTTTTGGATGAGATTATTTAAAACAATTTACTGTTGGTAAAGAAGACTGCCCTCCATAACATGGGTGGGTCTCATTGAATTAGTTGAAGGCCTGCATGAAAAAAAAAAAAGACTGGTCTCCCCAGCAAGGTAAAATTTTTCAGCAGTCTGCCTTTAAATCTCATCTGCCCCATTGGCTCTTCTAGGTCTCAAGCCTACTGGCCCACACTACAGATTTGAATTTCCCAGCCTCCATTCCATAATTTATGTAAATCAGTTCCCCATAGGAAATCTCTTTCTCTCTCTTTCTCTCTCTCTCTCCCCCTCTCCTCTCCCCGTCCCTCTCCTTCCTCTCCCTTTTCCTCTCCCTCTGTCCATTTCTGTTGGTTCTGCTTCTCTGGATAACTCACTAATGCAGCCTATTAATGTGGTGAATCACATTCATTACCTTCAAATATTGAGTCATTCTTATTTAGGATAAATTCCACTTCATTATGATGGATTTTTAAAAAATATTGCTGTATCCAATTTGCTAATATTTTATTGAGGACTTTTGGGTCTATAGTCATAGGAGTATTGGTCTGTGGTTTTCTTTTCTTGTGCTTGTCTTAGTTCAGTTTTGGTATGACAGTAACATTGGCCTACTAAAGAAGTTAAGAAGTGTTCTCTCCTTTTCTATTTTCTGGATGGGTTTGTTAAGTATCACTGTTATTTTTCATTTGAATGTGTGGCCAAATTCACAATGAAACCATCTGGCTTGGAGTTTGCCTTTTTGGTTTTGTTTTTAATGGCGAGTTCAAATTTTAAAAAATATATAAGACTATTTACACAGTTTATTTCTTCTTGATTTAATTTTGGTAGTTTGTGGCTTTTAAGAAATTGGCTCATCATCTAAATTATTAAATTTATGAGCATAGAGTTGTTCATAGTATCCCTTTATTATCCTTCTGATGTATTTAAAAGGTGTCAGATACTATGAACAACAATCAGGAATACCTTCTTTTTCCCCCTGATGTCGGCAATTTGTTTCTTTCATCTTTTTTTCTTGGTCAGTCTGGCTATAGGTTTATCAATTTTATTGACTTTTTTAAAGAATCAAATTTGGTTTTATTGATTTTATCTGTTGTTTTTACCTCTTAAATGTCGTTGATTCCTGCTCTCATCTTTATTATTTCTGCCCTCCTAGCTTTAGGTTTATTTTACTCTTTTTTCTAGCTAATTGAAGTGGAAGCTTAAATTATTGATTTGAGACCTTTCTTCTTTTATAATATATATTTCATATACCATAACTTTTCCTCTAAACACTGCTTTAGCTCCATCCCACAAATTTTTATATGTTATATTTTCATTTTATTTACTTCAAAAGATTTTTTAATTTCCCTTGAGACTTCTTTGTTGGCCTATGGATTATTTAGAAATACATTATTTAATTTTCAAATATTTGAAGATTTTCCAGACATTATTCTAATATTGATTTCTAGTTTAATTCCTTTATGGCCATAAACCATACTTGAATAATTTAAAAAAAATTAAATTTAACTTAAAAAAATTAGAATATGATCTTATTTTGTAAATGTTCTATATGTACTTGAAAAGAATGTGTATTCTGCTTTTGTTGGGTGAAGTATCTACACATATCAATTAGGTTGAGCTGGTTGATGGTGTTCTTCATGTCTTTTATATACTTGCTGATTTTCCATCTATTTGTTTGATTACTGAGAGAAATGCTTAAATCCACAACTGTAACTGTATATTTGTCTATTTCTCCTTTCAGTTCTATTTGGTTTTACTTTATGTATTTTGAAGCCCTGTTGTTAGGAACATACACATTTAGGATTGTTATGTCTTCTTTAAACCTGTAATTTTTTTAGTATTTAAAAATAATCTTATAGAATGAGGTGACATTCAATTGAAAAAAAAGCACAATGGATTAACCCTTTTTAAAGAAAAACTTTATTTTTAATGTGTACTCTGAATTTCCTCATTTTTTAAAGCAAAGAGCCTCTGGAAATCATATTACATTATAGGCTGCTGTGACTAAGTTTTGATTAAATGTTTTTTTTCTTTCCTAAATATCTCCCTTTGTTACATTAGTTAAGTGTAGGTCCTCATTTTGGTTGGTGTAATTCCAAAAAATCAAGGGTAGGGTTTTTTCCCTTCAGGCCCCAAAGCCACAGTCAAAAGTAGTCAGTTGTCTCTCTCTCCCTATGCCCCTCCTTCTGCATGGGTTTCTGTGTGTGTTTACTTGTAAAACATACCAACTCCCATGGAAAAACGATCAAATCTCAAAACTAAAATACAGAAGCTCCGCTTTTACCTATAGCCTTGCTGCCAGTTATTTTCAGACAAGGGTTAGGATGTATGTTTTCCAGAGTTCCCCAAAGTGAGCCAGTGTACAGTGTTGGCCCTGACAAGCACGGGTGGGAATGAGGGAAAATAAAGAAATTTTCGCCCTTGCGTCAGGCTCTGGAAAGCAAAATTCAGAAAAAAGGCTGAGAAAAGCTTTCTTCCGAAGAACCTTTCTAAGCATTGTTGGAATCTGGCTTGAAAACAATGCACAGCATTTGACATTTCTTCATATTATGCCAAAGGTAGTTAACTAAGGAAGGTGCCAGCTCAGGTAGGAGATTTGAGACCTCATGGGTTGGCCCTGGAGTGATTATCTACTGCACTAGTCTACTGGACCTTCTCCGTTCTTCCAGCTTCAACAGCAAGAGGCCCCAGAGCTGTCATCCACGTCTCCTTACACGTTGGACATCTGCTTCAAGAACCCCTCCAATTAAAAGAGCAGGAAACTCCCCGGTGGCTGTTTACCACGTCCCCCACAGACCATGAAGTGAACATCTGATAACCGGCCGGGGGAGGAATAAACTCACTTTAGCTCATAGTTACGGTTTAACAGGTCCCTGTGTGTTTATTCATAGAACCCTGGTTGGTTGGACTTGAGTTTAAATAGTTGACAGGAAGCAATACCTTCCTTCCTGATATCCCGAGCTCATCCAGAGCCAGAGGATGAACTTTCCAGGTTGGTTTACCGTCCCTATAAATAAACATAATGTCTGTATTCATAGAAGACCCACTGCCTCCGAATAAGTGGAGCTTGAATAATTGACGTCCTTCATAAACTCCCACTGTGGCGGAAGCAAGCCTCTTGGCCCTGGGGGCTCTTAGTGACCTCTGGGTGTCTTCAGCTCCTGGTGACCCAGAGTGAACAAACAAGTCCCCTGGCCACACCATGAAGGCCACAGGAAGCTGCAAGCTCACAAGCCCTCCTGCACATGTGGTTAGCCTAAGGAAGACCACAGCAGGTATTTTTAAAGCTCTGCTCTAGGAATTGCTTAGGAGAAATGGCCCTAAATGGCTTAAACTCAAGGATGGGAACTGCCTACTGAAATCGATAGGCCTTTTTTGTGGTAGGCAAGGGAGTGAGAGTGGCCAGGTCCTTGAGAGCGCTGTCCTGCTTCCGTGCTTGTGCGGGTGACAGGGAGATTCTGGCCTCACTGTTCAGGGACAGCCACACTTGACAGGTGCTCCCCAGCAGGCCATACCCAGGATTGGTGCTAGGGCCACTGTGTGTACCTACATGGCATCCGCAAGCCCAGCCTGAGCGCAGCTGGCGATGGCTTATTCTAACCCCAAGGCCAACATTCCATTCCACCATCCTGTCCTGTTCTCTTGGGTTTGTTTCCAGATACAAGTGAGGATTCAGAGGATGTCCTGGACTGCTGAAATCCCTTTGATCTATTGCTTCCCACCCCAGGCAAAATGGCCTCTAGGCTTCACCATGATTAAATGACAGTACCACAAGAGAAAGAGGCATGGCTCGCTGCAACCGCAAGCTGTGCTGGCTACAAAAGAACCTTTCCATTCAGCTCAAAGCACACTGTTCAGAGACTGGCTTGTTGTAGCTGTGCACATGGTGTTGGCTTCAAAGGTAAGTTATTTCCTTGATGCTGTTTTGTTTTTTACTTGGTTGTTGTTCAGTACATGACATTGCTTGCTCTGCCTTATTTGGGCGTCATGGGAAGTGCTGGAATCTATTTGTGGGGATAAACACAAAAATAAACACTTGCAGAAGAGGGCATCTGAGGACACCTGAGACTGTTTAACTTGTGCCTGTGACTGAAGGGAAGTGGGTTCTAACCTGGCTGCCTTTGATGTGTGGTGGAAGGAGCCCAGGGCAGCGGGGCCAGTCACGCAAGGACATCGCTCAAGGCCCAGACCACCCTCCCTAATTGAGCCCAGCAGACGGCAAAGCTGGGAAAGGCACCCAGATTCCAGCTCCACTGCTGGCATGGGCCTGGGCAGGCAGCTGAGCGGCCCATCGGGTGGGGACAGTGGCTGATTGTCTGGCTGAAAACAAGCCTGGGGGATTGTGTGTCGTGGGGAAGGGATCCCCGTCTGATCTTCATCCACAGGGACCTGGGGCACCTGGAGCCCTGTCAGAGCCCTGCTCCCAGGTTTCCGGCTGAATGGCCCAACAATGTTTACAGCCCTTACCCCCGGGGGGGTGGGCGCCCCCAAGGTCCAGGCACCTGAAAGCAGAGAGGACTCACCCTTGTGTTATTATTCCCCAGGCTGCAGAGCCATGCTTGTTTCAGGCAGGCTGTGGACAGGTATGCACCAGCAGACACCCAACACCGAGCAAGGGGGTGGCAGGAGACACACGCACACCTGGGCCGTTCCCCTCACAGGTACGAAGCCGCTTCCCTGGGGGAGGCTTTTTATATCTGCCGACAGCGATCATGACAAGATAAAATGCAAGGATGCCTGGGTTTCTTGTCAAAGAAAATGAAGCTTATTCCAGGGCACCAGCACCTCCCCTGCAGGTCTGAAGCAGTCCAGCTCTAAAGGCTAGGAACCTTTTGTTTGCTGAGAATATTCTGGAATTTTTCAGCAGTTATTACAGCCCAGATGTAACGTCTGAAATGCATGAACAGAGCCTAAAGCACTCAGCCTCGCAGGGAACAGTTATGTCCCCTGTATATCCAGGAGTCTTGGTTTGGGGGCGTCATCTGAGGATTCCAGCAACGCTCACAGCCCACCCCACCCCACTGCAGCCCCCTAGGGACCACAGTTGATTCTGCCAAACTAACTCTGAATCCTAACAGACGCTTAGGTTTTATAGCTGTTGTTCCTGGACACTGTGCAGCCACTGGCTCTTTTTTATTTTGCTCCACGGGTCCCAGGTTTTCGTCTGCAGAATGATTTGTTTCTCTAGTTCTCAGTTCACTTGGCGCTATGTGCGCCCCTCCAGGCCGTGCCTCGCTCCTTGGCCCACCCAGGCCTGTCCCAGCTCCCAGATGCACAGAAGGGAGCCCCGGGGGGCCTCGTCCAGCGCAAAGCCCAAAGCCTCCTTGTGCTTCCCACATGGTTCCCGTCTCACTCCCCTGCCTTCCTTCTCTTCTCCAGCTTCAGATCCCATCACTGAAAAGGTCATACTGATTTTGACCCTTGGGCGCGTTCTAGGACTTGGTTTTGCTTTTGCTCACTCCCTGGCTTCACTCTGTGACTGCACTGGGTCACAGACCTTCCCCGGGTCTCCTCCCACTAACAACCCCGTTCCATTTGGTCCTGGCCCCCAGAACACCTGCCCAGTGTGGCTGGTTCTCCCTTTGGGCGTGAAGGCGGGGTACAACTCAGTCCCTGTTCACTGTGTATTTGTCTGGTTTTAGCACACAGAGTAAACAAGCAGAGGCACAAGCAGGGCTAGTTAAGACCTTAGATCTTCCATGGAGTCACACTTTGCAGGTCTCACCTCACGTTGTACCAAACCTACCAAGGCACCTTCCCTCCCTGGGTGCACCTCACCTGGACCTCCAGGCGAGTGGAGCTGCACTGCACACGCTGCCATGCATTCATTCTGGTGGACGTTTGATGGACCACACGGTGACTTCTGTTGGCAGCATTTTTGGCTTATTTTCCAGCCAATGACTCCCCGGTGTCCTCATCCAGAGGCAGCTGCTGATAAGCTGCCCCAGTTTAACCTTCACAGACACAAAGGCCGTGGATGTGGCCCTTGGTTTTCGCCTCCCTGCTGAAAACAACAACAAACCTCGAAACACCACCACTCGGCTTCTTTGGTTCCTGCTTCCCTACCCTCCTATGGAGTCTCTGATTTCTAGCCATCCATCTTACCCTGCAGATGGTCGCAGTACACAAGGGAAATTTACATGGAACAGCGGTGAGCAAAAAGACAGAAATGCTCTCCTTTTCCTGGGCCAGGTATGCACACTCGCCCACCCTTTCCCACATCCCTCCACTTCTTCTCCTCTGCTTTAGAGTCCAAAGTTCTTCAGGAACTTACCCCAGAGACGACCCTTCTGCGCTTTCCCAGGGGCTTTTTTGCACTACAGCCTCTCCTCATTAAAAATAACAACACACACAAAAAAATAAAAAACAAAAACTGATCTTGCTCCCACATCTCCTTCCAGATCCAATCCCTCTGTCCCTTCTCTGCCAGCATTCACCTGGAATTTGTCTTTTTGTGTCTGAGCTCTTTTCCCCCAGGCATTGTGATGCTGTGTCTATCAAACCCGACATTCTGACCAATGCCCTACCTAGCCTGTCGAGTGGTTATTGTATTCCATTGCTCTGTTTTTGTACCAGTACTGCACTATTTTAATGACTCTGGCTTTGCAAAATGGCCTAATGCCTGGTAGAGAGAGGTTGTTTTTGATGATGGTGTTTAAAATTGATTTAGCTCTTCAAATTCCTTCATTGTTTCATATAAATTTTGGAATCGGTTTCCAAAGATGAATCAAAGAATCTTAATTGCATTTGCACTTAATGTATTAATTTGGAAGTAAAGTAACTAGATCTCTACAATGTTGAATTTTTCTATGCCTAGACAGTAAATATCTATTTATTTATTTTAATTTTTTATGTCTTTCAGTGTTTTCTAATAATCTCCATAAAGTTTGCACATTCTTGTTAGGTGTATTTTATATGGGTGTATGTATATGTCTTGCAGATGTGACATTTTAAATGTTACATTACTAGTTTCTTATTGAATATTTAATGAATAATTGTTAATTTTTATAACTTTATTTTGTATTCATATACCCTTCCTCACTGTCTTACTAATTCTATTATTTTATCCATTGAGTTGCTTGTCTTTTTTTATATGGATGATGATAAATTACTTACAATTTTGTCTACCTTTCTAATTCTTATTCTTGTCTTGTTGCATTGTTTAGAATCTCTAGTACTCTATTCAATAGTAGTGGTGATAATGGGCATTTTCCCACATTAAATATGTTGTTTTACTATTACATAAGCTGTCTGCAGTAGATTTTTGATAAGTGCCAATTATTATTTTCATGATATTTCCTTCTATGGTTATGATGTGCATGTTTTCTTGTGAACGCGCTTTAAATTGTATTGAGTGCTTTTTCTGTATCTTTCGAAAGGTACATAGATGTTTCTTCTTCTTCTTTTTTTTTTTTTTTTTTTGAGATGGAGTCTTGCTCTGTCGCCCAGGCTGGAGTGCAGTGGCACGATCTTGGCTCACTGCAAGCTCTGCTTCCCAGGTTCACGCCATTCTCCTGCCTCAGCCTCCCGAGTAGCTGGGACTACAGGCGCCCGCCACCATGCCCGGCTAATTTTTTGTATTTTTAGTAGAGATGGGGTTTCACCATGTTAGCCGGGATGGTCTCCATCTCCTGACCTCGTGATCCGCCCACCTTGGCCTCCCAAAGTGTTGGGATTACAGGCGTGAGCCTCTGCACCTGGACTTTTCTTCTTTAATATATTAACGAGGTGAAATATGCATACATTATACCTAATGAAAGAACCATCTTTCCATTTCTAGTGTAAGCCTAACTTAGTCATGACAAATTATTATTTTAGGACACTACAGATTAGAATCCCTAACATTTCCTGTAGGACTTTTACATTTATATTTCTAAGAGACTTCTAAGTGACCTGTACTTTTTCTTTCTTATAGGAACCATTGCATTTATTTTAATACAGATTATATTTACACAAAAAATAAATTAAAAACTTATTTATTTTTATCTGTAAGATATATGTTATGTAAGTATTTTATCTTATTTAATTCTTATTATCTGTAAGGACTTATAAAAATAGGAATTATCTGTTCTTTGGCAATTTGATAAAAATATACCCAAAAAATCTGAGTGAGGTTGTAGATTGCCACCTGATTTTCTTGATTGCAACTGGTTTACTTTGGCAGCTTATATTCTATATATTCTTTGGTTTTTCAAAAGTGTATGAAATAGTTGTTCATAATATCTTCTTTGATCTAAAACATTTTTTCAGTATCTATAGTTATTTCCCTTTTTAATTGCCAGATTTGGGGTTTCGTACCTTCTTTTTCAATTGATTCATTCTGTCAAAGGATTTATTTAAAATCTTAATAGTTCTTTCAAAGAACCTCGGTTTTATGAATTATCTCTAGTACCTACTCTCCCCCAATCCATGTATTTCATTAACTTTTGCCCCCTTTTTTATTCTAAGCCTAATTTTTTCAATCTTTCTTGTTTTCTGCTAAATATATTAAAACTATATGTCTCCCTCTAAGTATTGTTTTGGATATATTCCACAGTTTTTGATAAGTAGTATTTTTATATTTATTTCATTGAAAAATGATAATTCCATTATGATTTCCTTTTAATCCACAAATTATTGAAAAGTAAAGCTTTTAGTTTTCAAACATGGAATGTTTTCAGTGAATTTTTTCTTTGTTGATTCCTGATTTTATTGTATCATGAAGAGAGAATGCAGTCTGTATGATGTTGGTTATTTGGAATTTGTTGAGACTTTCTTTGTGGCCAAATATGTGATCAATTTTCATAACTGTTCTGTGTGCTTTTTGTTTTCTATATACAAAGTTAATATTAAGTTTATAATTGAATTATTCCATTATCTACATCCCTCTTTGTTTTTTGCCTGGTTGGTGTTTTCATTTTTGAGAAGTTTGCTAACATCTACTATAATATGGATTTATTTTCTCGATGGGTGTATTGTTTATTTTATCAGTATAAAATGTATTTCTTCACCCCTTTTAATACTGTTGCTTTAAACTTTATTTGGTGTGACATTAGTATTTCTATTATAGAATTTCTTTGTTCACATTTGCCCATTTTGTTAGCTTGTTTGTCTTTCTATTATTAAGTTGTAGCAGTACTTTAAGTATACTGGGTACCAGTTTTTTATTTTGTCAGATATATGTTATGTGCATGTGTTATCTTACTCTGTGGCTTGTCTATTCGTTTTCCTCACTGGGCCTTTTGATCAGCAGAAGATTTAATTTTGATGAAGTCTAATTTATCAGGTTTTTTTTTCTTTTATTGTTATTGCTTTCTGTTTTGTCTGAGAAACCTTTGCCTATGCCCAAGTCCTGAAGACATTCTATTTTCCTTTAAAAGCTTCATGGTCCATTTCAAATTAATTTTTTTTTTTTGAGATGGAGTATCGCTTTGTCACCCAGGCTGGAGTGCAGTGGCGTGATCTCGGCTCACTGCAACCTCTGCCTCCTGGGTTCAAGTGATTCTCCTGCCTCAGCCTCCTGAGTAGCTGGTACTATAGGCGTGTGCCACCACACCAGGCTAATTTTTTGTATTTTTAGTACAGATGGGGTTTCATCATGTTAGCCAGGATGGTTTCGATCTCCTGACCTCGTGATCCACCTGCCTCAGCCTCCCAAAGTGCTGGGATTACAGGTATGAGCCACCGCATCCAGCCATAGTATTCTTATTTTATATTGCTGGATAGTATTTGCCAATATTAGTAAAATTAGCAATTAGTAATAGTAATTACTATTACTTATTAGCAAATCAGTAATTAGTAATAGCACTTGCATTATTACTAAACTAATTAGTGATAGTTTGTCTATTACCTTATATACACATCCAATAGGCTATACAAGGATAAATAGCAATAATATTAGCAAATATTAACAAATTAGTAATAGTAATTACTATTGCTTATTAGCAGATTACTAGTTAGTAATAATAACTGCATTGCTGGTATAAACTATTTCGTAGTGAAGTAGTATCCTTTTTATATATTGCTGGATGGCATTTACTAGTATTTTGTTAAGTTTTTTTGCACCTAGAGTCGTAATTCTCTTCCTTCTTTCCTCCCTCCCTCCCTCCCTTTCTTTTCTTTTTGTCAGGCTATTATTTGGTATTAGGGTTGTGCTGGTATCACTAAATGGGTTGGAATGTTTTTCATCCTCCTCTGTTTTCTGAATAAGTTTACATAAGATTGGTATTATTTCTTAAATGTTTAATAGAATTAATCAGTGAAAACATTTGGACCTGGAATTTTCTTTACTGGAGGAATTTAATTTCTTTAATATAGGACTATTCCTAATTTTTGTTTCCTCTTGTATTAGTTTTGGTTAGTGGTGTTTCTCTAAGAATTTGTCTATTTCATCTAAGTTGTTAAATTTTTTGGCATAATACTGTTCATTATATTTCTTCTTCTATCCCCCTGATATTGGTGATTTGTGTTCTCTCTCTCTCTCTCATCAGTTTAGCTAAGCATTTATTAATTTTCTTAATCTTTTCAAAAAACCAACTTTTGGTTTTTAATTTTTTCTCTATTATTTTCCATTTTGTTGATTTCTGCCTGTATCTTTATTGTTTCTTTTTTTCTACTCAACTTTGCTTTTTTTCCCCAACTTCTTAAGGTGAAATCATAGGTCATTGATTTAAGATTTTTTAATTTTATAATGTAAGTTTCTGAGCTGTAATGTTTTTATCTAAATTCTGCTTTACTCAAATTCCTAATTTTAATGCGTAGGGTTTTTGATTTTCTATCATTCAGTTTTAATATTTTTAAATTTTCATTGTGACTTTTTTTTTACTCATAGATTACTTAGAAGTGTGTTATTTGTTGCCAAATATTTGGGATTTTCCTAGATATTTTATTCTTATAGATTTCTAAGTTAGTTCTGTAATTATCAGGGAACGTAGTCTATGTGATTTAAATCCTTGTAAATTTATTTAGTTTATTTAATAACCTATCATATGGTATATCTTGGTAAGCAAACTATGTGAACTTAAGAATACAGATTCAGCAATTTTAGATATATTGTCCTAAAACATCAATTAGATTAGAGTGGCTGATAGCATTATTCAGTTCATCTATATCTTTAGTGATGTTTTGGACTAGGTTTTATGACTATTCTTGAGAGAGCGATGTTTACAATTTTAACTTTGTGGAACTGTGTGATTCTTTAATTCTGTCAATTTTTGCTTCATGTATTTTGAAGCTCTGTTATTAGCCATATGTTTATCTATAATTTTTATAGATGAATCTAATAAATTGACCCTTTTATCATCATGACTTACCCTTCTTCATCTCCAGTAAAACTATTTGTCTTATGGTCAGTTTTGTCTGATATTAATGTAGCCATTCCAGTCTTCTTCTGCTTCCTGGTAGCATGGTACAAATGTTTTCATCCATTTACTTTCAACCTATGTGTGTCTTATTACATATAAGTCGTACCTCTTATAGATAGCATATAGTTGGGTTTTGCTCTTTCATCCATAATGATAATATCATTCTTTTAATTGTCATGTTTGTTCTATTCTGTGATGGTTAATATTAAGTGTCAACTTGATTTGATTGAAGGATGCAAAGTATTGTTTCTGGGTGTGTCGGTAAGGATGTTGCCAGAGGAAGTTAACATTTGAGTCAGTGGACTGGGAAAGGAACACTCACTGTCAGTGTGGGTGGGTACCTTTCCATCAGCTGCCAGTGCAACTAGAAAAAGCAGGCAGAAGAAGGTGAAATAAACTGGCTTGCTGAGTTGTCAGGCTTTCGTCTTTCTCCCGTGCTGGATGCCTCCTGCCCTTGAACATCAGACTCTGAGTTCTTTGGCCTCTTGGACTTATGCCAGTGGTTTGCCAGGGGCTCTTGGGCCTTCAGCCACAGATTGAAGGTGGCACTGTCAGCTTCCCTACTTCTGAGGCTTTGGGACTCAGATTGAGCCACTACTGGCTTCCTTGCTCCTCAGGTTGCAGACAGCAAGTGGGACTTCGTCTTGGTGATCATGTGAGTTAATTTTCCTTAATAAACTCCCTTTCATATATACATATATCCTATTAGTTCTGTCCCTCTGGAGATCCCTAATACAGATTTTGGTACCAGGAATGGGGTACTGCTATAAAGATCCCTGAAAATGTGGAAGTGACTTTGGAACTTGGTAATGGGCAGAGGTTGGAACAGTTTGGAAGGCTCAGAAGACAGGAAGATGTGGGAAAGTTTGGGACAGACTTGTTGAATGGTTTTGACCAAAATGCTAATAGTGATATGGACAATAAATTCCAGGCTGAGGTGGTCTCAGATGGAGATGAGGAACTTATTGGGAACTGGAGCAAAGGTCACTCTTGATATGCTTTAGCAAAGAGACTGGAGGCATTTTGTCCCTGCCCTAGAGATCTGTGGAAATTTGAACTTGAGAGAGTTGATTTAGGGTATCTGGCAGAAGAAATTTCTAAGCAGCAAAGCATTCAAGAGGTGACGGGCTTTTCCTGGAAGTGTACAGGTATATGAGCTCACAAAGAGATGGTTTGAAATTGGAGCTTATGTTTAAAGGGGAAGCAAAGAATAAAAGTTTAGAAAATTTGCAGCCTGACCATGTGATAGAAAAGAAAAACCCGTTTTCTGGGGAGAACTTCAAGTTAGCTGCAGAAATTTTCATGAATAATGAGGAACTGAATGTTAATTGCCAAGACAATAAGGAAAATGTGTCTAGGGCATTTCAGAGATCTTCAAGGCAGCCCCTCCCATCACAGGTCCAGAGGTCTAGGAGGGAAAAATGGTTTCATGGGCCAGGCCCAGGGCCCAGCTGCTTTGTGCAACATAGGGACTTGGTGCCCTGTGTCCCAGCTGCTTCAGCTCCAGCCGTAGCTAAAAGGGGCCACAGTACAGGTCAGGCCATTGCTTCCGAGTGTGCAAGCCCCAAGCCTTTGAGCCTTCCACATGGTGTTGGGCCTGCAGGTGCACAGAAAACAAGAGTTGAGCTTTGGGTGCCTCTGCCTAGATTTCAGAAGATGTATGGAAACACCTGATTGTCCAGGCAGAAGTCTGCTGCAGGGGCAGAACCCTCATGGGGAACCTCTACTAGGGAAATGCAGAGGGGAAATGTGGGGTTGGAGTCCCAACACAGAGTCCCCACTGAGGCACTGCCTAGTGGAGCTGTGAGAAGAGGGCCACCGTCCTTCAAACCCCAGAATGGTAGATCCACTGATAGCTTGCACCATGCACTTGGAAAAGCCTTAGGCACTCAGTGCCAGCCAGTGAAACCAGCCACAAGGGATATCTATTGGTTTTAACTATACCATTGCATTTTTAGATGTTTGTCTTGGGGATAACACTCCTAACCCTCCACAGTTTACTTCCTATTAATATTGCACCATTTACCTAAAGTGTAGAAACCTTGCAGCCATATAGGACCATTTCCCATTCCTCTGTTTTTTATGCTATAGTAATCATATGTGTTACCTCTACATATGTTACCTCTCAAGGCATTGTTCTGTTTTTCCTTTGACAGTTTTATATATTTTTAAAAATTAAAAGAGAAATAGTATATTTACCCAGAAATATACTATTTCTTATGTTATTCTTCCCTTCCTAAAGATCCAGTTTTCTGTTTAGTATCATTTCCCTTCAGCCTCAGGAACCTCTTTAAGCATTTCTTATACTGAAGTTTGCTGGCTACAAATTCTCTTAATTTTCTTTTTACCTAAGCATGTTTTTATTTCATCTTTATTCTTGAAAGATATTTTCACCGTATATAAACTTCTGAGTTAATGGTTTTTTTGTTTCAAAGCTTTTAAATAACTTCTCATCTCCATTGTTTCTGATGAGAAGTCAGTGATAACTCAAATGTTTTTCACCCATATGTATTTTTTTTCTGGCTTCTTTTGAGATTCTTTCTATAAAAAACTTGTTTTCAGAAGTTTGACTCTGATGTGCCCTGGCTTGGTTTTCTTTGTATTTGTACTTCTTGGAGTTTACTGAGCTTCTTTAATCTTTAAAATTTAGAAATTTGGAGCTATTTTTTTTTCTGTAGAAATTATTTGCAGTTTAAAACTTGTGATAAGATATAGATCACATAGAACTTTATGTATACAATTTGGTAGTTTTAAGAACATTCACATTGCTGTGCAACCCAACTCCAGAACTCGTTTCATTTCGCCAAAGTAAAACTCTACACCCACCACAGAAATCTCTATTCCCTCCTCCCTTCAGGCCCTGGTAACCAGCATTCTATTTTCCGTCTCTATAAATCTGACTATTCTGGGTATCTCATGTAGGTGGAACCATACAGTATTTGTCCTTTTCTGACTAGCTTATTTCACTTAGTACCGTGTCCTCAAGGTGCATCCACGCTGTAGCATGTGTTCAAATTTCCTTCCTTTCTAAGGCTGAAGAATATCTTGCTGTATGTATACACCACATTTTGTTTATGTGCTCATGCATCGATGGACACTTGTGTTGCTTCCATCTTTTGGCTACTGTGGATAATGTGACTATGAAAACTGGTGTACAAATACCTGTTGGAATCCCTGCTCTCAATTCCTCTGGGTATATGCCCAAACATGGAATTGCTGAATCATATGGTAAATCTCTTTTCAATTTTTTTTTTTTTTGAGACAGCGTTTCACTCTTGTTGCCCAGGCTGGAGTACAGTGGCACAATCTCGGCTCACTGCAGCCTCCACCTCCTGGGTTCAAGCAATTCTCCTGCCTCAGCCTCTCGAGTAGCTAGGATTACAGGCGCCTGCCACCACGCCTGGCTAATTTTTTGTATTTTTAGTAGAGACGGGGTTTTGCCATGTTGGTCAAGCTGGTCTCAAACTCCTGACCTCAGGTGATCTGCCCGTCTTGGCCTCTCGAAGTGTTGGGATGACAGGTGTGATCCACTGCGCCTGGTCTATTTTCAATTTTTTGAGGAACCACCATACTCTGCCACAGCAGCTGAACCTTTTACACTCTTACAACAGTGCACTGGTGTTCCAATTTCATCATGTCCTTGTCAACTCTTCTTATTTTTTTAAGGTGGCACACTACTAGGTATGAAGTGGTATCTTATTGTGATTTTAATTTGTGTTTTTTTCAGTGATTAGTGATGTTGAACATCTCTTCATGTGCTTGTTAGCCATTTGTATATTTTCTTTGGAGAAATGTCTATTCAATTCTTTACCCATTTTTTTAATTGAGTTTTTTTTTGTTGTTTTGTTTTGCTGTCGAGCTATTGGAATTCTGTCTGTATTCTGAATATTAACCCTTTATCAGATATATAATTTGTAAATATTTTCTCTCATTCTGTGGGCTGCTTTTTCATTTTGTTGATTATATTCTTTGATGTACAGATTTTTTATAATAAAATTTATCTATTTTTACTTTTGCTACCTGTGCTTTTAGTGTCATATCGAAGAAATCATTGCCAAGTCCAATGTCATGAAGCTTTCCCCTTATTTTATTATTATTATTTTGAGTGTAGTGGCGCGATCTCGGCTCACTGCAAGCTCCGCCTCCCGGGTTCACGCCATTCTCCTGCCTCAGCCTCCCAAGTAGCTGGGACTACAGACGCCCGCCACCATGCCTGGTTAATTTTTTTTATTTTTAGTAGCGACGGGGCTTCACCGTGTTCGCCAGGATGGTCTCGATCTCCTGACCTCGTGATCCACCCGCCTCAGCCTCCCACAGTGCTGGGATTGCAGGCGTGAGCCACTGTGCCGGCCACCCATTTTAAAGTGGACAGTTGAGTGGCACTCTGCACACTCACATTACTGTGCAGCCATCACTGCCATCCGCCTCCAGAACTCTTTCCATCTTCCCAAACTGAAATTCTGTACTCATTAAACACTAACTCCACATTCCCTCTTCCCCTCAGCCCCTGGCAAGCACCATTCTACTTTCTGTCTCTATGAATCTGATGACTCCAGGCACCTCGCATAAATGGAATCGCGCAGCATTGGTCCTTCGTGACTGGCTTATGATTGAGCGTAATGTCCTCAAGGGCTTACCATGTTGCAACACGTGTCAGAATCTTTTGAAGGTGGAATAATATTTCATTGTATGTATATACCACATGTTGCTTATTCATTCATTGTTGGACATTTAGGTTGTTTTCATCTTTTTGTAAATAATGCTACTGTGAATATGAACATAGGAAGTTCATTTTATAAGGGGACCCAGGGAAGTTTTAACTGGTACATGATACGAGAGGTAACATCTATGGTCACGAGGCAAAGGAAGTTGCCAAATGCCTGTGGCTTGAGCCACATGAAGGGAGGGATGATTTAGGATGGGGGCCCACATAAAAGGAACATGCCAGGGAGCTCTTGCTGTGAAAAACACTTGCCTGACAGCAGAGAGTGCGTTTCATGCTCCTCTACCTACTGCTTCTGGACAGCTTATGTGTGTGCTGCACACCTCACTCCGCTGGCTGAGGTCTCTCCATCCAGATCTTCCGGCACTTGGGTGCAGTTACCTGCACTTTGCAGATGAGGAAATGGAAGTGCAAAGATATTAGTAGGCCTGTTCCTGTCACCAGCTGGCTGGCTCCAAACGTTGTCCTCCAAGGCATGGAAGGATGGTCAGGACATCGTGGGGTGCCTCTGTCAGAAGCACCCTGGTCCCTCAGGATCCTGATCTTCCTTCACATCCAGGGTGGTTGGATGCGGGGAGGAGGCACAGAGAAAGCGGCACATGGTGTGAAGTTCAAGGATGCAGTGTGATGTGGCTCCGGGCCACCCGGTGATGTGAGGCAGGGGCGTCCCATCCCTGTCTTGCTTCTCAGTTTCTTCATCTGTAGAACATAGACAGCCACTCTTCCCTCATGGAGATGTTGAGAAAATCACAACCCACACAGTGTAGGAAGTCGTCCGCCCACAGTAGGCAGATGATGAGAGGGCAGCAATTTCAGGCCACTTTGCAGATCCTACACTATTCTTTTTTTTTTTTTTTTTGAGACGGAGTCTCGCTCTGTCGCCCAGGCTGGAGTGTGGTGGTGCGATCTCGGCTCACTGCAAGCTCCGCCTCCCGGGTTCAAGCCATGCTCCTGCTTCAGCCTCCCGAGCAGGTAGGACTACAGGCGCCCGCCACCACGCCCGGCTAATTTTTTGTATTTTTAGTAGAGACGGGGTTTCACCGTATTAGCCAGGATGGTCTCGATCTCCTGACCTCGTGATCCGCCCGCCTTGGCCTCCCAAAGTGCTGGGATTACAGGCGTGAGCCACCGCACCCGGCCAACCCTACACTATTCTTGTGCCCTTGCCCGCTGGAGCCTGAGATGTGGGAGGGCAAGCCCATCCCCTTCCTGCGTAGACTTGCCCCTCTCAGCGAGGAGTGAGGGCGCTGGGAGGTGAGGGGTCATGCCCTCCTGGCACAGGGGGAGGGTAAGAGCACGGGCTCCTGTGAGGAGGGCAGGAGGGCAGACACTGAGGGCACACACTGAGGGCAGGTGTTCCTGGCCCAACTAATACCCCACTGGGCGGGTAACAGCCGGAGGTAACAAAACCACAACATGGTGAGTGGCAGGGTAGGGGGCGGGTGGACAGAGAGTGGGGAGAGGTGTTGGGAAAGGCACAAGTTCTGGAATCAACCCGTCTGATTCCATTCCATCCACAAGGGCTGGTTCCCTGCTATTCTGGGCATGGACAGGCGGCAGCACAGGCCAATTGCAAAGATTCCCTTTGCTGAGCTCTGCGGCCCTCCTGTTATGAGGCCTGGTGCACAGCAGCCATTTGCCAAGTGGAGGCTGTATTTCTTCCAGAAAGCCGTCTTTCCTAAACTCCTTTCTGCCTATGTCAGTTGGAAAGGTGGCTCCCTCTCTAACTCCCCTTCCCCTGTGGTGAGCTCCTCCAAGCACATATAGTAGGTGCTCGATGCTTGCTGGCAGAATCAATGAATGGGCAGGGCATCATAGCCAAGACAGTGGAGGGCAACAGGAAGAGAAGAGTTCAGATTTCAAGGGGAAGCCGAGAGTAAAACCCTGTGCTGTCCTGGGAGACACATTCATAGGCATTTCATTCTGGAACTCTACCTGAGGCATCCAGGAGCCTGCCTGGGGGCCTCTGCCTCAATATTGCTGCATCTGCCCACACAGTCTTCTAGGTCCTGTGTGTCTGCTAAGGGATGCTAACTTGACTGTTCGCAGAGCGGAGAAAGGCACGATCACCCAGAAAGCCCACACAGTAAAGACAGAGCCACAGTGTAAGCACTGGCTCAGCCTGTTGCTTCTGAGCCCCCATCCTGTGCAGGACCCCACTCTCTGTGTGTCAGAGAGGAAACACAGGGATGAATCCCATGGGCATCACCTCCCCCCAGTTCATGCTCCAGATGCAGGGCTTGGGAAGAGACACTGCAGAATCAGGCTTTGCAGTGAGCTGCTGTTTCCCTTGCTAGAAATGGTTTCTTTGGGTGATGATTGAATGGCGATGGTCTTCAGGGCTGTTCCGTTCAGTTGTGTAGTTGCATTGGGCCAAATGTGCCCAGCTAGGAGGCAAATTGGACCTGAAATCCAGCTCATGCCACTTTTGCCACACCATGCCAGGGGTTGCTGCTGCCCAGGGGGGCACCTTCTGTAATCTACACAAAGGCACAGCACGTGGGCAGTGCTGAGCTTGCTTCCTTCCGGTGCATCCGATGCCGGTGAGCAAGAAGGCAAGGTGCAGTGTGCAGCCCCTTGGTGGGACCCCAAACTGCTGCAGGGGAAGTAGCAGGGGCAGAGAGATGGGCGGCCAACCCACCTGCACAGGGCCTCTTACCTCCCCATTCCCTCTCATCCCAGCCCTGGGGCATGCTTGGAGGTTGGCAGAGCCTTGCAGGAACTGACTCTGGAGATTCTCAGAAGGAAAAGCAGGAGAGGGAGTTTCCAGAGATTGGCGGGGAACTGAGGGGAGATCCCTGTGACTGAAGCCTGCTTAGCAACATGGGAATCTCCTGCCATCACAGGATGCCAAAAGGGTGCGAGGCAAGAGAGACAAAAGGTAAAGTAACAAAGGCACCTGATCAAAGCCAGGGGCTGGGTGTCCCTGGCTCCACTTTACACAGGAATCAACTGAGGCTCACTGGGTGAGGCTGCTTGACCCCTACCACTCTACTAGTCAGTGGCTGGGCCACACTTTAGACCCCGGCCTGCCTGGCTCCCCACAGCAGCTGCCGCCTCTGCATGGACACCACCCCAGCCTGGCGCTGGGTGCAGTTGTGCGGGGGAAGCTGCAGCCTGGGCAGGTTGGGCTCTTGTGTTGCTCCCAGAGCAGCTGACCTCATCCCATCTGGGTGTGTGGGGAAGGCAGCAGGTGTGGTGCTGGGAGGGACAGGAGCCCGTGTTCAACATGTCTGGAGAAATCAGTGACAACAGAAATGGCACGCGATTTCCGTATGGAGAGCAAAGCCACCGAGGGGTTTCTCCGGAAAAGTCAGGGGGATGGCATCGATTGCTCAAGGAGGATTTAGCAATAGGATGGAAGGAAGCCTACACGCTGGCGTCAGGAGCACGCTCAACCAGCACAAGAAGCGCACCCAGGCGGCAGGAGCCACAGCCGCCTCCAGGTGTCCGTGATGCGCCTTCAGCGGGCGCCGCAGCTCTAGCTGCGCGTTAGGGTCCCCGGAGAAGTTACAAAGCGAGCGCATAGGCTTGGGCCCTATTCAATGGTTCTGCCTTAATTGCTCTGGGGAGACCCCGGCAGGGGCATGTTTTTGAGTTTCAGGACTCTGCTGTGTAGCTGTGATGGAGAATCTTTCTCTGTGGGCTCATGACGCCCACCCAGGTCTGCTCCCCACCCCGTCCCATGAAGTCTTCTGCCTCCAGGGTGGCAGCAGGTCGACCAGGGGCCATGTGAGCTGGAGCAGGCCGATCCTCACCTGGGTCTAGAGAGGCGATCTGGCCAGGTGACCCGTGAGGCTCCTCCCTGGGGCAAAATCTTCGTGAAGGGTGGGCCGGAGAAGACGTGAAGGCAGGTGGGACGCACCCACTTCCCAGCCCTGAGGGACTGGAGACTGGTGTCTCAGCCAGCTCGGGCTGCCGTAGCAAAACACCACAGAATGGGAGGCTTAAGTAACAGCTTGATTTTTCTCACAGCTCTGGAAGCTGGAAGCCCCAAATCAAGGCGTCGGCAGGGCTGGTTTCTCTGAGACCATCCTGGGCTTGCAGACGGCCGCCCTCTCTCCATATCCACATGTGATCCTTCCTCTGTGCCTGTCTGTGTCCTAATCTCTTTTTCTTGTAAGGACACGAGTCAGATCATGTTAGGGACCACCCTAACGACCCCAATTTAACCTAACTGCCTCTTTAAAGGCCCTGTCTCCAAATAGTCACATTCTGAGGAATGGGTTTAGGGCCTCAGTGCATGAATTCGGGAGAAACACAATTCAGCCCCTAACAGCTGTGCTGGAGGCTTGATGAGACGGCCCTGCCTAATCTAACTTCAGGACAGCAAGCACACACCTGTATGCTCACACTCTCACACACACCTGCATGCTCACACACACACACGCCTGCATACTCACACACCCACACCCACACACTCACACACATTGACACGCACACACACTCTCACACACACATTCACACACACATACACACGCACACTCACACACACGACACACACTCACACACATTCACACACATAAGCACACTCACATTGACACACATTCACACACTCACACATACACACACACATACACATACACACATATACACACTCACTCACACACATTGACACACACACTCATACACATTCACACACACTCACACACACTCACATTGACACACTCATACAAATTCACACACTCACACACACGTACACACACACATTGACACACACACACATTCACACACTCTCACACACACTCTCACATCACATTGATCTAGGGATTTCCTCAGGTTGAAACGGGCCTGACCATCTGCAAATGGGCAGGTAAGTCCAAATGCAGAACTGATCTTCACTTAGGGCTTCAGACAAAATCTCAATTGATGTAAAAGCCCATTAACCGCCCCCCTCAAAGTAAAACAACAGCAACAACAACAAAAGGTGTTTCGAATTAGTTTTTGAAACTAAAAGTATTTCAAGAAATTCACTCCATGAATGAGTCATGACATGGCATAGTGGGAAGAACAACTTCCTGGGGCCAAGAAAACCTGAGCTGAAAGTCAGTAGTGCCTGTGAGCAGCCCCTGGACCTGGGGCAACTCACTGACCTCTCTGAGCCCAGCTTCTTAGGGGCTTGTGAGCATCGTCCCCTGCCAGGGCCTCTGCACACCGCCTGGTCTGGAACAGGGACACCTTGGGTGCTCCTCCCTCCAAGCCTTCCCACCGCCCTGGTGCACAAGGCACCTACAGCTCTGGAGCTCTCAGCTACAGCTGAGGTGCTCTGGGCTCTCCTGCGGGGCCGAGGGGCTTGTGACGCTGGGCCTCTTCCTACAGTCACTCATATCCACGTGGAATGAGGTTTCCAATATCCATAGGCAAATATGATCCACCCACCTGCCTGCCTACCTTCTGAAGTCACCATTTCCCTGACATAATTGCATCTTACAGATCTTACAGCTGTTTCCTGTGGCCCACTTGATGGTTGGTGGCACCTTGGCATGTCCACCAGGTAGCACCTCATGCTGAACATCACAGCTGGCCCCAGGCAGGCCCTTCCCTTCCTCCTCACTCTGTCTACATCACTGGATCAGGGAAGCTGGCTTCATTCAACCCTTCCTTCTGTAGGTCCTGAAAGGTGAGGTGATGGCTGCTTCTCCACTCCCCACCCCTCTTTGTTGTGTAAGTGTGATTGGTCACACATCACAGAAAACTCATATAGCAGATATTTGCCACGTAACGTAGAATTTGAAAGCACATCTATGCCATAGGAAACGGCTAATTGCCTTGACTCAGGAGTGCCCCCAAGAGCCTGTCTCATTGGGAATCCTTCAGCTGTCCCAAGAGGAAACCATTGCGTTGACTTTTGTGACAGTCATGTACTTGGTTTTAATGATGTTTATCACTTACTTACAAGTTCTTAAGCACCAGAGTTGAGTTGGGCCTCTTTCTGCCCCTGGGATCACTGGGCATGTCCTCGTCAGTGCCTGATTTCTTTTGCTCAGTGTGTTTGGGGGATCCTTCTATTTCATTGCCTGGTCTTCGCTCATTTCCTATTGCAGTTCCGTGCATGGCCCATTACATGAACACAACCATTGTTTTCTCTCTTCCATTGTTTTCTCTCTTCTGCTATTGATGGACTCGGGGTTGCTTCTGATCTTTGGCTCTTAGGAAGGTTGCCCCATAAACATCCTCTTACCTGTCTCCAGGTGCACCTGTGCACAGTGCCTGCCAGAAAAGTACCTGGGGGTGGAACTGAGTTTCTTCACTTTGGCAGGTGCTGCAGACGGTCAGCTTCTCTTCTCACCAGCAGTGGGAGAGCCCCCTGTGCTCCAGCCCTCCCCAGAGCTGGGGATCATCAGACCTGAGAGCCACAGGTCCTCGTCCATGTGTAGCTGACCAGATGTGAGGATGCTCTGCCCATGTTTGGGGACAGCTTCTTTTCCTCTCCCCATCTGGCTCCCCGCTGCTCCCTGTGTGCCCACCCCACCTGCCCCGGTGTTTGGCTGGCCTCCTCTTCCTGCTGAGCCAGTGCCTCTAAGGAGCTGCCAGCAGTGGGGATGCGCCAGGCCTCCTCCAGTTCTCCAGGGCGCAGGCTTTCTGCTGCGACCATCCCGGGTCTCATCGAGCTCTGCACCCTGCACCCGCAGCGCTGACCTCACGGAGTCTGCCCCTCTGCTGCAGCTTGCCCTGGCCTCCTGCCTGCCTCTTTCTGATCCTGTCGTCTTTTGCCTCCTTGGCCTCCCTCCTGGCCTTGCTGCTGTCTCCCTTCCTCAGCTTGTCTTTTGGGGAATCTCTAACCTTCCAGAACTCCCTCTGCCCATATGGAGCCCCGATCTGGGCAGCACCACCCCTTTGCAAAACTCCCCTCCGTCCACACCTCCCTGGGGCTTGCAGGCACCATCCAAGGAACAGCAGGACTCACCATCTCAGTGAGCCAGGGCAGGGTAGCCCGGGTCTGAGGCAGCGTGGGATTGGGAGTCTGAGCCATGGCGTGGGCTATGGGACCTGGGCCAGGCAGCAAATGTCTCTAAGCTCTCCTGTTCTCATCCATAAAAGAACATAATTATAAGGATTCAGTGAGAGAATATCCACGGCAGTGTTTGGGAGTGATGTGCTACCTGGCTCAGAAGTCACTGTGAACATCATTGTCCCTTTCTGTAATGTAGCTTTCTGTCATGCATCTAGCTAGTATGTAAGGAGAACCTGGTGCACACAGGCTGTTACTTCACCTTATCTTGTTGTGGAGTGCTCGTAACTGCCCGCCAGGAGGTAGGCACCGTGTTCCTCTCTGCTTTACAGAAGAGGAAACCGAGGCCTAGGAAGGGGGCTGGCCTTGGCTGAGATGTCACCCCTGATGACAGGCAAAGCTGGGAATCTCATCTCTGTGGCCAGACTCCCAGCACCATCATGCACGGCTTTCTGGAGCAAAGGCAGAATGATGAGGAGATCACAGGCACGGAGGCAGGAGTGTGAAAGCATCAGAATATGCCACCCCAAAGGATGCCGCTTTGACATAAGGATTATTTTGAGCTGAAGGCAACTGAGAAACAGCCAGATGCAGAAAAAGCTCTCTACTCCCCATGCTCCCATCTGCCTCAAGGGAGGGCAGAAATTTATCTTTTTTTTTTTTTGAGACAGAGTCTCACTCTGTCACCCAGGCTGGAGTGCAGTGGAGCAATCTTGGCTCACTGCAATTTCAGCCTCCTCGGTTCAAGAGATCCTCATGCCTCAGATCCCCAAGTAGCTGGGATGACAAGCATGCACCACCGCACTCGGCTAATTTTTGTATTTTTAGTAGAGACGGGGTTTCGCCGTGTTGGCCAGGCTGGTCTTGAACTCCTGACTTCCTCCTTCAACACCTGCCTCGGCCTCCCAAAGTGCTGGGATTACAGGCATGAGCCACGGTGCCTGGCCCAGAAATTCATTTTTGTGAAGGATTCCTCCTCCCCTCTCCTGTACCAGAAAGAAGCCACAACTCATCACCGGAGATGGCACCAACCTGAATAGTCATAACCTTTAACAACCCTTATCTTCCATTATTTCCCCCGTATGTATCCCTTTCCACATTTGCCATCCCTAGAAGCTCAAAACATTTTTCCTTTGTCTTGTCATGTCTCCACAATTTTTTTATTTTTTTTGAAACAGAGTCTTGCTCTGTCACCCAGGCTGGAGTGCAGTGACACGATCTCGACTCACTGCAACCTCCGCCTCCCGGGTTCAAGTGATTCTCCAGCCTCAGCCTCCTGAGTAGCTGGGATTACAGGCATGTGCCACCATGCCCAGATAATTTTTGTATTTTTAGTAGAGATGGGGTTTCACCATGTTGGTCAGGCTTCTCTCAATCTCCTGACCTCGTGATCCTCCCGCCTTGGCCTCCCAAAGTGCTGGGATTACAGACATGAGCCACCATGCTGGCCACATCTCCACAATTTATGGCTCTTTGTTAAGATGTTACACAGGCTCCAAATGCTAACCACCTCAGAGAGTCACATTTCTTTGTGAATGCCCACGCATATGTATATAATTAAATCTGTTCTTTTCTCTTGTTAATTGCCTTTTGTCAGTTTAATTTGCAGGACCTCAGTCACTGAACATAAGAAGGTAGAAGACACATTTTTTTTTCTCCCTCACAAAGCCAGGACCCCTGAGGAGGGTCCCAGGCCCTGCTCATAGCACACCATGCCTAAGAGGGGACCAGCTCCAGGGAACAGCAGGGTAACCCCCCCCATGATATGGAATGCTGTGGGATGTGCCAGGGTGTGGCCCCCAGCCAGGGTGAGCAAGCGGGTCAGCTCCCTCTGGCCCTTGGAGGCCTCAGTATGCCTTGCAGCCCGAGTCCTGCCTGTCCCTCCTTGCAGCCCGAGTCCTGCCTGTCCCTCCTTGCAGCCCGAGTCCTGCCTGTCCCTCCTTGCAGCCCGAGTCCTGCCTGTCCCTCCTTGCAGCCCGAGTCCTGCCTGTCCCTCCTTGCAGCCCTGGCTGCAGAAAGGGTGAACCTGCCTTGAGGGCACTGCCTGCGCCTTCCCAGGGAGCTCCTCTGGCCTCCCCTCTCCATTCGCCCACTCCTCCGTGGTTACGTTTCGTGAAAACAGATGCTTTCCAGGAGAGTCACAGTTCATTAGGGAGATGGAGAGCAGGGATCCCAGGCTGCCACTGTGACCAGAATGGAGAGGCCTTCCCAGCACAGCAATCCCCTGGGCTGGTGCAGTGCCTGGCCCATCAGAGGGGCTGAATGGGCAGGGGCAGGGCAGACAGAGATTGCCCTACAGAGGTGACCTTTTGTTACTAGCTTGAGAGTTGCTTTCCTCTATCTCTTTAGATAAGTTATTTGGTAGATGCTGTTACTGATGTGTGCACTGTGGGCTTCAGCAAAGACAGAAACAGATCCCTGAGAACCCCTGGGAACAGCTGCAGTGGTGAGTGGCCACTCCCAGCAGTCCTCTCTCAGAGGACAGAGGGGCTGCACAGAGGAGGAAAGGAGGGGTGTGGGTGTTTCTCCCCACGCCTTTTGCTTCCAGAGAGAGGCCTCTGGGATGCAGGATCTCCCCAGGTGTTGCTTCTTCAGCTGGGAGCTGTTGACACCCACCAGGGACTGGAAGATCCCTGGACAAAACAAAGGTGAGAAAGAAGCCCTGGAAGGGCCCGGGGGAGAGGGATGTGCCAAGAGAGAAAGATGGGGTTTCCTGGGGGCACCTGGACCCGCCTGGTCCCTGTACTCTGGGCCCTGCCCTGGCCCGTCACTACTGACCTGCTCTCCCAAACGCCAATCACACCATCCACACAGAATCACTGGCTAAATGAGGTTCATGGTTCTGTGTGGACACTTCCACATCCACCTTTTCACTAAATTCAAACGGTGGCTCTTGCCTTTATTTTTTAAACAGCCTTACTGAGGTATAATTGACATAGAACAAGCCGTGCCTATCTGAAGTGTACAATTTGGTAGCTTTGACATAGGTAGACCCCCAGGAAACCATCACCATGGTCAAGATAGTGAGCGCATTCATCAGCCCAAGCATTATTTATGTTTTTAAACTAACATAAATTAAGTTTATCCTTAAACAGACTGGTATGGACACAAATTGACAGGAAATAGAAACCGAAGGCATGAGCCTCTCTTCTGTGGAGGGGATGGTTGGGGACGGTCACCACTTCCACGCATGCCTGTGGGGACTCCTGCAGGCAACCCACTCTGGTTTTCTGGAAAGCAGGAGAACATCCCAGAAATGCTACACAGAGTTCCTGAGGGCAGGTCTGCTGCCGGCTGAGGCAGAACCTGAATGTGGGCACGCCAGGCAGAGGGGATGGCCTGTCACCCTCTTCAGAAGGCGCTTCATGGTAGGAAGGTAAAGGGCAGCTCTCGGGTGTGGACTTAAAATCCTAGTCAGGCCTGAAGTAAAATTTGGGAAAGATTCCTGTCCTTCTGCCCATTCCCAAGGCAACTGCCTTCTCCTCAGCACCTACTGGCATAGGGCATGCCCAACTCGGTACCCACCGGGTGCAGGCCAGAAACTCACACGCTCAACTGAGTTGTCAGGATGGGGCCTTGGCTCGTGGGCGGGCCTTGATCATCTCTGGTTTCTCTTGCTGGGATTCATTTATTTACTTATTTATTGCCAAAAGCTGAATACCTGGATTCCTAAGTGCGATCTCCTAATTCTTACAGTTGGCAATGTAATGATTTTTTAAACACGTCAGGGGAGGCAGGTCTAAGGGCCCCCAAACTACAGGTGTCCGTCTCGAGGCATTTGCCCTATCGGGTGGCTCCAGATTGGCTCTTTCTTCACCCCCCAACAGATTCCCCTTGCATTTCACTTCATGTCAACGAACTTCCGCTGAGCAAGTGTGGCTGTCACGTCCAGGGCCCTGGGCTGGGGAAGCTGCAGAGGTGATTGGCCATCCCTGTCCGTGGGAAGACTTGCTAGCTGAAGTGCGCCACAGAAATGCATCCTAGTCCATGGGCTTGGGGAAGAGAAGGCAATTAGTCTACTGGGGTGCTCCCAGAAGGCTGCAGGAAGGAAGGAGCACTGGAGCTGAGAAAGATGATGAAGATCCACAGGTCAGCAGCGAGGAAGAAGAGGAGAGCTGCAGAGGTGGAGAGTGCAAGGTGTGTCCCAGGAGCGACAGGTGGTTTGCCTATGGGGCCAGACTGGGGACCCCAGGGATGCTGGGGTGCTGGGAGAAGAATGATTTGGAAAAAAGGAGATTCATGTTCTCCTGGTCTCTCTCCCTCTCTGAGGCCTCCTAAGGCATTGCCTCTGGGCCTCTTGGGGGTTCTGTGGAACTTGGATTATGGTCCTAGAAACCTAGAAATAAGAGTGGCCACAAAGATTCTGTCGCTGAGACCCATCCAATGCAGGACCCCCGTCTCCTACAGCACTAATTTCATCCACATCCCCTTCCCACCTCTCCATCAAATAGGCCAGATCCCCAGCGTCCCTTCTTATAGAAATGGGAGGTGGGGACTCTTGAGTTTTTCCCAGCGTAAGAATAAAAAAATGAGCTGCCAAAAGTTGCCTGGAATCAGAACTCGGGAGCGCACTGGAGCTGGGAGAGAAGAAATGGATACAGACAAGCTTCCTCTGGCCAGCTGTGCCTACACTCTATAAAAAAGTGTCAGATTCAATCACCCGGGTTTGGGGGTTGTTGGCGCCAAACATCTGGATCTTTGGACGGGCCCCTAAGACGCCAGGATGTTGCACTTCCCACCTGGAAGTCTGCCGTCATCTAAGTGCAGCCCTGACTCGGGAGAGGGCGAGCACCTGGCCAGGCCCGGCCCACTTCCTCCGAGGGGCCTCGGCCCCCTCTCCCTGCAGATGGACAGGACACACGTGTTTGCAGGACCTCTGGGGTGGGGGTGGGGAGGAGGCAGGGCCTGTCTAGCCTGTTCTGGGTCTTTCCTGGCTCTGAAGCAGCCCTGTGCCCACAACCAGAACTTACCGCGGGTGGCTGCACCCTGGGTTGACTCAGGCCGACCGGCCTGGCCCCTGGGAAGTGGACGCGATGCTACGTAGGCTTTGCTTATGAAGGAAGAAATCTACTTACATCCATCTGACTCTCTCCTCTCACCAAGAATAAGCCACATAGTTCATTCCAAGGGTCTGAATTCCCAGAGGTGCTCTGTGTGTGTGTGTAGGCTTACTACTTCAAAAGGAGGCAAAACGATGCCAGCCCTTCAAAATACTTTCCAGCAATACAGTGACCTGAATTAGAGCCTGTCATCCCCACTAATTTGCTAGTAAATAAAGATGTTTCTGACCATCTAAAGGAGGTGGCCAGGGAAAGCCAACCAATTTTTGTGTGACGTAATGCCCCGCCCTCTCCTGGCTGGTGTCAAGGGCACTGCCCAGGTGTAAGTGCAGTAGTTGGCAGGAAATGTCTTGAGAATATGAAGCTGCATCCTAGTTCCTCCGTCGGTTAAACGTGGAGTTACCATGTGCCCAGCAATCCCACTCCTGGGATATACCCGAGACAAATGAGAATAGACGTCCACCCAGAAACCTGTTCGTGAATGCTCACAGCAGCACTGTTCACAACAGCGAAAAGTGGAAGCAACCTAGACGCCACCCGATGATGAATGAAGAAATGAAATAGGGTCCATCCATATCATGCAGTGTTATTTGGCAGTAAGAAGGAACGAAGTACCAATACATCCTGCAGCATGAATGGGCCTTGAAAGCACGATGGCAAGTGAAGGAAGCCAGACACAGAATGATCAATATTGTATGATTCCAATTATGTAAAATGCCCAGAATAGGCAAATCCATAGAAATAAAAAACAATTCATAGTTTCCTAAGGCTGGGGGCAGAGAGGAATGAGGAGTGACTGCTAATGGCTATGAGGTTTGTTTTTGTAGTGATGGAATGTTCTCTAATTTGGTGATGGATGTACAATTCCGTGAATAGACTAAAAGCCACTGGATTGTGCACTTTCAATGGGTAAATTGAATGTTATGTGAATTATACCACAATAAAATTGTTCTTTTAAAAGGCAAAAAAGTTGCACTCTCAACAAATTCCAGGATTCAGACTTTTTAAATTCCCAGATAGTTGCCCACCCAATCAGCCCACATAGTTGAGGGGATTTTGTTGTTGTTGTTTTTGATACGGAGTCTCGCTCTGTCACCCAGGCTGGAGTGCAGTGGCACAGTCTCAGCTGACTGCAACCTCCGCCTCCCGGGTTCAAGGGACTCTCCTGCCTCAGCCTCCTGAGTAGCAGGGATTACAGATGCGTGCCACCACTCCCAGCTAATTTTTTGTATTTTTAGTAGAGACGGGGTTTCACCATGTTGGCCAGGGTGGTCTCAAGCTCCTGACCTTGTGATCCGTCCACCTCGGCCTCCCAAAGTGCTGGGATTACAGGTGTGAGCCACCGCGCCTGACTGAGAGGTTTTAATAGGGTTAAATAATGGACTTATGTTTTGTTGGTTGGCATCCAATATTTGGAATTGTGGCAAGATAGGACTGATCTCATCACCGTGCTCCCAGGGAGATAACAGTGGGATATGATTTTCCTTGACATAAAAGGCTGAGCTATGTTCTTACGATTTTAGAGGAAGGACTGAATGTTTATTACCCCAGAATCCAGTATTTGGACCCGTGAAACAAAGAATGATAGCTCATTTTGTTTTTATAGAGTCGGGGTATCACTCTGTTGTTCTTGCTGGAGTACATGGGTGCAATCGTGGCTCACTGCAACCTCGAAGTCCGGGGCTGAAATGATATTCCTGTCTCAGCCTGCCGATTAGCTGGGACTACAGTTGCATGCCACCATGCCTGACTCATTAAAAAAAAAATTGTAGAAATGTGGTCTTGCTATGTTGCCCAGGCTGCTCCCAAACTCCTGGCCTCAAGTGATCCTCCTGTCTCAGCCTCCCAGGTTGCTGGGACTATAGGCATAAGCCACTGCATGTGGTAGGATCTATGAAATTAAAAAAGTGATAGCTTGTTGTTTTGCTGTGTGGCCTTGGGCAAATGACCTAGCCTCTCCGGTTTGTAGTTTCTTCCTTTATAAAATGGGGATTAAAATGGTACCATTTCTTAGGGTTCTATGAGGATTAAATAGGTAAAATATTGAAACCACTAGCCCGGGCATGGTGGCTCATTCCTGTAATCCAAGCACTTTGGGAGGCTGAGGCGGGCAGATCGCCTGAGGTCAGGAGTTCGAGACCAGCCTGGCCAACATGGTAAAACCCCATCTCAACTAAAAATACAAAAAAAAAAAAAAAAAAAAATTAGCTGAGCATGGTGGCAGGCGCCTGTAATTCCAGCTACATGGGAGGCTGAGGCAGGAGAATTGCTTGAACCAGGGAGGCAGAGGTTGCAGTGAGCCGAGACCGCACCACTGCACTCCAGCTTGGGCAATGAGAATGAAACTCCGTCTCAAAAAAAAAAAAAAAAATTAAGCCACTAAAAATAATGTCCAGCGTATTACACAATGCATTTACTACTATTTGCTTTCTGCTTCTGGGCCTAAGGACTTGGTCTCCACTGCCCGATGTCTTCCCCTTAAACTTTCAAATTGCTCACCACCTCACTCTGATAGGGTCCCTGGTCACCTATCACAAGGCACGATGCCTTGCCTGACCACACGAGCTAAGAGGGCCACTCCATCCCACTACTGTTTGTCTTCACCTCACTGTTATGACCTGAAATCGCTATGTCTGTGTTTGCTTGTGTGTTTACTATTTTGCTTTTCCATGAGCATGCACACTGCCTTGTTCATGCATTGAAACTTGCCTGGGCCAGAGGCATTTGCTGAAGGAAAGAATGAATCAAAGAAGGGTGTCCCCTGTTCATGGAGCATGTCCCGGAGCTCTGTGCCCCCAACCTCAGAAGACTTAAGGAGGCCTAATCTGAGCAGTTAGAAGGACCTTCAGCAATTGTGTGTGTCCGGGGAGGCTCTCAGTCCTAGGAGCCCTGGAAATACAAAGTCCAGAAGTGAGAAGCCAGAAAAGTACTATCCTTTTGGCCAGAAGCTGAATTCATCTAGAGGGAAGACTCTTTCTTCTCGGGAAACACAACCACTGGTTGTGCCCTCGGATGAGGGCAGGTCCCGCTCTGCCACGGAGCAGCTGACAAGTGCAGAACTGGACACTTTTCAGGCAGGATGGAGGGGGACAGTGGGCAAAGGGCTGCTCCAGCCGAGCTTATCACCTGATCTCATCCCCGGATCTGGACCACGTGGCCAACGAGCTGCCAGAGAGGCAGGAAAAGTGAGTGTATTTTTGCTGAGCATATTAATACTCCAATCAAATTAGATCGGAATGAAGAAAAAGCAGAATCGCAGAATAGCTGTTAGCAAAGGAGAAAAATACGATAACAGTGATAGTCGTGGTACCCGCAGCCCCTCTCACAGAGCAGGAGGGTATAAAAGGGCCAGGTGCCCCATAACTCCCTCACAGTTGCTTTTCAAGCAATAAACAGAGTCTAGGGGCTTACACGGAGCCAGCGGGTATGCTTGGGAAAACACCCAGTGACCCCAGCCCATGAGGCACTCAGAAAAGAGAGGACACCACAGCGGCCTCCCCTTAAAAATCAAGCAAGCAGGCCAGGCATGGTGGCTCCCGCTTGTAATCGCAGCACTTTGGGAGGCCAAAGCATCAGGAGTTCAAGACCAGCCTGGCCAACATGGTGAAACCCCATCTCTACTAAAAATGCAAAAATTAGCTGGGCGTGTTGGCAAACGCCTGTCATCCCAGCTGCTTGGGAGGCTGAGGTAGGAGAATCACTTGAACTGGGGAGGTGGAGGTTGCAGTGAGCCGAGATTGCACCACTGCACTCCAGCCTGGGCAACTGAGTGAGACCCTGTCTCAAAAAAAAAATCAAGCAAGCAAACAGCATTTTCCCCGACCCTAACTATGAAAGAAATGCGATAAGCCCTCTCCCTCTCCCTCCTCTCCCTCTCTTTCCACGGTCTCCCTCTCATGCCGAGCCGAAGCTGGACTGTACTGCTGCCATCTCGGCTCACTGCAACCTCCCTGCCTGATTCTCCTGCCTCAGCCTGCCGAGTGCCTGCGATTGCAGGCGCGCGCCGCCACGCCTGACTGGTTTTCGTATTTTTTTGGTGGAGACGGGGTTTCGCTGTGTTGGCCGGGCTGGTCTCCAGCTCCTAAGCGCGAGTGATCCGCCAGCCTCGGCCTCCCGAGGTGCCGGGATTGCAGACGGAGTCTGGTTCACTCAGTGCTCAATGGTGCCCAGGCTGGAGTGCAGTGGCGTGATCTCGGCTCGCTACAACCTCCACCTCCCAGCCGCCTGCCTTGGCCTCCCAAAGTGCCGAGATTGCAGCCTCTGCCCGGCCGCCACCCCGTCTGGGAAGTGAGGAGCGTCTCTGCCTGGCTGCCCATCGTCTGGGACGTGAGGAGCCCCTCTGCCTGGCTGCCCAGTCTGGAAAGTGAGGAGCGTCTCTGCCCGGCCGCCATCCCACCTGGGAAGTGAGGAGCGCCTCGTCCCGGCCGCCATCCCATCTAGGAAGTGAGGAGCGTCTCTGCCCGGCAGCCCATCGTCTGAGATGTGGGGAGCGCCTCTGCCCCGCCGCCCCATCTGGGATGTGAGGAGCGCCTCTGTCCCGCCGCCCCGTCTGGGAGGTGAGGAGCGTCTCTGCCCGGCAACCGCCCCGTCTGAGAAGTGAGGAGCCCCTCCGCCCGGCTGCCGCCCTGTCCGGAAGGGAGGTGGGGGTCAGCCCCCTGCCCAGCCAGCCGCCCTGTCCGGGAGGGAGGTGGGGGTCAGCCCCCCACCCGGCCAGCCACCCCGTCCGGGAGGTGAGGGGCGCCTCTGCCCGGCCGCCCCTACTGGGAAGTGAGGAGCCTCTCTGCCTGACCACCCCGTCTGGGAGGTGTACCCAACAGCTCATTGAGAACGGGCCATGATGACAATGGCGGTTTTGTGGAATAGAAAAGGGGGAAAGGTGGGGAAAAGATTGAGAAATCGGATGGTTGCCGTGTCTGTGTAGAAAGAGGTAGACATGGGAGACTTTTCATTTTTTTCTGTACTAAGAAAAATTCTTCTGCCTTGGGATCCTGTTGATCTATGACCTTACCCCCAACCCTGTGCTCTCTGAAACATGTGCTGTGTCCACTCAGGGTTAAATGGATTAAGGGCGGTGCAAGATGTGCTTTGTTAAACAGATGCTTGAAGGCAGCATGCTCGTTAAGAGTCATCACCACTCCCTAATCTCAAGTACCCAGGGACACACACACTCTGCCTAGGAAAACCAGAGACCTTTGTTCACTTGTTTATCTGCTGACCTTCCCTCCACTATTGTCCTATGACCCTGCCAAATCCCCCTCTGCGGGAAACACCCACGAATGATCAATAAAAAAAAAATAAATAAATAAATAAAAATAAAAAATAAAAAAAATAAAAAAAAATAAAAAAAAAAGAAAGAAATGCCAGATCTCTTCACCATACACCATCTGGAAAATTCAGGGAACTATACAGAAGAAAACCCTACCAGTGTCAGATGAACACGGTTACCATTCTGACGTGACTCCTTCCAAACCCTCCCGTCCGTTCCCGATAGCATTTTATGTTGTGCGCTTTCCTTTGGAATGCATGACTTGCCTTTTGCCCTGAGTGCATAGATCAACCTTTTGTGTGTGTGGAAAGTATTGGGAATCTCAAGAAGCCAGCACAGGGGCTTAAACACAGACAAAAAACACCCCTCCATCCCCCGGCTTCCCTCTCAGGTGTATACCCACTGTGACTTCCAAAGCTGGGTGCGTGAGTTGTGTGTTTCTTAAATTACACTGACTGCAGAAGCCATGTGGGAAGCAAGCAATTCTCCAAAAGGGGCTTTTATATGCCTTGTGTGGCCAAGTGTGCCTCCAGCCCAGGGGAGAGGAAGTACATGGAGTTTACTTCTTGGACAGACCAGGCCTCTTTAAGTACTTTTTTTTTTTTAATTCAATTAGCTTGAGAGGGAAGGTGGGGAGGGTCACCAGCTGTGTGGTTTGTGAGTCAGTTGAATTTCAAGCTGTAAACTGCGTATTTCAGGCAATGGACATCTTAAGGCTTGGGGATTTTATTATTATTTATTTTCAAGTCTGGCCCTGGAACAGACTGGTTCTGTCCCTCTCCAGGTTTTAGCATTAGATCTTGATGTCTGTAAATAAGGAGGTAATTTGAGATATCTGTGACCTAAATTTGGGAGATTAATGAAATGAGGGTCTGGTGCTGTGAGGCTGGGGCGAAGAGACGGGTGAAAGTCTGTGTGTCAGGCACTCACTTCCAGGTGGCCTCCCTGCGGCTGACATTGGCTCTGAAACCTGATTGGGTCCCGCAGTTTGACCGCAGGCAGAATATTTAAATTGAAACTGTCCTGGAAAGTTTGGGGAGCATGATTGCCCTAAGTATTGCCTGTGCTTTATCTTGTTTATGTAACATACATTAGCAAATTTAAGCACTCGGGGACCAGGGAGTCAGCAGTGTGGGAGTTGGGGGCGGGTTGGGGGTTGAAGCCCCTGGTTTATCGTATTTGCGAGTTTCTGTGGTATAAACAATCTCACCAACCTGACATCATTGGAGGTTGGGGAGAGGTATGCAGTATTATATGGTACATATTATATGGTGTTTCCACCATATAAACACCAGATAGATTGTAAATAAACATAAACTCAATAGTAAAATTGAGTAAAATAAGTAGAAAGCGATGGGTTTGATGAGTTTTGAGTTATACCTTTGCTCTTAATACAATTGTTTTTAATATACCTTATCTCATTGTAAGCTTACTATTCTTTTTTTTTTAATAAAAGCTGCATTTAACAAGCAGATCACAAGATTTCTGCAAATTTAACAGCATTCTCTCATGATCAGGAATGAGGCGGCCCCACCACACAGATGTCTAATGGGGCAGGTTGGGAGGGAGCGAGCACACACTGTCCTGTGGCTGACAAGGTCTAGGAAGGTTTCCACTGTACTCACCCTGCCAACCCTGCCAGCTCTGCAGCCCAGCTGTCTGGCTCTCTGGCTAAGCACGGCCCAGGGATGCTTCCTGGTTCCCAGGTCTCACTCAAGCAGCCTACTGGACTGGGGCCCATCTCCAAGTCTCAGATCTTCCTCCCTCCCTCCCTTCCTCTCCGTCTCTGTGCCTGTCTGAGTCCAGGACAATAAGGCAAGTCATCAGCCTATTGTGTGTCTTTTTTTTCTTTTTGAGACAGAGTCTCACTGTTTTGCCCAGGCTGGAGTGCAGTGGCGTGATCTCGGCTCACTGCAACATCCGCCTCCACAGTTCAAGCGATTCTCCTGCCTCAGCCTCCCAAGTAGCTAGGACCACAGGCATGCACCACCATGCCTGGCTAATTTTTGTATTTTTAGTAGAGACAGGGTTTCGCTATGCTGTCCAGGCTGGTCTCTAACTCCAGACCTCACGTGATACGCACACCTCAGCCTCCTAAAGTGCTGGGAATACAGGCGTGAGCCACCGCACCCAGCCCTGTGTGTCCTTCATAAATGTCATTTGTGGGGAGGGTCAGTTGGAGACATTTGAAAATCTCATAAGCTGTTGAAAAGAGGCCAGAGACAGAAAGCAGGCCCTCCAGCCTGTAGCTGTCACCTGGAGGCTGTGCCTGTGGTTCCCTGGCCTGACTTCCTGGGGCCATTCCACACCTGGGAAGAGGGAGGGAACTGCGGAAGCACCATTTATGGAGCACCTGCCAAGAGGGCAATGGGGCTGATTGATGCTGCCTAGAAGAAAGGCCACCTCTTGGCTGAGTTATCCTACATCTCTCCTTGCCTGGAGCTGCCTCAGACAACGAAGGCATGCTGGATGCATGCCACCCCTGACCCAGAATGCGCAGAGAGGTCCATGCAGCAAGCCCCAGAGAGCAAGGATGAGGTGCCCACTCTTTACTCTTGAGCCAGCTCCTTGGCTTTGCGCTGCATGCCCGGGGAGGGAAGGGGGCTCAGAGTGGGAGGGGAAGGCCTGGCCAAGGCAAGTCCTGGAGGAGACACACTCCCACATTTAGAGACAAAGACATGCTGATCCTGAAGATATCATTAACTTAATTTTATAGGACAGAATCCTGGGAAGCTGGCCAACCCGAGGGAAGGAAGAGACGGGGGAAATTGGAATTCTAAAATATTTTAAAGCAGTTGCAATGGATTACTTTTGATTACTTTCAAGAACATAAAGTGACTTGAAGGAAGCTGACTATGGGTTGCCAAGTAGTCTTACTTAAGGGATTTTTAAGTTAAGAATAAGTGCTATTTGCATATTAAGAGTTTGTAAGAAATCCTACAGGCTAAAGGTTCCAGAGGCACAGTAGGGTGGGAAGGAGTGAGGGAGGTCCAGCAGGGAGACAGTGTTCAGTTACTGAACTTAGGACATCTTGAATCCACCATCTCAACCCTGAGGGCTTTTGACTCTATGTTTATGAATATAAAAGCATTAGCCCAAATTGTTTCAATATTGGCTATTTTGGAGAAGAAAATATCTTCTAGAGCTAATTCCGTCATGGTCATTTCATTTCATGATCATTTTTTCATGAAGCAGCGTTGGAACAAAGTCCCTCTCTCCTATTGTCATTTTTACTTCACTAAAACTGCTTTTATCAGGATTCTTTCTTTTTTCCAGGACAACAACAACTAGGCTCTCCAACCCCACTAGGACTCTCCTCTCTCCTCCCGAATGGCTGACTTTTCTTGGACAGTCTCCCTCCTCAGGGCTTGGCCCTGGCAGCTCTGGTCCCAGGTTAAAAATCCTGGGGAAGCCTCTGATAGGTCCAGCAGTGTTCCCTGTCCATTCCTGGCCCAGTCACCTTTGGGCAACGGGCAGAGATGCAATGATGTCCCCACCCATCTTGGAGGCTGGGGCGGAGTCTGTAAGCAGGTGAAAACCCTGCTTCAACCCGGCCAGGTTTAGAATGGGGTTTCTGTCTTGGGCAGATGAAACACACCCACCCATGATTGCTTTGGTCATTTTTCCCAAATGCTAAATGATCACAGCTCAGTCAGAGGGACTTCTCCAAAACTCCAGCACTTCACAGATGAGTGTGTGTCAGCACAGTAAGCTTCCAGCAGAATGGAGCGGCACATGGGGCATCAGAGAAGCCCCACCCTGTGTGCCAGGCTGGGCTGGCCAGGAATCAGATGGCCATGGGTCCTTTGTTCACAGGGCTGGACATGGTCAGAGTTGTGCGTGGCCCAGCACCTCTAGGCAGACAGAGGCTGTGGGAAAAAGAGGGGTTTGTGGAGTCACGAAGGCTCTCCCAAGTATGGGTTGCTTGTTCTGTTCTGTTTTGCTGCTCAGCCTATTCCAGCAGGCCCCATCCAGCTCCTGTCCAGCTCTAGGTCAGCTGTGTAGGGGCCATGACAATGGCTCTCTCCTGTTAGGGTCCCGTACCCTGCCAGGGCTTTCCACTCATGATGGCAGATCCTCAGGAAACCCACCCAGGACACGCTTCTCACCTGCTGTGTGTCTCTGCTGTATCTTCAGTAATATGGAGCTGTCTTTAGTCTCCAACTCCAGGACTGCATGAGAACCAACGAGGCCCCTAGAGCAAGGTCCCGGCACAGCCTGAGGGCGGCCCTTATGGACTTGCAACTGCAACTGCTCTCAGGAGCTGGTCGGTGCTCGGGTCCACCTGCCTCCCCACTCAGGGATGGCCACCATCGCTCCCTGGGGCTCTGGGCAACCACAGAAGACCTGGGGATCTGGGGCGGAGTTGCCTCCTGCCCACAGTAGGGGGAGGTCGCTGCACCTGGGGCTAAAATCTGACAGACTGGGTGGGTCACTCTGACAGCCCCTGGGAGGGCGAGACGTGTGGGGGTGGCCACTTGTGGAGGGGCTGGGTGGCTGTTGCCATCCCAGGAGGGCAGTGCTATAATGCACTTGGCTGGAAGGCCTAGGCTGAACAGCTGACCTAATGCCTCCATGCAGGACTTGCATGGGGCGTAAACACCTAGGGCAGCAATAAAGTGAAGAGGAAGGAGCTGGATCCCCTTACAACCCTCATTTCCACCTCCCAGGGAAGGTGGTAGAGGGAGGAAGCCTGGCTACGTGGAGGGTGAGGCCTCGGGCAGGTCTCTGCATCCCACCCCTGGCACCTCTGGCTCCTGGACACACAGACACACAAACAGGGCCTCTCCCTGAGTGGCCTTCTGTGGGCAGGGGCTTCCCTAAGCGAGGAGGGACCATCAGGAAGCAACACCTGGCATTTGCAAAGACAGGAAGGGTTCCACAGGTCCCGTTAACTCCCGGGCTGGAAGAGGAGCCCACTCACTCCTGTCTCGTGGACACTGCCGGGTGGCAGGTCCTGTCCCTGTGGCCCTGAGGACTCAGAGGATGTCCCTTATCTGCCTCTACCCTCAGGCTTCTGCAGCCTTTTGCCTGGTGCCCACAAGGTAACGAAGCCTCACCTCCCACCCCAGGCTGATGGGGAGGGAGGCTCAGGAACCGCATGACACACACGAGCCCTGCCTCCACTCTCATTCACTCACCTCCAAGGTGGCTCTAATTATCCTCATTTTATAGAAAACCGATGACCAGAGAAGCCCACAGAACTGGTCCACGTGCACCCAGGGTTCAAACACAGGTCATCTGAACTTGAAGGCCTACATCAGAATTCCAGAAACGCCACCACCCTGGGACCAAAACCACCACCATGGGGCCAAAACCAACACCCTGGGGCCAAAACCACCACCATGGGGCCAAAACCACCACCCTGGGGCCAAAACCACCACCCTGGGGCCAAAACCACCACCGTGGGACCAAAACCACCACCCTGGGGCCAAAACCACCACCCTGGGGCCAAAACCAACACCCTGGGGCCAAAACCACCACCCTGGGGCCAAAACCACCACCCTGGGGCCAAAACCACCACCACGGGACCAAAACCACCACCATGGGACCAAAACCACCACCCTGGGGCCAAAACCACCACCACGGGACCAAAACCACCACCCTGGGGCCAAAACCACCACCACGGGACCAAAACCACCACCCTGGGACCAAAACCACCACCCTGGGGCCAAAACCACCACCCTGGGACCAAAACCACCACCCTGGGGCCAAAACCACCACCATGGGACCAAAACCACCACCCTGGGACCTGCCACTCTCTGAGCTTCAGCTTCAGATTCCAGAGAGAAAGAGGAGGTGGGAGGATTTGACTGGTCCAGCCCAGGTCCTCGGGCCGGCCAGGGCCCTGGATGTCTCCACTGCATGCTGGCTGTGATGTGCTTCAAGCCCTCACTGCTCCCGAGAGCCACTGATTTGCTCCCTCAGCCAGCTGGGACTGCTCTGATGTGGAGCAGCAGAGACTTACTCAGGCCACTTTACTTTACTACCTTATTACCAGGGTGCCCTCAGCAGGAGTCCGTGCGGACTGGCCAGCCGACACGGGGGCAGCCCAGGCCCTTCTCTTTCCTCCTTCTCTGTGTCTGTCCCTCCCATCACTCAACAAATGAGTGTGGGGAAAACGATGAGTAAATGGGGGCAGGCGGGAGGGGAGATGGAGAGAGGGAGGGAGAAAAGGAAGGAGAGAAAGATGGAGGGAGGAAGGGAGAGAAAGGAGAAAGGGAGGGAAGGAGAAAGGGAGGGAAGGGGAAAGGAGGACGGAAGTGGGGGGACAAGGATGAGGGAAGGGAGGGGGGACAGCGCATCTGGTTTCCAGTTTCTGGCCCTCCTCTCACCAGCTGACAGATGCTGGCCGAGACCCTCATCCCCTGTGAGGCTTGTCTCCCTCATCTGTAAAATGGGGCTGCAAGGCCTCCCCTCAGGGACTTTCAGTGGAGCTGGGAGCAGGCCCCTCATTTCCCTCCTGATCCTGAGGGCAAGGCAGGACCAGCTCTTTCCAGAACAGGGGCAGGGGGATTTTGGCTTCTGTGTCTCCTAATGACCTTCCAATGTCTCAGGTCTCCAGGAGGGAAGGAGTAATGCCCACCCGCCCGCAGGACCCTCCCCAGCCTGGCCCATAAGCTGTGGCCATTGGCCAGGAGAGATGTGCTTCCCTCTGGGGGGTCTGGAAGCCATTCACTCCCTCTCCGACCTCACCCCTTCATCTGCAGGTTAAGCAGTGAAGCCTGGATGGGGTGCCCCAGCCCTGTGCCTGTCTGAGAGAACACAGTACATGCGCCCAGGTTCCTCTGGGTGGTTTTGAGGTGGGGAGAGTAGAGGTGGGATCCAGGGCCAGTGCCCAGGGCCTGCCTGCCTGGAGCTGCTGCAGCTCCCAGGGAATGGGGTCTAGGTTGGCACCAGGCCAAGGTCTCCCAGCCCACACACTCCCAGACCTTGACTTGATCTTCTTAATTTCCACAATCCTCTTAATTGGCCGGTCACAAGGCCTCCTAAGTCAATCAGATTCTCTCTTGACCACCCCCCACCATCTCTGTCTCATGCTGGGTGTCCCTCGCCATCCATCTCCCTTGCCTCTCTGTTTCTGTCTGTCTCTGCACTGCCGTCTCCCCCTCCTCCCGTATCTCTCTGAGCCTGTCCCTCCACTCCCTCCTTTGCTTCCGGCCTCACGCTTTGGTCCCCACCCCCCTCCAGTGGTCTCACAGGGACAGCTGTGAAGAATTAGGAGCTGGACGGTGAGGATCAGCCCGGAGCGGCAGGGGATGATTTCTGTCTCCGTGGGAGATCGGGCAGGTTTTCTTAATTATTTCACCCAACAGCACATGTCCTGGGGCTCTCAGGGATTTTCTTGGACTTTCCCTCCTCTCAAAGTCTTGATTCTCACCTGAGTTAGACAGTTTGTCTTCATTTGTAGAGCAGCTTTCAGGCCCCCAGAAACGGTCCCAGCCCCCTACGCCCCTAAGCTTCCAGAGAGCATCTGTGGTGAGCCCGGGAGCCCCGGGAACCAGCCTCCCCTGGCCCGTATCCCCCCTCTTCCCAGAACGGGGTGCCTCTCCTCCGAGAGTCCCCTTGCCCCGTGTTGCCCCAGACCCCGATGGAGGGGCTCAGAGCCACACCTCTGCAAAGGGATGCGGGACCAGTTCTTACCCTAGGGGCCACCAATAACAGCTGCTCCCTGCCCGGCCTCAGAGGCTGCTTCCCACTGAAGCCAGCTCCCTTGGGTGTCGCTGTCACAGGGACCAGAACCGCTGCCATTCCCTTGGGCAAGCTGCCCACCGAGCTGCTGCCTTCTTCTGTGTGAAATGGGGCAACAAAGGCACCTGCCTCACGGGACGATTGCTACAGCTACCGCAACTCCCTGAGCATCTAGTACGTGCCAGCGCCATGTCACACCCTCTTGCCAATCATCCCGTTCTTCCTCTCAGTGACCGTGGCAGGAGGGATTTGTATGTCCATTTTATGGATTGAGAGACTGAGGTTTACAGATGTGAAATTATTTTGCTAGGGCCTGAGAGCTCCAGAAGGTGGTGTCGTGGAACCCCAGTGCTTATCTGGGGTGTTTTTTCATTATTCGACCACAGGAAGCCCCTGGTGCCTTCCGCTTCTCTGCCCCATCACATTCCCCACTGCTGTGGCTCTGTGCCCATACGGGCTCCCACCACACACAGGAGGAGGGAGCTGACTGCCTTGGCAGCTCTGCTTGTGGTTAAAGGAGGGGGAGCTCACATTTCAGTTCTTCCTGGCTTGGAAAAGGCCATTGGAAAAAACAGCCCTTCCACCCCCCAGCGATGTGTGTTCACAGCTCTTCAGCCCTGGCAGGCCTGAGAGCTCCCCCAAGGCAGTGGAGAGATCTGGGGCCATGGGCGGCAGCCACACCGCACAGTGCGGGAGGTACACTCTGGGTACAAGTACCTCATCCTGCAGGGTTTAGAGGGCCTGGAGGTCAGACTGGCTGAGCACAGGGCTCTGGGCGTTGGCAGTGTGTCTCACATACATTGAGGCTGATACTGTTGGTGGAACTGCAGAGCTGTAGATCCAGAGGCTGCAAAAGGGAATGAGGTTCTCTCAGCCAGCAGGCCCCTAATTACAGGCTGCAGGTGAGTGGAAGAGCTTCATGCTGTGAACAGGCTCCAGAAAGCTTCATTCTTTATACTGGCCAAGGGGAGAAGGAGGAAAAGGAGGCCGGCCCGGGGATGCTAGATTAGACAAGCCTGTGAGGTTCTAATAATATAAACACAAATCAAACCGTCTTAAGCAAAAAGAAACATTGATGAATGTAATTAAAATGTTTAAGGTGTAGCTTCAGGTATAGCTGGATCCAGATGCTCTAACAGTGTCACCAGGAAGCTGTCTGTCATCCTCTAGCTCAGCTTTCTTTGGCTTTTGGCTTCACTCTCAGGCAGCTCCTTCCAAGGAGCAGCCCTTGACCAGCTCCTGGGCTACATCAGCGGCTGCAAACAAGCCCAGAGGCTGCTGCTTACCGAGTGAACTAGGCCGCGTGTTTGTCTCCAAACTAATCACATCAGTCGGGCTGGACTGTGCTGAGTATTTCAGCCTCACTCACATCCTTCTCCTGAGTGGAGGCATCCACGCAAGGCTGCAGAACCACGCGATAGAATACAATCGTGATGGGGTTGACACCCCAAGGAAATGAGGCAGCTGATACCAGGAAAGAGGAATGAACACAGGGCTGGGTCCACCTTGCCCAGGTCACTTCGGCACCCCATCCCTCCATTTCCTCATCAGCAAGAAAAGAGGGGCCGTAAGGCCCACCTCCCCAGGTGGGCTCCACGTCTAAGCCCCCATGGCCCCATGGGTCAAGTGTGAGTTGTAAGGAACTGGGGGTGAAGGGAAGGCCCGAGCCAGGCCTCCACACCGGCCACTTCTCACTTCAAGTTCAGTGAGTGAGATGAAAAACACCACAAAATGAAGACAAAGGCTCTATTGCCTGCCCCTGGCTTCTCCTCACACTTTGTGCTGCCTGGGCCCCACTGGCCTACTGTCAGCTCCTCTTCCTGCCCAGGGGACTTCAGCCAGACTTCTTCCCCTGCCGGGAGGCCTGTTCACCCCTCTAGCACCCACTGCCTGCCTGGATGCAACCTCTTGAAGGCATATGAGAGGTGGCCTTTTCACATCTGTCCCGTTGCCGGGGAAGCCGGGATGGTCATCTGCTCCTCAGGTCCCTTGGGAGGAAGGCACGAGGGAGCTGCTGCTGACTAAAGCTGGAGGAGCCGTTCCCCCACCCCACAGGCTCCCTTGTCAGTCATTCCTCTTTGCCTGTAGCTCTTCCTCCCTTCCAGCCAGACTCAAGGCTGGGGCTGACTGTCTCAGGGAAGGGAGACCCGGAAGAGCCCAGTGAGGCCTGCAGGGGAAGCCTCGACCCATGGAGTCCAATCCTGCTCTCAGAAGCACACACAAGGATGATAGCTTTGAGAGGACAAAGGCATCTGGCACTTCCTGCAGAAGAGGAGGGAAGAGTGTGGGATAGGATGACAGGGGGGTTCCTGCTGACTGAGAGGCCCCAGGATCAGGCCCTGCACTGTGGGATGACTCACCCCACTTTCCAGGGGTCAGAGATACCTCATGGTAGGTTGAGGGATGCCAAGGCAGAGGAACTTGGACCCCCTTTTTCCTCTGAGACTCTGTGGCCTGGCTGGTGGCCATCTGGAGAGACACGGTCTGGAGGAGACTGGGACAGAGGTGGGGTGGCACTTGTCCTCTGCAGAGCTGAAATGGCCTGGGGGGCACTCACAGCTTTCTGGGGCTCCTAGGAGCGAGGTGGAGATGGCTAAGAGTTGGCAGTAGAGGACATGGAGTGGGGGCCCCATTCAGTGAGGATGTGCAGAGGTTTGAAGGCTGGCCTGCCACCTAGATGGCCCCTGTCCCATGCCAGGGTGGCATGGAAGCTCCCTGTCAGCACTGGACTTCCCCAGGGATAAAGGGCAAGGAGAGGGGGGGAAGAGACTCCGGAACTCATCTGATGGGTCAACACTCACAGGTCAGGAAGTGTCAAGCGCTGGGCCTCCATTCGGTGCTGCTGATGTGTGTGTCTGCCCTCTGCCAGCACCACGCTTGGTTTCTATAGCTCTGTAGTAAGTCTCAGTACCGGGTATGTGGTTTCTCCTACTTCATTCTCCTCTGTCAGAGATTGTTATCTCGGGCCTTTCCTTTTTCATATATATTATAGAATAAGCTTGTCTGTATCTGTAAAAACCTTGCTGAGATTTTGATAGGAATGGTGTTAAAACTGCCGTCAGTTTGGGTAGAAGAGACATCTGTCGTGCTGAGCCTTCGAATCCATGAACCCTGACGTGTCTCCATGCGTTAGGTCTTCCTTGATTTCTTTCATCAGTGGCTTGTAATTTTCATCACACAGACTCTTATTTTTTAAACTCATAAAAAGATTCACCTAGAGCTTTCCAGGTTCACTGTAGCATCCTCTTTGTCTTTGTTCTTGCCGTCTTGCTGAAGGCAGTACTCCATCCCACTAAGGACACCTCGTTGAGCTCCAGGTCCATGTAATCCACGCCAAGTTGTGACTATGCGCAAACTTATCCACCTCCGGGGGTGGGGAACACATCCTGCTGAGGCAGCCCCTCCTCCGACTGTGCCCGCCAGAAAGTTCTTGCATGGAGTACATTTCTGCACCCAGGCGCCCTGGCTCTACCCCAGGGCCACCCACCCACAGTTCGAATCCCTGACTTTCTCTGCTTTGCAAACCTTTTGTCTCTTCTCTAAGCCTCAACTCAGAGCACTCCGCTGGGTATTTCTCAAAATTCGCCTCCCTGCGCTGACTGGTCCTCATCTTCTTTCAGCTCCTGACACTGTCAATCTGTTTCTGAAACACACATGAAACACACACTCTCTCTCTCTCTCTCCTCTTCTTCCTTTGTCTCATCACCCCACATTCCTTTCTCTTCCTCTCCAAGCCCGTCCCACGTCCTGGCTGCCCTCACAGGTGACAGCTGAGATCTGACTTACACCTGGCCAGGGACAAGGCACCTTCCACCTGCTCCCAAGTGTCCCAAATGAACCCAGAGAAGAATTGAAACAGACTCCAATGGCTCTTCTCTTTCAGGATACTGTGCCACATGTAGGGATGAGCAGGGAAGCTTCCACACGAAGCCATCTAAACCTCAGTCTAACTTTGTTTTTGCAGGCTCTGGCAATGATGCCAGACTCTATGGGACAACAGGTCACCAAGGCAACCCTGCCCAGTGGATTTGGCCAACGTTTTGGACCGTGTAAATAACACCTCTATTCATGTCCAGCTGCTGGTGACCCGGAAGAGGCAGCAGACGCTGTGGAGGCTTTGCCAGCCTCCCTGCCTGGATCATGAGACCCTGAGCAATACACTTGTCTTTCTGAGTCTCTGCTTCCTCCTCACAAGGCAGGGTGCTAAGATCTACCTCCCAAGGAGCTGGTGTGCATTGTGGAAATCAGATACAGTGCCGAGCACCACGCCTGGAACTGTGGTCATGGCACTGTGACCACCATCGTCATTAGCGTTTTGGAGGGAGGCCACGCAGTTCTGTGGCTGCTTGTGTCTCTGAACTTGCTCACTCATGTGGCTCCTTAAAGAGTGGTTTGTGGTGGTTTCTTCCTCAGATGAGAACAGCACCGGGTCCCGGGTTTCTATTTGCCTTGCATCTCCCAAAAGTGCTGACTTACTCAACCAAGTACACCCAGGCCCCGGGGCTGACCAGGGAAGTGATTCAGGGTGTGGCACAGGGGTGGGCAGGAGCACCCACCTGCTTGAGCCCCACAACACCATTGGGTGCGGCTGCCCAAGGACCCCCAACACTCATCCACACTTTTGGCCCTTTAGAGACCCAAGGCTTAGACTGCTCCAAGAAGGGAGGCTGCACCCTCAGCTGGAGAGAGGATTCAAATGGTAGCTAGCAAGACTCCAGAGATGTACAAGCAGCTGGGGGCCACCAGATACAGCAGGCAACCGGGCCCTTTAAGTGTGGCTAGTCCAGATTGGCATGTCCTGAGAGTGTAAAATCCACACTGGATTTCAAAGACTTTGTACCAAAATTTATATATGTATTTTTATATATAATAATATCTTAGATATTAGATATATATCAGATATATAGATAACATAATATATATTAGATATATGTATATCTAATATATCTAACATAATAGATAATATATACATTAGAATCTGTTTCTTTTCACTTTAAAAATATGGCTACCAGAAGCTTTGAAATGACACGTGGCTGGTATTTACAGCTCACGTTGTGTTTCTATAGGGTAGTGCCACTCAACAGACTGTCCAATATATATGACTTGTTTTAGGGGCCTGGTCCTGGGAGGCCAGGGTCCTCCTCTTTCCTTGATCCCAGGAGATCCTGCAGGGTCCTCGCCACCTAGCCCCCTTGGCCTTGGTGCACATACAACAAAATCCAGAACCCTGGAAGGCTCCTGTGCTCCCCTGCATCTTTGGATCTGCACACCCAGCCCTGTGCACACAGTCCCTCAAGCACATATAGCTCTTTTATGAAACTTGGGAACAGGACTTCCTGATTCAAGGTACTTTCCTGGTGTCCTCCAGAAAATCAACACAATAAACATGCAAATCTATGACAGCTACCGTGGGAATAATGTCTCGGATACAGCACCCTTGTCCAGTATGCAGCTTGCACAGCCGTATGTGGCAGCCCTGCCAGTATCTAGCTGCTCAATATTAGTTGGAGAGATAATTAAGGAAGAAATAATAGGGACTCCCACCCCCATGATGTTTCTGGGCTGAGGCTGCACCTCTTGTCCAATGAAAATGACAGTTTTTTTCAAGCAAGAGGCCACTTCTCAGGACTGTGGCCCTAGCCTCACTCACTGCCCACACGTGAAAACCACGTCAACGTAGCAGCACACCTCCAACATTCAGAAAGTTCATACAGCTACGGGCAGAAGGTAAACACCTACTGATGCTTCAAGCCCAGCCTAGGACCCTCTGCGAAGAATCTCCGTCTCTGCACTGCTGATGTCACAGAACAGCCCAGGGAGGGGTCGCTGGGCTAGTCTAACCTGAGCTGTTACCGTCTTGGTTGAGGGACCATTGCTTTGTTGGAGGATGGGTGCCGATACAGACTGGTGCAGTGTGCTGGCATGCTTTTATCAGAGAGTGCTGATACACATCTGCTTAGAATGATTAAAGTTTCTCATCTCGTCTGACTCATAGGGCAGCATCCACAGAAAAGCAGAGGATGAGATAAGCCGGGAGGGCTGGGAGTGTCCGACTTTCACAGCTCTGTTTTCACCTCACAATGTCCTGTTTGCTCTCAGTGAGTTTGTTGGTTGGTTATATAAACATGTAGATATTTACTCATCTGTGGCAGGGTGAGTTTAACCCTTTTCTTCCTTAGCTTCTCACATATAGCTTTTATTTGTGTTTCATTCATGTTTAGCGTTGATGATTTCTCTCATTTGACACTTTTCCATTACATGGAAATTTCAGTCCCCAGAAAAAATGTAAAAGAGGGTGTTTTGCTTGTTTGTGAATTCATCTTTCTTTTCTTTTAAAAGCATTTTCTATTTTCCCACATATGAGTTTGATTGCAACTAGAGAGCAACAGGAAGTGAGTGAGGGGCCAAGCTGAGAGCATCAAAACAATTCTCAGCCCCGTTTTCCAGAGCTCCTTGCAGTTCCTTTAACCAAATGGATGCTTTGCGGAGAGTTAGGTTATTTAGTACAGTAAACAATTTTTTTCTTTTCCTTTCAGCCACTTAATGTGGTATCATGAAAGGAAGATCAACTTCTTAATGAAAAAAAGCTGTGATGGAAGAGGAGGCTATAGCACATCAGGAGCGCTTCCAGGCTTACATAAGTAACATTCCTGCTGCATAAACATCTTGGCAAATCCGGAGACTAAATCCCATCCCACACCGCTGGCCTGAACCAAACACTGTATAATGTTTTAAAAAAGAAAAAGAATCCCGTTGATGGTAACAGTTTTCTTTCCAGAAACAAGTCATTAGTTTGGACAAAAAAATCCAATTGCATCTGCTGAGCTCCCCAAAGTTCTAGTGGAAATTATTATCTAGAGAAAAAGCAAGTGAGGAGTAAGAGTGGAGGATTGTGATCTCTTAAGAGTAAAACAGAAACGGCACTTAAACCCCATGATGTGCCTTTCAGCGCAAAATTGCAAACCCCAAATAATTAAACTATCCTAATTTGGCAAATGTCAACAAGAGAGTTCAAAAATAATCATCATAATTTTAATGCATTATTAACTCTACTAGAGATTTTAAACAAAATTAAACATTGATCTATTTACTTAACTCCTGAAATGACATGAAGTTGAAGCATACAGGCCGGGTGTGGCAGCTCATGGCCATAATCCCAGCATTTGGGAGGCCTTGGTGGGCGGGTCACCTGAGGTCAAGAGTTCGAGACCAGCTTGGCCAACATGGAGAAACCCCATCTCTACTAAAAATAGAAAAAAAAAAAAAATTAGCCAGGCGTGGTGGCAGGTGTCTCTAATCCCAGCTACTCTGGAGGCTGAGGCAGGAGAATCACTTGAACCCGGGGTAGGCGGAAACGTTGCAATGAGCTGAGATGGCACTGCTGCACTCCACCCTGGGTGACAGAGTCAGATTCCCGGTCAAAAAAAGAACATTCATTAAACATTTACTGTGGCCAGGGGCTGTGGCTCACTCCTGTAATCCTAGCACTTTGGGAGGCTGAAGCGGGCAGGTCACCTGAGGTCAGGAGTTCGAGACCAGCCTGGCCAACACGGTAAAACCCCGTCTCTACTAAAAATACAAAAACGAAATTAGCTGGGTGTGGTGGCAGGCACCTGTAATCCCAGCTACTCAGGAGGCTGAGGCAGGAAAATCACTTGAACCTGGGAGGCAGCGGTTGCAGTGAGCCAAGACTGAGCCACTGCATTCCAGTCTGGGCAACAGAGCGAGACTCTGTCTCAAAAAAAAAAAAGAAAGAAAGAAAAGTATGTACTTGGTGCTCTTTGGAGCCCCAGCTTTCCTGTAATACATACATAGGAATTCATATTAATATTTGTTCCCAAGAAAAGATGGGACTTACAGAGCACTATCTGTTTCATAACATATTCTCCATGACATTTTAATTCCAAGAAGTACTAACACCAAGTTGTGAGGAAAAACTATTCCTTCTTTCTAAGTGTTTGAGGCATAAAAGCAAAGTCATATTCCAATAAAACCAGTTTCCATGGTTCCTGAGCTACAAAGAATATTTGCATTTCTTTCTTCAATTCCCACAAGTAACAACTCTTCAGAAGTAGTTCCTCTAAAGTCTTTTCTTCCAAAAGTCTGAACAGACCAATGATCATAGAAGTGATAGAGAAAATAGTTAGAGCTCCTCCTAGACGCCCCCAAAGGGCATCAAGTCCAAATCATTTCTCAGTGCTTCTCAAATTACTCCACTCCACAGGAAAAGAGGGAAACTTCCAATTATTTACAAAGCCAAGAGTATTACTGGTTTGAAAACTTGACAAAGAGTTTAACTAAAAGTAAAACTACAGACCAATCTCACTCACTAACATTGATAGGAAAATGTTAAAGAAAATCTAAGCAAATAGAATCAGGAAATCAGGACCAAGGCAAAGATGTTCACTATCATCATTACTGTATAAAGTTGTATTGGAGGGATTAGCCAAAGAAAGAAAAAGAGGAAATAACTACAAGCAGATCAATTTGAAAGGAAACAATAACAATAAAAAAAAATCTGTGTAGATGATATGATGATATATTAGGAGAGTCCCCAAATAATCACTGGAAAAGCTAAGGCAAACCATAAGACAATTCAGTAAAATAGCAGGCTATGAAATGAATAAACAGGAGCCAAAGCCTCCATATCTATAAACAAAGGCCATCTAGGAGGAATAATAAAAGGGAAGATCTCATTTCTGATAGGGAGAAAAAAGACCTTAGTGTAAACTTAATGAGAAATGTGCAACCTATTCAAGGAAAATATGAAACTTTTGTGAAAGATGCAAAAGTGTAATTAAGGAAATTGAGAGATATACCATGTTCGTAGATAGGAAGACTGAACATCAAAAAGATATCAATTTATTTTAAAATAATTTATAAATTTGGCATGTTCTCAATAAATATTATGGCTTTTTTTCTGGAGCTAGGCAAGCTGATTCAAAGGTTTAATTGAAGCACAAACAAGCAGAAATAGCCAGGAAAATCTGAAAAAACAATGTGGAGAAACTAGCGTTACCAAATATTAAAACATATTACAAAGTTTTTATCATTTAAAAGAACAGTATAGAACTGGTGCACAGACTGATGGGACAGAATAGAAAAATCCAGAAATAGGCTCAACCGCTCATGGAAATTTAATATACACCAAAGGAAGCATCTCAAATCAGTGGAGAAAAAATAGACTTTTAAAATAAGTGGCACTGGAATAATACCTGCATAGCTACAGAAAAAAAAGAGAAAACTGATTTGTTTCTCACCCTGTATACAAAGATAACTTCTTATTAGTTCAGAGATTAAATATTTAATATTATGGAATAATAAGAAATCATATAAAATAAAAAATGAATAAATTACTGATAATTCAGGGTGGGGGAAAAATGTTCCTAAACTATGACTGAAAATCCAGAAGCAATTAAGGAAAAGACTGACAAATTTGACAGCATATAAACAGAGGAAAACTTTTGCATGAAAAAAAAAACAAACAAAAACACCATAAATAAATGAAAAAGGAAAAATAGATTGTGAAAGAGTTTCTTAAAAGAGAGAAGAAAAAGACTAAGAATCTCATAGAAAAATAAGCCAGAGCTATGAGCAGATATATCAGAAAAAAATGCAAATAGCCCTCATCCACATGCACATTGATTAACCACCTTCACAATAAGAGAAATTTAAATGAAAACTATAATGAGTATTATTCTTACATTTAAGGGACAAAAATCCAAAAGTTTGATGAGAAACTTAGTGCTGGTGGGAGTAAGAAAAAATTATTCAACACTATGAAAAGAAATTTTGAAATATTTAGCAAAATTACACAAGCATTTGATCCAGAAATCTCCCTTTAGAAATCTATTACAAATACATATTCCCAAAATGTTTTTTAAACATGCATGGTTATATTAAAAGACAGGAAACAATTAAAATGTCCACAAATACAATCATATAAAGTTAGTGTTCAAACTATAGTACTTCTACTCAATGGAGAATTATTCAGATGTTAAGAGAAATGAGGACTCTCTCTATGCATTGCTAAAGACAATCTCCAGAATATATCATTTTGTGAAGAAAAAACAATTGAAGAATACATTTTTAAAGAGAAACTTTTGTTTTTGTGCAATATAAATGTTCTACATAAAGTGAAATATGAGGAACATTTATAAAGTAATTTGTGAAAATAAAAAGTCAGATTTAATGAAATAAGTCTCTGTATTGACTTAATGTCCTAGCCATACAGAGGGGTATATTTTAAAACACAGTAATTCTATGGAACATTTCTAGTGCGGTATACCCCAATGACCAAAAAAAGTAACTGCAAAGAAATCTTAATTGTTACTAATCATGTTGCTAGAAATCATTTGGGAATTGATGTTCTCAAGCTTATGTATATGCTAACATGAAGTAAATAACCGTACAAATGTTAGGAATCAAGATTTTAAATAAAAGAGGTCCAATGTAAAATCTTTGTAATACTAAATTTGAATCTGAAGATATCAGAATAAACTCATAATGTGTTTCCTTTAAGAAAAATGTATTTCCTTGTTCCATTTGTTCACAAAGGCCTAGAAACAATGATCAGCCGACGAGTGATAAACACCACAAATGCCTCGATTTTGGTCTCTAAATTCCATTTTTCACCAAAAGAAATCAGGCTCTTTGAAGAAATGTCTGGATCCAGGTGTGGAGCAGGAAATACACAAGATAAACCTGGATCATCTTGTCAAATCTGAGAACATGTACACAGTCATGGACGGCTGCTATTGGGTCAAAGGGATTCTTTGTAGGACCGCAGAAGGCTCCTACTGGCCAAAGGTAGTACAATATGAGCATCAAGAACAGCAGTTACAATGCATTGAAGCATAAAAAACACATAAATATGTCTAATCCGTGAGTTCATAATGATAAGCAAAAAAACATGAGACAGACGCCAAACTCATTTTTAACTTTTAAGGCTAATGGAATGCCAGTTTATTATTCTGAAATCTGTAAACAAAGGGGAAAAAATTAAACATTTATCTGGCCTTCCCTGAAGGAACTGTGCCTCAGGGTAACAAAGTTTTTGGTGAGAGGAAGTTTCTCTTTGTAGAAGTATTTTAGTTAACACGTGGAGAAGGAATGATAAAGTTGGAAGATCACCATTTTGAAACCTCTAATGGTCATCAATGTCTGCTAAAACCATTAGGCAAAAAGCTGATGGGGAATTTTAATAACTGATGGATCAGGCTAACAATATTTGAAACCATTGATCCATCTTAATAGCACAGAAGGGGAGAGAACCAGAGATTATGTGTCTCCTGATAGAAGTACACACCACCACCCATGAAGTATTTTTGCCAAAAAAAATCCAACCTGTTTATTATAAAGTCACAGATCTACCATTTTATAAGAAACACTGCAGATGGAAGATCATGTTAAATGACACCATAGGGATGCAATCAGCAAGGTCCGGAATCTGACAAACTCCACAGGATGAATGACCTGGATCTTCAACAGGAAAATTAAGGGGGATGGGAAAGATGCTTAAGAGACTCATCAATCCATATGAAATGTGTGACCTTTATTTGAATCCTGATTCAAACAAACCAACTGTAAAAATGAGTTATGAGATAGTTCAGGAAATAAGAATATATGACATTTTTATTGTTAAAATTTTTAGATTTCATAATAGCAATATGGTTTTTTTTTAAGAGTCTTATCTTTTAGATATAAATGCTAAAGTACTTATAGACTAAAATACTTGCTGTGTGGGATTTGCTTCAAAAGAATCCTATCAGGGGAAGGAAAGAAAATGGGCAGGCTAGAGATGCTATGTATTAGCTATGACGTGATGATTATTGAGATGCAATGATGGCTGTTTTTTATACCTTGTATATACATTTGGATATGTTCAGGACTTTTCTAACAAAATGTTAACAAAAGAAAATAAAGTTGTTCTTGATGTCTCAGGAGCCCACAGATGTCTGATGAGAAGGTATAGCGTTTCCATCCATGGATAGAACTTGTTAGGGTATACAGAAAAGACTCAAACCTCAGTTGCCTGTCCCCCATCCTTCATGCCAGACTCTCATGGTCAAGATTTCCAGAAATATAAGGACTATCTATGTAGTTTACATACAAGTGGGATGATATAGTTGGGGAGAGGAACTCAAATATCTAAAGCCCTGGGTAAGATGGGGGTAGGGGGTGGAATTTAATTGTATATTGGGAAATAACCACCACAAAACTTCTTTGACTAACAGGAGAAGAATTTTTTATCGAACTCTCAATCTGAAGATCATTAATTTTCTACCAAAAGTCAGGGTACACATGAACACCTAAATTCATTACTCACATCCATAAAGTTCATTGCTGCATCCAAAGATAAATGCAAAATCATCCACAAGTTGTTATATGGGGCATCTTTTCAGACTACTAACTTGGGTTATGTCTACTGTTGAATAGATCTGTGCAGTGTTTTATATGTCAGGGAAGTTAAAGCTACAGAACTAAGGTTGATAAAGATCCAACTTAAAGCATAAAATTTTATTTATTTATTAATTTATTTTTATTTGCATAGGTTATTGGGGAACAGGTGGTGTTTGGTGACATGAGTAAGTTCTTCAGTGGTGATTTGTGAGATTTTGGTGCACCCATCACCCGAGAAGTGTACACTGTACCCAATTTGTAGTCTTTTATCCCTCAGCCCCCTCCCACCCTTTCCCTTCTAGTCCCCAAAATCTACTGCATCATTTTTAAAGCATCATATTTTAAAAAGGCAAAGGTTGAAAGAGCTAGCAGACAGAGTGGGCTCAATAAGTATTTGCTTACATGTTAGAAAAGCAACACTGGTATCTACCCTACTCTGCTATTTTCAGAAATACAGACAATGCAAATCACGAAAGTAGACACTCAATAAATGGTAATTATAAGTGAAAGACTAGCTGTGGGGCAGAGTAGATAATCATGATGAAGAACCATGAGCCAGAGAACTAAACAGGTTCTTGGCTAAAGGCCTCATTGATGTTCTAATGAGGAGACCTAATGGAATGTCTAAATGGGAGCTGCATGTGCTATTTAAATATAGGTTGCTGTGCATATCTATCAATTGTTTAGCTGATTTCATAGGGTGCAATGATTGTCTTTATTCAATCCCAAGCAAGAAAGCACATCAGAGATTGTTCCAGAGAGGGAATTGAACTGGAGGACCAAAGGATCCTGGAAGTCAATATTCTGGCACCCAGAGTGACCAGCATGTGATGAGCTGTACCCTTACAAAGTGGCACCTAATATACTCCTGCTGCTATTTGTGTACATGCATATATTAGATTAACCATAATGAAACTGCTGATATGCAACCATCATTGACCAAAAAAACAGCAATGTCATAGGATTCAACTTAATACTGTGAAACTTGAACATGCGGAAGAGATGGAGAAGTAGGTGAGACTAAAGTTCCTCAAAGGTGGAGGTTCTCAATGCTCCAAATACTCTCTTTATAACTAATGCTTTATAATGTCCCTGTTTTTATCCTGAAATAAAAGTCAAGTAACATAACTCAACCACATTTAAAAAGTTTTTAAATTCAGTACTAGTCCCTAACTTTAATGTAATGCAGAAATGAGAAGAAGTTACTTTTTAAAAAATAATATATGTGATGGTTATTTTTATGTGTCAACTTGGCTAGGCCAGAGTACCTGAATATTTGGTCAAATACCAGTCTAGTTGTGGCTGTAAAGGTATTTTTTGGATTAGATTAACATTTAAATCACCAGACTTGGGTCCGCATAGTGGCTTACTCCTGCAATCCCAGCACTTTGGGAGGCTGAGGCGGGCAGATCACCTGAGGTCAGGAGTTCAAGACCAGCCTGGCCAACATGGTGAAACCCAATCTTTAATTAAAAAAAATAAATTAGCTGGGCGTAGTGACAGCTGCCTGTAATCCCAGCTACTTGGGAAGCTGAGGCAGTAGAATTGCTTGAACCCGGGAGGCAGAGGTCGCAGTGAGCTGAGATCTTGCTACTACACTCCAGCCTAGGCAACAAGAGTGAAACTTCATCTCAAAAAAAAAAAATCAGCAGATTTTAACTAAACCAGATTAATCCTTCATAAGGTGGATGGGCCTTGTTTAATCAGTTGAAGGTCTTAAGAGCAAAGACTGAGGTCCCCCAAGGAAGAAGGAATTCTGTCTCCAGGATGCCACTGGACTTAAGCTGCAGCGACAACTCTTCCCTGGATCTCCAGCCTGTCAGCCTGCCCTGCAGATTCTGGACATGCCAGCCCTCACAGTTATGTGAGAGCCAATTCCTTAAAATAAGTCAGTCTGTCTCTCTCTCTCTCTCTTCCTATTTCCCCCTCTCTCTCTCCCACCTCTGTCTTCTCCATATATATATATGTGCACACACACACAACACACACACACATATATATATATCTCTAATATGGTATATGTGTCTGCATGTATGTGAATATATCCAATAGTATGTATGTATACATATGTATACACATGCATACACATTCACAGATGCACACTCACACACAATAGGTTGTACACATGTGTATACACAAACACACTCATTCTACTGGTTCTATTTCTCTGGAAAACCATGACTAATATAAGATGATTTAAAAATAAATTTGGCAGCTAACCAGGGAGGTGAAAGATCTCTAATAATGAGAATTACAAAACACTACTCAAAGAAATCAGAGAAGACACAAACAAATGGAAAAAAATCCCATGCTCATGGATAGGAAGAATCAATATCATTAAAATAGACCTACTTTCCAAAGCAACTACAGATTCAATGCTATTCCTATCAAACTACCAACAACATTCCTCACAGAACTAGAAAAAACTTTTAAAATTCATATGGAACCAAAAAAGAGCCTGAATAGCCAAGGCAATCCTAGGCAAAAAAAAAAAACAAGTCTGGAGGCATCACATTACCCAACTTCAAACTATACCACAGAGCTACAGTAACGAAAACAGCATGGTACTGGTACAAAAACAGGCACACACACCAATGTAACAGAATAGAGAGCCCAGAAGTAAGGCCGCACACTTACAACCATCTGATCTTCAACAAAGCTGACAAAAACAAGCAATGGGGAAAAGACTCCCTATTCAATGAATGTGCTGGATAACTGGCTAGCAATATGCAGAATATTGAAGCTGGACTCCTTCCATACACCATATACAAAAGTTAATTTAAGATGGATTAAAGACATAAATATAAAACCCAAAACTATAAAAAACTCTGGAAAACAACCTAGGCAATACCATACTGGACATAGGAACTGGCAAAGAGTTCATGACAAAGACATCAAAAGCAATTGCAACAAAAGTAAAAACTGACAAATGGGATCTAATTAAACTTAAAAGCTTCTGCACAGCAAAAGAAACCATCAGCAGAATAAACAGACAACCTACAGAATAGGAGAAAACATTTGCAAACTATGCATCTGACAAAGGCTAATACTCAGCATCTATAAGGAACTTAAACAAATTTACAAGAGGAAAACAACCCCATTAAAGAGGGGGCAAAGGACATGAACAGACACTTTTCAAAAGAAGACAAATATGTGGTTAACAATTATATGAAAATAAGCTCAATATCACTGATCATTAGAGAAATGCAAATCAAAACCACAATGAGATACCATCTCACAGCAGTCAGAATGTCTATCACTAAAAAGTCAAAAAATAACAGATGCTGGCAAGGTTGTGGGGAAAATGGAACACTTACACACTGTTGGTGGAAATGTAAACTGGTTCAACCATTGTGAAAAGCAGTATGGTGATTCCTCAAAGAGCTAAAGGCAGAACTACCATTCAACCCTGTCGTCCCATTACTGGGTATATACCCAGAGGAATATAAATCATTCTAGCATAAAGACAAATGTTCACTGCAGCACTATTCACAATAGCAAAGACATGGAATCAACCTAAATGCCCATCAATGACAGACTGAATAAAGAAAATGTGGTACATAAACACCATGGAATACTGTGCAGTGATAAAAAAACAAGATCATGTCTTTTGCAGAAATGTGGATGGAGCTGGAGGCTGTTATCCTTAGCAAACTAACACAGAAACAGAAAACCAAGTACTGCATTCTCACTTGTAAGTGGGAGCTAAATTGTGAGAACTTGTGAACACAAAGAAGGAAACAATAGACATTGGGTCTACTTGAATGTTGAGGGTGGGAGGAGGGAGAGGAGCAGAAAAGACAACTATTGGGTACTGGGTTTAATACCTGGGTGATAAAATAATCTGTACAACAAACCCCCATGACATGAGTTTACCTACATAACAAACCTTCACATGTACCCCAGAACTTAAAACAAAAGTTAAAAGAAAAAAAAGAAAAAAAAATCATTGCCAAAACCATTGTCAAAAAAACGTTACTAGGAGTTAACATTACAATTGTGAAAGGAAAATGAATCTTGGGACCCCAAACTCACTAAGCCAGAGGGAAAAGCCAAGCTGGGAACCAGGTCATGCAAACCTGCCTCCCATTTTGATTCCTAAATAAGATGGTTACAAAGATGAAAAGCTACATACTTCCCTCACATTGTGCCCACATGAAAATTCCTTGTGGGACCCAAGATCTTTACCCTGAAGCGGTTCTGTTAAAGTTCACCACAGCCATGTAAATTGATAGCTTATCTTCACAGGTACAGAGACAAAGGACAGAACTCAAAGTCGTCCCTTTGTTCATCTGAGACAAATGCATACGTAATTGTTTCCTCTGCCCTGTTGTCTATGTTATCTTGTGTAAAAATGCAGATTCACTGAGCCAGACAAAGGCATGAATGACTATTTCCCCCTACCCCATTCACATGAAAATTGTGTATTTCTCAGTATCCTACCCTTTCCCTTTTGAATGTTGAAGCCCTCAAAATCATATTTAAAGAAAGGCATAGACCTATCTCCCCGGTGCATGTCCTTAACTTTGGCAAATACGTCTCCTAAAATGATTTTTTTAATTAAAATAAATAAATTAGGAAAAATTCTGCTTCTGGGAAGATGGAGTAGACATATCTTTCCCTAATTTCCCACTAAGCACAACTAAAACTCTGGACATTATATATAAAACAAACACGATAAGTCTCTGAAAGGTGATGAGGAGAAGGTAGGCTGGCTAAGTGCCTTAAGACTCAAGGAATGATGTGGTAGTGAGTTCTGTAGGGTTTCTTTTTGCCTCATATATCCTAAACTTGGAACTGAAAAAGCTGGCAAGCTGGAGATCCCGATGAACACAAACCACCACCACAATAACGAAAGCTTGCTCTCTCTAACAAAAGGGCCAAGAAAGGGGCAGCCTAGCAAGACAGAAAACTTGTACAGACTAACTGCTCTATTCCAGTGAAAACCACAGAAAACATTACCTACATCAGCAAAGACCAAGGAGAGAGCCTAGACTTCTTCCTTTGTGAGACTCTTAACACACACCAAAGGGTGACGTCAGAGAAGACCCAGTAGACACCTAAGATTTTCATCCCCTCTGGTAAGTAATGAGATATGAACCCCCAGGGTCAGTGGAGACAAGTTAGCGAGCTAGACCTCCCACCCACATCCAGCAACAACACAGAACCCCACAGCTTGGGTGTCCACAGAGGCTGAGTGAGGAACCTGCACTTCTACCCCTACCTGGCAGTAACAAGGCAGCACTCCTTTTCCACCTCTGCAAAAACAATGTCAGAGAAAGCTAGCTAAAACAGAAGATTTAAATATGGTCCAAATTTTGCTAACATAATACAAAAATGTCCAGATTAGAGTTGAAAATCACTCATCATGTCAAGAACTAGAAAGATCTCAAATGTAATGAAAAAGACAGTGAACAGATGCCAACATCAGGATGACAAAGACGTTAAAATTATCTTAAAGATATTTTAAAGAAGACAGGATAAAAATGCTCTAACAAGCAATTATGATCACGAAATACATCTAAAAAAAAAACTTAAGAAACAGAAATTTTCCACAAAGAAGATGTAAAGAAGAACCAAATGAAAATTTTAGAACTGAAAAATACAATAGCTGAAATAAACAGCTTAGTAGATGGGTTCAACAGCAGAATGAGGGGACAGAGGAAAGAATCAGTAAACTTGAAGATAGAAAAATAGAAATAAGCCAATCTGAACAACAGAGAGAAAATATTCTGGAAAAAAAAAAAAAGAACAGAGGGTTGGGGACTGAGGGGACTATGACAAACGATCTAATGTTTGGGTCATAAGAGTCCTGGAAGAAAAAGGTCCAGGCTGAAAAAGCACTTGAAGAAATAATGGCTGAAAAACTTACCAAATTTAGCAAGAGACATAAATTTACAGATTCAAGAAGTAGAACAAATGCCAAATGGAATAAACCCCAAGAAAAACATGCCAAGACACATCAAAGTAATACTTTTGAAAACTAAAGACAAAAAAAAAATTCTGAAAGTGGCCAGAGAAAACCATAACATCTTACCTATTGAGGAAAAACAATTTGAATGACAGCAGATTTCTCTTCAGAAAGCAAAGAGGCCAGAAGAAAGGGGTGTAATATTTTTCAAGTGCTGAAAGAAAGGAATTGTCAACCTAGAATCAATACCTAGTAAAATAGCCTTATGATTGAAGTGAAAAATCAAGACAGTTTTGAATGAAGGAAAACTAAGAAAATTGTCACCAGCAAATCTACCCTAAAATAATAAAGGAATTTCTCAAAATAGAGACAAAACAATAAAAGAAAGAATCTTAGAATATCTAAAAGGGGCTGGGGCCAATGGCTCGCACCGGTAATCCCAGCACTTCAGGATGCCAAGGCAGGCAGATCATGTGAGGCCAAGAGTTGGAGACCAGCCTGACCAACATGGCGAAACCCCATCTCTACTAAAAATACAAAAATTAGCCAGACGTGGTGGTGCGGCCCTGTAATCCCAGCTACTCAGGAGGCTGAGGCACAAGGATTGCTTGAACCTGGGAGGCGGAGGTTGCAGTGAACCGAGATCATGCCATTTCACTCCAGGCTGGTGACACAGCGAGACTCTGTCTCAAAAAAAAAAAAAAAAAAAAGATATCTAAAAGGAAGAAAGAACATGGAAAGAACAAAATTACTAACTAAAAGATTTTCCTTCTTCTCTTGAATTTTCTAAATTAAGTTTGATGGGAAAAGCAAAAATTATAACACTGTGTGATATGGTTCTAAAGATATGCAGAGGAAAATTCAGTACAGTTATAACTGGAGGAAGGTAAAGGGATATAAAGAGAGGGAAGATATCTATACTGAATTAACTGGTAAAATGACAATACTAGCAGACAGTGATAAATTATTTTATGTAATTTAATATTTAGAGCAATCACTAAAAAAAATTCTAAGAAATACACTCAAAAGCACTACAGATAAATCAATTGGAATTCTAAAAAATGTTCAAGTAACCCATAGGAAGCAGGAAAAGAAAACAAAGAAACAATGAAAAAAAGGAATAAACAAAATTTTAAAATGGCAGACTTAAGTTTTAACATATTTATAATTCTATTAAATGTAAATGATCTAAGTGCACCATTTATAAGACAGAGATTGGAAGAGTCTGTTTTAAATGGACAAAGTAGACAACATGCGAGAACAGATGGGCAATATAAGCAGGGAGGTAGAAATCCTAAGAAAGAACCAAAAAGAAATGCTGAAAGACAAAAACACTGTAACAGAAACGAAGGATGCATTTGATGGGCTTATTAGTAACCCATCAAAAGAAAGATAAGAAAGAGAGAAAAAAACAGAAAAAAAATACTGGAACAATATTTCCACCAAATAAATGTCACACACCAAACCATAGACCCAGGAAGTTCAGAGAACACCATGCAGGATAAATGCCAATAACACTGCACCTAGGCCTATCATCTTCAAACTACAGAAAATCAAAGAGAGGAAAAACATGTTACTACAAAGAAACAAAGATAAGAAATTATATCCAACTTCTCTTCAGAAACCATGCGAGCAAGAAGAGAGTAGAGTGAAATAAAGTGTGGGGAAATAAAACCCACAACCCAGCAACCTACAATTCTGTACCCTGTAAAATTATCCTTCAAAAGTGAAGGAAAAATACTTTCTCAGACAAACAAATATTGAGGGAATTCGTTGCCCGTGAACCTGCCTTGCAAGAAATTTTAAAAGAAGTTCTTTAGGGAGAAGGAAAATAATGTAGTTCAGAAACTTGGACCTACGTAAAGAAAGTATAAAGGTTGAAGAAAAAATACGTGAAGGTAAAATAAAAATGTTTATTTTTCTTATTCTCAGTTGATTTAACAGATAAATTTGTTTAAAATAATAATAGCAACATTGTATTAGATATATATATGCACTTATATATAAATAAAATTAGTGACAGCAGTGATACAAGAAATGGAGAAGAGGAATTTGGATTATTTGTTATTATAAGGTATTCACACAACTTGTGAAGTGGGATATTGTTATTTAAAAGTACACTCAAATTAGTTGTCAATGTATGTTACAACTCTAGGGAAACCACTAAAAAATAAAAAAAGAAGTACAACTGATATGCCAAGAAAGGAGAGAAAATGGAATGTAAAATGCTAATTAAGACCACAAAAGATAGGAAAAGAGTAGAAGACAAAAGAAGAAAGAAAGATGAAAGGCAACAAATAGAAAAGTGTAACAAATATGGTAGATACGAATCCAATGATATCAATAATAATGTTGAATGTCAATGATATAATATGAATCCAATTATACCAATAATAATTTTGAATGTCAATGATATAAATGCACCAACTAAAAGACAGTCATTGTCAGAGTGGATCAATAAACAAGACCCAACTATATGTTCTCTACCAAAAAAACAAAAAGCAAACCCACTTTAAATATGAAGATAAAAATAGGTTAAAAGAAAATGGACAAAATATTACAAAGTAAGGTTAATCAAAAGAAAGCAGAAGTAGCCATATTAATTTTAGAAAAAGCAGACCTAAAAGCAGGGAAAGTGATCATGGATAAAGAAGGGCATTACATAGTGATAAATGGGTCAATTCTCCAAGAAGACATAACAATCCTTAACATGTATGCACTTAACATCAGTGTCAAACTATGAGACACAAAAACTGATAGAATTGCAAGGAAAAATAGATGAATACACTGTCATAGTTGAAGATTTAAAAACTCTTGATCATAAATGGGCAGATCCAGCAAGCAGTAAATCAGTAAGGACATAATTGAACTCAACAACACCATAAATCAACTGGATATAATTGATACCTCTAGACTATTTCATCCAACAACAGCAGAATACATATTCTTCTCAAGCTCACATGGGACATTCACCAAAATGGACCATATTCTGGGCTATAAAATACACGTAATTAAAAAAACAAAAAACAGAAATCATTGAATATCTACTTTCAGACCCCAAAGTAATTAAACTAGAAATTAATGACAGGAAGATAATGGGATAATCCCCAACTACATAGAGATTAAACAACACCTTTCTAAATAATATACGGTCAAAGAAGAAAACTAAAGGGAAACTTTAAAATATTTGGGACTAAATGAAAATTAAAACATAACTAATAAAAATTTGTGGGATGCAGTGAAAGCAACACTTAGTGGGAAATTTATAGCACTGAATACACATATAAGAAAAGAAGATCTAAAAACAAACTAATTTCTATATTAGGAAGCTAGAAATAAAGAGTAAATTAAATTCCAAGTATGCAGAAGAAAAGAAATAATAAGAATTAGAACAAAAAGTAATTAAATTGAAAATAGGAAATTAACAGAAAAAAATCAATGAAATAAAAACGTGGTACTTTGGAAAGACCAGTAAAATTGATAAGCCTTTAGCCAGGCTGAGAAAAAAAGACAGGACCCAAATTACTAATATCAGACATGAGAGAAGGGACGTCACTATAGAGCCCATAGACACTGAAAGGATGATAAATAAATACTATGAACAACTCTATGCCCACAGATTTGGTAACCTAGATAAAATGGACCAATATCTTGAAAGACACAAGCTGCCAAAACTCACATAAGAAGAAACAGACAATCTTAATAGGTCTGTATCTATTGAAGAGGTTGAATCAATTACCTCCGAAACAAAAAGCCTCAGGCCCATCCGTATAGGTTCACTGGTGATTTCTACCAAACATTTAAGGAAGAAACTACACCAATTCTCTACAGCCACTTTCAGAAGACAGAAACAGAGGGAAGCTATGCATGTTTAGGGGCAGAGAGTATAAGGCAAATCTCTGCACCTTCCTCTCAATTTTGCTATGAACCTAAAACTGCTCTTAAAAATAAAGTCTTAAAAATTAAACAACAACAAACATTATTCAACCATATGTTATCCAAAAGAAATTTCTTCCAATATAATGATAAAGGCAGGTTGGCAGTAAAGGGATTTTTTAAAAATCATGCAAACATCAATCAAAGGAAAGCAGGAATGGCTATATAAACATAAGATGGAGTAGATATCAGAGCAAAGAAAATTACCAGAGACAGAAAGAGACATATAATAATATAATAATAAAAGGGTCAATCCATCAAGAAGATACAGTAATTCTAAATATGTATGCACCTAACAACAGAGCTACAAGATATATGAACACAAAACTGATAAAACTAAAAGGAGAAATAGACAAATCCACAATTATAGTTGGAGATTTCAATGCACCTATCTGAACAATTTATGAAACAACTAGAAAGAAAATCAGCAAGTATAGAGAGAAGAATTCAGCAATACCATCAGTCAACAAATCTAAACGACATTCATAGAACACATCACTCAACGGCAGAATATATATTCTTTCCAAGTGTCCACAAAACATTTACCAAGATAGGACATATTACCAGCCATTAAAAAAATTCACAAATTTAAAAGCATTAGACTCATACCGAGTGTATTCTCTAACCACAGTGGAATTCAACAAGAAATCAAAAGCAGAAAAGTAACAAGAAGTTTCCAGACACTTAGAAACTAAACAACACATATTTAAATAATCCCTGAGTAAAAAATAAACTCTGTAGGAAAAGATGTTTTTAAATATATTAAAATGAATAAAAATTAAAATACAATATATCCAAATTTTAGGGACGCAGCTAACATAGTGCTGAGAGGGAAATTTATAACATGAAACGCACACATTAGGAAACAGGAAAAGTCTCAAATCATTAATCTGGGTTCTTAATCTAGAGAAAGAAATGCAAAATAAATCAATAGCAATCAAAAAGAACAAAATAATATAGATAAAAGCAGAAATTAATAAAATCGAAAACAAAATATAGAGAAAAATCAACAAAACAAAGAACTGGTTCTTTAAAAACACCAACAAAACTGACAAATCTTTAGAAAGACTAAAAACAAGAGAGAGATGCAAATTACCAATATCAGGGTTGAAACAAGGAATATTACTACAGTCTCTGCAGGATTATACAGACAGATAATAAGGCAATACGAGAAAGTATTCAACATGCATAAATTTGACAATTTAGATAAAACTGATCACTTCCTTAAAAAATATAAATTACCACAACTCGCCCAATATAAAATAGATCATGTAAATAGCCCCATAGTTCTTAAGGAAATTTAATTTATAATTTTAAAACTCCCAAAGAAGAAATCTCTAGGACAAGGCAGTTTTACTGGATAACTCTACCAAACTCTTTAAAAAGAATGAACACCAGTTATATACAACCTCTTCCAGAAAATAGAAGAGGCAAGAACATTTTCCAATTCATTTTATGAGCCTACTATTACCCTCATGCCACATTCAGATAAATGCCTTGTGGGGTTTATTCCAGGCATGCAAGATTGCTCCAGTATTAGGAAACTAATCAATGTGATCCAACATATTAACAGCCTAAAGAAGGAAAACCACGTATTCCTACCAATCAATGCAGAAAAAGCATTTGACAAGATTCAATACCCATTAATGTTTTAAAAATTCTCAAAAAATAGAAATAAAGGGGAAGTTGCTCAACTTGATAAAAGGACCTACAAAAAGCTACAGCAAACATTCTTACCTGTGAAAGATTGAATGCTTTCCTCCTAAGATTAGGAACAAAGGCAGGATGTCTGCTCTCATCACTCTTACTCAGCATAGACTGGAAGTTCTGGTCAATACAATAGAAAAGAAAGGTAATGAAAGGAAGAAATAAAAGTCACCCAATTTCTGGATGAGGTAATTGTCCACAGAGACGATCCCAAGAGATATATTAAAAAAACTCTTAAGAATTTACAAATGTGTTCAGGAAAGTTGAAGCATACAAGATAAACATGCAAAAATAACATTTTTCTATATAGTACCAAAGAACACACGGAGATTGAAATTAAAAATACAATAGCATTTACAATTGTTCAAAGGAAAATAAAACATTTAGGTGTAAATCTAACAAATCACTTACAGGAATTGTATGCTGAAAATTATATAATGCTGATAAAGGAAATCAAAGATGATATAATAAATGGAAAGGCATATTTTGTTCATGGACTGGAGTCTCAACGCAGTAAAGATGTCAATTCTTCCTAAGTTAATATACAGAGTTAATGCAATTTTTGTCAAAATTCCAGGAATTTGCCATATAAATTCTCAAATTATATGGAATTTTGTTTTAGTTATATTTATATGAAAAAGGAAAATCACTGGAATAACTAAAGCAAAAGTTCAAAAAAGAATAAAGTGGGATAAATGAGTTTACTCAATTTCAAGACTTACTATTTATAGTGAAGTTATCAAGACTGTGTGGTATTGGCAGAGGGACAGACATACATAGATCAATAGAACAGAGCAGAGAACCTGGAAATAGACCCATACAAGTATGTTCAACTGAGTTTTAACAAAGCAGCAGAAGCAATTCAACAGAGTAAAGATAGCCTTTACAACAAATGGTACTAGTGCAATTGGACATCCAGAGGCAAAAAAAAAAGAATCTTGCCCTATCTTATACAAAAATTACTCAAAATACACCATGGGCTAAAATGTAAACTGTAAAATTATAAAACTTGTAGAAAAAAGAACATAACATAAAATATTCAGGGCTAAGGATAGAAAAAAATTCTTGAACTTGACACCAAAAACATGATCCACACAAGGAGAAACTGACATTGAACGTCATCAAAAACACTTTTGTTCCGCAAAAGATCCTGTTAAGAGGATGAAAACAAGCTACAGAGTGAGCAAAAATATTTGCAAACTACCTATCTATATTTATATAACTCATGTAATTAATCAGTAAAAAAGCAAACAATCCTTAGAAATTGGGCCAAAGACATGAACAGACATTTTACCAAAAAGGATGTACTAATGGCAAATAAGCACATGAAAAAATATTTAATGAGCTTAGCCATTAGGGAAACGTAAATTAAAAGAACAATAAATTATCACTAACTATCTAATCAGAATGGCTAAAATAAAAATTGGTGACGACAACACCAAAGCTGGTGATGTGGGGAAATTCAGTCACTCACAGATGGCTGGTGGGAGTGTGAAATGATACAGTTAAAACCAGCCGGAAGTTTTATATAAATCTAAACATGCAACTAGCATTGCACTACTTGACATTTATCCAAGAGAAATGAAGACTTATATCCACCCAAACACTTGAACATGAATGTTTATAGCAGCTTTGTTTGCAATTGCCCCATATGGAAAACAGCCCAGATGTCCTTCAGTGGGTGAATAATGAAACCAGCTGTGGTACATCCATACCATGGGATAATGCTGAGCAACAGCAAGGAACAGACTACTGATCCATGCAACACCCTAAGTGGATCTGTGAGTCCATTTATCATATACTATTCTTTTTTCTTTCCCTTTCTTTTTTTTTTTTTTTTTAGACAGTGTCTCACTCTGTCACCCAGGCTGGAGTGCAGTGGCATGATGGTAACTCACCGCAGCCTCAACCTCCTGGTCTCAAGCCGGGACTACAGGCGTGTGTTACCATGCCTAGCTTATGTAACACTCTTTAAATGACAAAATTATAGAAATAGAGAACATATTAATGTTCATCAAGGGTTAAGGAGGGGGCAGGGAGCTGGCAGGAAGTAGGTGTAGCCATAAGGAAATGGAACCGTTCTGCATCTTGACTACATCACTGTCAATATCCTAGTTGTGATATTATGCTACAGTTTTGAAAGATGTTACCATTGGAGAAAACAGGTAAGGAGATTTCTTTGTGTTATTTCTTACAACTGCACGTGAGTCTACAATGTTCTCAAAATAAAAAACATAATTAGAAAAAAATAAATTACAGAAGCCACATATATAATAGTGGACAAGACACCAGCAACTATGGAAAGGCCAGGGTGACAGTAATAGATTTAAACGCAGGCTAATGCTGAAGTTTGTGTTAATTCAAATGCCATGAACAACAATACTGTTAGCAATGTTGGTTAACAAAAGGTTCACAATTCTCAATAAAATTCTGAACCAAACAATAATCTTTTCTCTCAAATAACACAGTATTTGCATTCTTGGAAAATACTAAGTATATTAAAACTACGCAAAAATGACTTTGTGTTTATATGTAACATGGAGTTAAATTCTAGGCTCACTGAATAAAACCCCAAATGTGACAACCAAAAATGCCCCCAAAGGCAAGTACGTTTTCCCTGCATTAATACCCATTGCTCTACCCCTCCAGCATTATCTGGAGACCACTGGTGAAGCAGGTATGTGAATCCATCTGTCTTTTATTAACCTAGGCATTAAAAAGACTTGTGAAATATTTTCTACATTTGCGAAATTACATAAAACAATATCACTCTTCTCAATTTTTTTTCTGTTTCGGGAAATAGAGCTAGAGAGTAATGAAGTTCAGAAATCAGAAAGTGTGAAAATTGCTGCTCTCAGGCAAGTGCCCCATCTTCCCCCCTTGATATTGACAGCATCTAGTAACATGACTAAAACATGATAGGTGCTACATAAACACCTTTATTGAGCTGAACAAAGAGACCAGCTAGAAGACCAGAAAACCCCACTTCACCAGAACACTCCAAGTATTCCCTTGAGTACCCAGGATTCAATGAGTAGAGCAAAGGCTCCCACGGCTGGGGATCTTCCTTGTGTAACTGTGCCTCCCCTGGCGCCCTGGACAGTGTCTTCCATAGAGCTCCCACTTCCCATTTCACTTGAGACCCAGCCCAATTCCAGAGCCTGCCCAGGGTCACAGCTGAGAGCGAAGGACCCAGGGCTTTTGCCTCCAAGCCTCTGGCTTCCCCACCAGCCTTTGCTGCCCTAGCGGTGGCACTTTCACCCTTTCCTCTGATTGGCCGTGGAAATAGACAAGGCCTTGTCAAAGCTGTGGCTAGTGGGTTTCATGATTCTTTCTCATGTAGGACTCTGCCCCGGGATGAGGGGAACTCTCTAGAGAAATGGCTGCAAAAGCTGGGCTCTTGCTTCTCAGTCAGGTGACAGCCCTTCCTGGGGAAAGGACTCGGCACCAGCCAGAATGCAGAGGAGAGCCCTCCGTCTCATTGGTCCTGTGTGGAGAACCCTGACTAATGCAATGTCCTCTGATAAAACTAGCTGGAATATGTCCTTTGAATGTGCTGCAGTGACTGTCTTCTTCTCAGGTCTGTATGGCACCTACATGTTTTCTCCAAGCCTCAAACCCTCCAATCGGCAGGGCCACCTGAAAGTACAGGCACAGGAGCGCTGGCCCAAATTTCAAATGGTCACATGACTTTTCCATGCTTGGGAACATGTTTTCCTGCTCCCCACAGACAATCCATTATAGTATCAGGAGGAGAAAATTCTAGAATAAATCCGTTCTCAATTCCCTGTATCCCTTTTGATGGTGCTCACACTGCGAAAAGCTAATTGGGCAGGGTAACAGTGAGGCGAGGCACCCCGTACCCCAGCTGCAGTTTACTCATTGAGTTAAGGATGGAAGCTTCCCTCCGTTTCTTCACCTGAACAGAAACCAGTATTAAACCTTAATCTCCGGGCCTAGGAACATTTTACATTTGACCACTGTGACCCTCCAAAAGGCTGGGAGCAGGACATCCTGAAAATCAAACGAGGTGAGGCTAAAAATAATGTAGAATTGAGGAGTCTTCAATTAAGCTGTTTTGTAAAATGAGTCTAATGATTGATTTCTGCACAGCTGATCAGACAGGTCTTGAGGTTTATTCAGTTCTAGCGATAAGATGTCTCAGTACCCTGTTGGTGTGTGTGTGTAGTGGGGACAAGGAGGTGGCCTACTATCGTCATATCTGGTGTGTTTGCTTCCCTGGAGGTAATCGTCACTCAACAGAAAGTAAAGCTCAAAGACCCCAAAAGTCCTAGATATCCTCAGAGCTATTAATTGTTTTTGTTGTTGTTCTGCAGTAGAACCAGAAAAGTTGGTAAGGAAAGGTCTGGAAGAGGGAGTTCCAGCCTCCAGGCCCTGCCTCCGATGCCAGACGCGCTGTAGAAAGGTGTAAACTGCTCCACAATCCCACGCATGGGGAGAGAGATCCTGTTACCCTGACTTGCCTTCAGATCACCTCATGTTTTCTGAAAGCTGAGCTGCCTGTCATTTTGTCGGGACTATTGTGACCGCAGAGGCCTCTGAATCGCCCACTTGGCAGGACTCGCCAGGCTTCTTGCTAGCCCAGCCCAAGGTTCCCCGCAGGGGTTCACTCCACCATTTAATTATATGTGGTTTGAGAAGTCTGCGGTAATCCTCTGAAAATGGACGGCCTTTTTGTTCTCCTCTCACGGCAGAGGCTCCTAAAACAGGCCAACCAATCTTCATTGGTTCTGTAAGCAGTGAGGGGCAAGGATAACACAAAGGTTCTACCCAGGTTCCCAGCTCCCGGGGAACGCGTGGCAAGGGGCACAAATATCATCAAGAGGTAAGGGGTCCCCACCCATAGGCGCTCAACACACAGCTCACAAAGTGGAAGGCTGGGAGTCCAATCCAGCCTACAGACACTTAGTCTCTAACAAATTTTGATTTTTTTTTCTCAATTTGCTTGGAAATTTTAAGAGTTAAAACATTTTACATTAAGATCTGTATTTCTGGCCTCTCTTGAAAAATTGGGAGACTTAGCAGCTCCAGGCTGCATTCCCCAGGGCAACTGGGAGCTGGAGCTGAGGAATCATCGCCCCCTTCAGACAGGGCAGTGGATCTCAGAGCGTGGTCCTCATCAGTAGCAGCCACATCACCTGGACAGTTGTTAGAACTGTGGAGTCTGAAGGCCGGGTGGGGTGGCTCACGCCTGTAATCCCAGCACTTTGGGAGGCCGAGGTGGGTGGATCACAAGGTCAAGAGATGGCCAACATGGTGAAACCCTGTCTCTACTAAAAATACAACAATTAGCTGGGCATGGCGGTGCGTGCCTGTAGTCCCAGCTATTGGGGAGGCTGAGGCAGGAGAATTGCTTGAACCAAGAAGGCGGAGGTTGCAGTGATCCGAGATTGCGCCACTGCACTCCAGCCTGGTGAAAGAGCAAGACTCTGTCAAAAAACAAAAAAAGAAAGAAAAAGAAATGTGAACTCTGAAAAAATCAAACTTGCAGAAGATGAGAGTAGAATGGTAACTACCAGAGACTGGGGACGGGGAATGGGGATGGGGAGATGTTGACCAAAGGGGTTCACAGTTTCAGCCAGACAGGAGGACTAGGTTTTTGAGATCTATTGTATGATATGGTGACCATGGTCAGTAATAACGTAATATATTTAAAAATTACTAGAAGAATAGATTTCAAATGTTCTCACTACAAAGAAACGACAAATATGTGAAGTGATGGATGTGTTACTCTAGCTTGATATAATCATTCCACAATGTATACATGTATCAAAACATCGTATTTTACCCCATAAGTATATGCAATTGTTATTTGTCAATTAAAAGTAAAACTTCAAATTAGCATGCATGGTGACATGCGCCTGTACTCCCAGCTGCTTGGGAGCCTAAGCCCAGGAGGCGGAGGTTGCAGTGAGCCGAGACTGCGCTACTGCACTCCAACCTGGGTGTCAGAGTGAGACTCTGTCTCAAAAACAAAAACAAACAAACAAACAAACAAATCCAAATAAAGAAGAAAGAGAAATGCACGTTTTCAACCCCAGAACCACTGCCTCAGACACTCCGGCGTAGGGCCCAGCACTCTGTGTTCTGACAAGCCCTGCAGGGAGTCTGATGCTTGAATTTGAGGATGGCTGAGACCGAGCCTGGGTACTGTTTCCAAAGTGCCCACTCTGCCCTGATGCCTACTCCCAGCCTGGATCTACATCAAGTGTTGATGCTACCAGCCTCTGTGTTTGTGACCCCTAGCTTCACTGCTTTTGCATTTTGTATTTTGCATTTGCATTTTGTATTTGTACTCCACTCAGCTGGAATAGTTGGCAGCAATGTGCCTTGTTCTCTGCATACAAGGGGTGATGGGAGAAGGCTCTGATGTGCCTCCAGGCCAGGCTACAAAGTCAAAAGTCAAGCAGCAAGCGCTGAAGGCTCAATGCATGAAGACCCAAAAGAAGCTGAAAAGAAGAGAGGTGGCAGGAGAAGACCCTGGATCGATGCCACCTGGATCTAGTCACTTTCATCCCCCACCCTGGGGCGCCTTCTCACCCATATACATGTGACTTGGTGCAGCTGTAAGTGGCTATGTGCATATTTATGTGTTTCTAATATTTGTCCTGAGTTGTGCATTTTTCTGCCTGCTCTTCTGTCTCTACTTCAGAAGACACTTCCCTCTCTACAACCCAGGGCAAGGGTTGGGCCCTTACATCCTCTAAGCCCAGGGGTCTGCTGGGCAAAAATACTCACGGCCACCACAAAGATGGAGTGGAGCTGATCTGGCCGGGCTCTCAGCAAGAGGGCACAGAGGAAAATGTAGGCAAAAGCCAGGAGAGCTGTATGGACAGCTGTGGTGTCAACACTTGGCTACCTGGATCATGGCTGCCACTGATAAAATGGGCAAAAAAATGACAGCCCACTGGCTTGAAAAGGGGAGCAGAGCAGGCCTGAGCTGCCAAGGTCAAGGACAGGTGGGATTTGCTGTAGTGCCGCAGCCTGGCCATGGTGCTTGGCACAAAGCAGACACAGCCTAAGTATTTGCCGGAAAGAAGAAATAAAACAGTGTGGCACTGAAGTTGGGCTGAGGGGGCCCTGACATTTGCTCACTTACTCATTCCTCCATCTGTTCACTCACTGCATGTGGCGCTTTTGTACCAGGCCCTGCTCCAAGCACAATCGGGAGCCAGGGGTTCAGTGACACACTCAGCTGAATGGAGAAAGCAAAGAATTTCCATTAACACCTGCAAAACATGCAGGTGCAGGATGGGCTGCCAGGTGCCAGGAGCTCTCATGTCATTTCATTTAAGTGGCTGCTCCTTCCTCAGCTGATCTAGGTTCCCGCAGCATCACACCAACCCCCTAGGTATGATCTGGGTCTCCCCTGCTTGAGGAAAGAAGGAAGAAGATAGGAGGACCTAATCTGTGCCCATGTGGAGCTAGGAGCCTTAGACTCTGACTGCCCTGAGAGCGGTGGGCAACATATTCATTTATATTGGAAAGATAATAATTACAACGAATATTATATTATTATGGTAGCAGCAGCAGGAATAACAGTAATAGCTGCCTTTATTGCCTGATGTATTAATCCATTCTCACACTGCTATAAAGAAGTACCTGAGACTGGGTAATTTATAAAGAAAAGAGGTTTAATTGACTAACAGTTCCACAGAGTGTACAGAAGGCATGGCTGGGAGGCCTCAGGAAATTGGTGGAGAGTGGTAGAAGGGCAAGGGAAAGCAAGCACATCTTCACATGGCAGCAGGAGAGAAAGAGAGCAAAGGGGGAAGTGCTACGTACTTTCAAACAACCAGATCTTGTGAGAACTCATTCACTATCATGAGAACAGCAAGGGAGAAATCCTCCCCCGTGATCCAATCACTTCCCACCAGGTCCCTCCCCCAACATTGGGGATTACAATTCAACATGAGATTTGGGTGGGGACACAGAGTCAAACCGTATCACCAGAGTTCTCACTAAGATATAGGCCAATGAGTCAGGCATATTTTCTGCATTTGGTCATTTTCTCATCACAACAGTCAAAAGGATTAGATATTTTGATCTTATTTTACAAATGAAGAAGCTCAGTATTAGGGAGTTTGGGTGTCAGGCATCTTTTCAAATCCAGTGAGGTACAATAGAAGAGCCAACCCTATATAAGACACGGCAAAGGAAAGAAAACAAAATTAGAGTCCAAGAACCTAAGTCTAAACCTCACTTGGCTCTAGTAATTATTAGCTACAGGCCACCACATACAGCTGCCCAGGTTGTCTACTGCATCACAACCCCAGGAGATGCTTTTCACTGAGAGAGCAGTGTGAATGCTCTCTCAGGTTGTGCAACCTGGTGGCCCTTGTTAGTTCTATGGCCACCTAACCTCCTCTCAGGGTATCGTGAGGGTTCAAGGAGATGTCTGCACCAAGTCTTTGTGTGCAAAGCCTGTGGCTCCAGGGATTTCATACCTGTCTTTCCACTGGATGTCTTCTTGGTGGGGAATCTGCTGCAGGTCACCAGGATTAGCCAAGCCCTGGCTGGCAGAGACAAACATTCTCAGAATGTCAGTTTACTGCCTTCTGTGGAATGCGGCAGCCTGGAGACAAACAGGAACTGGAGCCAAGGACTCGTGTCTCTGGCCCCAGCTCTTCATTGTTAAATGCTCTCTTCACAGCCACGGGCTAACAGAGAAGCCACCAACAGATGGTTCTGCTTTGCAGCGTGATGGAAACTTAGGCCCATCCCCTCCTCGTTTACAGTGCGTGCCAGCACCAGCCATCCTTGTCACAAAAAGATACCCAAGAAACAGCAGAGAGCCAAGACTCTCATCAATAGAGAGCTGCAAGCTTCCCCCCATGGAGCTGAGAATGGGGTACTGAACAGGGTCTGAACCCAGCACAAACTCTTCATGGGATTTGGTAGCACTGGGCTTCTAGAGGGCAAAAGAAGCTTCCAAACAGACAAAAATATAATGGCAGGTTTATGTTCTTCCTGGAAAATCTGATGACAAGTTCTCATGGAATGAAAGAATTGGCCTAAAATATGACTTGGCTCCAGGTACAAACATCAGTGTTGGTCAGCCCAGGGATCCTAACTTAGCCAAGAACTGAGGAACCACATATAAGAAGCCTCGAGGGGCATGGTCCCTCCTGCAGTGCTGTGTCCTGGAATTCATCTCCAAGCCACTGTGACCTTTCTCCTATATTACCTTGTTGCTATTCCCGTGCACACAACTCTCACTGGCTTGTTTTTTTGCCCGAGGCCTTCAACAAGGCTCACCTGCTCTCAGAAAAGCACTATGGATACTAGGCTTGCTTCTCATCTAAGGATACCCCTGTTGGGAGGGAGCCACCAACACAGCATGCTGGGGCTGAGCCGAGACCCCTTCCTCGCAGCTGGTGGACTGGGGATGAAGACCCCCAAGCTGGGCCTGGGGATTTGGGGTTGGGACTTGGAAATGCCTGATAGGATTTGTCACACACACTTGAATTGAAAACATGTCAGCAAGGAAGTTCAAGGTTGAACAGAGTCTCTTTAAGGTCTGACCTTTGGTCTGCCTAGAGAGCCACGTGGACGGGGAAATGATAATGAGAGAAGGGGGCCCAGAAAGAAAGAGGGGAAAGGCTCCTTCCTGGATTCTCTCTGGATTTCCCATTCCTGGGTCCAGGTCTTCCTGAGCTGTCCATTCCTTTAGGCTCCCCATGTCCTTAAAATAAATGCACCCCATTTGCACACTTTTCTATTTTTTGCCTGTTTGAGAGGATCACCATTACTGGGAGGTGACAACTTGCCCTGACTTGAACCTCCAGCAGTCACAAAGCAGTGCAAGGATGTGGAAGCCCCAGTTTCAGACATCATCTCCCAACTTTATGCTTAAAACATAGGGCACATATGTGACAACTCCCATGACTGTTTAATGACAGTGAGGACATCCATGTTCCTCATCCTTGTTCATCTTTGCACTATCCTTTTGAGGCAATTGTTGTTCCCAGTTTACAGGTAAAAACACTGAGGCTCAGAGAGGTTAAGCAACTTGCCTAAAGTCACACAGCTTCTGCTAATTCAGTGTATTCCTCAACTCATCCTCCAGTGCTAGAGGCCCCTGGTCAGAAGGGCTTACAGAATTAACAAACCTTAACCAGAGCAGGACTCTGAGGAGTTTACTAGTCTCATTAAGGCCCTGACACATGTTTTAAATTCATTCATTTTCTCAAGCTCTGGGGAAAGCTTGCAAAAGCAGCCCAGTGGATGGCAGCTGTGGCGACAGATCACGTCCTCGGGGCTTCATTCAATGACTCACTCTCCTTGTCAGATTGAGCCCCTCTACTGCTGTGGCCGTTGCCTGGAGAAGAGGAGACGGCTCTGCCTGCTGCCGCCCCTGCCCTGGGTGAGAACCACCAGGGCAACCTGCCATAAATGCAGCTCTCCGGGTCCCCTCTAAGATGGATGGAATCAGATCCTACCAATGTCCATCCTACAATCTGCTTGTTTAAAAAGTGATTGCACAATTAGCCGGGTGTGGTGGCAGATGTCTATAATCCCAGCTACTGGGGAGGCTGAGGCAGGAGAATCGCTTGAACCCAGGAGGTGGAGGTTGCAGTGAGCTGAGATCACACCACTGCACTCCAGCCTGGGTAGCAGAGCGACAGTCCATCTCAAAAAAAAAAAAAAAAGTGGTTGCACAGAGCCTTATGTGCACTTGAACTTCAGACCTAAGTCACCATTTTGGAGACTTGAGGCCCATGTGTTCTCCAAGTGAACTGAAAGTCCTCCTTGTGGGCTTTCCCCCAGGGTTTCACTTCCATTCCTTTCCTGTCATTTCTTTCCTTTCCTTAGTGCTTTTGGTTCCTTGGAGCTACTGTGTGAGTGGGCCTGAGAGTGCTCGGGAAGTCAGATGAGGATGCTGCCATCACGCTGTCTTCCCAGCCATGTGGGAGGTCAGCCTGGGTGGTTCTGGAAATTTGCTACCCACTGACTGAGAGAGCAAAGACTGTCCCCAGGAAACAACTGGGTGACTCCCAGCACCTTCAGTGGGCCCTGGGCCCCAAAGGCCACTTTCCTGGCTGGTGGTCGCTGAGGGTTAACAGTGCCCCTGAGCAGTGTCACTTTAGAATCTTTATAAAGGCTGTGCTGGGCAACAGTCAAGTCGGCCGGGGAGGGCATTGGTTGAGGTTGTCTTGACTGTCTGCAAGGCTGAGAACACCTGAATCATCCATCTCAAACATGGGGGTAGGTGTGTAAACAGAAAGGGGGCCGGAGGAGTCCTCTGACATGCACCCTGCTGGTCAGCGCTGAGCCCAGGCCCTGGCAGAAAGGGCAGCCACCACTCAGCTCCCACTGATTGGGCCACATGGAGATGCATCCTGGAATTGAAAAGATCATCTGGATTTTCAAGAAATGGGAAATTCTGATTTTATGTGAAATTTCCCAACTTGTAATAAAATATCGGCATGTAATTTAATTTATAAACAACACCCTATACTGGCCAAACAAAATTATCTGCTGACTGGATGCGGCCCCCAGGCTGTCTGTTGTGGCCTCTGCTGTCAACGTTGTCTAAGAGGTAGTGGCTCTGCAAGGAGAGTGCATTGGCTTTGCTCAGACATGAACCTTCTGGTAGACAGTCTCAGCCTGTGGCTGCAGGCCAGCAGGGCAGAACCACCCAGGACACAGAGGCTGGGGTGGCAGGCACCAGAGGCTGAGCCATGGCTAGGCATGAGCTGGCCTGGAGAGCAGGTGTGGATAGGGACATCCGTTTATTCTTTTTTTTTTTTTTTTTGACACGGAGTTTCGCTCTTGTAGCCCAGGCTGCAGTGCAATGGCGTGGTCTTGGCTCACTGCAACCTCTGCCTCCTGGGTTCAAGTGATTCTCTTGCCTCAGCCTCCTGAGTAGCTGGAATTACAGGTGCACCCCATCATGCCTGGCTAATTTCCGTACCATTAGTAGAGATGGAGTTTCACCATGTTGGCCAGGCTGGTCTCGAACTCTTGACCTCAGGTGATCCACCCGCCTTGGCCTCCCAAAATGCTGGGATTACAGGTGTGAGCCACCGCGCCTGGCCTATTCTTTCAGCAAATATTTACTAGCTGCAGCATACGAGGCACTGAGATACATGGCAGCTTGTTAATTTCCTGGGGCTGCTGTAACAAATCACAACAGACTCGGTGGCTTTAAACAACAAAAATGTATCCTCTCACAGTTCTGGAGGCCAGAAGTTAGAAACCAGTAGCACTTGGCCAAAGTCAAGGTGTTGTTAGGGCCACCCTCCGGTGGAGGCACCAGGGGAGAAGCCCTTCCTCGCCTCTTCCAGCCTCTGGTGGCTGCATCACTCTAGTCTCTGCCTCGTGGCCACACGGCCTCCTTCCCTCCTGTGTGTGTCACATCTCTTTCTGCATCTCTTTTATAAGGACACCTGTTTGGTTTAGGAGCCACCTGGATAATCCAGGATAATCTCCCCATCTCAAAATCCTTCACATCTGCAAAGATCATTTTTCCTTATAAGGTAACATTTACAGGTTCCAGAGGTGAAGACCTGGTATCTTTGGGGGCCAGTATTCAGCCGTGAGTCAGGAGGAACATAACTCACAGGTGGCAAAGAACAAAAAACAGATAAGGTCCTTCTCCTCCTGGATCTTACTTTCTAGTGGGGAGAGGGAGCAGAAGAAAGCCAACATGCCAGTAAATACATAATAAAATCTCATGTTATAGACATGCTGGGGAGAACGACCAAGATCCGTTGGGCCCTGCTCCTCAGGCCTCAGGAATGTGCCCCACTGGGTTGTCCACCTCTGTCCGCCCCACCAGGTGGAGGCTGGGCTGTCCCTCACCGCATCCCCGAGCTCCTCAGCTCACACCTGTTGCACGTGTTTGCTGCAGACCCCGAGACTTGGTGAATGAGGACATCATCTGGTGGGGATTGGGAGCCCGACAGGAAGGGAAGCCATCTGGGTGGTTCCCTTGAGAGCTATCTGGCGTCCTGCTGGAGGATGCAGTCAGTCTGGCTGCAGCTGAGGAAGGGCAGGCTCCCTCGGGGCTCACCTAGAGGGCTTGGCTGGTGACCACAGACTTCTTGGAGCACACTTCCCTTCTCAGTTCGAAGCCCCACTGGGGAGATTTTCCTGGCCCACGTAGGGCTTGTGCTGGGAATTCCACACCTGCCTATCACAAAGCAAGCACCAGCAAGGCACAGTGGTGGCACCTTCCACAGAGGGAGGACTCCTCTCCTCATGGGAGGGCCTGGCAGTCACTGTGTGAAGCCCCCAAAAGGTAGGCTGGGTCGGAGGGCTCGCCTCCAGCTTTTGGTCTCCAATCTGGTTACAGCCATGTCTCCGGGAGCCCAGCCTCAGAGCTCCATTCCAGCAAGGCTGGTGGGAAGGGTCTGGACTGGGGCAGGGGGCCTGAAAACGTCAAGGTCACATGATGCATTTGATGGGGCTCAGGACACACCACCGCAAAACATGACCATAGGAGACCAAAATGTGCCACCTCCAAATACACTTCTTGGCGTATTTTGGTCTAGTTATTCAAGAAGGTGTCTGCACTAGGACTAGCTAGTAGCTCTGAAAAAGCCGTCCTTTTGTAAAAGAAATTTTTCATCTATAAAGGAAATCTACATTAGCTTAGTGAAGTATCTCTATCAGGAAGAGGGTTGCTCCCAGATAACTTTTATGACCTGAGGGACTTTTTATCTGCATAACAAGACAACCTTTATTCACCATACATTTCCTTCCCTCATCCTACCATCAACCTGTGTTGCCACCTCCATCCCCCGACCCTGGAAGTCCCAAGCCTCTGTTCTGTAGCTCAGTATATAAGGTTCAATTCTCTGACCCTTACTGAAGTCTTGTATTTTGTAGAATTCTCATGCATATATGTGTAATTAAAATGGTTTTCTCTTGTTTATCTGTGTTATGTCAACTTAATTTGTATCCCAGCCAAAAACTTAGCGGGGTGGAAGGAAGTCATTTCCCCCTCCTCTACACATGTCGATATTTAAGTGTGTTCCCATCCCCTTGACCTCCCCTGCCAGGCACACCCTGTTACTCCTACGTGTCAGATGTCATTCTCTCTTTATGAATGAAACGGGAGACTGAGGTCCAGGGAGGAATGTAACTCGTCCAAACGCCTTCAGATTCCAGCAGGCCGTGCTCACTGGCATATGAATTTAAACGCAGTTAGTAAATAAAATCCTCCAAAGCCACCTGCATCCACCCCTCTCTGATATCCCGGGAAGTTGGGAAACTCTGGAAGTACGCTGGTCTTCCCCGCAGTGGGAGCAGCGGGGAGCTGAGACTCTCCTGCCTGCCCCGGAGGAGCAGAAGCGTGGGAGGGCGGGCAAGTCAAGCACTTGGTATCTCCATTGTGAAACACCGGGATAATCAGGTTCTCCTTCCGAGGGGAGAGCCGTCAGGGCAGGTCCACAGAAGCCACGCGAGGGCTTTGAACTCTGCAACAGGCAGGGCTGGAGGGAGACAAAGGAGCCCCGGGGTGGGTATAGTTTCCAGGGCAGCCCTGGCCCTGGTCCCCTGACACCCTTGGAAAACAGAGAATCAGGCTTGGCATATTTAGCACCCGGAAGCAGCTAGGAACGGTGGCTGCAGAGTGAGGACTGAGTCATCCCGGTCACACCATCTACAGTTGTGTGTCCTTGACCACGAGTCCCCGTGGGGACTCAGTGTCCCCACTGAGAAAATGAGAACAATGCCCCTGACACAGGGTTGTTTTGAAAATTAGATATAATTTTCCATAATCCATAACACAATAGGCCCTACATTCAATGGTAGAATATTCTTGTTCTTGCTATCACAGTGTGACCTTGGGGGAGTCCATTCATCTCTCTCTACTTGGTTTCTTTAGATGTCAAAAGAGACATTCTCAGGTGCTTCGCTTTTCTCGTCTTTAAAATGGCAGCAGTCACAGTATGTTCCTTATTGGATGCTGGGAGGGTGCCACAAGTGAGCGTCAGTGGAACAGAGCCGGGTTCATGCCGAGTACTCTGTGTGTGTGCTGGTATCCGTGCTACTCTATGGCACTGGGACATATCATCATTCCAGGCCTTCCCAGGAGGAAAGGAATGGGATAAGAATGAAATCAGGGTAATGGGGATGGTAGAAGGAAGCCCAGCAAAGCCGCTGCTCCACGCAGTGAGGAGGGAGCATAGAGACCCTCCTACTCTCCCCCAGGCTCAGAGTCCCCAGGAAGCCTGGGGGACCACAGCCCTCCTCCGCATTCCAGACTGCAGCCCCAAGCCCAGGATCTCGAGTGTCCTGCAAGGCCCTGACCCTTGGCAGCCACCCGGCAGGCCCATGCATACTAGGGCAGGCCCAGTGTGTGTTGGACTCAGGGTGGGCATATGTGGGCAGGGCACATGCACAGTGCACTAGTGAGGCATTTCTGCCCGCATTCCACCGACGAGCAAACTGAGACGTAAGGAGTTTCAGCAAATTGTCTGAGCCCCATGGTGAGTCAGTGAGGGCTGGGAAACTGGAGCCCTGCTATCCCTAAGGCTCCTGTATTCCCTGTAAGGAAGTTCTGGCATCGCCTAGAGAGAGAGTATTCTCTCACTGCTCACCACCCACCCCCACCCCAACCCAGCCCCTGAAAACACCCATGGGGCCTGGTAAACCATGAATCTCTCCCAAGTGTATCACGAGCTGGGCCCCATCTGCAGCAGGCATCCCCGGAGGGTTACATGCGGGTCCTGGTGATGCGGTGGGGCTGGCTGGTGGTCCACGCCATGAGGAGTGACCACATAGACCACCCTGCCCTCTGCCTACTTCCCAAGCTTAGAGTCCGCAGGAGGCCTGGGAGGCCACAGTGCCCAAATGGAACCAGGTATAGGCTACTTCCCTCTGATTGCTTTCAAGAAATCTGTGACCTCTGATCCATTCTGGGCTGGCCTCATTTAGGAGGTCAAGTTTCATGTCCCTTTTAGGAACAACCATGAGTCCCAGGCTGCCTCTGGCCCCTCCTGGCTTCTCTTCCTTCTGCAAGCATCCCTTGACAGAAGCTGGTGGAAAGCAGCTTGTCTGTTCTTGTGGGGCAGCCTCCAGGCATGGCTGCTTCAGCAGGGGCTCCACTTGCCCCTGTTAGCAGCTCCCCACACCCCCGATCCCATTCCCCTTAACCCAAAACTTCAGGAGCTCTGGGTTTACTCAGTCCAAAGGGGTCAGCCCTGTGCCACTGGAGTGTCTCCAGCCCACCTGTGGCCTTGGCCTCTGTGGCTATGTCCCCAAGGTGCAACAGAAGAGGCCGAAACGTTCTACAGAGTTCACTGCATGGTACCACGCACTGCAGTGATGACCTTGAGGATCCAGGCCCAAGAACAGGTGGAGGGGCACCCAGGGCTCAGGTCCATGTGATTCACTCAGGCTCAGCCATTGTTGCAAAGTCCCTCCAGGCCAGCTTAGCTTCCCGCCTGTACCTTTGTAGTCATGCTACAGCGTGGAAATACATGTGAACATGGCATGGTCTTTGGTCAGTGAACACACTGCTCCGGGGTCTCCCTGTGCACACTGCTACACTCTGTTTCCCATCTCTTGTTCAGTTCAGAGCAGCTGCATGTCTGACTTCCAACAAAGGAATGTGGGGAAAATGACGGGAGCCACCTCCAAACCATCCATGAAAACCTCCCACACAAGACTCCATGACCTCTCTCCATCTGCCTGCTGAATAGGGAAGCCCCTGAGGACTAGAGAGGGCAGGGCACAGGACAGAAGCACCGCGGGTCCCTTCCCTGGGTTGCCACTGAATAAGAGCCACCTGGGAGAGCCTTCCAGCCCAGCCAGGATCCCCCATGTGGGACCACTGCATCAGTGAAAAGAAAATTCCAGTGCTTTAAGCCAGGGGTCAGCCAACTGCAGACTGCAGGCCAAATCCAGCCGCCTGCCTGTTTTTGTATGGACTTTTGTATGTGAGCTCAAAATGGGTTTTATGGGTTTTTTTGTTTGTTTGTTTTTGTTTGTTTTGTTTTTTTTGAGACAAAGTCTTGCTCTGTTGCCCAGGCTGGAGTGCAGAGGCCCGATCTCAGCTCACTGCAACCTCCACCTCCCAGGTTCAAGCGATTCTCCTGCCTCAGCCTCCCAAGTAGCTGGGATTTCAGGCCTGCGCCACCACGCTTGGATAATTTTTGTATTTTTAGTAGAGACGGGGTTTCATCATGTTCATCAGGCTGGTCTTGAATTCCTGACATCGTGATCCACCCGCCTCAGCCTCCCAAAGTGCTGGGATTACAGGCGTGAGCCACCGCGCCCGGCCAGGTTTTATGTTTTAAAAAAGGATTTAAAGAATAGGATTTTGTGACACAGGAAAATTATATGAAATTCAAATTTCAGTGCCCTTACATAAAGTTTGATTGGAGCACAGTCACGCCAGTTCATTTACATCCCATCTGTGGCTGCTTTCACAGGACAACAGCAGCGGTGAGAGTTGCAAGACCGTATGGCCTGCAAAGCCTAAAAGTATTTCCCCCCAGTCCATACAGAGAGTTTGCCAACCCCTGCTTTCTTCTGTCACTAGGATTTGAGGGTTGTTTGTTACAGAAGTGAGCTTATCCTGGCTAACACAATTAAGTGACATGATAAATATTTTTTTTTTTTTGAGATGGAGTCTCACTCTATTGCCCAGGCTGGAGTGCAGTGGCACTATCTCGGCTCACTGCAACCTCCGCCTCCCGAACTCAAGCGATTCTCCTGCCTCAGCCTCCTGAGTAGCTGGGATTACAGGTGCCTGCCACCACACCCAGCTAATTTTTGTATTTTTCGTAGAGATGAGGTTTCACCACATTGACCAGGCTGGTCTTAAACTCCTGACCTTAAGTGATCCACCTGCCTTGGCCTCCCAAAGTGCTGGGATTACAGGCATGAGCCACCATGCCCAGCCATGATGAAGATTTTTAAGACTTTGAGATGTAGGGCAAAATTGCCTTTTGGAGGATTATGTTAACTTATACACTCCCACCAAGACTTATGAGCAGGACAATTGCCCCACTCTTTTGCCAATCCTGGGCATGTGACATACCCTCACTAGAAAACAAGAATAATGATTCCACCTGCCTAGGGCTATGGGGGAGCCGAAATGAAATAGTCTGTGACATAGTAGGTGCCCAGTAAATATCACTATTGACCTTTGGGTGCTGAGAGGTCCTTCTCACAAGAGTGAGATCATAATACATGGATGTTTTTGATGCCTAAGTCTGGCCCCACAAGGAGGATCTTCTGATGCGTCAGGCGCATTGCTTTGAGAATGTCTGTGGATGGTACTCTCTCCTTCTGATGCCCATGTCATTAAGTGGCCCTGTGACGATATCAGAACTGCCTGTTCTTTTCTTTATTTCTTGGGTTTGCACAACTCATCCAGGCTGTTAGAAGTGGAATGCGATTAGATGAGGAAAAGAAAAAAAAAAGCCCTGAGCACTTCTGCCAAGGAGAATTATACAGGTACTAGATCAGCACTCTACTCTGATAGAATGAGGAAACCCAAAGGCAAATTGGCACAGCCCTTTAAAAAACAAAGAGCGCTGTGTCCCCTTTGAAAATTCCTGCTGGTGATATGGCCAAGAAGAATTCGGGAAGATGAGAGGCAGTGACCAGACCACCTGAATTCCAGCACACTCCCTGGTTAAGAACTAATGGAAGTAAGGAAACTATTTTTGGAAGCTGGTTAAATATAAAAAGCAGAGACATGGATGGAAATTATATCAGACGACATCCACCATGCTCTCAGGAAAGTAAAAAGGAGAAAGGGGAGAGGGTAGAGGCAGTGTGACATGCTGCAGCCAGCACCCATGGTCCACAGGGCCCAGCTGTTAAATATTTAAGAACTTCGTGAACCTGTTGTTTAACTGTTGGGAAATTAAAGTCAGCCATGGTGGAAGTATGTACACCACAGAAATTGGCAAAAGCCACAGATCAGGGCTTTGTGACTTTTTTCCCCAGAGTTCCAATTTACCAATACACCCCTGGGTAGAGGGAGAAGAGGGGAATGAAGGCAATGTTCCATCAGGAAAGGAGCCTCAACTCAGAGGAGGAGAAGCAGCAAAAAGGAAGAGCAATAACCTTAGTTTTTTTTTTCCCTTAGGGAAAATTTTCAGATATGGCCCAGACGGGTTAAGTGACTTGCCCAAAGTTACACAGCTAAGAAGTTTTAGAGCTAGAATTTGAACCCAAGTATTTCTGGTAATGATGATTTCTTTCAGTTTCTTTTTTCTTTCACTATCTCAACAACTGATTAATGAATTAATGAAAAGGAGTCACCTGTTTGAAAAAAGTGTCTTTAGGGTCAGCTGCCTGAAAAATTCTGAATTCATGGGTTAGAATCACATGTTTGCTTTTGGCTTGGTTACCAATGGCTTTGTTTTCACAAACCAAATACACTCTCAAAGGACCCAAATTTGCTATCTTTAAGGATTTTCTGTATGACTAATCCTGCATGTATAATCCTGGAAGCCAGTTCCAAAGATTGGTTTTGAGAATGCTTTGGTGTTATCTCCTGAGTAATGAGTAATCTCTCAAGAAGTCCAAGTGCAAAAAGAAACACTCGCTTAGAGGCCAAATTCCAGGTATAGTCACTGGATCAAGGGACAAGATGGCGAGTTTGAAGCGGGGGCCTACCATCTACTGGCTCTCTCACACTTCTTAAAGGACCCATTGGCTGGTGTCAGGGAGGTCGGGGAAGGAAGTTAAGGAGAGCTGGAAACATCCCAGGCTTCTGTTTGCATTTCTTTGGCAAGGGGTTGCCACTTGTGTGGACAAGTATTATTAGGATGACCTACCTTGATTTAGCTAGTCAGGATAAATAAAAAACCTTCTTGGTTTTCATAAATACTGTGGCATTTTACAGTCATGACTCAGTGCTTCATCTGCAATCAAGATTCAGACACCAATGACCAATGGTTGGAAGTGATGATTCATTCAAACAGCACATTGATTTTGCAATAGACCGTGGAACTCTGTCCACATAAAACTCATTGTATTTCCCTGTCAGAACTCAGAGTCGTCAAGGCAACCTAGTCCTGCATGCCAACTCGTTCTGGTCCGTGTTCACGTTTTGTGCTCACGGTCCTGTTCCTGTCGGTTTGAGGAGTGGAAAGTTCCCTGACATCAGCACTGCTAGCTCGTCCTCTTCAGGGGCTGATACTGCAGCTGGCTGACTCTTGACAGCAGGTGGTTCTCCCCATTTGGGCAGGGCTTATGTTCTGCAAGGTTTATTAGGGCCAATTAGCTCCTCAGAAGGGTATTGCAAAAATAAAGTAAATTCAGGAGCTACCTCCCTTCAAATGGACACTGCTCTACCAACAAGCTATGGCACATCGAGGGCAGCGGCGTTAAATTCTCAGCCTTCAAGACACAGCCTGCAGCCCGCCCTCCTTTCCCCAGCAGCTCCTGGGAGCATCCCGGCCACGTGGACATGGCAGGCTGGGAAGACCCAACGATGGGGCACTATGCCATGTGTAAAGGGGATAACTAGCTTGGAATTACCCACTTACCGTATCCAATCTAACTTGGATAACTGTGAGAAATCGTATTCAACAATACTATTTACATATTGAAACTGTCTCAATAATTTGTAGATACTCATCTTTTCTGGAATGTTCATGAGTAATTTGTCTCAGTATCTCTATGTAACTGAGACAGAAAGCTTGGCTCTACCCATGAAAGAATTAGTCACTTACATAAATAAGGATACAAACGGCTTGAGGAAATAGATTCTGTGAGACTCAAAACAGGATTACCAAGAACTGAAATGTACACCGGTGAGGCACATCACGCCACACACACACACACACACACACACACACACACACAAGACCCATCTGCCCACCGCCCTGCTGGCACCAGCATAGCAACAATGAACAATGGTGTGGAATGCGTACAGCATGACAGCACTGACATTTCCTCTTCCCAGTTAACCAGCGTGGCACTGCTGCGGTTCATTCACTGGCAGCTCATTCATTTGTTCCTTAATGTGACCTGACTCCCCATTCATTCCCTCCCCACCCCAAACCCGTCACCAGGCTCTCTGGAACTCTCCTATCTCCTCCACCTCTTCTCTAAATCTTCCTTGTGCGGGAACCTGGCTGCCCCCTCCCCTGAGGGCCCCACTTCCCCTGCAGCCTCTCAAGGAGGGGAAGGGTTGCTGGTGTAAGAAAGTTGGGGGTGGGTTGGAAGCTGGGAGTGTCCCACGGCTGCTTCTACACCTCTCTATTCCTCCTGGCCACTGGCTTCCTCTCCCCGCTGCTGTGGTCCATCAACCTTCATTTCGGGGCAGACTTGAGCTGCTCATTGGCTTCGTCTCTTGTCACCACATGGCAGACTGTCTCTCTCAATGGCGAGCCAGGTCCTGACCTCCCCAGCGCCTGAGCTGTCCTCCTCCTCCCCGCCCCCAACACTCCCATGGTCTCACCCTGCTGTTGCCAGTAGCTTCCCCACATCCAAGGTCTCCATCTCCAGTATCCCCTCTGTGGCTGCCACACAGGGTCCTCCCAGCTCACCCACTCAATGTCCCCATGGCTGCAATCCACTTTCTCCCCAGTCCTCCCATCCCCACCCTCAGCACCTTCTCCCTCCCTTTCTTTACACCCTCCTCCATCATCGTAACCCTTACCTCCCTCCCCACCCTGGCACTGTGAGTACTACACCCCCATGACTGACCTCCCCACCCTGGCACTGTGAGTACTATACCCCCATGACTGACCTGCCCACCCTGGCACTGTGAGTACTACACCCCCATGACTGACCTGCCCACCCTGGCACTGTGAGTACTATACCCCCATGACTGACCTGCCCACCCTGGCACTGTGAGTACTACACCCCCATGACTGACCTGCCCACCCTGGCACTGTGAGTACTATACCCCCATGACTGACCTGCCCACCCTGGCACTGTGAGTACTACACCCCCATGACTGACCTGCCCACCCTGGCACTGTGAGTACTATACCCCCATGACTGACCTGCCCACCCTGGCACTGTGAGTACTATACCCCCATGACTGACCTGCCCACCCTGGCACTGTGAGTACTATACCCCCATGACTGACCTGCCCACCCTGGCACTGTGAGTACTACACCCCCATGACTGACCTGCCCACCCTGGCACTGTGAGTACTACACCCCCATGACTGACCTGCCCACCCTGGCACTGTGAGTACTATACCCCCATGACTGACCTGCCCACCCTGGCACTGTGAGTACTATACCCCCATGACTGACCTGCCCACCCTGGCACTGTGAGTACTATACCCCCATGACTGACCTGCCCACCCTGGCACTGTGAGTACTATACCCCCATGACTGACCTGCCCACCCTGGCACTGTGAGTACTATACCCCCATGACTGACCTGCCCACCCTGGCACTGTGAGTACTATACCCCCATGACTGACCTGCCCACCCTGGCACTGTGATTACTACACCCCCATGACTGACCTGCCCACCCTGGCACTGTGAGTACTACACCCCCATGACTGACCTGCCCACCCTGGCACTGTGAGTACTACACCCCCATGACTGACCTGCCCACCCTGGCACTGTGAGTACTATACCCCCATGACTGACCTGCCCACCCTGGCACTGTGAGTACTACACCCCCATGACTGACCTGCCCACCCTGGCACTGTGAGTACTACACCCCCATGACTGACCTGCCCACCCTGGCACTGTGAGTACTATACCCCCATGACTGACCTGCCCACCCTGGCACTGTGAGTACTACACCCCCATGACTGACCTGCCCACCCTGGCACTGTGAGTACTACACCCCCATGACTGACCTGCCCACCCTGGCACTGTGAGTACTATACCCCCATGACTGACCTGCCCACCCTGGCACTGTGAGTACTATACCCCCATGACTGACCTGCCCACCCTGGCACTGTGAGTACTATACCCCCATGACTGACCCTAATCTTGAATGGACGCAGCCATTTGCCTTCTCCACATAGCTGTTGTTGCCAGAGAAAATCTCCCAACCAGGACGACTGGTTCTGCCTCCATCCATTAGAACATGACTCAGGGGCACTCAGCATTGCTCAGGGTCCCGAATCCCTTCCTTGGAGTTGACTTTTCTGCTCTCTGAGGCCATCTCATGCTGTCTCCTCCCCTGGTCCACCCACAGGGCTGCCCTCACCTCCTGGTTCCTGCGTGAAACACTAGAAGTGAAGGGACCTCCCTTCACTTCCTGCATCCCATGGAAGCACGTCTGAGTCCTGGGAACTGTGACCTGCTCTCCTACCCCAGCCCTCATCTCGTGGCATCCTGCGCCTGCCCCTCTGGCCCTTCCCCTCTCTCACCATAGCCTTCAGCCTGTACACTGGATCATCCTTGGACATGCAGATTCCAGCACCTTCTACCTGAAAAAACCACACCCTCCGCCCCATTTCTTCATCTCATTCTCTGCCCTCCTTCACGACAGAGGGTCTCCAAAATGGCTGTCTACACGCTGCCTCCATTTCCCCACCTCCACGATCCATACCTCTTCAACTCTCTCCAGCCTGACTATTGTCCCCTAGCTCCGTGGAAGCTCCCTTATTAGGGCCACCAATGTTTCCTTGTTCACAAATCCAGTAGACACTTTTTTCTCCCTATCGGCGTTGGTCACAGTCGTCCGTCCACTCCTCCTTTTTTAATACCTTCCCCTCCCGACTTCCTAGGCCTGTCACCCACTCAGCTTCCTGCAACTGCACTTTCCACCCATGCCTCGCCCTGTCTGACCAACGTTCAACACTGCAGCGCGCTGCCTTGGCCCTGGGTCCCTTCTCCTCCTCATCTCTCTTTTCAGAGGATCGCATTCAGCCTCATGGCTTTTACATACCTTCTGTACTCTGAGGATGCCAACAGGATGTCTCCAGACCTTGCCTCACCACCCGTACTCTTATTCTAGCTGCCCCCTTGGCACTCTCACTTGGCAGTCTAGGAGGTGTCTGTCATGGAACAGGACCAAAATGGAGCTGTTAGTCCATTCCCTCTTCCCTCTGGGGAAAGCTCAATGAAACAAGTACACACATTTATTCTTGAGCCTTCTCCAGTCCTTCTTTCAGGCCTGCCACCAAGAAGATACCCTTGAGGCTCCACCCCTAAAACCTGGGTCAGTCTGATCTCAAACCTTTTGGCCTTTTACAAGATAACTTGACAGGAAAGTCCTTGTGGCTCAGTAAGCTGTCATCCCCAGCTCCAAGCTCATCCAAGCCTTCAGCACCTCTCTGGCCTTGTGGCCTCCAGCTGCGTGCCCATTGCAATGCAGAGCTGGCATCCATGCTTTCCCAGAACACCTCCTCCCCTGTCAATAGCTCCTGGTTTCCCCATGGACAACTCACCTTCCTCCACTCTCCACCTGTCTTAGCCCAAGGTGACCGTACCCCCAGCTACTTGACAGCAGGAAGACAACTCAAGTATAGCCAAACAACCTATTCCATTTCCTTGGGAACAGGACCCAAGCCAGGCCAAAAAGACCAAATTTTAGGACTTGGGAGTTACTGGAAATGTGACGCTCTCCAGCTGGGAGGGAGGGGGTCTTGATGACATTATTTGAGCCACTAAATCCACTTATTTCTGCACCTTTCAGTTATGGGGGCCAATAATCCCCCCACCTTTATTTTTATTTAAACCAGTTTGAGTAGGGATTATTTTACTCACAACTCAAAGAGCTCTGATGAATGCATCAGTTCACTCATTCATTCATTCATTCACTCGCTCATTCACATACTACGTGCTAAGCACTAATTCACCCGCTAATGATTTGCCTAATCACCATTGTGCTCACGTCACTGAAACCATATATGCCCTCCACCTGACCCCATTGCTTATGGGATCTAAAGTCCTGGCATTTATAATTCCATAGTTGGGCCCTATCTGATATTTTTCCAGGCTCCTTAATAGAAACACACACATCAAAGAGACCAATTCCCTCTAGTCCCCTTCAAAAACCATATTTACTCCAGTTTCAACACTGTGTTGCACACTCCCAACTTGATCCATCTCCGATGCCCATCTCTCTCTCTCGGCCCCTCTGAGGAGTCACAGAGAAGGATGCTGGCTCACAAACCATGCGTCCTTCTGCAGCACCTCCTCTGCTGGGTCCTGCTCTACAGCACTGTCCCAATGCATACACGTCCTGCTTCCCAAAGGGCAACGTGAAGGCCTGCGTCTCAAGTAGAGTTTGTGCCTCTGAGTGCCTGGGACAGAGCTGGACATGCTCCTGAATGACAAGAACAGACACTAGTACACAGCTTACTATTGTCCAGGCCTGGTTCTATGTTAATTCAATTAACTCTCAGGATAGCCAGCAGTTGGGAAACCAAAGCACTCAGGAACTCACTCAAGGCCACATGGCTAGCAGGTGACGGAGCTGGAATAAGAACCTGGAACCGCCTCAATATGGGATTTCATCGAGGAAGGGGCAGAAGAGACCTTCAGGGAAAATGCATTTCTGAGGCCTCCTCTTCTAACCCAGTGCCTACCCTGCCATCTGAGGTGAACGTCCTTACTGAACTGATCTCTGCCCGAGTGGCTCAGAAAGTCAAGTCTATGGATCCCTGTTGGGCATCGTGTCAGTGTCAAAGTGCTCAAATGTTTCTAGACTCTTACCCCCAGCATCGGGTCTTGCAGCTTCCCAGCCCAGTAACAAACAGTGGACAGGTAGGGATCCGTGGCCCATTCTTTGAGTATAGGATCCAGTCAGCTCTTCTCCTGGAGTGCATGGCACCTCTTCACCTCTAGTCAACCCTGTCCGAGGTGGGCAGCCACATGTGATCCTAGAGTCCAGAAGGCTGGAGGCATGAGCTGAGAAGCAGGGAGCCGGCCAAGGAGACACCAGCCTGAGCAGAAGGCCAGCGGGAGCAGCTGAGACAGCGATGGGAAAGCAGCCCTGGCTGCTCGGCCTCCTGCTCCTAAGGCCAGTGGCCACAGGCCAGGCCAGCCCTGTCATTGACAGTCAAGAAGCCAGGGATTCAGTGCCAAGGGCCACTGGGTCTCCTGAGAATAATTAACCAGGTCCCCACTCGAAGACAGAAGGTCAGATTGATGGGCCTCCAACCAGGGGTCAATGGCCTCTGTCTGGTAAACACTCAAGTTTCATTAATTCTTTCAACAAACATTTACTGATTGCTGGGCTCTGTGCCAGCATGTGAGATCGAACCAGGCCTTCTGTCTTCTGGGCTGGTTGGGAGACGGGCGCCTCAACAAACTCTCACACTGACGGTCAAGGGAGGGGTGATGGGGAAGAAGAGGGGACACGGAGCCACCTGCTTGGCTGCAGCTTCATAGAGAAGTTCAGTGGCCTCTCGCCCATGCCTGTGGTATGCGAAGCTGTTTGGGGACCTGCCCCTGCCTTGCCCAGCCCATTTCTCAGCATCAGGGCAACTGATCCTTCCAGGAGCCTCTGAGTTAACAAGCACAGTAAAAGCTAGGGGTCTTGCCGTGGGCCAGGGGGCAGCACAAGCACAGAAGCCCCTTCCCCACTAAGTCCTGCCCCTCCTCCGGTCCCTTTCCACCTGCCATTCATTCGCACCCCCAGAACCTGATGTTCTGAGCTGGGACCTGTCACTTCTCCAGCAGAGGCTGGGAGGACAATAGAAAGACAATGTTCCTTATTCCTGAGAGGCAGCGTGACAGAATTTAAAACCTCAGCAAGATCTGGGTTCAAATCCTGACTCAGCCACTTGACGAGAGAGCTATGAAGGGGTCGAGCGCTCAGACAGAGCCAGATGGCCGGGGGCCGAATTCCAGCACTGCCACCTCCCCTGTGTCAGAGTGTGTCACCTAACGCTCCTGTAAACTGAAGAGCACTGAAGAACCTGCCATGTGTTTGTTCAGAGGAGCGAGCAACTGATTTCACGCAGGGCTTAAAACAGGGCTTTGCTCACAGCAAGCACTTCACTCTTGCCAGTTGTTGTTGGCCGTGGTTATTATACCTGCTGGGAGGGACATTGAAAGATGTAAATGGGCCAGTCACTTAAACATGTTGAGTAGGTGCCTGGCAAACTTTAGTGTCCTTTCTTCCACGTTTTTCTGTTAAGATAAAGAACACAAGGAAGGCAGACCCTGCCACCCCCAGCATCCCCATGGCGAGGGCCTGCCGGGAGGGGTCTGTCTCCCGGGGCTGCTCCCGTGGTTCCCAGGGTGGCAGCAACTAGATTCCATTTTTGCAACACCCCTCAAGTCCTCTCAAGGGTCATGTGAAGTTCTTGAGATAATATCAATTTAAATTCACCTGAATGTTTAAACATGGTTCTTTAAAGCAGGAAGACAGAGAGGTGGAAGAAGCTGAATGGCCGTGCCCGCGGGAGCATGGCTGGTCAGACGCCGGGTCTGAGGAGTACCGAGGTGAGCCCAGAGGACACTCCCCAGCCTCTGACCCTGGGGCAGATGCCAGGGAACTCTCTCCCTGGGACAGGCCCTACGTCTTGTGCAGGGAGGGAAGCTAAGTGTTGTGCAGAAAAGACAAGGCTTAAAATGCTGATTCCCCCTCATGCCTGCCACCTCCTTCCTACCAGGCAGGGGCTTTTCTTGCTGCCTTTTTCAGAGCATTTTGTGGGAGGAAAGAGGAAAGCCATTGAGGGTCTCTAGGCTGAAGCCTCGAGGCTGGAAGGGATGGTGCAAAGGGAAGCAGGGGACACCAGACACGATCTCCCACCTGAAATGAGTGCCACACAGCCTGGCCAAGTGATGCTTAGCTAGTGAGGCGAGCTGCCTGCAAGGCCAACAGAGCCCTTCTCTCTGTAGCTGTCCTAGCAGCCAGCCTTGCCCTCTGAAGAGAGAGGAGGCCTCACTGGGGGCCTTTCTCCATACAGCCTGCTAGGGACCTCACGGATTGTTGAAAGGGTAGCGCCATTGGGACCTCAGAATCACCTGCACGTGCTCCCAGGGGGCCTGGGTAGACCTGGCCTCAAATCCCATTCCCTGACCACTGCCTGGTACCCTGTTGGCTGAAGGAACATCCCAGTGGATCTGCCAGCCAGGAGAGAGCCTTAGATGTCATTTCATTTCAAGTCATGCCAGCCCTTCCCTGAGCTGCCCACTGTGGTTTGGGCTGAAGTGTCCATCTAGATAGATAATTGCCAACCTTGGCCTCATGTTGGGACTCGGTTTTTCCTAGCCCTCTTTGGCTTCCGTCTGCCTCTCCAGCTGGCAGAATCCTATCGTGCCTGGGCTGGCGGCACCGGCAGGCACCTGGGCAGGGCCGGCCAAGGTGAGAGCCAGGCCACCAGGTGAGCCCAGGCCACGATACCAGCAGGTGATTCAGGTAGCGTGAGGATGAAGTCTCCTAGGGAGAGGAGCATGGTGGGTGAGTCACTGCAGAGGAATCCTCTGGGGTTATGAATAGGCCTGGCTGGCGAGATGGGAGGAAGAATGATAAAACACCATTGTAGGAGCAGCTTCCTGATAGGCAGTTATGAAACCAGGAATAATCCTTCTGAGGGAATTTCAGGCTTCAGGCAGCTTTGAGCCCCTTCCGTGCCAAGGCCAGCGTTATAAAGTGCACGAGGTGCCTGGGGCCTGCCGGAGCTGCGCCTATACAATGGCATTTAATTTATCAGCATGCCAGCCTCCCAGATAAGCATGCCCATCCCCAACTTAGACACGGATAAACAGACCAGGCGAGGCTCCCTGCCCGGGCTCCACAGCTGAACCAGTACAGGAACGCAGGTCTGTCTGACAGCGAGGCTTCTGCTCCTTCAACCAGGCCATGAGGCTTGCTGGCCAGCCGTGGGGGACAGGCAGGAGCCAGGAACCCCAAAATGATCACACCGTAAACTCTAGCATCCAGAGATTCCTAGTACAATGCGGTCGACCAAATACTCCACTGAGATTCGTATGTGAGGCCGGCTGCGGGAAACGCTGCCCAGGGAGGGAGGTAGTTGGAAATCCATTTAAATAGAAGCAGGTCTGTTAAAACCACTTCATCTTCATTTCCTTTTTAAAAAATTAAATAGGCCGGGCGCAGTGGCTCGCGCCTGTAATTCCAGCACTTTGGGAGCCTGAGGCGGGTGGATCACGAGGTCAGGAGATCGAGACCATCCTGGCCAACATGGTGAAACCCTGTCTCTACCAAAAATCAAAAATTAGCTGGGCGTGGTGGCAGGCGCCTGTGGTCCCAGCTACTCGGGAGGCTGAGGCAGGAGAATCGCTTGAACCCAGAAAGCAGAGGTTGCAGTGAGCCGAGATCGCACCACTGCTCTCCAGCCTGGCGACAGAGCCAGACTCTGTCTAAATAAATAAGTAAATGCCACAGCTGGAAGAGGCTTCCAACAGGAACCAAGCAGAGGCCCGTTTTCTGCTACAAGGTCATCTTGCTTCCATTTGCCGGTGAGGGTCAGGTCTCTGTCCATGCAGGAGTTCTGGAGACCATTCCAGAAATTCCCTGGCCCACACAGCCATGCCCACTCCAGCTTCTCCCACACAGCCCTCAGATGGAGCAAGGCTGGGCCTGGCCGGGTGGGCACCAGTGGCCTCAGGGGAGACCAGAATGTGGTCTGGTTGGGACCCCACCCGCTTCCCTGGGCTTCAGGCCCAACATGCAGGCTTATGCACATTCTCAAGCTGCCTGGGAGCTGGACATTGGGGGCGAGTGACGTCAGAGCCTGGAGAGAGGATCCTCCGGCTGTGGCCTACGGGGTGTGGTGGGGATGGAGTCTGGCAAAGTTTCGCCTGCTCCTTCGAGCACTGCAGGCACAGAACCTCAGCAGGCCAAACCCCATCAGCACCAGCAAGGCCAGGAGGACACCACTCATGCAAACTAGAGGGTTTGGTTGGCCTGTTTTTGTTTTCTACATAAATACCAAACAACCATCTCTCCTTGCCTTTGACAAATCAGCAGCTCCATTGTGAAAGCTGACAGTGGAGGATGCACTTCAGGGAGGAATGGAAGGGGTCCAAGTCACCCTGGATATCTACTTATCTGGAACAGGGGGCTCTGAAAGGGGTGTCTGGGGAAGGTCTTTTCTCTAATGGGGATCAAGAAGGAGCTGGCAGTAGCCTGGACAAAGCAGCTCCCCCCACCCCATAGGCACCGCTTGAAGCTCTTGCCTTTTCCCTGTTACCGTAGGATGACGTAAGTCCCAACCTGTGCCTCAGCTCTGTCTTCCTACTAGGGATTTTCAAGACGTTTGGCTCTTCTGAAGCCTGGACATTGCACACACAAGTTAGAGCCAAGCACAACTGCTTTAGCTTAAAACAAACTCTGCCTTCTGTAATTAAAGCCTCAACGCAATGGCTGCAATGTCTGTGTGCTTGCTGGCTTGTTTCCTGTGATCTCTCCAAGTATATCACAAGCCACTCATACGCCATATGCAAACCCAGATGCACAGAACCCCACCCCCAACAACCCCAGCCTTCCCTCCTGACGGTGAGACATGGGCACTTCATTTATCAAAGTTTGAAGAGGCCAGATACGTGCCAGGCATCCTGCAGCTTGTGGTCTTTGGCTGCATTCGAGTTGCTGGAACATTTATCTAACAACCCAAGGTGCCAGAGCTACTAACGCTGTGCTGAGGGCAGTGCAGCCTGAAGGGCTTTGAGGAAGGGAAACCGTATAATCCGAACCCAAGCCCAGTTAGCATGGAAGCAACACAGCCATCTGCAGAGACAAGCCCAGCCCTCTTAACTGTCAACCCAAGATCAGTCAAGGGATCCAAGATACAGGTTCTGCCATTCCCAAATTGCACACACATCTTTCTCCACCAAGTGGCTGCTTATGAGCAACTGGGACGAAAGCATGCACCTAATCCCTTAGGTCCATGACAACAGGGCAGGTAGGGGTGGAGGTGGAGGTGGCGGCAATGGTGGAGATGGTAGAGCTTGTGGTGATGGTGCTTGTGGAGGAGGCGGTGATGACCACGGTGAGGAATAGCAGTGGGTAGGCCGATCCTGGTTCAGATGGAATTGGGTTGGCACTCCTTCCCGCAAGAGCATGAGCAACTGCACCGCTGGATCTTATACTCAGGAATTTTCCGATAGATTTAACACTTCAGAGGCACAACTGCCCCTTCCTACTAGAGCTTAAAGAGCACATCGTAACCTGGGCCCGACATCAACCTGTCTTTCCTTCTGCTCACTTTTCCAGGGGTTCCGTCCATTTCTGTGGCTGTTGACTCCCAAGTCCGTGTTTCCAGCCCAGAACCCTCCCCTGAGCCTCAGTTCCTACATGGTAGTTCTTCAGGACATCCTGTGTCTGTTCTGCGATCAAACTCAGCATGTCCAAATGAGCTATTTTTTAACTTCCATCCTGGTCTCAAACCTACCATCATTCTACATTCTCTATCATGATGAATCCATGCAGACACGAATCAGAAATTCCTACTATGTCCTGCACTCATCATCACCACCTCCCCTATGACCACTCTACCATCACCTGTACGAACACCTCCATGACCTCAACCTCCACCTTCACCCCCATTTCCACCCCCATCCCCACACCCACCACCTCCACCTCCACCATCGTCACCACTTTTACCTCCTTTACCTCTGCCACCACCACCACCACCAATATAAACACCATCATCATCTCCACCTCCACCTCCACCTCCACCATGACCTCCACCTCCACCTCCACCTCCACCATGACCTCCACCACCACCTCCACCTCCATCATGACCTCCACCTCCACCTCCACCTCCACCACCACCATCACAACTTCCACCACCACCTCCAATATAAACACCATCATAATCTCCACCTTCACCTCCATTTCTACCACCACCATCTCCACCTACACTACTTTTACCTCCACCTCTACCACTAACAACATCAACACTATCATCACCTCCACTGCCTCATCTTCGCCTCTAGCTTCTCTTCCACCACTATCACCTCCACTGCCTCATCTTCGCCTCTAGCTTCTCTTCCACCACCATCACCATCATTGTCACCTCTAGCTTCCATCACCACCACCACCACCACCAACACCACCTCCACCTCCATCACCTCCACAGTCTTCACCACCACCTCCACCTCCACCTCCAACACCACACACACATACACAAAACTTTGTGTGCATACACACACACACACATGCACACACTCCTACTGGGTCAGGTCACCTACTTTTAGTGATTCTTTCTCCTAAATTCTCTAGAGTCTGCCCCTATGTCAATCTTGCCATATCCAGCTCTGCACTCTTCATCTTCCTCTCCTCCCATCTGGCCTAGACACAGCTGTTACAGTGACCTTTCTAGAGGGCTTAAAGCCTGCAATGACTTCTTACCACATGCCCCCAGACTTTCCCAAATGTGCCCTAAAAGAAAGAGTCTTGATCATATTTGGAAAATGCTGAGTTAAAAAACTTAAATGCTTATGTTTACTGTAAGCTTTGTCACAGCCTTTAATATAAATGGGTATTGAGCCACATCTAGAGGAAGAATAGAGTTTCCCATAACTTGCTGGGGCTCCTCAGGGAAAAGTGGATACTGAACCACCTCTTTGGCTCTTGCTTCCCTTTCTCTGCCTTAAAAACCCTTATTCTGCTGATAAGAATAAAGGTTCCTTACACATCTTCCAAGGTGAATGTGGTCAGCCCCTCTCTACTCCTTCCTCACTCCTTCTCCAATACTGTAATCATCTGTCTCCATTTCTGATTTCCCCACTTGTCTGGAAGCTCCCTAAAGCAGGGAATAATAGTGATCTCCTGGGCCAACACAGCAATCAAGAAATGGTGTGTGTCCCATTCGTGTTTGTGGAGTAACTGTTGAATGTTTACTGATCTGGGCAAGAAAAGTTGAAGCAAAACCAGTGGTCTACTGGAGTGATGTGCCCACCCTCTGCATCTCAGGCCCTCTTCTCCCTCCAACACCTCAGCTCACTGCCCTGGACCCTGCCTCCACCCCTCCATCAATGTCGCTCTTACTCATGTCACCAGTGGTTGGAACCACTAACTCCCCCTGGCACATTTCTGCTTTCAGCCAACTCAACTTCTCAGCAGAATTCTACACAGTCCACCCTGTGGTCTCTCTGAGACACTCTCCAGCCCAGCCCCTGCCTGGTTTTCCTCCCACCCCTCTGGCTACTACGCTGTCCTGGTCTCCTTTACTGGCCTGGGCCTCTCTATCCTTCTGGCCAATGCTGGCATCCCTTCAGGCTTGGACCTTGTTCTCCTCATCCCCTGCTGGGCTCTGTCCATTAGCAGTTTCCTGACCCTTCCCAGCTGCTCCATGGCTGTGACTATCCCCATCCTCTGATGACCTGTCATGATGTGTCTGCCCCAGACTTCTCCTTGGACCTTCCAGTCTGATCTCACTAACTGCCCAATGGACTAATGTCCTTTAATATCTCACTGGCACCTCAAACTCAGTGTAGCCAAAATCTTAACTCTTGATCTTCCCCTCCAACCTAATCTGCCTCCGGTATTTTCGCATCTCCATAAATGGCTCATCCATCTGGCTTACCTCCATGGCTTGGCCAAAGTTAGTTCCTCTACACAGATCTTCTTATAAATGTATTTTTTTGCAATAAGAATAATAAATATGTGACCTGCACTTTTAAAATACCATGTATAGGCCAGGTGAGGTGGCTCATGTCTGTAATCCAAACAGTTTGGGAGGCGGAGGCAGCCAGATTGCTTGAGCTTGAGACCAGCCTGGGCAACATGGTGAAACCCCATCTCTGCCAAAAATACAAAAATTAGTCAGTCATGATGACGTGCACCTGTAGTCCCAGCTACTTGGAAGGCTGAGGCAGGAGAATCACTTGAGCCCAAGAGGCAGAGGTTGCAGTGAGCCAGGATCACACCACTGTATTCCTGCCTGGGTGACAGAGCAAGACCCTGTCTTTAAAAAAAAAAAAAGTAATCATCTTGGTTTACTGAAACTCTTTGTTATTGATTAGCAAATCCCCATTTCCCCCTGCTCTGGCCCCTGGAAATCACCATTCTACTCTCTGCTTCTATGAGTTTCACTATTTTCAATATCTCAGATGTAAAATCATGAAATATTTGTCCTTCTGTGACTTGTTCATTTCACTTAGCATAATGTCTTCCAGGTTCATTTATGTTGTTGCAGACAGCAGTATTTTCAGCTTTTTCAAGACTGAATAATATTCCCTCATGTGTCTATACCACATTTTCTTTATCTATTTATTCTTTGAAGACACTTAGGTTGTTTCCACATCTTTGCTAGTGTGACTCATGCTGCAATGGCAGAGGAGCGCAGACGTCTCTTCAAGATCCTGATTTCAGTTCTTTAGAACAAATACCCAGTAGTGGGATTGTTGGATCATAATAGGTCCATTTTTACTTTTTTGAGGAATCTCCATACTGTTTTCCAGAGTGGCTGCACCATTTTGCATTCCTACCCAGTGTGTGAGGGTTCTAAATTCTCCACACCCTTGTCAACACGTATCTTTTGGGCTTTGGTAATAGCTATCTTGACAGGTGTGAGATGCTATCACTTTGAGGTTTTGGTTTGTGTTTCCTGGTGATTAGCGATGCTGAGCATTCTTCCCAGTCCACCCGTTTCTCTTGATCCTCATTGCCACCAGCCAATCCAAACACCAACCTCTCTATTGCTTGCATTCTTGTGGCAGCCTCCAAACAGGTCTCCTGGCATGTTCCTATCACAAAAGGCAGCAGCCTCACCCTTCTCAGCGGATCAACAAGAAACTCCCTTCTTGCCTCCTGGAGGCTCAGGGCTCTTAGACATTCTGCTTGTGTCACGCATAATGGAGCTTGCTTTAGTTTCCTGGGGCTGCCAGAACAAATACCATAGACAGGGTGGCTTAAACAAAGGATGTTTATCATCTCACGGTTCTGGAAGCTGCAAGTCTGAGATCAGGGTGTCAGCAGGGCTGGTTCCTTCTAGGGGCCATAAGGGAGAATCCGTCCCAGGCCTGTCTCTCTCCTGGTGGGTTGCTGGCTATCTTTGGTGTTCCTCGTCTGGTAGACCCCCGCCTTCATCTTCACTTGGCATTCTTCCTGTGTGCGTGTCTGTATCCAAGTTTCTCATCTTTATAAGTTCACCAGTCATATTGGATTAGAGGCCCACTCTATTCCAGTATGGCCTTTTCCTAATTTAACTAATTGCATCTTCAATGACTCTATTTCCAAACAATTAGGGCAAGTTCTAAAGTACTAAAGCATTAAGACTTCAACTTCAGTTTTAGGGGCAGAGCCTGTCCACAGGTCCAAAGAAGACGTCACAGAGCCCTGGGTCAGCTGGCACGGGTGGGGGTCTCTCTGTGGTTGGTAGCACATGGACAGGGTGAGCATTGGTAGCACATGGACAGGGTGAGCATTGGTAGCACATGGACAGGGTGAGCATTGGTAGCACATGGACAGGGTGAGCATTGGTAGCACATGGACAGGGTGAGCATTGGTAGCACATGGACAGGGTGAGCATTGGTAGCACATGGACAGGGTGAGCATTGGTAGCGCATGGACAGGGTGAGCATTGGTAGCGCATGGACAGGGTGAGCATTGGTAGCGCATGGACAGGGTGAGCATTGGTAGCGCATGGACAGGGTGAGCATTGGTAGCGCATGGACAGGGTGAGCATTGGTAGCGCATGGACAGGGTGAGCATTGGTAGCGCATGGACAGGGTGAGCATTGGTAGCGCATGGACAGGGTGAGCATTGGTAGCGCATGGACAGGGTGAGCATTGGTAGCGCATGGACAGGGTGAGCATTGGTAGCATATGGACAGGGTGAGCACCCAGTGTGGAAGGCATATGGTGGAGTGGCCAGCGTTATGAGGCCCTCAGACACTGCCTGGCCTAGGAAGGTCACTTTTGAATGAAGGGACCTTCACCCACCTCCAGAGAAGGCGGGGATCTCCGCTACATCTCTGGTGAGGAGATTGAGTGGGGGCCTCCACAGGGCTCCCCAGAACTCTTGCCAGCTCAGCTCTGAAAGCCCCAGTCACCAACAAGCTCTGGGGATGAAGCTGGGTGGCCGCTCACCCTGGCAGGGCCATGGCTCTAGCACCTTACTTATCTGCTGCCCAGAAGGTGCCGGCCCTCCCCTTCCTCATTCACCCTGTCGCCAAGAACTGAGGGCCGGCCAGAGCCTTCCCAGCACTTGCAAGATAAATGGGAGTGAGCAGACATTTCCGTAGCCCGACTCCCTTTCTGTGGCTGCCTGGTCCACTTCAAGGTCCGCAGACTCCACTCCAGAAGAGCAGCAGCGCGAAGAGAACTTCTCCTGACATGGAGGTGTGCAAAGGGTGCACCTACGACAGCTGCTCCAGGTCGCTGGGCTCCATGGTCTGTGTGAGCCTTAGCACTGGGAAGGCACGGAGGGCCCTTCACATTGACATTTTATCTCCATTAAAGATGGCAGAGGGATTCCTGTGATGAGGTTAGCTCATCACAACCATGAGTCCCCCTCTTCCCTCCCACACAGCTGGGCTCCCAAGATTTCAAGAGTGCCCATAGCCGGCGAGCCGCAGCCTGGGCACAAACAGCTGCTCAATAAAGACCTCCTGGCTGCTTCTTTATTCCCTATCGGCATGCCCAGCTTCCTCCTGGGACTCCCTCCCAAAGTAGGATTCTCTGATTATCTTTAGCTGACCTCTCTCCCAAGTTCCCCTGCGCTGTCTCTGGCCAGGATAACAGCATCACCACTTTCAGTTGCCTCAGCCAGAGATGTTGACTCCTCATAGCTTGTCCTCTCTGAGGCCCCTGGCTTCTGTCTCCCTATTTCCCTTGAGCCCTGCCGCATCTTTCCACGCAGAGAACCTCCCATCAGGCCTGCACTTGGCCTTGCCCTTAGCGTGATGATGGCCTTTGCTCTTGGCTCCGCTCTGGTGGGTTCTTTCCGTCCCATCCAACCTCCTCTCTGCCTCCAGAGCCCCAGGACAGCTTGAGAGCCTGTACCACCCGATGGTACACTGTTTGGACATGCATAGTCTGGCCTCTGCCTATTTGGCTTGACTTCCCCTGGCCAGCCTGCACCATCCTCTAAACATCCATGCCCTTCACCTCCTGCCTCAACCACACCAAGCCACTTTCTATCCCACACCAGGTAATGCTGTTTCCTACCATTGTACTTTTCACCACTACGTCCCTCCCTTTTGGAACACTCTTCTTCTAGTCCTCTAGCCCATGAACCCTTATTCATCCTCTGAGGCCCAACTCCAACATCGACTTCTGTGACATCAGCCTGAGTCACCCCACTCCTTCATGTCTTCTCCCAGAGCAGGTTGGAACCTCATCCACATTGGATTTATCACTTCCTATTGTAATCCTTTGTCAACCAGCCAGTCTCTCCCACAAGAGTCCCAAAAGTTCTCAAATGCCAGTGTGCACAAAATCACCTGCAGCATGATAAACAGCAGGTCACCTGGTTCCACGACCAAGATTCCAATCTGGGGCCCAGGAATGAACATTTTCATAAACATACCAGGTGATCTTCATGCAGGTGATCCTGGGGCCCCACACTAGATCTGCTGCTCTCATGGGTTCCAGGCTTGGGGAATCTTGTCTTCTTCAGGGGTAGGCGTCCCCAGCTCCAGCTCAGCGCCCATCACATGGAATAATAAATGAGAGACCTTGGCTCACAGCATGGCTTCCCCCCTTCTGCCAGCCAAATGGCTATGGCAGGCCCCACCGCTCCTCTGAGGTTCAAGGAAGACTTCCACCAGGCCCGGTTCACAGAGCTGTGAGGAGGATTTGGGAACATGAGAACCTCAGGCACAA